>NC_000023.11:98087542-98712542 GCF_000001405.40 Homo sapiens | reverse complement strand
GCCAACACGCCAACCTGTGAAACTAGAGACAAGAAATCAGCTTCAAACAAAGACCCTGCACAAAGCCTCAGCCAAATGAAAACATCCAGATGTCTATTAGCTGCACTCAATTTACACTGCAGTTAAAAGAACACCCACAAGCAGAAATAAGAAAGAACCAGTGCAAGAGCTACAGTCACTCAAATGGCCAGAATGTCTTATGCCCTCCAAACAATCACACTAGTTCTCCAGCAAGGAATCTTACCTGGGCTGAGTT
Source organism: Homo sapiens (assembly GCF_000001405.40). Lineage (NCBI taxonomy): Eukaryota > Metazoa > Chordata > Mammalia > Primates > Hominidae > Homo > Homo sapiens. Next base: position 98,712,286 of record NC_000023.11, on the reverse strand, counting down.
GGCTGAAATTACAGAAACAGAATTCAGTATATGGATAGGAACAAAGATAATTGAGATTCAGCAGAATGGAAAAACCCAATCCAAAAAAACTAAGAATCACAATAAAATAATACAGGAACTGAAAGATAAAATAGCCAATATAAAAAACAACCTAATGAATCTGACAAAGCTGACAAACACAATACAAGGATTTCACAATGCAATAACAAGTATTAACAGTAGAATAAACCATGCTGAGGAACGAATTTCAAAACCTGAAGACTGGCTTTCTGAAATAAGAGTCAGACAAAAATAAAAGACAAAGAATGAAAAGGAATAAACAAAACCTCCAAGAAACATGAGATTACGTAAAGAGGCTAAATCTACTAAACTTTGGCATTCCTGAAAGGGAGGGAGAGCAAACAACTTGAAAAACATATTTTAGGATAATGTATATGAAAATGTTCCAACCTTAATAGAGAGGCCAACAGTCAAATTCAGGAAATACAGAGATCCCTTGCAAGATCCTACATGAGGAGATCATCCCCAAGACATATAATCATCAGATTTTCCAAGGTAGAAATGAAAGAATGTTAAAGGCAGACAGAAAAAAAGGGAAGGTCACCTACAAAGGAAACCCCATCAGGCTAACAGTAGACCTCTCAGCTGAAGCCCTACAAGCCAGAAGAGATTGGAGGCTTATATTGAACACCCTTAAAGAAAAATTTCTTCAATCAAGAATTTCATATCTAGCCAAACTAAACTTCCTTAGCAAAGGAGAAATAAGATTGTTTTCAGACAAGCAAGTATTGAGGAAGTTTGTTACCACCAGATCTGTATTATAAGAGGTCTTCAAAAGAGCACTAAATACAGGAAGAAAAAAAAAAAAAAAACCTGTTTCCAGCCAATACAAAAATGCACTTAAATACACAAATCATTGACACTATAAAGCAACCACATAAACAAATCGGCAAAGTAACCAGCTAACAACACAACAGCACCATAAGAAGATCAAATCCACACATATCAACACTAACTTTGAATGTAAACAGACTAAAAGACTAACAGACTAACTTTGAATATAAACAGACTTAAAAGGTGCAGAGTGACAAGCTGGATAACAAAGCAAGACCCAATGGTATGCTGTCTTCAAGAGACCAATCTTACACATAATGACACCCATAGGCTCAAAATAAACAGATAAATGAAAATTAACCCAAGAAAACGGAAATCAGACAAAAGCAGGAATGGCAATCCTACTTTCAGGCAAAATAGACTAAACCAACAAAGATCAAAAAAGACAAAAAAGAGCATTACCTAATGGTAAAGGGTTATATTAAACAAGAAGACCTAACTATCCTAAATGTATGTGCACCCAACATAGAAGCACCCAGATTCATAAAGCACATCCTTAGAGACCTACAAAAAGACATAGACTCCCACAAGATAATAGTGGGAGACTTGAACACGGCACTGGCAGTACTAGACAGATCATTGAAGCAGAAAATTACAAAGATATGCAAGACCTGAATTCAACATTGGACAAGATGTATCTAACAGACATCTACAGAAGTCTTCATCCAAAAAACACAGAATATATATTGTTCTCATCACCACATGGCACATACTCTAAAATTGACCAGATAATTGACCACAAAACAATCCTTAGCAAACACAGAGGAACCAAAATGATACCAAACACACTCTCGGACCACAGTGGAATAAAAATAGAAATCAAGACAAGAAAGTCACTCAAAACCATGCAATTACATAAAAATTAAATAACATGCTCCTGAATGACTTTTGGGTAAATCATGAAATTAATGCACAAATCAAGAAGTTCTTTGAAGTGAATGAGAACAAAGATGCAACATATGAGAATCTGTTGGACACAGCTAAGGCACTGTTAAGAGGGAAATTCATAGCACTAAACACCCACATCAAAATGTTAGAAAGATCTCAAATTAACAACCTAACATCACAACTGAAAGAAATAGAGAAGCAAGAGCAAACCAACCCCATAGCTAGCAGAAGATAAGGAATAACAAAAATCACAGCTGAATTGAAGAAAACTGAGACAAAAAACTATTCAAAAGATCAACAAATCCAGGAGTTGCTTTATTGATAAAAATAAGACAGATAGGCTGCTAGCTTCTAATAAAGAAGAAAAGAAAGAATATCCAACTAAACACAATTAGAAATGACAAAGGGGATGTTATCACTTTGAATACCTGCTCCTCAACAAGTAGAACCCCAAGCTCTTGCCAGCAGTGCAGCCACCCTACCACAGAAATAAAAATAACCATCAGAAACTCCTAGAAATACTTTTATGCCAAAAACATGAAAATCAGGAGATGGATAAATTGTCGGACACTTAAACCCTCCCAAGACTGAACCAGGAAGAATTTAAATTCCTGAACAGAACAATAACAAGCTCCAAAATTGGACCAATAATAAATAGCCTACCAACCAAAAAAAGCCCAGGACCGGATGCATTCACAGCCAAATTCTGCCAGATGTATAATACAAAGGAGAGATAGTACCGTTCCTACTGAAATTATTCCAACAATTGGTAACAAAGGACTCCTCTTGGTCTCATTCTGTGAGGCCAGAATCATCCTGATACCAAAACCTGGTGGAGACACAACAGCAAAAAACATCAAGCCAATATCCTTGGTAAATATTGATGCAAAAATCCTCATCAAAATACTGGCAAAATGAATCCATCACCACATCAAAAAGCTAATCTACCACAATAAAGTAGGCTTCATCCCTGGGATACAAGGTTGGTTCGACATATGCAAATCAATAAATGTGATTTATCTCATAAACAGAACTAAAGACAAAAAACACATGATTATCTCAGTAGATGAAAAAAAGTTTTCAATAAAATTCAACATATCTTCATGTTAAAAACTCAATAAACTATGTACTGAAGGAACATTCCTCAAAATAATAAGAGCCACATATGACAAATCCATAGCCAACATCATACTGAATGAACAAAAGCTAGAAGCATTTCCCTGGAAAACTGGCACAAGACAAGAATGCCCTCTCTCACCACTCCTATTTAACATAGTATTGGAAGTCTTGCCTAGAACAATCAGCCAAGAGAAAGAAATAAAGCCCATCTAAATACAAAGAGAGGAAGTCATACTATCTGTTTGCAGATGACATAATCATATATCTAGAAAACCCCATAGTCTCAGCCCAAAAGCTCTTCCAGCTGACAAATTTAGCAAAATCAATGTACAAAAATCACTAGCATTCTTATACACCAACAACAGCAAAACCGAGAGCCAAATCAGGAAAGCATTTCATTCACAATTGCCACAAAAATAATACAATACCTAGAAATACAGCAGAACACTATTTTAGGAGCACAGCCATCATGGAACTGTATTCTGTCCTGTGGACAACAGCCTCTCTATCTCCACATCCTGGTAGCTGACACTAACATTTCCCAGTGTCCACTCAGAGGATTACTGTGGTACAGAGCTGGCTGGACCCAAAGGTACTTTGAGGTTCTCAGTACCTTAGCCCACAAGGAGTGCTGTGCCCCAAGGACATGACAGTGTAGCACACCAAAAAGCAGCCCCTGGTACACCAAATCATGTGCTTTTCAGAAGCTACGAACACCCTGTATGGGGCTGTGGGAAGTGATTTTATCCCCAGTAGTGGCACAATCTTTGTACCTGGCTTGGCAAGTGAAGAGTGAAATTTCCTTCCACCAGTGGAGTGTTGTCTGTGTGAAGACTCTCATGCAGAGAATGAGTCCCCTCCTCCTCCACCACCCAACGGCTTCTGCTGCCACCAGAGGCCAGGGTGGGTGAGCCAGAAAGCTATCAGGCTGGGGCAGTGAGTTGTAATTGCAACCCTATTGGTGGCATGGGCTCTCTGTGTGGCTTCTACGTGAATGTAGGGTTCCTACTCCCTTTGCATGGTGCTATGGTGCTGCTGCTCCAGAGAGCAAAAGAGCCTAAGAGTGGCATTTCTGGACCTTTGGGGGGTGAACCCACACCACAGCTAGAGCAAACAGCAGCTGGCACCACTCAAAGCCAAGAGGGTTGCAACACCATTGCTTCTACCATTGCCCACACCACACCAGCTGCTCAGGGATCCAAGAACCCACTCAGCCCACAACTATTGCTAATAGCATCTGAGTAAGCCATCTGGAGTCCCAAGAACTGGGCTTCTAGTAACTGCCAACACAGGTACCAGCATATACCACCCTGGGGCACAAAAGCTGATACAATCAGTCCACTGCTGCCTCCACTGAGTCTTGAAGACTGGTCCACCTGGCTTCCCAGTCTCTAGCACAACTTCACACAACTTCACCACAGCCTCCATTAACAACGGCACCCTAACCCTCCAGTAAATCACAAAAGACACTAACACTGTTTACAACCAAAGAAGTCATACAGAGACTACACTACTACACACATCCAGGATCAAAGCCAAAAATACTCTACCCAACAAACACCACAGATATATTTTCAGAAAAATGTCTTCCACTACAAAAGTAAATTCAAAAATAGGAAGAAGCAACTCTTACATCTGATGTGCAAATGTCAATGTAAGGGCACAGAAAGCATGAAAAAGCAAGAGAATATGACACCTCTAAAGAAACACAATTATTTTCCAGTAATATATCTTAGTAAAAAAGAAATCTTTAAAATTCAAGATAAGCAATTCAAAATATTGATTTCCAAGAAGCTCAGTAAGGTGCAAGAGAATTCTAAAAAACAATATGAAGAAATTTTTAAAAATCAGGATAAGAATAAGAAATTTTCCAAAGAAATACATATTTTTAAAATAACCAAATAAATATGGAACTGAATAATTTATTGAAGAAAATGCAAAAGACATTAGAAGATCTCAATAACAGACAGAGGAAAGAGGCTCAAAATTTGAAGACAGGTCTTTTGAAATAACCCACTTAATAAAAAATAAAGGAAAGAGAATGAGCAAAGCCTTTATGGTATTTGAACAACAAAAGTAACCAAATATACAAAGTGTCATTATCTTTAAGAGTGAAGAGAAAATGAAAGGATTAGAAAATCTATTTCACAAAATAATAGATGAAAACGCCCCAGGTTTAGCAAGAGATTTAGACATTTGGATACAGGAGGCTCAACATTCCCCAGGAAGATACAATGTAGAAAGGGTTTCTCCATGATACATTATAGTCAGCCTGCCAAAACTCAAAAATAAAGAGCCCATCTTAAAAACAGAAAAAGTGCCTAATCACCTATAAAGAAAACCCCATCAGACAAACAGTGGGTTTCTCAGCAGAAACCTGGGATGACATATTTAAAGTGCTTTAAGAAAAAACCTGCAGCCAGAAATGCTATATGCACCGAAATTATCTTTCACAAATGGAGAAATAAAGTCTTTCCCAGACAAGCACATAATTAGGGAATTTGTTATCACTAAAACAACCATACAAGAAATGCTCAAGGGAGTCTTAAACCTGGGAGCAAAAGAACAATATTTACCATCATGAAAACACATAAAAGAATAAAATACACTGGTAAAACAATCACACAATGGAGAGAGAGAAAGGTCTCAAATGGTACCACTAAAGAAATTCATCAGACCACAAGAACAAACAAAAAGATAAAAAAAAGGAACAAAAGATAAATAAAACAACCAGTAAACAATTAAAAATATGAAAGGAACAAAACCTTACATATCAATAATAATGGTTAACATAAACGGATTAAATTCTTGACTTAAAAGATATAGAATAGCTTGATGCATTAGAAAAAAAAACATGATCCAACCATATGCTGTTTACAAGAAATGAATGAGTAAAGACACAAATACACTGAAAGTAAAGGAATGTAGAAAGATATTCCACACAAACAGAAAACAAAATTAAGCAGGGGTAGTTATACTTACACACGATAAAACAGATTGTAAGTCAAGAACAATAAACATAGAAAAGGAAGGTCATTATATAATGACAAAGGGATCAATTAAGCAAAAAGATATATAACAATTATAAATATATATGCACCCAACACTAAAGTCACCCAGACTCATAAAGCACATATTACTGCATCTGATGATGAAAACAGACTGCAATATAATAATAGTGGGGGACTGCAACACCCCACTCTCAGCATTAGACAGATCAACTAGAAAATTAACAAATAAATATTGGATTTAAACTAGACTTTAGACCAAATATACCTAACAGACATTTACAGAACATTTAATCCAACAATTGTAAAATATACATTATTTTTATCAGCATGTAGATCATTCTCCAGGATAGACCATATGTTATATTGCAAAACAAGTCTCAACAAATTTTAAAAGTCAAAATAATCTCAAGTATCTTCTTAGACCACAATGTAATAAAACTATAAATAAATACCAAAGGGTATTTGGAAACTATACAAATCCATAAACAACATACTTCTGAATGGCCATTGGGTAAATGAAGAAATTACAAGGCAAAACAAAAAAATTTCTTGAAACAAATGAAAATGGAAATACAACATATAAATCCTATGGGATACAGCAAAAACGTGTTAAGAGAGAAATTTATAGCAATAAATGCCTACATGAAATAGGTAGCAAAGTTACAAATCAGCAATCTAACAATGCACCTCAAGGAGATAGAAAAGCAAAAACAAACCAAACTCAAGATTAGTAGAAGAAAAGAAATAATAAAGGTCAGAACAGAACTACATGAAGTAGAGACTAAAAAATTCATTCAAGTAATCAACAAAACAAAAGGTTGGTTCTCCAAAAAGATAGAATTGATAAAGTGCTAGCTATACTAAGAAAATAAGAAAAAATATCTAAATAAAGAATATAAGAAATAAAAATGGAGAAATTACAACTCTTACCACAGAAATACAAAAGATTATCAAGAATCTATTATGAACAACTATATGCTGACAAACTGGAAAACTTAGAGGAAACTGATTAATTCCTGAAAACTTGCTACCTACCAAGATTGAATCATGAAGATACAGAAAACCAGAACAGACCAATAACAAGTAGTGAGATTGAATTAGTAACAAAAAATCTCCCAACAAAGAAAAGCCCAAGACTAGATGGATTCTCAGCCAAATTCTACAAAAATGTATGAAGAACTAATAAAAATTCTCCTGAAAATATTCCAAGACATCGAAAAGGAGAGAATTCTCCCTATCTCACTCATTCTATGAGGCTTCTAGTAACTGGTAGCAACCTGATACCAAAACAAGAGAAGAACACACCAAAAAAAAAAAAAAAGAAAAAAAAGAAAAAACCTACAGGCCAACATCTCTGGTGAACATCAATGCAAAAATCCTCAACAAACTACTAGCACACTAATTCCAACAGCATATCAAAAAGATAATACGCCACAATCAAGTGAGGTTTATAACAGGGATGCAAAGATGGTCTGACATACATAAACCAATAAATATAATACATCTCATCAACAGAATAAGGTGTAAAGCCATAGGATCATCTCAATAGACACAGAAAAAGAATTCGATAAAAGTCACAATGCCTTCATAATAAAAGCTCTCAACAAACTAAGCAGATAAGAAACATATCTGAAAATAATAAAGGCTGTAAATGGCAAACCTACAGCTAACCTCATACCGAATGGGGAAAAGCTGAAAGCCTTTCCTCTAAGAACTGGAACTGGGAAGGATGCCAAGTTTCACCACTCACATTCAATATAGTTCTGAAAGTCCTAGTCAGAGCAATCAGGAAAAAAATGCATGAAAATAGAAAATGAAGAAGTAATATTGTCCTCCCTTGCTGATAATATGATTGTGTATCTACAAAAGTTTAAAGGTTCCCATGAAAATTCAGATTTGATAAATGAATTCAGTAAAGTTGCTGGACAAAAAAAAATCAATGTATAAAAATTAGTAACATTTATTTATTTTTACTTTATTTTATTTTTTTGAGACAGGGTCTCACTCTGTCACCCAGGTTGGAGTTCAGTGGCACAGTCATAGCTTACTGCAGTCTTAAACTCCTGGACTCAAACAGTCCTCCTTCCTCAGGCTCCCAAGTAGCTGGGACTACAGGCACATGCCACCATGCCTGCCCATTAAAAATATATATATATTGGAGAGATGGGATCTTGCTTTGTTGCCCAGGCTATGTAGCATTTATGGACACCAATAACTGACTAGCTGAGAAAGAAATCAACAAGACAATCCTATTTACAATAGCTACCAAGAAAATAGCTACCTAGGAATAAACTTAACAGTGAAGATAAATTATTTCTACACGAAAAACAAAATATTGATGAAATAAACTGAAAAGGACACAAACAATTGTAACAGCTTTCCATGCTCATGGAGAGAAAGTATTAATATTGTTAAAATGGCCATATTACCCAAAGCAGTCTTCAGATTCAATGCAATCTCTAACAAAATACCAACATCTTTCTTTGCAGAATTAGAATAAAAGAATCTTAAAATTCATAGAGAATCAAAACAGAGCCCAAATAGCCAAAGGAATTCTGAACAAAAAGAACGAGGCTGGAGACATCAGGCTATCTTACTTCAAAATCTATTAAAAGGCTATTGTAACTAAAACAACATGGCATTGGTATTAAAATAGATACATAGACCAATGGAACAGAAGAGAGAGCCCAGAAATAAATCCACATATTAATGGTCAGCTGATCTTCAACAAAGCTAACAAGAATTTATATTGGGGAAAGGACACCTCCTTCAATAAATGGTGCTGGGAAAATTGGATAGCCACATGGAGAAGAATAAAAACGGACCCCTATCTCAAACCATATAAAAAAATCAACACAAACTGAATTACATTCTTAAATGTAAGACCTGAAACGATAAGACTACTGGAAATAAACTAGGGAAAAACTCTCCTGAACATTGGTCTAGGCAAATAATTTATGACTAAAACTTCAAGAATACAGATATAGACAAATGAGACTTAATTAAACTAAAAAGCTTCTGCACAAAGAAATAATCAACAGAGTAAAGAGACAATCTGCTGAATGGGAGAAAATATTTCCAAACTCTTCATCTGACAGGGAACTATACAAGGATATCAACAGGCAATAAACAAGTCCCATTAAAAATTGGCCAAAAAGCATATGAATGGCCAAGAGCTACAAGAAAAAAAAATCTTAACATTGCTAATTAGAGAAATGGAAAATCAAAACCACAATGAGATACCTTCTCTCCCCAGTCAAAATGGCTATTATTAAAAAGACAAAAAAAATTGCAAATGTTGGCAAGGATGCAAAGAAAAGGGAATTCATAAACTATTGATAGGAATGTACACTAGTACAGCCACTATGGAAAACAATATGGAGATTTCTCAAAAAACTAAAAATAGAATTACCATTCGATCCAACAATCTCACCATTGGGTATCTACCCAAAGGAAAAGAAATCAATATATCAAAATATACCTGCATCTCCATGTTTATTGCAGCACCATTCATAATAACAAAGACATGGACTTAACCTAAATATCCATCAGTGGATGAACAAATAAAGTGTTTACCCAATGCAATACTATTTAACTATAAAAATAACGAAATCATGACATATGCTGCAACATGAATGGAACTGGATGTCATTATCTTAAGTGAAATAAACCAGGTATAAAAAGACAAATATCATATGTTCTCGCTTTTATTTGGGAGTTTAAAAATTTGATCACATGGAGATAAAGTGAAAAGACAGGTAACATAGACTGGGAAGGGTGGGGAGGGGAAAGGTGAGAGGTTGAGGAGACGTAGGTTAAAGTTCACAACCATACAGTAAGAAAGAAGGAATATATTCAATGTTCGATAGTAGAGTAGGGTGACCACACTTAACAAAAATGTATTGGGCTCAGGTGATGGACACCCTACATATCCTGACTTCAAAACTACACATTATATACATGCAACAACATTTCTATGTGTCCCATAAATTTGTACAAATAAAAAAAAAACTTTCAGTTTAAAGAAAAAAAGAAAAAAAAAAGCAAAGGAAGAGTTTCACTGAATGGGTGAGATGATTAATGTTAACAGATGGGAGAAGTTTGAACCATTTCAAACTTATTTTACTTTGATATCTTCCAGCAAGTAGTAATGGCCTTCCAACTGGAAAATCTAGAACAAACATCATAAAAAATATCATAGAGCTTCCATTTAAAGCCCAATAAAATTGTGGTGGCATTAAATGAGCTTACATGTTCCCCAGAAGCTTCATCTAAAAATGTGCAGGTTTGTAACAGTGTCAGTGTAAATAACAATTGAGGACTAATGTAAAACAAAAAACAAGTTTAAATATTGGAGATAGGGCCATATAACCTGTTTTCAAAAATGAAGGGGAAAAGGCAGTTTTCAGAATCTATGGGCCAAAAACCAAAATCTATGGGTTTTAATTTTTAACAATAAATTTCAAAACAAATTGTTATCAAGATTTCTTTGTAAAATTTAGAAAAGAATAAGAATAATCAGTAGGTGCCAATGTGGGTTCACACAGCATAATAAAATATGATAAGCTAAACTTTTTTCCTTATTAGATAGGGCTGTTAGGTTGCTATACCAGGAAAATGCTCACATGTTGTAAGTAAAGAATTTGACGAAGTCTCAGATAATAATCTTGTAGTCATATGCTGAAATATAACTCAGATAGTTCAAGTTAGGTAGATTGAGAACTGGTTGTACAGCCTTACCATAATGACATCAATGAATTAATTGATCAATGTCAACCTAAAGTGCAGTCTCTTGCACTGTGCCATAGGTTTCTGAGGACAAAGATGGTATGTTGCTAGTTTGGAAGATGACTCAAAGCTGTGTGTAAACTACTATAATATGAGCCAGAATAATGATTCTAAATGATATAAACAGGTTGCAGCAGTAGACTGAATCTAATTAGGTAAAAATTCAAGTAATACTTTTAACCAAAAAGCAGGATTTGATAAGTATAACATTAACAAGACCTGGCTTGGCAGCCATTTATGCCAAAACAACAGAAAATCTGAACATGTAATTGGTCACAGAGAAGTCATCAGGGTGGGTCAAATCATCTATTTTTCCTCTGGTTCCAAGTCCATGGTAGGACTGTATGTCCTCAACGCCTTTGAATTTCATTGAGGACAACTGATTGGCTTTGGAAACTTGAAAAGCCAGTGCACAATTCACCATTTCTCTTTTCAGGTCTTGTTGACTATGAAAGTAGATACGGTGATGGAGTTTCTGTCAGCCTGGATTCCTGAATTACTGTGATACGTATTGGATATTCATTGTAAGTGGGAAATAAATGTTTGTTGTATAAAGTCACCGAGATTTTGTAGTTCTTTGTTGGTACAACATAACAAAGGCACTACTGACTGATAAATCACCACTGCTCCAACTCCAAAATAAACTAAACTTAATTTTAATCTTTTTCAAAAGAAGTTTTGTATAGAGTTAATGAGATAAAATAATCCCATTCTACTTTGCAGCATTAAATTATTTCTGAAGTATTGATTAATTCTGGGTGTTACAATATCAGATTAACTTAAGCAAACTAGAGTGGGTCTAGAGGAAGGTAACCAGGATGATGATAATCTAAAAAGCATATAAATGATAAACTACCAAAAGAACTAAAAAGACATAGAGACTACCTTCAAGTGTTTTGAAGAATTTGAAAAGGTTAAAGAAAAAAGATAAGATAAATATTGTGTAGGTCCAGAGAGTATAATAAGGACACTTCTGAGTTTAAAGAACCTTTTAATGACTTCCCCTTGTTGATAAAACCTAAACTCAGCACAGAACACCCTCAGATGCCAGCCACTTTTTGATATCTCCATCCTCATCTTCTACTACTCCTTCATTCACAGGCTTTGCTTCAGCAGAGCAAAACTTATTAGAGCTCCTAAATGTGTAGTACTTTCAGTGATGTTCTTCAACCTAGATTACCTCAGCCTCTCCCACTTCAAGGTTCAGCTCAAGCTGTACTGCCTCTGAAACTCACTGCTTGACTGTCCCTTCCCACTCCCTTTATTATTTTTTGCTCAAATGGGATTATATACTTCATCTTTCTGTTCCAATAGAACCTGTGCATAGATTAATGCTACAGGGAGATGGATTTTGGTATGATAACTATATTTTTAAATGCGGTTCTGAATAATTTCTTGCAAAGTTGTAATTCATTGCTGTTGGAAACATTCAAGGAGAGGCATTTCTACTTAATGACAGTTTAAATTAAATGACCTCCATGGTTTCTTCAAGCTCTAAAAACATGGGGTTGACTTTACTACATTCAGGGTACAGATTCCATAGTGAAATGTGTTCATCATAAGAAGATACCAGTATTAAAATAGTAGTGGTTAGTGAATAGTTCTTTTAAAGACCTGGTTGATATTGAGATCCAGGGGTCTCACTGATTTTTTGAGTATCTTTTTTTCTTTTTTTGTGGAGATCCTTTGTTTGAGATGTAAAATACATTTTATGTAAAATTGGCCTTCTTATCGAAGTCTAATTTTCTAATAATGGTAACATCCTTTTGCTTTTTTATGAATTTAACTCTTTATTTTTCTACTTTTTATGAATACTTTAACTCATTTAACCATAATGTAAATGGCACGAGCTCTGCAGAATACGAATGCCACTTATCCTAAAGCACGTAACTAGTTACAAAAAGAATTGGACTAGATGCAGCTAGCCCCTCTTACAAGTTTCTAAGTATAAGTGGAGAGACGTGTTCCTAGATGGAAGCATTAAGTGTTGTTAAGATTTCAGTTTAGAGGGTGGCTGGCAAGATGGCCAAATAGAAACAGCTCCGGTCTGCAGCTCCCAGCGAGATCAATGCAGAAGGCAGGTGATTTCTGTATTTCCAACTGAGGTACCTGGCTCATCTCATTGGGACTGGTTAGACAGTGGGTGTAGCACCCAGAGGGTGAGCTGAAGCAGGGTGGGGCGTTGCCTCACCCAGGAAGTGCAAGGGGTAGGAGAACTCCCTCCTCTAGCCAAGGGAAGCCCTAAGGGACTGTGACGTGAGGAACAGTGCACTCCGGCCCAGATATTTTGCTTTTCCCATGGTCTTCGCAACCCACAGACCAGGAGATTCCCTCGGGTGCCTGTGCCACCAGGGCACTGGGTTTCAAGCACAAAACTGGGTGGCCATTTGGGCAGACACTGAGCTAGCTGTAGGAGACTTTTTTTTCATACCCCAGTGGCTCCTGGAACACCAGTGAGACAGAACCCTTCACTACCCTTGAAAGGGGGCTGAAGCCAGGGAGCCAAGTGGTCTTGCTCAGCAGATCCCAGCCCCATGGAGCCCAGCAAGCTAAGATCCACTGGCTTGAAATTCTCGCTGCCAGCACAGAAGTCTGAAGTCAACCTGGGACACTCAAGCTTGGTGGGTGGAGGGGCACCCACCATTACTGAGGCTTGAGTAGGTGGTTTTCCCCTCACAGCGTATACAAAGTCACCTGGAAGTTCAAACTGGGCAGAGCCCACCACAGCTTTGCAAAGCCCCTGTCGCCAGACTGCATCTCTAGATTCCTCCTTGCTGGGCAGGGCATATATGAAAGAAAGGTAGCAGCCCCAGTCAGGGGCTTATAGATAAAACTCCCATCTCCCTGGGACAGAGCACCTGGGGGAAGGGGCAGCTGTGGGCACAGCTTCAGCAAACTTAAATGTTTCTGCCTGCCGGCGCTGAAGAGAGCAGTGGATCTCCCAGCATAGCACTTGGGCTCTGCTAAGGGACAGACTGCCTCCTCAAGTGAGTCTCTGACCCCCGTGCCTCCTGACTGGGAGTCACCTCCCAGCAGGGGTCGACAGACACCTCATAAGAGAGAGCTCCAGCTGGCATCTGGCAGGTGCCACTCTGGGAAGAAGTTTCCAGAGAAAGAAATAGGCATCAATCTTTGCTGTCCTGCAACCTCTGCTGGTGATACCCAGGCAAACAGGGTCTGGAGTGGACCTCCAGCAAACTTCAGCAGACCTGCAGAAGAGGGGCCTGACTATTAGAAGGAAAACTAACAAACAGAAAGGAATAGCATCAACATCAACAAAAAGGATGTCCACACAGAAACCCTATCCAAAGGTCATCAACATCAAAGAACAAAAGTAGATAAATCCACGAAGATAAGGGAAAACCAGGGCAAAAAGGCTGAAATTCCAAAAACCAGAACGACTCTTCTCCTCCAAAGGATCACAACTCCTCACCAGCAAGAAAACAAAACTGGACGGAGAATGAGTTTGATGAATTGACAGAAGTAGGCTTCAGAAGCTGCGTAATAGCAAACTCCTCCAAGCTAAAGGAGCATGTTCTAACACAACGCAAGGAAGCTAAGAACTTTGAAAAAAGGTTAGTGGATTGCTAACTAGAATCACCATTTTAGAGAACAGAAATGACCTGATGGAGCTGAAAAACACAGCAAGAGAACTTTGTGAAGCATGCACAACTATCAATAACCGAATTGATCAAGCAAAAGACAGGATATCAGAGATTGAAGATCAACTTAATGAAATAAAGCGTGAAGACAAGATTAGAGAAAAAACAATGAAAAGGAGCAAAGCAAGCCTCCAAGAAATATGGGACTATGTGAAAAGACCAAATCTACGTTTGATTGGTGTACCTGAAAGTGATGGGGAGAATGGAACCAAGTTGGAAAACATTCTTCAGGATATTATCCAGGAGAACTTCCCCAACCTAGCAAGACAGGCCAACATTCAAATTCAGGAAGTACAGAGAACACCACAAAGATACTCCTCGAGAAGAACAAACCCAAGACACATAATCGTGAGATGCACCAAGGTTGAAATGAAGGAAAAAAATGTTAAGAGCAGCCAGAGAGAAAGGTCGGGTTACCTACAAAGGGAAGCCCATCAGACTAACAGTGGATGTCTCTGTGGAAACACTACAAGCCAGAAGAGTGTGGGGACCTATATTCAACATTCTTAAAGGAAAGAATTTTCAACCCAGAATTTCATATTCAGCCAAATTAAGCTTCATAAGTGAAGGAGAAATAAAATCCTTTTCAGACAAGCAAATGCTGAGAGATTTTGTCACCACTAGGCATGCGTTACAAGAGCTCCTAAAGGAAGCACTAAATATGAAAAGGAAAAACAGATACCAGCCACTGCAAAAACATACCAAATTCTAAAGACCATTGACACTATGAAGAAACTGCATCACTGCATCAACTAATGGGCAAAATAACCAGCCAGCATCATAATGACAGGATCAAATTCACACATAACAATATTAACCTTAAATGTCAACAGGCTAAATGCCCCAATTAAAAGACACAGACTGGCAAATTGGATAAACAGTCAAGACTCATTGGTGTGCTATATTCAGGAGACCCACCTAACATGCCAAGACACACATAGGCTCAAAATAAAGGGATGGAAGAATATTTACCAAGCAAATGAAAATTTAAAAAAAGCAGGGGCTGCAATTCTAGTGGCTGATAAAAGATACTTTAAGCCAACAAAGATCACAAAAGACAAAGAAGGGCATTGCATAAGGTAAAGGGATCAATGCAACAAGAAGAGCTAACCATCCTAAATATATATGCACCCAATACAGGAGTACCCAGATTCATAAAGCAAGTTCTTAGAGACCTACAAAGAGACTCAGACTCCAACACAATAATAGTTGGAGATGTTAACACCCAACTGTCAATATTAGACAAATCAATGAGACAGAAAGATAACAAGGATATTAAGGACTTGAACTCAGCTCTGGACCAAGCACAACTAGTAGACATCTACAGAACCCTCCACCCGAAATCGACAGAATATACATTCTTTTCCGCACCACATCACACTTATTCTAAAATTGACCACATAATTGCAAGTAAAACACTCCTCAGCAAATATAAAAGAATGGAAATCTTAACAAGCAGTCTCTCAGACCACAGTATAATCAAATTAGAACTCAGGATTAAGAAACTCACTCAAAACCACACAACTACATAGAAACTGAACAACCTGCTCCTGAATGACTACTGGGTAAATAACAAAATTAAGGCAAAAATGAATAAGTTCCTTGAAACCAATGAGAACAAAGACACAATGTACCAGAATCTCTGGGACACAGCTAAAACAGTGTGTAGAGGGAAATTTATAGCACCAACTGGCCACAGGAGAAAGCAGGAAAGATCTAAAATTGACACCCTAACATCACAATAAAAAGAACTGAGAATCAAGAGCAAACAAATTCAAAAACTGGCAGAAGACAAGAAATAACTAAGATCAGAGCAAAACTGAAGGAGAAAGAGACACAAAAAACCCTTTTAAAAAATCAATGATTCCAGGATCTGGTTGTTTGAAAACACTAACAAAATAGATAGACTGCTAGTCAGACTAATAAAGAAGAAAAGAAAGAAGAATCAAATAGACACAATAAAAAATGATAAAGGGGATATCACCACTGACCCCACAGAAATACAAACTACCATCAGAGAATACTATAAACACCTCTACACAAATAAACTAGAAAATCTAGAAGAAATGGATAAATTCCTGGACACATACACCCTCCCAACACTAAACCAGGAAGAAATCAAATCCCTGAATAGACCAATAACAAGTTCTGGAATTGAGGCAGTAACTAATAGCCTACCAACCAAAAAAAGTCCAGGACCAGACGGATTCACAGCCAAATTCTTCCAGAGGTACAAAGAGGAGCTGGTACCATTCCTTCTTAAACTATTTCAAATAATAAGCATCATCCTGATACCAAATGCTGGCAGAGACACAACAAAAAAAGAAAATTTCAGGCCAATAGCCCTGATGAACATTGATGTGAAAATCCTCAATAAAATACTAGCAAACTGAATCCAGCAGCACATCAAAAAGCTTATTCACCACAATCAAGTCAGCTTCATTCCTGGGATGCAAGGCTGGTTCAACATACACAAACCAATAAACGTAATCCATCACATAAACAAAACCAATAACAAAAACCACATGATTATCTGAATACATGCAGAAAAGGCCTTCGATAAAATTCAATGCACCATTCATGCTAAAAACTCTCGATAAACTAGATATTGATGGAATGTATCTCAAAATAATACGAGCCATTTATGACAAACCCACAGTCAATATCATACTAAATGGACAATGGAAGCATTCCCTTTGAAAACCGGCACGAGACAAAGATGTCCTCTCTCACCACTCCTATTCAACGTACTATTGGAAGTTCTGGCCAGGGCAATCAGGCAAGAGAAAGGAATAAAGGAATAAAGGAAGAGAGGAAGTCAAATTGTCTCTGTTTGCAGATGACATGATTGTATATTTAGAAAACCCCATCGTCTCAGCCCAAAATCTCCTTAAGCTGATAAGCAACTTCAGCAAAGTCTCAGGAGACAAAATCAATGTGCAAAAATCACAAGGATTCCTATACACCAATAATATACAAACAGAGAGCCAAATCATGAGTGAACTCCCATTCACAATTGCTACAAAGAGAATAAAATACCTAGGAATACAACTTACAAGGGATGTGAAGGACCTCTTCAAGGAGAACTACAAACCACTGCTCGAGGAAATAAGAGATGATACAAACAAATGGAAAAACATTCCATGCCCATGAAGAGGGAGAATCAATATCATGAAAAGGGCCATACTGCCCAAAGTAATTTATAGATTTAATGCTATCCCCATTAAGCTGTCATTGACTTTCTTCACAGAATTGAAAAAACTACTTGAAATTTCATATGGAACCGAAAAAGAGCCCAGATAGCCAAGACAACCCTAAACAAAAAGAACAAAGCTGGAGGCATCATGCTACCTGACTTCAAACTGTACAACAAGGCTGCAGTAACCAAAACAGCATGGTACTGGTACAAAACCAGATATATGGACCAATGGTACAGAACAGAGGCCTCAGAAATAATGCCACACATCTACAACCATCTGATCTTTGACAAACCTGATGAAAACAAGCAATGGGGAAAGGATTCCCTATTTAATAAATTGTGTTTGGAAAACTGGCTAGCCATATGCAGAAAACTGAAACTGGACCCCTTCCTTATACCTTATACAAAAAATTAACTCAAGATGGACTAAAGACTTACACATAAGACCTAAAACCATAAAAACCCTAGAAGGAAACCTAGGCAATACCATTCAGGACATAGGCATGGGCAAAGACTTCATGACTAAAACAGCAAAAGCAATGGAAACAAAAGCCAAAATTGACAAATGAGATCTAATTAAACTAAAGAGTCTCTGCACAGCAAAAGAAACTATCATCAGAGTGAACAGGCAGCCTACAGAATGGGAGAAAAATTTTGCAATCTATCCATCTGACAAAGGGCTAATATCCAGAATCTACGAGGAACTAAAACAAATTTACAAGAAAGAAACAAACAACCCCATCAAAAAATGGGTGAAGGATAGAACAGAGACTTCTCAAAAGAAGACATTTATGCAGCCAACAAGCATATGAAAAAAAGCTCATCATCACTGGTCATTAGAGAAATGCAAATCGAAACCACAATGAGATACCATCTCATGCCAGTTAGAATGGCAGTCATTAAAAAGTCAGGAAACAACAGAGCTGGAGAAGATGTGGAGAAATAGGAACACTTTTACACTGTTGATGGGAGTGTAAATTAGTTCAACCATTGTGGAAGACAGTGTGACGATTCCTCAAGGATCTAGAACCAGAAATACCATTTGACCCAGAAATCCCATTACTGGATATATACTCAAAGGATTATAAATCATTCTACTATAAAGACACATTCACACATATGTTTATTGCAACACTATTCACAATAGCAAAGACTTGGAACCAACCCAAATGCCCATCAATGATAGACTGAATAAAGAAAATGTGGCACAGAAGATGGCCGAATAGGAACAGCTCCAGTCTACAGCTCCCAGCGTGAGCGACGCAGAAGACGGGTGATTTCTGCATTTCCATCTGAGGTACCGGGTTCATCTCACTAGGGAGTGCCAGACAGTGGGCGCAGGCCAGTGTGTGCGCGCACCGTGCGCGAGCCGAAGCAGGGCGAGGCATTGCCTCACCTGGGAAGCCCAAGGGGTCAGGGAGTTCCCTTTCCGAGTCAAAGAAAGGGGTGACGGACGCACCTGGAAAATCGGGTCACTCCCACCCGAATATTGCGCTTTTCAGACCGGCTTAAGAAACGGCGCACCACGAAACTATATCCCACACCTGGCTGAGAGGGTCCTACGCCCACGGAATCTCGCTGATTGCTAGCACAGCAGTCTGAGATCAAACTGCAAGGCGGCAACGAGGCTGGGGGAGGGGCGCCCGCCATTGCCCAGGCTTCCTTAGGTAAACAAAGCAGCCGGGAAGCTCGAACTGGGTGGAGCCCACCACAGCTCAAGGAGGCCTGCCTGCCTCTGTAGGTTCCACCTCTGGGGGCAGGGCACAGACAAACAAAAAGACAGCAGTAACCTCTGCAGACTTAAGTGTCCCTGTCTGACAGCTTTGAAGAGAGCAGTGGTTCTCCCAGCACGCAGCTGGAGATCTGAGAACGGGCAGACTGCCTCCTCAAGTGGGTCCCTGACCCCTGACTCCCGAGCAGCCTAACTGGGAGGCACCACCCAGCAGGGGCACACTGACACCTCACACGGCAGGGTATTCCAACAGACCTGCAGCTGAGGGTCCTGTCTGTTAGAAGGAAAACTAACAACCAGAAAGGACATCTACACCGAAAACCCATCTGTACATCACCATCATCAAAGACCAAAAGTAGATAAAACCACAAAGATGGGGAAAAAACAGAACAGAAAAACTGGAAACTCTAAAACGCAGAGCGCCTCTCCTCCTCCAAAGGAACGCAGTTCCTCACCAGCAACGGAACAAAGCTGGATGGAGAATGATTTTGACGAGCTGAGAGAAGAAGGCTTCAGACGATCAAATTACTCTGAGCTACGGGAGGACATTCAAACCAAAGGCAAAGAAGTTGAAAACTTTGAAAAAAATTTAGAAGAATGTATAACTAGAATAACCAATACAGAGAAGTGCTTAAAGGAGCTGATGGAGCTGAAAACCAAGGCTCGAGAACTACGTGAAGAATGCAGAAGCCTCAGGAGCCGATGCGATCAACTGGAAGAAAGGGTATCAGCAATGGAAGATGAAATGAATGAAATGAAGCGAGAAGGGAAGTTTAGAGAAAAAAGAATAAAAAGAAATGAGCAAAGCCTCCAAGAAATATGGGACTATGTGAAAAGACCAAATCTACGTCTGATTGGTGTACCTGAAAGTGATGGGGAGAATGGAACCAAGTTGGAAAACACTCTGCAGGATATTATCCAGGAGAACTTCCCCAATCTAGCAAGGCAGGCCAACGTTCAGATTCAGGAAATACAGAGAACGCCACAAAGATTCTCCTCGAGAAGAGCAACTCCAAGACACATAATTGTCAGATTCACCAAAGTTGAAATGAAGGAAAAAATATTAAGGGCAGCCAGAGAGAAAGGTCGGGTTACCCTCAAAGGAAAGCCCATCAGACTAACAGTGGATCTCTCGGCAGAAACCCTACAAGCCAGAAGAGAGTGGGGGCCAATATTCAACATTCTTAAAGAAAAGAATTTTCAACCCAGAATTTCATATCCAGCCAAACTAAGCTTCATAAGTGAAGGAGAAATAAAATACTTTATAGACAAGCAAATGCTGAGAGATTTTGTCACCACCAGGCCTGCCCTAAAAGAGCTCCTGAAGGAAGTGCTAAACATGGAAAGGAACAACCGGTACCAGCCGCTGCAAAATCATGCCAAAATGTAAAGACCATCGAGACTAGGAAGAAACTGCATCAACTAACGAGCAAAATCACCAGCTAACATCATAATGACAGGATCAAATTCACACATAACAATATTAACTTTAAATATAAATGGACTAAATTCTGCAATTAAAAGACACAGACTGGCAAGTTGGATAAAGAGTCAAGACCCATCAGTGTGCTGTATTCAGGAAACCCATCTCACGTGCAGAGACACACATAGGCTCAAAATAAAAGGATGGAGGAAGATCTACCAAGCAAATGGAAAACAAAAAAAGGCAGGGGTTGCAATCTTAGTCTCTGATAAAACAGACTTTAAACCAACAAAGATCAAAAGAGACAAAGAAGGCCATTACATAATGGTAAAGGGATCAATTCAACAAGAGGAGCTAACTATCCTAAATATTTATGCACCCAATACAGGAGCACCCAGATTCATAAAGCAAGTCCTGAGTGACCTACAAAGAGACTTAGACTCCCACACATTAATAATGGGAGACTTTAACACCCCACTGTCAACATTAGACAGATCAACGAGACAGAAAGTCAACAAGGATACCCAGGAATTGAACTCAGCTCTGCACCAAGTGGACCTAATAGACATCTACAGAACTCTCCACCCCAAATCAACAGAATATACATTTTTTTCAGCACCACACCACACCTATTCCAAAATTGACCACATACTTGGAAGTAAAGCTCCCCTCAGCAAATGTAAAAGAACAGAAATTATAACAAACTATCTCTCAGACCACAGTGCAATCAAACTAGAACTCAGGATTAAGAATCTCACTCAAAGCCGCTCAACTACATGGAAACTGAACAACCTGCTCCTGAATGACTACTGGGTACATAACGAAATGAAGGCAGAAATAAAGATGTTCTTTGAAACCAACGAGAACAAAGACACCACATACCAGAATCTCTGGGACGCATTCAAAGCAGTGTGTAGAGGGAAATTTATAGCACTAAATGCCTACAAGAGAAAGCCGGAAAGATCCAAAATTGACACCCTAACATCACAATTAAAAGAACTAGAAAAGTAAGAGCAAACATATTCAAAAGCTAGCAGAAGGCAAGAAATAACTAAAATCAGAGCAGAACTGAAGGAAATAGAGACACAAAAAACCCTTCAAAAAATCAATGAATCCAGGAGCTGGTTTTTTGAAAGGATCAACAAAATTGATAGACTGCTAGCAAGACTAATAAAGAAAAAAAGAGAGAAGAATCAAATAGACACAATAAAAAATGATAAAGGGGATATCACCACCGATCCCACAGAAATACAAACTACCATCAGAGAATACTACAAACACCTCTACGCAAATAAACTAGAAAATCTAGAAGAAATGGATACATTCCTCGACACATACACTCTCCCAAGACTAAACCAGGAAGAAGTTGAATCTCTGAATAGACCAATAACAGGCTCTGAAATTGTGGCAATAATCAATAGTTTACCAACCAAAAAGAGTCCAGGACAAGATGGATTCACAGCCGAATTCTACCAGAGGTACAAGGAGGAACTGGTACCATTCCTTCTGAAACTATTCCAATCAATAGAAAAAGAGGGAATCCTCCCTAACTCATTTTATGAGGCCAGCATCATTCTGATACCAAAGCCGGGCAGAGACACAACCAAAAAAGAGAATTTTAGACCAATATCCTTGATGAACATTGATGCAAAAATCCTCAATAAAATACTGGCAAACCGAATCCAGCAGCACATCAAAAAGCTTATCCACCATGATCAAGTGGGCTTCATCCCTGGGATGCAAGGCTGGTTCAATATACGCAAATCAATAAATGTAATCCAGCATATAAACAGAGCCAAAGACAAAAACCACATGATTATCTCAATAGATGCAGAAAAAGCCTTTGACAAAATTCAACAACCCTTCATGCTAAAAACTCTCATTAAATTAGGTATTGATGGGACGTATCTCAAAATAATAAGAGCTATCTATGACAAACCCACAGCCAATATCATACTGAATGGGCAAAAACTGGAAGCATTCCCTTTGAAAACTGGCACAAGACAGGGATGCCCTCTCTCACCGCTCCTATTCAACATAGTGTTGGAAGTTCTGGCCAGGGCAATCAGGCAGGAGAAGGAAATAAAGGGTATTCAATTAGGAAAAGAGGAAGTCAAATTGTCCCTGTTTGCAGACGACATGATTGTTTATCTAGAAAACCCCATTGTCTCAGCCCAAAATCTCCTTAAGCTGATAAGCAACTTCAGCAAAGTCTCAGGATACAAAATCAATGTACAAAAATCACAAGCATTCTTATACACCAACAACAGACAAACAGAGAGCCAAATCATGAGTGAACTCCCATTCACAATTGCTTCAAAGAGAATAAAATACCTAGGAATCCAACTTACAAGGGATGTGAAGGACCTCTTCAAGGAGAACTACAAACCACTGCTCAAGGAAATAAAAGAGGACACAAACAAATGGAAGAACATTCCATGCTCATGGGTAGGAAGAATCAATATCGTGAAAATGGCCATACTGCCCAAGGTAATTTACAGATTCAATGCCATCCCCATCAAGCTACCAATGACTTTCTTCACAGAATTGGAAAAAACTACTTTAAAGTTCATATGGAACCAAAAAAGAGCCCGCATCGCCAAGTCAATCCTAAGCCAAAAGAACAAAGCTGGAGGCATCACGCTACCTGACTTCAAACTATACTACAAGGCTACAGTAACCAAAACAGCATGGTACTGGTACCAAAACAGAGATATAGATCAATGGAACAGAACAGAGCCCTCAGAAATAATGCCGCATATCTACAACTATCTGATCTTTGACAAACCTGAGAAAAACAAGCAATGGGGAAAGGATTCCCTATTTAATAAATGGTGCTGGGAAAACTGGCTAGCCATATGTAGAAAGCTGAAACTGGATCCCTTCCTTACACCTTATACAAAAATCAATTCAAGATGGATTAAAGATTTAAACGTTAGACCTAAAACCATAAAAACCCTAGAAGAAAACCTAGGCATTACCATTCAGGACATAGGCGTGGGCAAGGACTTCATGTCCAAAACACCAAAAGCAATGGCAACAAAAGCCAAAATTGACAAATGGGATCTAATTAAACTAAAGAGCTTCTGCACAGCAAAATAAACTACCATCAGAGTGAACAGGCAACCTACAACATGGGAGAAAATTTTTGCAACCTACTCATCTGACAAAGGGCTAATATCCAGAATCTACAATGAACTCAAACAAATTTACAAGAAAAAAACAAACAACCCCATCAAAAAGTGGGCAAAGGACATGAACAGACACTTCTCAAAAGAAGACATTTATGCAGCCAAAAAACACATGAAAAAATGCTCATCATCACTGGCCATCAGAGAAATGCAAATCAAAACCACTATGAGATATCATCTCACACCAGTTAGAATGGCAATCATTAAAAAGTCAGGAAACAACAGGTGCTGGAGAGGATGTGGAGAAATAGGAACACTTTTACACTGTTGGTGGGACTGTAAACTAGTTCAACCATTGTGGAAGTCAGTGTGGCGATTCCTCAGGGATCTAGAACTAGAAATACCATTTGACCCAGCCATCCCATTACTGGGTATATACCCAAAGGACTATAAATCATGCTGCTATAAAGACACATGCACACGTATGTTTACTGCGGCATTATTCACAATAGCAAAGACTTGGAACCAACCCAAATGTCCAACAATGATAGACTGGATTAAGAAAATGTGGCACATATACACCGTGGAATACTATGCAGCCATAAAAAATGATGAGTTCATGTCCTTTGTAGGGACATGGATGAAATTGGAAACCATCATTCTCAGTAAACTATCGCAAGAACAAAAAACCAAACACCGCATATTCTCACTCATAGGTGGGAATTGAACAATGAGATCACATGGACACAGGAAGGGGAATATCACACTCTGGGGACTGTGGTGGGGTCGGGGGACGGGGGAGGGATAGCATTGGGAGATATACCTAATGCTAGATGACACGTTAGTGGGTGCAGCGCACCAGCATGGCACATGTATACATATGTAACTAACCTGCACAATGTGCACATGTACTCTAAAACTTAAAGTATAATAATAATAATAAAAAAAGAAAAAAAAAAAAAAGATTAAAAAATAAAAATTAAAAAAAAAAAAAAAGAAAATGTGGCACATACACACCATGGAACACTATGCAGCCGTAAAAAAGGATGAGTTCATGCCCTTTGCAGGGAAATGGATGAAGCTGGAAACCATCATTCTCAGCAAACTAACACAGGAACAGAAAACCAAACACTACATATTCTCACTCATAAGTGGGAGGCGAACAATAAGAACACATGGGCACAGGGAGGGAAACATCACACACCAGGGCCTGTCAAGGAGTGGGGGGCTAGGCGTTGGATAGCATTAGGAGAAATACCTAATGTAAATGACGGGTTGATGGGTGCAGCAAACCACCACGGCACTTGTATACCTATGTAACAAACCTGCACATTCTGCGTATGTGTCCCAGAACTTAAAGTATAATAAATTTTAAAAAGTCAGTTTATCCCATATTTTTTACACTTTATTCAATCAAAATAAAATTGCCAATCAAGTATTTTTAATATGCCACAATTTTTCTAAAATTTATTGTGAATAGTAAAAAGGCAAGAATATCTAAGAAATTACTTTTAAAAAAGGAAGAAAGTCATCTTTCATTAAAGGTATTTAAAACATCAATGCCTAAAATAGTGTGATTCTTGTTTAAGAATAACCAGACGAATGGAGCAAAACAGACAATACAAAAATACCCTAGAACTTATAAGGAGTATATGGCAAAAGTAGAATAATAAATTATTGGATAATTGAAGGATTAATTCAAAAAATCCTACTGGGACATTTGATTATCCTTTGGAAGTAAAACACTCATGTTGTTACTCTACAAAACAAGCCCCAGGAGAACAATAAAAATAATTATAGTCAAACCAGAAAGAAACATGAAATATACACCTATTAATAATAATAGCCACCATTTATTTAGTGTTTGCTATATGCCAGGTAGTATGCAAAGAGTTTTATACATATTATGTCATTTAATTATTACCATACACTGTGAAATAGGCACTATTATTGATAGTCTTACTTTATAAATAAAGAAACCAAGACCCAGAGAGACAGGACCTTGTTCCAGGTAACACAGCCCATCAGTGTCAGAAATCTGAATTCAGACAGTTCTTACTCCAAGTCTCACTATATTCTGCTACGAGCATCTGATTGCGGGAGATCTGATTGTAAAGTCAGATGCAATTGAAAGACTAGATAAATCTTACTATATAAAAATAGATATTAAAAGACTTAAAAGTTCTTTTGATGGCAGGACACAATGCAATGTCACTTGGATAGATGAAAGGCAGTACGCTTTGTTACTTATATCTTGAAATGAGGGAATGCTGCCAGGCAGGGCCACATAGGGAGTTACTCACGGGAACAGGGTAAAAGCAAGTAGGAGCTGTAGGGGGCAGCTTAATGTATGGCAAATGCAGTGGGGTTAATTTGGTTTCACAGGTTCCCTGTGAATTGGCCAAGTAGGCTCTGGGGTATAGGGGATGTCTCTAGTTGTCTGATACCTGGTCCCAGGGCAATTAGGGTAGGTGTAGAGTGGCCTAGAGGAGTGTGAAAGCTCCATAAGGAAAGTAATTGGGGTGTGGACTTAATCAGCTGCTCAAGAAGGGAACTGACTAGCCTTGACCTCAAACTGGGTCAAGACAGCATTTCAAAAAACAAAACAAAACTATATTACAACATATGCCTCATCTGTAGAGCAAAAATTCTGTAAACAAAAACAAAGGAGAGAGTTCAAAAGTCACAGTAAAATAAGGATTAATAAAATAGACTGGATCATAGGAAAGAAAAACAATACCCCCATTCCCGGAATCTTTCACTATTCCATGAAGCAAGGGTGGGGCTGGGATCCTGTAAAAATCTCCAGGGGCTGGGGTTTTTGAGGCTACACGTATTTCCTCACAGTCCAGATTATCTGATATGTGTTCTATGCATCCACGTCCTACAGCTCCCTCCCCAGCCTTGAGAACTTCCTTAAGAATCACTACAGTGAGAAAACTATAAGAGAATGTCTTGTGCATGTGAACAGTTCAGAAGCAAAAATATTGAAAACAATTATATTGTAGCAGGCTGTCCTTACACAACTATTTTTAGCCTGATAGAGGATGGTTTGACAAAGACACAAGTTAAAATTGAAAACAAAATGAGCTGATGGGTTTTTAGCATAACTCCCACCCATACTCCTGTACTCATTAGCAACTCCATATAAGAGCAAGGAAGAATATGACCATGTCTATATTTCAGTTGCTTTCACTTTTCTTTACATATCTAGGAAGTGTTAGCTTATGGGACCTGCCAAAATTTATTGACATGTAGGCTGAGTCATTACACTAAAAGAAGAAAGATTTGTAAACATGTAAACCTCTATAAAACACGCTGCTTAACAGCCCAAATAAATTAGAAATGACACAAACAAATGAAAAAAAATTCCATGTTCATGGATAGGAAGAAACAATATTGTTAAAATGGACTTACATCCCAAAGCAGATTCCATGCTATTTCTACCAAATTACAAATGACATTCTTCACAGAACTAGAAAAAACTATTATAAAATTCATATTGAACCAAACAAAGCCCAAATAGCCAAGGCAATCCTAAGCAAAAAGAACAAAGTTAGAAGCATCACATTACCCAATTTCAAACTATACTACAATGCTATATTAAGCAAAACAGCATGGTGCTGGTACAGAAACAGACACAGACGAGTGGAACAGAATAGAGAGCCTAGAAATGAAACCACACACCTACAACAATCTCATCTTCAACAAAGTCAACAAGCAATGGGAAAACTATTCAATAAATGATGCTGCAATAACTGGCTAGCCATATGCAGAAGAGAGAATCTGGACTCCTTCCTTACACCGTATATAAAAATCAACTCAAAATGTATTAAAGACTTAAATGTAAACCTATATATAAAACTTATAAAATGATACAGAATACTTATAAAACTATACATAAAACTATACAACCCTGGAAAATAACCTAGGAAATATCATTCTGGACATAGGACCTGGAAAATATTTCATGTTGAAGATGCCAAAAGCAATTGCAACCAAAAAAAAGTTAACAAATGGGACCTAATTAAACTAAAGAGCTGCTGCACAGCAAAAGAAGCTATCAACAGAGTGAACAAACAACCTACAGAATGGGAGAAAATATTTGCAAACTATGCATCCAACAAAGGTCTAATATCCAGCATCTATAAGGAACTTAAACTAACCAGCAAAAAACAAACAACCTCATAAAAATGGGCAAAGGACATGAACAGATATTTATCAAAAGAAGACATAAAGGTAGCCAACAAGCATACAAAAAAAGCTCAATATCAATAATCATTAGAGAAATGCAAATCAAAACCGTGAGATGCCATTTCACACCAGTCAGAATGGCTATTATTAAAGTAAAAAGAAATCAGATGCTGGTGAGGTTGCAGAGAAAATGGAATACTTATACACTGCTGGTAAGAATGTAAATTAGTTCAGCCATTGTGGAAAGCAGTGTGGCAATTTTCCAAAGAACTAGAAACAGAACTACCGTTCAACCCAGCAATCCCATTATTGGGTGTATGCCAAAAGGAATGTGAATTGTTCTACCATAAAGACACATGCATGCATATGTTCATCGTTGCGCTACTCACATTAGTAAAGACATAGAATAAACCTAAATTCCCATCAACAGTAAACTGGATAAAGAAAATGTGGTACACATACATCATGGAATACTATGCAGTCATAAAAGAGAATGAGCTCGTGCCTTCTGCAGTGACACGGATAGAGCTGGAGACAATTATCCTAAGCAAGGTAACACAGGAACAGAAAACCAAATACCACATGTTCTCATTTATAAGTGGGAGCTAAATATTGAGTACACATGGACACGAAGATGGGGGCAACAGACATCAGGGCCTATTTGAAAGGGTAGAGTGGGAGGAGGGAAAGGATCAAAAACTACCTATTGGGTACTGTGATTATTACCTGGGTGACAAAAGAATCTGTACATCAAACCTCAATGATGTGCAATTTACCTAAAGATATGAAAAACCTGCACATGTACCCCTGAACCTAAAAAGCTAAACGCTAAACACACACACACACACACACACACACACACACACACACAGTATTTATCACTTATTTTATTTATTTTAATGTACAATCTTCACATCACAGATATTCTTATGTGTCACATGAGGGGTGGGGTGGACATTCATTGTAAATAGAGAAAACAACATTTTAAAAAGTTTTACTAGACAATTTAAAATACTTTGGCGCATTCATTTGCAGAAAAAGTCTAACATTTACATAGGAGGGAGCCATTGTCTCCATTACTACAATGAACATAAGGTGATTAAGGAATATTGAGGAATCCAAAGAAAATGCACCATTATGGTATGAAATAGTGGTACCAAGCAGATGCGATAATGAATCTTGACGAAGACTGCAGTGCTCAAAAGGAGATGGTGCTGTCCAGTAGAAATGACTCCTCTCTGAACACACAAAAAAGTGGTAATGTATATCACTGGGAGGTGGAGGAGGCAAAACATAGAGAACATGGAAAGGTAATCAACCATTGACAAGGCTTATTTATCAACATATAGGAAATTAAATTGGGAAATTCCAAAAAAAAAATCTTAGGGAATTTAACGAGAGGTCTGGAAATCCTGCATTAACAGGTCCAGACTAAAAGCCAACAAAATATGTGAGGAAAAAGCAGAAAAAAATCCATACCTTGATACCAAAAATTAGCTGAATACTCTGTATCATTTGTTTTGGTTTTTGTTTCTTGTTTTTAGAGACTGAGTCTTGCTCTGTTGCCCAGGTTGGAGTGCAGTGGCACAATCTCAACTCACTGCAACCTTGGCCTCCCAGGTTCAAGTGATTCTCCTGCCTCAGCCTCCTGAGTAGCTGGGATTACAGGCACATGCCACCATGCCCAGCTAATTTTTGTATTTTTAGTAGAGATGGGGTTTCACTGTGTTGGCCAGGCTGGTCTCAAACTCCCGACCTCGTGATCCGCCCACCTCGGCCTCCCAAAATGCTGGGATTACAGGCCTGAGCCACCTCTCCCAGCCCTCTGTACTACTTTTAACTTAGAACTTAAAATTTAAGGTTCCCAGTCTTAGGCTGAGCTGAGAGGTCAAGCAAAATCCTGACAAACTTTTTCGATCTGTATGCGCACACAAATCATTGCTTATCCTAAAAAGAGTATTTTCTCTGCCATAACAAAGACTAAACATCTGACAAAAAAATCTCACAAAGGTTACTAATCTCATGATGATCCTACAGCAGCTATAATGCAGTCCCTGGGGGAGGGGGAAGCAGATTTCTGAGTCAATCAAGTTTGATTTTATTTGAATTATGGAATTTTTAGAGAAGTGTTTTATCCCTATTATTAACTGTGTGTTTCACATAGGAAAATAATCATGGGTCAGTGAATTAATAACTTTTCATGCCTTAAAGAAGCATATTTCTGTTTGATGGATTGGCCAATACCAAAATCTAGTGTTTTAAATGGTTAATAATCCCAGGAAATTTCAGATTGATTTTGCTCCTTTCACCGACCAATCTGCTAAGGAGTGTGATAAAATATGATTAAGAAACCCTCAATGCCATCATTCCGCTGGATTTGTTTTTAAGTTGAAGCTTTAAAGTAATTAAATAGTACTTGATGAATTGGAAATCTCTTCCAGTAATTTCAGAGATGGTTTCCTTCTTCAGGTTTTGCAAGGCTTTTAACATTGTCTTCATACATACTAATGCCAGTTTAAGGGCTCTCTCTATATATGCATACTTACTCTCTCCCTCGATCATTCCAACATGGATATAAACATACTGTTTTGTTCTACCATGGCTACACCTTTGCCCCCTAGGAATTTCTATCCTCTCCAAATATTATTAAAATATTAAACAAAGGAGCAAGTTTGCTGGAGATAAGTATTTATATAAAAAAATAAGAAGTTTGATGCTTAAGGTTTGTGGAAGAGTTTGTAGAAATATTAAAAAGAAAACACCAGACAGGCCTCTCCAATCGTGTGATGCCAATCCTCAAACAGCACTTAATCCTGGCATCATTCTATTGCTTGCTAGTAGCTCTAAAGCCTATGGTGGAAAAGAGGAACTGGGGGAGGGATAGCTGGAAAAATTTAGGTCCAGGTTGTCTCAAGCTTATTCATGGAAAAATTTTCAGTTTAAACTTACAAAAGCAACGGTGATTTGGGTTTCTTGGGCTCTTCGTGTGTGTGTTAATTTATTTATTTATTTTTTTCCAGTTTGGTAACTCATTTCAACAACAGTCAGTATTTCTATCCTGTCAGGTTAGAAAATCAATGTGAAGACAACCAAGCACGGAGATTGGACCAAGAAAATATCCAGACCAGTGCTTTATTAGAGGAAGGAGCACTGAACCTGGCTACCAGGAAACTCGGTTTTGATTCCACTTTGCTACAAGTTGCCTTGTTCTGCTCCTTCTTCATCTGCAATATGGACAACATAATATTGGTAATATTTCTATTGACCATGTGAGATGAAGAATGTTGAAGTGTTTTGAAACCCCTAAAAACCAATACGAAGTGTTGCCATCTTAAGAGAAAGAGAAAGAAAAGAGGATAGGTCTTAATGTCATCCTCACTCTCAGATTAATAAAGCATAAAGGGTCCAAATGAAAGCATATTTATAAATTATAGATGAAATCATAAAATTGGTCTAGTGGTAACAGGTACACACACACACACACACACACACACACAGAGAGTATTTATTTATTTTTCTAGGAATGTTGCCTCTCAATTATATGTTAACCAGAGGCCTTTGGATTCAACTAGCTTTACAACATGAAGAAAAAAGGACACCATGCTTAGAGATACTTTTATTATGTTTGACCTTATATCCAAGACTTTCTGTATTTTCTAGTTGTGGACTGTAATTATTGATTATTTTTAAAATACTCTAGTAAATTAGCTTTTTTCTAGAATCCTTTAGTTTTTCCTTTTAATATTTAAAACCTTATGTTTAAAACAAACGTTGCACACATAGATAATCAAACCAATCATCCCTAGACACAGGAAACTCCTTTTCATAATGCTCAACATTTTCTCTTTGATATTATTTTTTGATATGTCCAATGTAATCCTCATTGACATTGTTTAAACAGTATGCTTGCTGTTCATAAAGTATATACACATGGCTCAGCTCAAAGTTTCAGACAATATCATAAGTGACAGCAAGAGTATAGGCTCTGGAGACACACATTTAAGTTTCTTATTCTTATTCCGTCATATATTAACTGTCTGACCTTCAGCAAGTTATTTAATCTCTCAGAATCTCACTTTGGGTGATAACAATTTCTACTTCACAGGACTTATGAGAATCTTAAAACACAAATATACTCACTTTCCACTGAAGGGTTTGGCACCTAGTAGGTAAGTGATAAATGTTACTATTAGAATAATAACTATAGACTGGATTAAACAATAAGCAATTTCAATTACCTGACAAATATCATTGGCAAAGAACTATGCTTTGGGATTTAAAATCCATAGTGTCTATTGCTTGTATGCCTTCATATGTGTCTCTTTGCAAGTTCTATGAGGATTGGTTTTTCACCCTTACAGTTTGATTCAGCAGAAAATTATTGACTACATATTAAGTGCTAGTCACATTATTGAGTGCAGAGGACTCAAAGATGAATAAAGCAGGGTCCTTGCACTAGAGGAAACCTTGAGGATTCAGAAGTGAAGGCACTCATTTTATCTATCTTTGTACTGAGGAAAGGAAAAAAATATTGATGATTATCACTAGAATTATGTATTTACTTTTTGATAAATACCATCTAATATTGTTCTTTGTTTCTTAAAGTGTAAAAAGTGAAAAAAAATCCACTCCCTTTCACTTTTCATTAATCTACTATGTGTGCAGACAATGAACATCAGAGAAGCAAGGCACCCCCCAACATTATATTATAAATTCTCTCAGTATTTCTTCTGTTTTTATTGCTTTTTTTTTTTAACACGTCTTGACATTTTCATGTGAGTGAAATATAGTTCCACAGTCAAGTTCTTTTCAGTCAGGCCTACAAAGAGAAAAGTCATTCAATAAACATAAAAAACTAAAGGAAAATGCTAGAAGCCAATCCACTGCTGATATCGGTTTGAGTGTTCTTCTTTCACTTTGATTAAAACTGCATGCAATCATGCATTTGAGGAATATGATTTTGCTGTTGTTATTGCCAAAAAGATATGGGATTAGACCAGTTAGAGTAATTACAGGTACTGCCTTGGATGATGAGAAAGTCCTCTAGGGATAAAAATGTTTGCCTAATTATATAATTCCTGACCAGATTATAAAAATGTTCTGTTTGATCCATGTTCTTGGTGGAAGGAATCCAAATTTTTGACAGCAAATGTGGTTAGTTGTAAGAGCCCTTTGGGTATCATCTCAACCCCAGAATTCTGGACTACAACTGTGGAATGGCTTCAGGTTCTTTCTGATACAGGCAAGGATTCAGAATTTTCATTATTTCAATACCAGATACCTCCAGTCTCCAAAGAATTCCCCAGTATGCTATCAAGATTAAGAATGCAGAATTTCTGTGAACTTGGAAAAATTACTTAACCTGTCCATGCCACAATTTTTCCATTTGTTTGATGATGATAGTATCTAATTCAGAGGATTATTGCGAGTTTTAAAAAGTTAATAATACATGTAACACGCTTTGACTTATGCTTGACATGTAGGAAGTGTTGATTGGTTTTATTAGCACCCTTTTTGGCAGTTAATTGAAAATCCTGTCAGGGTTTCCGATAATTTTTTTAGAAAATCAGTTTTAATTATTCAATTATTAGGAAGAAATTGAGTACGCACCCTGTGAACAGAACTATACTGGTTCCTGAGAAAGAGAAGAGTGTAAAAATCTGGGGAATAGAATGAGCATAACTGGCATTCACATAGTCTTGATTCTGCTGTAGACTAATTTCTGAAAGTAAGGAACAAAAAGATGCTTCACATTCTAGAAACTATTCTAATATAGTAGCTTTGAAAATGTTCTTTTACTACTATTATTTAACTTTAGGGATGTCACATCACAGCATAGTTTTGTTCCTGTTTTCTCTCTCTCTCCAATATAGGCAGAGTTTTGGAAGATTTCCAGTCTGTTGAGAAGTTCAGTGTCTTCACCAGTTGCTTTCACTGAATATCTGTAGCTATGTATTACTTGCAAAAGTCTTCAAAGAGTGTTCTTTATAGTTATATTAATGTGGGTGACTTTCTCTAACTCTTCTGAGGCATATATGAGGGCATTTATTTAAACATGCAGTATAGGCAAGTTAAGTATTAGAATTTTCTGTACCACATATATGAATTTTTGTAACATTTTCTTTTCTTTACATTTGGAAGACATAATTGTTTTTGCTTCATTTCCCAATTTGAGGATTTTCCTCCCATGTTCTCCAAAGTAGTTACCTTACCATGATTCTCATCCAAAAATTCTAAGAAGAATCTGATATGTACACATATTTTGACCATGATCAGCCTCTTAAAAGTATTTCATACTTATACCTATTGTTTTCTGAAGAAATTGATCTTTCAATTTAGGTGTTCATATTTTCCTTTGGGTCTTTCAAGGTATATGCAAGAATATTTGTTTTTAATTTTTGTTTCACCAAATGAATCTGTCAAATACCATGACCTGCCCTTAAATTCTTGTATAGGAAAAGGATGATTTTAGCTGGAATTCAAATTGAAATTTGTTCCAAAGATGAAGTGGGCCAATAGGATTCAATGAGAGCATAACCCGGTATATTCTCCTACTGCATATGAAACAAGAAGCAGTTGCCTTGCTTGTGACAAGGAATGATATGACATTGTGAGGTTGTGGAGAGAAATGACTAGCTCTTTCTCTTGGTTTTTTGAACAAAGTAAGTTAATGGTCTACTGAAAAAAAGATTAAAAGTCTGCTTTTAATCTACATTTAGACAGAAATATCTGACCTGGATACATCAAACTCTCATCTAAAAGTACCTAATAATAATATTTTCTTATTTTCTGTGTTATTTTGTCAGTACCATTTCCAATGAACAACATTCACTTCCAGAATATTTGAAATCTTAGGTACTAGGAATAGGGAAGTGTGACACAATTACTTCCCCATGGGAGCCTTGCTCAGAGCTCATTTAAGCTGTGACCTGCTTAAGCTGCCAGGAAGTGCTAGTATTTTTGTTGCATCTTTTAAATGGAGATCCAGAGTGAAGCACAATGCATCAGAATTAGACCTTTTTACACTAAAGCAAATGAATAATATAAAGAAGTATATTTTCTTTCATGGAAAATTGTTTTACAACTTTTGCCCTTTATCAGATCTTCTTAATGGAGAAATCTTATCTGTGAAATTACTTTTTTTTCAGTAAAAATTGTTCTATGCAAATTGTGCCTCTTGAATCCTAGAATGTTGGCTAGCAGCAGCCAGATTTAAAGTCTGTGAATATCTCAAGCCAAGTATAAAAACCTCTGAAGATATGGGGGTTGATGTGAGTTCATGGGTGAATAAAGTAGTGACTATAGAAATATTGTGGGTACATTTGTAAATGAAATTTTTTATATGGAGCCAAGAACAGACTTTTAAATAGTGTTCTGATGTTTAAAAAGAAAAGAAAAGAAATAGGGGTGGAATACAGAAAGGAATACCTGTTCTTGTTTGGGATAAAGTCTTTCAATTGCTAGATTCCCTTTAACTTCCATAACACTGCAATGGACAAAGAATAGCCTAGGCATAACATCAGGAATAAACATGGGTCACTTTTTTTTTTTTTGAAACAGAGACTTACTCACTCTGCTGTCCAGACTGGCGTGGAGTGGTGTGATCTTGGCTCACTGCAACCTCTGCCTCCCGGGTTCAAGTGATTTTCCTGCCTCAGACCCTCCCGAGTAGCTGCGAGTAGCTGCAATTACAGGTGTGAACCACCACGGCCAGCTAACTTTTCTTTTTGTATTTTTAGTAGAGACAGGGTTTCACCATGTAGGACAGGCTGGTTTCGAACTCCTGACTTCAAGTGATCTGCCCACCTTGGCCTCCCAAAGTGCTGGGATTACAGGCATGAGTCACTGCATCCAGCTACATGGCTCACTTATAACAAAAAAGGTTTATGTTTTCAAGACTTAAATTTCTGAATGTGTTCTTGTTCTTTGGTCTTTTGCTGTTTCTCCTGTGAGAAGCATAGTCTCCCCCTGCATTCCCAATGCTTTCTCTCCACCTAACTAATTTCTTATAAAAATTCCTAATTTAAACATCACTTTCTCCAGGAAGCATTCATTCCATGGCACTTCAGATTAAGGTTATGAGGGATTTTTTTTGTGGCTTCCATGGTGACTTTGATTCTTCTAGTGTAGCACACATCACATTAATTACTTATTTGCTTATCTTCTCCCCTAATTGTAAGCTCCCTCCACTATAAAAATAATAACTACTATTTCTTAAGTATATACTATGTGCAAGATACTTTTCTAAAGACTTTATATATTTTATATTTACTCCTCATAGCAATTGTAACTTATCAAGCCAATTTACAGATGAGCAAAGTAAGGTACATAGATGTATAAGTATCGTGCTCAACACTACACAGCCAATAAGTTATAGAGACAGAATTTGAATCTCACTTCAGAATGTAGTTCCTTAGCCATTACTTCTTACTATTTCCTTAATGACAAAGGCCATGTCTGCTGGCTTTACTCTTCTATTCGGAGACTAAAACAGTGGCTAGTAGACAGAAGGTACATAATAACATACTTGTGGAATAAATAAGTGTATCGTGAATAAAAGCATATATTGTCATGCAGACAGCATAATACTGTTGCACAGTAGCAGGAATATAACTGGCTCTTGATCAGAACCCTTCTGAAATTAAAATGAATGCATCTAATTATCAGATTAGCCTTTTGCTCCTACTCAACTCACATCTACAAATGAACACGGTCTGTGCATTAAACTCTTCATCTCTTGTTTTTCCCATGTAATCAATGTATATAAGGCATGAAGAGAAACAATGCATACAACGTAAATATACATAGAGAGAAAGTCTGAGTTAGAATGATCAGCTTTAGTTAGGGCTGGGCCAGACAAGAGGACCAGATTGACAGTGCCCCAGCTGATATGTGCTTTGAGTAATGGGTACTTTAATTCACATAAGATTTGTACATTCAAAAGCAAATGAATATACTATTTCTACCTTATGTTTCCCCAACAATTTGCAATTTCATCTAAGACAAACCTATTTTAGGTACACCTGGTTAATGGGTATGCATACATACACATACATTTGTCTAAAATAATATGCTATACTTGTGAACATAATTCTTGTAAAATGTCAAAAGTTAAATATTGAGTTTGACATTTTCCATAAGTTTGAAAAAAAAAAAGATTGCTTTCTAAATCCTGGTTAAATTGGTTCTGCATGAAGTACTGTCAGTTCCAGTATATGGCAGCATTGTGTGGAATCTTAGACAGAGTCCGATGGTGCTCTAGAGAGAAAAGATTATCTAGTGGAATATGTTACTGAGTGACATACAGCGGAGGGATCAGAGGATCCCTTGAGTTTTCTTCACTCAAAATTGCCTAGTGTACATTAAGTAAAGCCATCAGTAATGTTGATATGTCAACATAATTTAATTTACGATCTTATGAGCTATTGCCCTGAAATTATTAAGCGGTCTAACAAAAAACAGTAGAAATGATCAGACAGTATAACTTACAAAAGCCCTAAGACTTCTGTGACCTTATGAATACAAGTAATGGACAAAAAGAATTTTCTTCAGGGAGATCCTTGAAACAGTATCCAATTACTCACAAATCTCAACGGAGATTGACATTCATATTAAGAAAAAAACAGAAGTAAGTAATTTCTCATATTAGAAATTGTTTTATTGAGGTTCATGATTATGTTTTCTAGCTTCTCTGCTAGACCTTCTTACTCAGTGAGCTTTCCATGGTTTAAAATTGGCTATCCTTTGAAAGCCAATACAGATGAGTCATGATGTAGTAAAGAGTCATATTATTAGAACATAAAAGTGTGTTTTTACTCTAGACATTTTAAAGTATATAACTGTACAATTGTTATTAAACTAACTTTTGTAAACCGCAGATTAGCATATTCCTAAAGCAAGAAACATATGTTGGGGGGAGGGAGGGTGCATATCAAGTAGCAGTGATGTACAGGTTGTTCCAAGAATGGCTACAAAACACTTCATTGTTTTTATATTCCAGTCCATTCTTTATATCTACAAACCTATGTCCACTCTCCAAAAAGAGTTGCCCAACTGACTAAGGTAACAGTGTGGACCATTTCCTTTCCTGCTGCCTTGGTCTCATAATTTTAGTGGGTTTTAGAAATGAAATAAACAGGTGTGTTTCTTCTTTATAAACAAGGAGTGTGTCAGACACCCCCACTATGCATTTAAGTATTACATTAAAAATGTTTACAACAGAGAGAAAAAATAATGACTCTGAGATATATGCATATGAAAAGCTTACTGCCACTTGGCTCTGTCCATGATACGTCATTTGGGAGAGAGTTTATTCTTCTTGATTTTGTAGGATAATAAAAAAATATTTTTGTGTGTGATGTTATGATTATAAACCCTATTAACTTGAGGGTTATAAGTTTGTGTCCTTTGTCCTTTATCGGGGGAACTCACCCCTTCGTTCAGGGTCCCTGACTTCCCGCAACAGTCCTCTAAAGAGCATTGAAATGATACAAAAATACAGTTTTATTATATTCTGTCCTTCATTTTAGGTATTTAAAATCTACATATTTTAATTTTTGTGCGTTACACAAGTTACATACATGTACTAGCTACATATTTTGAATTTAATATCATCTATTGCTAAATAGTAATATCAACTCCAAAAATGATAGAGACCAAAGAGTAAATGTTTCTTTTCCATTCAATAACAAATTGAAAGCTAAAAAGATCACTCCGTTTTAGTAGCTTGGCACTGTCTATGGTTTGAACATGTCTCCAACAATTCAGGTGTTGAAAACTTAATTCCCAATACAACACTTTTAAAAGATGGGATCTTTAAGAGACAATTTAGGAGGCAGAGCCCTCATGAATGGATTAATGTTGCTATTACAGGAGTGGGTTCATTACAGCAAGAGCCAGTTTGTGGAGGCAGAGCAAGATGGCAGAATAGGAAACTCCACTGATTGTCCACACTGCAAGGACACCAAGTTAACAACTATCTACACAGAAAAATCACCTTCATAAGAACCAAAACTAAGGTGAACACTCATAGTTTAGTACCTGGTTTTAACTTCATATTGCTGAAAGAGGCACTGAAGAGATAAAAAAAATATGTCTGGAATCACAGGCCACCCTGCTCCTGCACCACCAGCAATTGTGGCGTGGTGCAGAGTGTGTCTCTGGGCATTGGGGGAAGGAGAACATAGCACTTGTGAGGCATTGAATTCAGTGCTGTTCTGTTACAGCAGAAAAAAACCAGACCAAACTCAGCTGACACCCACCCACAGAGGGAACATTTAAACTAGCCTCGGACAAAGGGGAATCCCTGATTTCAGTCATGCGAAGTTTAGTGCCCAGAAACCTTGCCACAGAGGGCCAAAGTGCTCTTGGTTTCTAAATAAACTTGAAAGGCAGTCTATGCCATAAGGACTGTAACTCTTAGGCAAGTCCTAGGGCTGAACTAGATCCAGAGACAGTGGACTGGGGGGTGGCGTGTGATATACTGAAACACCCCTTGTGCAAGCCAAGAGAGTGCTGGCATCACCCCTCCCCTAACCCCAGGCTGCACCGCTTGTGGCTTCAAAAGAGACCCCTTCCTTCCACTTGAGGGGAGGAGAGGGAAGAATGAGGAGGACTTTGTCTTGCATCTTAAACACCAGCTCAACCACAGCAGGATAGGGCGTGGGTCAGAGTAACGCTACTCTCATTCCAGGCCCCAGTTCCCAAACATTTCTAGACACACCCTGGGCCAGAAAGGAACCCGCTACCTTGAAAGAAAGGACTCAGTCCTTCCAGCATTCATCATCTGCTAACTACAGAGCCCTTGGGTCCTGAATAGCCAGCAGTGATACCCAGGTACTACATCAAGGGCTTTGGTGATCCTCTCAGACTTGCTGGCTTCAGGTACCAACACCATCACAATGAGGTAGAGCACCAAGCAGGCACTTGGGGTATCTGATTCCAGGACTTGACTATTGGTGGTGCTATGGTTTGGCTCTGTGCCCCCACCCAAGTCTCATGTTGAATTGTAATCTCCAATGTTGGGGGAGAGACCTGGTGGGAGGTGACTGGATCATGAGAGTGGATTTCCCCCTTGTTGTTCTTATGATAATGAATGAGTTACCATGAGATCTGATGGTTTAAAAGTGTGTAGCACTTCCCCCTTTGCTCTCTCTATCCTGCTCTGCCATGATAAGATGTGCTTGCTTCCGCTTCACATTCCACCATGACTGTAAGTTTTCTGAGGCCTCCCAGGCATGCTTCCTGTACAGCCTAGGGAACTGTGCATCAATTAAACCTGTTTTCTTCATAAATTACTCAGTCTCAGGTAGTTCTTTATAGCACTGTGAGAATGGACTAATACAGATGGCATTTCTGGACATTCTCTGGACCAGAGGGGAGCCCACTGCCCTGAAGGGTAAGTATCAGATCAGGTAACATTTGCCACAAGCTTACTTAAGAGATTTGGGAGCTTCAGGAAAAATCAGTGGTAGTCTGGCAGTATTCCTCATGGCCAGGGGTGGCAGTGGCTATGAAGTGAGGCTTCTCTGCCTTTGGAAGGAAGCCAGAAGAGAGAGAAAGACTACATCTTGTAGTTTGAGTACCAGATTATCTATGATACAATGGAATACCAGGCAGACTTCTGAGGTTTTTAACTCTAGGCCTTGACTCCCAAAAGCCACTACTGACATTTTTAAAGTGATGATGGAAAAAAACTTTTACCATAGAATAGTATATCCAGCAAAAATATCATTGAAACATCAAGAAAATAATAAAGACTGCCTAGATAAACAAAAGCTGAGGGATTTCATCAATATCAGACACATTCTGTAAGAAATGCAAAGGGAGTACTTCTATCAGAAAAAAAGACATTAATGAGCAATAAATAATCACATAAAGGTACAAAACCTAATGGCAAGTACACAGAAAAATGCAGAATATCATAACACTATAACTGTGGTGTGTAAACTAGTCTTATCCGAAGTAGAAAGACTAAAGGATAAACTAAACAATAATAGTAACTACAACAACTTTTCAAGACATCATCAGTATAAGATATAAATAGAAATAACAAAAAGTTAAAAAGCTGGGAAACAAAGTTAAGGCAAGTACTTATTAGTTTTCTTTTTGCCTCTTTGTTTATGCAAATAGTGCTGTTATTGGGTTAAAATAATGAGTTGTAAGATAGCATTTTCAAGCCTCATGGTAATGTTAAATGTAAAAACATACGATAGATACACGAAAGAATAAGCAAGAAATAAAATCATATCACCATAGAAAATCATCATAAATACTGGGAGACAGAAAGGAAAGAAAGAAGAGAAAACAAAAACACAACCACAAAACAAATAACAAAATAGCAGGAGTAAATCCTTACTTACCAATAATAACATTGAATGTAAATGGACTAAACTCTCCAATCAAAAGACAAAGATTGGCTGAATGAATGAAAAAACAAGGCCATTAATCTATGGCCTACAAGAAACACACTGCACCTATAAAGACCCACATAGACTGAATACAAAGGGATGGGAAAAGATATTTCATGCCAATGAAAACCAAAGAAACCAGGAGTTGTATTTTTATTTTGTTTTTTATTATTATTATTATTATACTTTAAGTTTTAGGGTAAATGTGCACAATGTGCCAGTTAGTTACATATGTATACATGTGCCATGCTGGTGTGCTGCACCCATTAACTCGTCATTTAGCATTAGGTATATCTCCTAATGCTATCCCTCCCCGCTCCCCCCACCCCACAACAGTCCCCAGAGTGGGATGTTCCCCTTCCTGTGTCCATGTGTTCTCATTGTTCAATTCCCATCTATGAGTGAGAACATGTGGTGTTTGGTTTTTTGTCCTTGAGATAGTTTACTGAGAATGATGATTTCCAATTTCATCCATGTCCCCACAAAGGACATGAACTCATCATTTTTTATGGCTGCATAGTATTCCATGGTGTTTATGTGCCACATTTTCTTAATCCAGTCTATCATTGTTGGACATTTGGGTTGGTTCCAAGTCTCTGCTATTGTGAATAGTGCCGCAATAAACATACGTGTGCATGTGTCTTTATAGCAGCATGATTTATAGTCCTTTGGGTATATACCCAGTAATGGGATGGCTGGGTCAAATGGTATTTCTAGTTCTAGATCCCTGAGGAATCGCCACACTGACTTCCACAATGGTTGAACTAGTTTACAGTCCCACCAACAGTGTGAAAGTGTTCCTATTTCTCCACATCCTCTCCAGCACCTGTTTTTTCCTGACTTTTTAATGATTGCCATTCTAACTGGTATGAGATGGTATCTCATTGTGGTTTTGATTTGCATTTCTCTGATGGCCAGTGATGATGAGCATTTTTTCATGTGTCTGTTGGCTGCATAAATGTCTTCTTTTGAGAAGTGTCTGTTCATGTCCTTTGCCCACTTTTTGATGGGGTTGTTTTTTTCTTGTAAATGTGTTTGAGTTCATTGTAGATTCTGGATATTAGCCCTTTGTCAGAGGAGTAGGTTGCAAAAATTTTCTCCCATTTTGTAGGTTGCCTGTTCACTCTGATGGTAGTTTATTTTGCTGTGCAGAAGCTCTTTAGTTTAATTAGATCCCATTTGTCAATTTTGGCTTTTGTTGCCATTGCTTTTGGTGTTTTAGACATGAAGTCCTTGCCCATGCCTATGTCCTGAATGGTAATGCCTAGGTTTTCTTCTAGGGTTTTTATGGTTTTAGGTCTAACGTTTAAGTCTTTAATCCATCTTGAATTAATTTTTGTATAAGGTGTAAGGAAGGGATCCAGTTTCAGCTTTCTACATATGGCTAGCCAGTTTTCCCAGCACCATTTATTAAATAGGGAATCCTTTCCCCATTGCTTGTTTTTCTCAGGTTTGTCAAAGATCAGATGGTTGTAGATATGCGGCTTTATTTCTGAGGGCTCTGTTCTGTTCCATTGATCTACATCTCTGTTTTGGTACCAGTACCATGCTGTTTTGGTTACTGTAGCCTTGTAGTATAGTTTGAAGTCAGGTAGTGTGATGCCTCCGGCTTTGTTCTTTTGGCTTAGGATTGACTTGGTGATGTGGGCTCTTTTTTGGTTCCGTATGAACTTTAAAGTAGTTTTTTCCAATTCTGTGAAGTAAGTCATTGGTAGCTTGATGGGGATGGCATTGAATCTATAAATTACCTTGGGCAGTATGGCCATTTTCACAATATTGATTCTTCCTATCCATGAGCATGGAATTTTCTTCCATTTGTTTGTATCCTCTTTTATTTCATTGAGCAGTGGTTTGTAGTTCTCCTTGAAGAGGTCCTTCACTCCCTTGTGAGTTGGATTCCTAAGTATTTTATTCTCTTTGAAGCAATTGTGAATGGGAGTTCACTCATGATTTGGCTCTCTGTTTGTCTGTTATTGGTGTATAAGAATGCTTGTGATTTTTGTACATTGATTTTGTATCCTGAGACTTTGCTGAAGTTGCTTATCAGCTTAAGGAGATTTTGGGCTGAGACAATGGGGCTTTCCAGATATACAATCATGTCATCTGCAAACAGGGACAATTTGACTTCCTCTTTTCCTAATTGAATGCCCTTTATTTCCTTCTCCTGCCTAATTGCCCTGGCCAGAACTTCCAACACTATGTTGAATAGGAGTGGTGAGAGAGGGCATCCCTGTCTTGTGCCAGTTTTCAAAGGGAATGCTTCCAGTTTTTGCCCATTCAGTATGATATTGGCTGTGGGTTTGTCATAGATAGCTCTTATTATTTTGAGATACATCCCATCAATACCTAATTTATTGAGAATTTTTAGCATGAAGGGTTGTTGAATTTTGTCAAAGGCCTTTTCTGCATCTGTTGAGATAATCATGTGGTTTTTGTCTTTGATTCTGTTTCTATGCTGGATTACATTTATTGATTTGTGTATATTGAACCAGCCTTGCATCCCAGGGATGAAGCCCACTTGATCATGGTGGATAAGCTTTCATATCAGACAAAATGAACTTCCAGAAAAAAAAAAAAAACTATTGAAAGAGACAATAGAGGTCACTATATAATTATATGGGGGTCAATTCAGCAAAAGAATTTAGCAATTCTAAATGTATATGCACCCAACACTGGGGTTCCCAGAAATACAAACCAAATATTATTACAGATAAAAAGAGAGATAGGCACCAATACAATAATAGCTGGAGACTTCAACACCCCACTTTCAGCACTGGACTGAACTTTCAGTTCAGAAAATCAAAAAAGCAACATTAGACTTTATCTACACTACAGACCAAATGAATCTAATACATATTTATAGAATATTTCATGCAAGGGCTGCTGAATACATATTTTTTGTCCTCAGCACATGGATCTTTCTCAAGGACAGACCATATTTTAGGTCACAAAACAAGTTTTAAAACATTCAAAAAATTGAAATAACATTGAACATCTTCTCAGATCACAATGGAATAAAACTAGAAACTAAAAACAAAAAGAATTGTGGATTCTCTACAAAAACATGAAAATTAAACAATATGCCTCTGAATAACCAGTAGGTTAATGAAAAAAATAAGAAAGATATTGAAAAATATCTTGACGCTAATGATAAAACACAAAATACCAAAATCTATGGGATACAACAAAAACATTACTGAGAGGGAAGTTTATAGCTATAAGTGTTTATATCAAAAAAAGGAAAAACTTCAAATGAACAATCTAATGATACATTTTAAAGAACTAGAAAGGCAAT
This sequence comes from Homo sapiens, assembly GCF_000001405.40. Taxonomy (NCBI): domain Eukaryota; kingdom Metazoa; phylum Chordata; class Mammalia; order Primates; family Hominidae; genus Homo; species Homo sapiens. Next base: position 98,667,541 of record NC_000023.11, on the reverse strand, counting down.
TGCAAACTAAATGTAAAATTAGTAGAAGAAAAGAAATAGTACAGATCAGAGCAGAAAGAAATGAAATTGAAATTTAAAAAATGATACCAATGAAACAAAAAGTTGGATTTTTTTGAAAAGTTAAACAAAATTGACAAACCTTTAGCCCAATTAAGAAAAAATAAAAAGATGAGATCCAAATAAACAAGATCAGAAATGAAAAAGGAGACATCACAACTGATACTACAGAAATTCAAAGGCTCATTAGGGGCTACCATTAGCAACAATATGCCAATAAATTGGAAAGTCTAGAAGAAATGAACAAATTCCTAGATATATACAACCTACCAATATCGAATCAGGTAAATATCCAAAATCCGAACAGACCAGTAACAAGTAACAAGATCAAAGCTGTAATAATAAATCTCCCAGTAGAGAAAAGCCCAGAACCTAATGGCTCCACTGCTGAATTCTACCAAACATTTAAAGAAAAACTAATACCAATCTACGTCAAACTATTCTGAAATACAGAGGAGGAGGGAATATTTTCAAACTCATTCTATGAGGCCAGTATTAGTCTGTTATTGAAGCCAGAAAAAGACACATCAAAAAAAAAACAAAACTACAAAACAATATCTTTTATGAATACAGACGCAAAAGTCTTCCACAAAATACTAGTGAACTGAAGTCAGTATTACATTAGAAAGATCATTCATCATGACCAAGTGGTATTTATCCCTGAGAGGAAAGGGTGGTTCAACATTCAAAAATCAATTAATGTAATATATCATATCAACCAAATGAAGGATACAAACCATATGACCATTTCAACTGATGCTGAAAAAGCATTTGATAAAATTCCACATCCATTCACAATAAAAAAACCCCCAAAACCTGGGGATAGAAGGAACATACATCAACATAATAAAAGCCATATATGTAGACCCACAGGTAGTATCATACTGAATGGTGAAAACTGAAAGCCTTTTTTCTAAGATCTGGAACATGACAAGGATGCCCACTGTTACCACTGTTATTTACTATAGTACTAGAAATCTTAGCTAGAGAAATCAAATAAGAAAAAGATATAACAGGTAACCAAATTGGAAAGGAAGAAGTTAAATTATCCTTGTTGGCAGATGATATAATCTTATATTTGAAAAAACCTAAAGATTCCAGAAGAAAACTATTAGAACTGATAAATTCAGTAAAGTTGCAGGTTTTAAAATTAACACAAAAAACTCAATAGCGTTTCTATATGCTAACAGTGACCAATGGTGACAAATAAATTTAAAAAGTAATTGCATTTACAATAGACACACATAAGCCGAGATCGCACCATTGCACTCCAGCCTGGGCAACAGAGGGAGACTCCGTCTCAAAATAAATAAATAAATAAATAAATAAATACAATAGCCACACATAAAATTAAATACCTAGGAATTAACTTAACCAAAGAAGTGTAAGATCTCTATAATGAAAACTATAGAACACTGATGAAAGAAAATGAAAAGGACACCAGAAATTGAAAAAAAATATATTTCATATTCATGGATAGAATGAATACTGTTAAAATGTTCATATACCCAAAGCAATCTACATATTCAATGCAATTCCTATTAAAATACCAATGAAATTCTTCACTGAAATAGAAAAAAAATCGTAAAATTTATATGCAACCACAAAAGACCCAAAAGAGAAAAAGTTATCCTAAACAAAAAGAATAAAACTGAAGGAATCATATTACCTGACTTCAAATTATACTACTGAGCTACAGCAACCAAAACAGCATGATACTGGCATAAAAACAGACACACAGACCAATAGAGCAGAATAGATAACCACCCCCCCTCCCACAAAAAAAAAAATCCACACACCTACAGTGAACTCATTTTCAATAAAGGTGTCAAGAACATACCCTGGGGATGTGTTCAGAGGCTGACTTTTCCCCCTCTCACTCTTTGGTAACTCACAGTTTTTCAGCTGTCTCACAGCATTTGCAGTGGCAAGCCACTTCTTTCAAAGGGTCTGTGAATTCTTTCAATTTTTCTGGTATGTTCCTGCAGTGGTTCTTGGAGCAAAAGTTCACAATGTGAGTCTCCAGATGCTGTTCTGTTCATCTAAGCGGGAGTTTAATCCTGTCTCCTATTCACCATTTTCCCCTAATTATCTGTATTCAAATAACGTTTTATAACATCCCCAAAAGATCACACTAGCTCTCCAGCAATTCATCCAAACCAAGAAAAAATCTCCGAAGTGCCAGAAAAAGAATTGAGAAGGTGGATTATTAAGCAATCAGGGAGGCAACAGAAAAAAGTGAAAAACAACTTAACGACATTTTAAAAAATTCAGGATATGAATGAAAAAGTCTCCAGAGAAATAGATATTATAAAGAAAAGACAATCACAACCTCTGGAAATGAAAGACACACTTAGAGAAATGCAAAATGCGCAATAGAAAGTTTCAACAATAGAACTGAACAAGTAGAAGAAAGAACTTCAGAGCTCGAAGACAAGGCTTTTAAATTAACCCAATCTGACAAAGACAATGAAAAAATAATTTTAAAACATGAACAAAGCTTCCAAGAAATTTGGGATTATGTGAAATGACCAAACATAAGAATAATTAGTATTCCTGAGAAAGAAAGTAAATCCACAAGTTTGGAAAACTTACTCGAGAAAATAAGGAAAAATTCCCTGGTCTTGCTAGAGATCTAGACAACCAGATGGAAGAAGCTTAAAGAACACTCAGGAAATTCAACACAGAAAGATCATATGCTGTAATAAACATTATATATAATGCGAATTTTGTCCTAGATCATAAGAATTTTAATACTTAAGCTATGTTTCATAGATACAGTTCAACTCTAATGTGTTAGTTAATTGCTTAGAGTAAATGGCAAGTGGACACACAAAAAATAGATTTAGCGAACTGAAAGAGGTAATTGAAAGCAAGGAAGACAGAAACAATGCAGAAACACATTCTAAGCAATACGATATAACTATAACTGGTTGAGACTTCACTTTAACTAACAGAAAATCTGTTCTTAGCTCTGAGGTGGTTCTTTTTGAGCAAAGCTCAATTATACACTCAAGGAAAAGGGTTAATATTGCCCTGGTCTTTGTAATAGTTGGTACAGTAGTTAGTTAAGCATACTCAGTGTGAATTCTGTCAAGCACAGAATGTAGAATTAAATTGAGTTGTGAAAATTCTTAAGTTTTTTTATCATCTTTCTAGGCATAATGAGTGTACATTGGTGACAGGAATCCTGTCAATAGTTCCTTCTTCAAAGTAAAACAAAAACCCAGGAAAAAGTTATTGTCTTTTAAAATAACTCTTGTGATCTGTAGTATCAGCGGAAACAAAACAAAATTCTTGATTTATAGCGGAAATAAAAAACTTGTGGGGAGCAGGTGGGGGAGGGGAGTTATCATCTCTGTAGTCAATCAACTCATGATTCATCTGGTACCTGGCTGTTTCTAATGGGCTCCCTTGTCATTTCAGCCCAGAGGAAGCTCGGGACCAACCTAGTGATATCTCCAATCATTACACCACCAATAAAACCAGTTTAATTATTTCTCCAAAGTCCTAGAGAATCTGAAATCACCAGATTCACTCCAGTCTTAATGTGAACTGAACTCTCTTTAACGGGAAAATCAAACTGGTTTATTGTTTTTCAGGCTTCAGCATCATTCCAAGTGTCAAGGCTAATAGACACTCAATTAAAACTTAATTTATACAAAACTCTGGCTGGTAATTTTACCTCCATGCAGACAACAGACTTTCTAACTGTAGGAAAGGACTAGAAAAGAAAAAACAAAAACTGCTTGGCTGTAGATTAAACCATTAGAAATGTTGAGCCAAAATAGCATAGGTAATAGGCCAGAAATTGAGTTGAATGGTATCAGATGGTGTTCATAATGGATTGATCATAAAATCATGTCTAAGGAGCTATGTATTAAGATGCACTAACTGAATTTTGCATTTACATAGTTTACATTACAAACAAAATTATGGTTTTGTCATTCCTACGAATTTAACAAATTTTACTCAAGATTATATGTAACTTAAAATTATACTTCTATAAATTAGATTTAATAATTTATTTCTAATTTTGAAAAGAGTGTACGGAAGTGGTAAACTATGTATTTAAAGAATAGATCTCATAATTTTATCACCTCATTGTAATTTTGGTATATTCCCTTCCAGTGTCCCTTTCCACTTTAAACATGATTTCATTTTTATATAGCTATAATGATACAGTTGTAGACATTTGTATCATTTTTCCATGTAATATTTTTCCATGTAATATTACAGATGTAATATTACAGATTGTCCCTGCCTCACATTGATTCCATTTATGATTTTTCAACTTTATGATGGTACGAAAGCCATATGCATTCAGTAGAAAGCAGTGTAATACCCTCTTGCGATTCTGGGCAGCAGTAATGAGCAGCAGCTCCCAGAAACAACTGACACTCTAGAGTTTAATGTGTTACCAGATGATTTTGTCCAACCGTAGGCTAATGTAAGTAAGTGTTCTAAGCATGTTTAAGTTAGGCTAGGGTAAGCTATGATGTTCAGTAGGTTAGGTGTATTAAACACATCTTCAACATACGGTAATTTCAATTTTCAATGTGTTTATCAGGTTTTAACTCATCATAAGCTGAGGAGCACCTGTATATGCACAAGCTTTTTTTAAAAAAATTGTTATTATGCATTTTGTTACCTTTATTCTCTTCTCTAACATTCACAATCCTGTCACTATAACTTAGCAATACATTTTGGAAATGTTTATATTAGGTCTTTATTCTTACACATATATAATTTACATTACTAAAATTATTCCTATTCATTGACATGCCAAGTATAGCTTCATAAAGATCAAGTTCAGTGGTTACCTAAAAATCACTCATCTGTGGCTAAATCTTTGTGTTGCCTCCACTACTATGGATAATGCCTGTCATTTGTTTTCAGGTTTGAAAATTGGTATTTGTTTAATAAAGGGGCTATTGCTTTAATTTAATAGTATATTTTATTGGAAACAGCAATATACTCCATTTTGTGTGGACTTCTTGCTCTACTGAGTTCAACCAAAAATGAGCCTAATTTTAGAGTTTAAGCTACTCTAAAGAAGTACTACCATTTGTCTTTTATAGGTATTTCTTGAGCCCCCTACTGTGTGCCAATTTCTGTGCGAGGTTCTGGGGCTAAAAATATAAAAATAATCTAGTGCCTTTTAAAAAGCTCAGAGACAAGTCAACCATTAACATGTAGAATTATGAGACAGATTGGTATTGAACTTTAATTTTTTATAGAGAAATCCCATGTAAATGCTACAAGTATTTGTTCCCCCATCTCCAGTCTTACTCCTCTCCAGTTCTTTTTCCACACTAAAACCAGAGTGAGCTTTCTAAAAGGGATGTCTGATCGAGTCTTAAAATAATTCAGTAGCCTTACTAGACAATCATAATTTCCTCAAAAGTTCCTCTTTCACACTTTCAAACCTTCACAAAAATGTTTTTTTCTACTTGAAACCCTCTTCCGTCTTTTTCTTCCCCAATTCACCTAGTTAATTCTTATACTTCTTTGAGTATCAGCTGAAATTTTACTTTCTCTGAATCATCTGAACCAGCTGGAAGTCTATGCTCTGGACTCTGCCCCTTCATGCCCTAAATGTTCCCTTTTAGAATTTATCACAATTTAAATGCATGTTTAACAACACATGTTGTTTTTATACAGCTATTATTATACAGTAAGTATACATTTGTGTTATTTTTTATTTAATACTATATTATACACAAGCCTCTAAGTTTTTAAAAACATTATTTCCAATGGCTATACGATATTTCATTGAGTGGATGACACCATGTAACTTACCAACACTTTCTCTATCAGTGGTTTTCAATTTTTCAGTTACAAACAAACCGTGACGATCTTTGTGCATAATATATATTGTGTTGAGGATAATTTCTGTATTAGTCAGTGTTCTCTAGAGGGACAGAACTATTGGAATAAATACACATATAAAGGGGAGTTTATTAAGTATTAACTCACATGATCACAAGGTCCCACAATAGGCCATCTGCAGGCTGAGGAGCAGGGAGAGTCAATCCAAGTTCCAAAACTGAAGAACTTGGAGTCTGATGTTTAAGGGCAGGAGGCATCCAGCAAGGGAGAAATATGTAGGCTGAAAGTCTAGACCAGTCTCTCTTTTCACATTTTTCTGCCTGCTCTATATTCTAGCCACACTAGCAGCTGATTAGATTGTGCCTACCCAGATTAAGGGTGGGTCTGCCTTTCCCAGCCCACTGACTCAAATATTAGTCTCCTTTGGCAACGCCCTCACAGGCATACACAGTATCAACACTTGGTATCCTTCAATTCAATCAAGTTGACACTCAGGATTAACCATCACAAGCCCACCCCTTGTCAACTTGAACCCATATACATCTCCTGAGATCATACACAATCTTCAAATAAAGACAATGATAAGGTCATAATTTTGCCTAACATAATACAACTATTTTTCATACAACCAGAAACACACCAAACTCCAACCCAAATACTATTACATAAAGTTAACAATACTTAAATTCTGATGTGAAGTCAATCAATCTTATGTCACCTGATATAAGAGAAAGGAAATAATACTTTCTTAGTACAAGTGTGTAAATGCACAAACATGTTTTTAACAAAAGAAGGAGGAAATACTCATGACAATTACCATCCTCATTTCTGCAGATGGTCACGTGGTCATGGCTGGTATTGATGACTACCTTCTTCTACTACCCATTCTGTATTCCCTTTGCCTTCAGCAAGCACCACAGCAGGTCATGGTTTATTTTACTGGTGGAGTAACCAAACCTTCATTCCTGAAGGGTCTGGGTCATTTGTAGTCCTGCCTGGATTGGCCTGTTTCCCATTGACCTTAATCACAGGGCATGATAATACTAACAGATGCCCTAACTGATCTCCTATATTCCATGCATACTCTTCCTTAGTTCTGATGTGGAGTAGTAGACTGATTTCATCTTGATAGTGCAGGTCAATCACCCCAGCCAACACTGTAAGTCTCTTCTTAGCCTGTTGACTTAAAGGTAGAAGCAGCCCAAAGTGTCCACGTGGCAATCTCAACTTTCAGTTTAGTGGAATCGTTGTTGTGTCTCCTGGTGGCAGTGTTCCTCCCTCTGGAACTAAGATCTCTAGGCAAGCAGAACATAATGCTGTGGGAACAGGAAGCAAAAATTTTGCTAGTGGATCACTAGGGGTGATAGCGAGTGGTGCCATTTCCACTTCCACCCCCTGATTCCTGAACTCGTGAATCCTGGCTATGGGAGAAAGAGTGCCATATATTGGACGCTGATGCAGAGCATGCACAGCCTTCTGGAGAGCTGTGTCTCAGCCCTGAAAAGTATTGTCACCTAGTGGGCGTTGTAATTGTGAATTCAAAAGGCCATTCCACCGTTCTATCAATCCAGCTGCTTCAGGAATGATAGGAAACATTGTAAGACCAGTGAATTGCGTGAGCACGAACCCACTGCCACACTTCTTTAGCCATAAAGTGAGTGCCGTGGTCAGAGGCAATGCTGTGCGGAATACCATGACAGTGAATAAGGCATTCCATGAGTCCACGGATGGTAGTCTTGGCAGAAGCATTGTGTACAGGATAAGCCAACCCATATCCCAAGTAAGTGTTTATTCCAGTGAGGACAAACCTCTGCCCTTTCCATGATGGAAAAAGTTCAGTATAATCAACCTGTCACCAGGTAGCTTGCTGATCACCCCGAGGAATGGTGCCATATTGAAGGCTCAGTGTTGGTCTCGGCTGCTGGCAAATTGGCACTCAGTGGCCATAAGCAGGTTGGCCTAGGTGAGTGGACGTCCATGTTGCTGAGCCCATGCATAACCTCCATCCCTGCCACCATGGCCACTTTGTTCCTGGGCCCGTTGGGCGATGACAGAGGTGGCTAGGGAAAGAGGCTGAGTGGTGTCCACAGAACAGGTCATCCTATCCACTTCATTATTAAAATTCTCCTCTGATGAAGTCACCTGTTAGTGATCACTCACATGGGATACAAATATCTTCACAGTTTTTGAACACTCAGAGAGGTCCATCCACATACCTCTTCCCAAAATTTCTCACCAATTTTCTAATCATGCTTCTTCCAAGTCCCTGACCATCCAGCCAAACCATTGACTACAGCCCATGAATCGGTATATAATTGCACATATGTCCATTTCTCCTTCTACGCAAAGTGCACGACCAGGCACTCTACTTGAAGTTCTGTCCACTGGGAAGATTTGCCTTCACCACTGTCTTTCAGAGATGTCCTAGACAGGAGCTGAGTGTTGCAGTTGTCCACTTTCAGGTGGTGCCTGCATATCGTGCAGAACCACCTGTGAAAATGGCCCTTGTCTTCTCCTCCTTTGTCAACTGATCTTAAGGAACTCCCCATGAGGCCATTGGTGCAGGCTGGGGGAGAGAAGGCAGGCTGGCAGAAGTAGAGACCATGGGCATTTGAGCCACTTTCTTATGTAACTTACTTGTGCCTTCAGGATTTGCTCGGGCCTAATCACATATATACCAATACCATTTGATTATGCAATGCTGCTGCGCATGAGCCACTTTATAGCTAGATGGGTCAGAAAGCACCCAGTTCATGGTATGCAGTTCAGTCACCTGGTGACTTGATGACCCGTAATCAAACGTTCAGTTTCTGCCAAATCCCAGTAACAGGCCAAGAGCTCGCTCTCAAAAGGAGAGCAGTTATCTGCAGAAGGTCCCAGGACCTTGCTCCAAAATCCCAGAGGTCTTCACTGTGATTCACCTATGGGGGCCTGCCAAATGCTCCAAACAGCATCCCTATCTGCCACTGATACCTCAAGGACCATTGGATCTGCTGGGTCATATGGCCCAAGCGGCGGAGCAGCATGAACAGCAGCCTGGATCTGTTACAGAGCCTTCTCCCGTTCTGGACCCCACTCAAAACTGGCATTCTTTTGAGTCACTTGATAAATGGGCTGGAGTAACACACCCAAATGAGGAATGTGTTGCCCCCAAAATCCAAATGGGCACACTAGGAGTTGTTCTTCTTTCTTGGTTGTAGGAGGGTCCAAAGGCAGCAACTTATCTTTCACCTTAGAAGGAATATCTCGATAAGCCCCACACCACTGGACCCCCATAAATTTTACTGAGGTAAAAGGTCCCTGACTTTTGGTCAGATTTATTTCCCATCCTCTGGCACACAAATGTCTCAGCAATAAGTCTAGTGTGTTTGCTACTTCTTGCTCACTGGATCCAATTAAAATAATGTCATCAATGTAATGGACCAGTGTGATATCTTGCAAAAGTGAAAAGCGATCAAGCTCTCTCCAAATAAGATTATAAAACAAAGCTGGAGAGTTGATATACCCCTGAGGTGGGACAGTAAAGGTATTTTTCTGGCCTTGCCAGCTGAAGACAAATTGTTTCTGGTGGGCCTTATGGACAAGAATGAAGAAAAAGGCATTTGCCAAGTCAATAGCTGCATACCAGGTACCAGAAAATGTGTTAATTTGCTCAAGTAATAAAACCATATCTGGTATAGCAGCTGCAATTGCAGTCACCACTTGGTTAAGCTTATGATAATCCACAGTCATTCTCCAAGATACATCTGTCTTCTGCACAGGCGAAATGGGAGAACTGAATGGGGATGTTGGTGAGAATCACCACCCCTGCGTCTTTCAAGTCCTTGATGGTGGCATTAATCTCTGCAATTCCTCCAGGGATGTGACATTGTTTTTGATTTACTATTTTTCTAGGTAGAGCCACCTCTAATGGCTTCCATTTGGCCTTTCCCACCATAATAGCCCTCACCCTACCAGTCAGGGAGCCAATGTGGGGTTTCTGCCAGCTGCTAAGCATGTCTATGCCAATTATGCATTCTGGCACTGGGGAAATGAACACAGGATGAGTCCTGGGAACCACTGGACCCACTGTAAGTCAGACCTGAGCTAAAAACTCCATTAATTCCCCAACCTCCATAAGCCCCTACTTTAACTGGAGGACCACAATGACATTTTAGGTCCCCTGGAATCAACATCAGCTCAGAGCCAGTGTCCAGTAGTCCCAAAAATGTCTGATCATTTCCCTTTCCCCAATTCACAGTTACCCTGGTAAAAGGCCTGAGGTCTCCTTGGGGAAGGATGGGAGAAAGATTCACCGCATAAATTGTCAGTAATGTAGTGGGGTCCTTTCTCAAGGGGACCCAGCCTCCCCTTCATTCTAGGGGGTTTGGGTCTGTAAACTGGCTCAAGTCTGGAAACTGATTGACAGGCCATGATTCTGTTTTTATACTTCAAATTAGTCTTTCGTCCATTCGACCTGAAAGTTTTCTGCTTGTATAAATTAAGTAAGAATGCAGTAGGCTTCCTATCAATTTAACTTCTAGGAACACCGTGATTAAATAGCCAATGCCAGCGATCTACAGGAGTCAGACTATTCTGATTGCTGTTTTGCCTCTACTGTCCATTACGGTAGCTATGTCCACCCTGCCTTTGATGGTTGAGTGCTGCCACTTGGCCCCTGCCACCTTGGGATCCAATTATACCCATTGTATTTAAATTTTATAGTTGAGTGAGTGTCATTCCCACTGTTAGATGTGACATACAGAGAAGAGCAATTACAGGGCTCTTCGAAGATGCAGGTGCTGCCCTCACAAGTATATTTTGCAGGGCAATGGTCAAGGGTATATCTTCTGGACCCTTTCAGCTAGGATGAGTAGGTCTAAAGTGACTAATCCCCTCCACCATCTCAATCCCCCTAAGCCTTTGGATCCTTTCCTCCTACATTAAACCAAGGGAGATCAGGCATTTCCAGATCACTTACAGGGCCATTTTTTAATCCATATTTTAGCTAACCAAGCAAATGAACTATTAGAACCTTTTTTTAACTCCCCGAGCTGCAACACTAAATGCAGAGACCCTACTAAGTGGGCCAAATCAATAAATTCAATCTGATTCATCTCTATGTTCCTTCCATCATTATCACACACGCTTAATATCCATTCCCATTCCCGTTCTCCAGATTTGTTTATACAAATTAGAAAAGTCAAGCAGTATTTTTTTTAAATGTAGCACAGCTCCTCATGGGTCACACTCTCAGCCTCACCTCTAGGGGCCCCCAGGACTTTAGCTATAGGTCTAGAAGCAAACAGGGGTGTTGGGGGCGGCTCCTGAGGAGAATCAACATTACCTCGCCTGGCAACTGCCTCAGGGGAGGCCATCATAGTTGTCTCAGGCAGCGCAGGGTTTATCTCCTCAGACTAAAGTGGAAAGGCTGATGGCAGCATGCGTCAGGGAGCAGATGTTGCCACTAATGGGAATGGGAAAGCTGTTTCTTCTGGCAAAAAAGGTTCATCAGAGTTCACAAACTCAGTGTCCCCGGCTTAATCAGGGTCCTCCCACACATCTCCGTTCCAAGTTGTGAGGTCCCATTCTTTTCCAATTAATGCCCTCACTTTAACAGTACACACCTGTTGAGGCTGTGCATGAACCTTTCATTGCAGGTCAGCCACTCATGTGGTAAGAGCTTGTGTCTTTTTTTCCACAATTTCAGCTCTTTCTCTACAGGCGATAAAACTCTCACTCAGGGCAATCTTAGCAGATTTGAGGTTCAGTATCTGCTTCTGAAGCCGGGAGATAGAATCCCTGAGTTCATCATTTTCTTTCATCACTTTGTCCACTGAACTTATGAGCAACCAACAAGCTTCATTAAGTTCCTTGGTTCTCCACATAAGGTCAAAGGTATTATGTATAGGTTCACTAACCTCTTTGCCTCCCATGAGCAATGAATCAGGAGTGTCAAATGCATGTATTTTGCATAACTTTCTAAACAGTTCATGCCAAGGACTGTCAGTGTTCTTCATACAATTATAAGTAGGGTCCTTAGCATGTTTGGGTCTAATCATATTAAGCAGAACTCCAGAAACCCCCAAACCAATGAAAGAACCCCATCCCTAATATTCTATTCCTCTAGAACCACTGCTATTGCCAAAATCTATATTAGTCAGGGTTCCCTAGAGGGACAGAACAAAGGAATAAATAAATAATAAATAAATAAATGCATATATATATAAGTTTTTTAAGTATTAACTCACACGATCACAAGGCCCCACAATAGGCCATCTGCAGGCTGAGGAGCAAGGAGAGCCAGTCCAAGTTCCAAAACTGAAGAACTTGGAGTCTGATGTTCAAGGGCAGGAAGCATCCAGCATGGAAGAAAGATGTAGGCTGGGAGGCTAGGCCAGTCTGTCTTTTTACATTTTTCTTCCTGCTGTATATTCTAGCCACGCTGGCAGCTGATTAGATTGTGCCCACCCAGATTAAGGGTGGGTCTGCCTTTCCCAGCCCACTGACTCAAATATTAGTCTCCTTTGGCAGCGCCCTCACAGGCACACCCAGTATCAATACTTTGTATCCTTCAGTCCAATCAAGTTGACACTGAGTATTAACCATCACAATTTGCAAAGCATTGCATCCTAAAGGTGAGCTTATTGAATCATAGTAAGATCATTTTTAAGAATGCTAATACTTATTTTCAAATTGCTTTCCTAATGTGTTTACCAAATTCACTTCCACTGACAATATGTTAGAAATCCTGTTTCCACATGTCTTTGCTAGTACTGCACATTTTCATTATTTTAAATAATTGCTAATTTGCTCAGAGAAGTTTTTTTTTGTTTTAATGTACACACTTTATACTACTGGTGAGCTAAAGCATTTTCCATAGATTTGTTTACAAATCCCTTGCAAATTGCTGACATGTTTAAATTTTTCTGAAAGTCCCCAGGGGTATCTCACATATGGTCATGTTTAGTATTTACATTCCCTTTTTATGACTAAGTGAACTTAACAAGAATAGATAGAGCTCTCCCTCTCTCTCTCTCTCTCTATATATATATATAATTAATATATATATTTAATAATATATTATATATAATTATATATGCATTTAATATATATTATATAATTCACAAAATCACAATATATATTATTTTAATATATATTATATATAATATGTATAATATATAATACATATTAAATTAATATATTATATATTAAATATAATAATTAATATATATTAATTTAATATGTATTATATTATAATATATTTAATATATATTATATATTATATATATTTAATATATATTATATATTATATATATTTAATATATATATTATATATTATATATTATATATATTTAATATATATTATATATTATATATATTTAATATATATATTATATATTATATATTATATATATTTAATATATATATTATATATTATATATTATATATTATATATATTTAATATATATTTTATATATTATATATTATATATATTATATATTAAATATATAATATATATATTTAATATATAATATATATATTTAATAATGCTTATTTGAACTTAGACGGTTAGACTTTAAAAAGCAAAATAGTTTACTTTTTCTGTCCAAAAGCACTGATACCAAACATTTGCTTGAAAACCACTTGGGAAATTTGAGCTGGAAATTTCAGTAGGGAAAGACTATCTAAGGAAGAAAGAGGTCTCTTGGAATAGTTTAGTCTTTATGATTGCATCCTTAAAAGGAACCTGGGGAATGAATGTGTGTGAGTGACTTGAAAGGGAAACAGGAAAAATAAAAACAACAGTGAATAATTTAATTATAATTGTAACTGCTATCAATATTAAATCAGTGGTTTAGATAAAGCCTGTGCTTTTTATTTTACCCAAATTATTTTACAGATCTCAGGGTTCTTTTCACATATGTTATTTCCTTATGTAATTAAAACTTGTCACCTGGTATTTATTCAAGTTCCACAATCACAGTTATTTGCTGTTTGGGTTAGGCTCTCTTCCTGTCTGAGTTATCTAGGTGTCAGTGGTAAGTACTATAAAAATAAAGAGACAGAAAACAGCAGGGTAAAGGACTTTTAAGACACTTAATGGACTGTTTGACATGTATTCTAGGCATGTGACAGGTAATAATTAAGACTGCTTAATTAGTTTCTGAATATTGGGATGAGGAATAGCAGCAAAACTGAATAGTACTAACGAAAGACTGAATTACTATAATCAAAACACTATTTTCTTTTCAACAGGTAAAAGACTTTCACATACAATAAGTGTACTGGCTTTCTTTTTGTATAAGAGAAATAAGAGTTGAATTTCCACAGTGATTAAAACCGAAGTTCTGGCCTAATTCTTATAATTAAAAGTATTCTGTAATGTTAGAAAAGAACTTAAGAAATTAGGCTAGACTTTCTCACATAAATGAAAGCTTGCATGGTGAGGCAAACACAGTATTTCAGTTACATTTCTGTGTATATTTAAAAATTAGATGGAAGGGATTAACATCCTGTAAATGAGATAAAACAAGGAAAATACTAAACTATGAAATCTGAAAACCACACTATTATTTCTTTTTTCTAAAACTGATCATTTAGGACAAAGATACACACCCCCAATTTACTCATTATTTCTTAAATCTAACATAACTGAAGCACTTTGAGATCCTATAAAATTAGACAACATACACCTTATGTGGCTGGCTCTATGATTTATTTTTCTATCTTCAGATTCTATTACTTATATAATATGTTTAGCAAATATCTGTTCAAGGGAATTTTAAGTGGCTGTCAGAATAAATCAGAAACTCCAAGAACATTTTCAGTATATTTTCTTTCTTTATTCTGTTGCCCAATTATGACTGTGTGTGTGTGTGTGTGTGTGTGTGTGTGTGTGTGCGCGCGCGCGCGCGCGTGTGCAGTTTCCCTCTTTAAAGCCAAACAGCTGGGGCTTCCCTCACTATTAAGAGTCAGTAACTGCTAAACTCAAGTTTTAAGATTGCAAAATAGATGGAATTCTCAGGAGTGCTTTGTCCCAGAGGATGTGGAATTTGAAAGCAAAGCAGATGGAGTCCTGGAGAAAGACAGCTTGGTGATGATGATTTTAATGATTAAATGGAAATCGAATGAGGGACCACTGAAGGGTGGAAAGAGCAGAGAAGCTGTCAGAGGGTCACGGAAGGAGAGGAAAGGAGAGTTTCAGAAATTCTCTGTGAACCAGACTAGCTTTCCTTAAGCAATAAGCCATAGGCAGGAACCATAATGCTCTAAGAGCCCTGAAGCCCAAGGACAATAGATGTGTGTACCATCCTGATTAGTGATGGCAGGAGACACAGATGGCTGTTCAACCCGTTAGGTAGTCAAGAAGGACAGCCACCAGGGAATATGTGGCAGCTTCATGCAGCCAGACCCAGACAGGTGGCAGACAGCTTGAGCTGGGCTCTTTGTGTTTGGTTTCTGACCTTATTTTAAATAACAGTAATAAATGCCTATTAAGTTTTAGCTTCACTTTTTTTTTTTTTTTTTTGCCAAGTGTTGGTGAATGGGAGAGCTGTGTCAGGAAGCTAAGTCTCAATTTTGCTTTGATATTTTTATCTTCCCCATTTCTAGTGATTCTAGCAGATGTGATCTTTCTCTGAAAAATGTAAAAAAAAAAAAAAGTTTGATGGTGACCCAGTTAGTTCTTCCTTTAAGTGAACTAACTGCTCATCCTCAAAATTTATCCAAGTCACCCCCCATACTAAGCAGCACAGTAGCCTGGCTCTATAAATGTATGAAACTCAAGGGCAGCCATGTCAAATGCAGATGTAACAGCAGGTAAATTCAGTAGGTGAACATACCTCTTGTAACTTGTTTTATTTATTGTTTGAAATACATAAAAATGCTTTAGGGAATATTACCCATTAAGGCAGACACTCAAGAAGCTGATGTACAAGTATATAACCTATGCATTGCTCTAGGCATTCTTTGATTTGTGGTTAATCCAATTTTTGTGGCTTCTCAGTTTTGCATTTAAGCAAAAGCAATTTTAAATGCTGTAAAATAAAACAAAAGTTGTTTTTGTTGTACAACTGCAAGGAACGAGAATTCTAAGCATGGCTTTCATATGAGGTGCTTTTGACAACATTTATTTGGTTCAGAAGAATGTGCTATGATCTTCACCATTCTTATAATAGAGGGAAAAGCAAAGCAAGTTAGAAAGAGTTGCCTTAAGTAATAACCAAATAGGGTCAATTTCAGACCAGAAATTCTGTGGGGCTATTCTTTATGAAATAATTGTTCTTTCTAGACCAGAAAAATATTAAGAAGAAAGAAGGAGGAAATGGAGGGAAAAAATGGACTTGTAATTCCCAGGCTTCCATTCTGCTGCAGCGTGTGGGTAAGGTAAGCATTACTGATAGGAGTTAGTTCTCTCAAAAAATAAGTTTGAAAAATATTGGGTTAAGCAAAGTTGAAGAATTGTCTTTGTTACAAGTCTTCTCAGAGTCTTTTACATGATTAAGTACATTGTGAAATTTTAAAAGTTTATATACAATGTTTGCTAAACTTATTTGATTATATAAAATCCCTTCGTCTTTTTTTGTTACCGGGCATTTCATGAGTTAGTGAGCCAAGAGACAAAAGATTCTTTCAGAACTGTGAGGGCTGAGCCATCCGCTGTGTCATATAGAGAAATAAATTATGTGAACATCAGTTGAAAGCAAGGTTAGGCACAAATCTGTGAAGATTAGGAAATAATAGCTTTAACTCAATAGTTTTCTAACTCAACATTTCCTAATGTGTGTTGTGCAGATTATTTGCTCTGAATAATATTATTACATATGGGTAAAAATGGGATCTTGTAGTCAAATGAGTTTAGGTAAAGTCTGGGTCAACAAAATTAAGCAGATTTCTTTTAAAAGGCACTTCTTAGAATGTTTCTAAAGGCAGAAACTTCTTGGGGTGGCTACGCAGTTCACAAAGATTTTCTCTTCTCTGGGAACTGCCCCGTCTTCATTTGTTCAGGCTGCTATAACAAATTCTTTTAGACTGGGTAATTTTTAAATGACAGATATTTATTGCTCACAGTTCTGGTGACTGAGAAGTCCAAGATCAAGATGCCAGAAGATTCAGTGTCTGGCAAGGGCTCATTCTTCATAGACTAGGTGTCCTCATATGGGAAAAGGGGCTAATAAGCTCCTTCTGCCCTCTTTTATAAGGGCACTAATCCCACTCATGAGGTCTCCACCCTCATGACTTAATCATTTCCCAAAAGCCCCCACCTGGTAATACTATCAAACTGGGGATTAGGTTTCAACATGTGAATTTTGGGGAAACGCAAACATTCAGATCATAGCATACCCCTATTACTCAGAAATATGTCTTCTGAAGTCAAGTATATTCTAATTCCCTAGCCATAGCTGTTTGGCCACGAAGTAAAATGTTTGAACCTCAAAGGCCCCATTAGAATAATTGTCCTTATGCAATTTTGAGCTGAGAGACACAGAAGCTGGGCATTGCTGATGTCTGTGGCACTTGATACCGGTACATGAGAACTGGATCCCAAATCTGGCTCCACTTCATACTCATGTGGGAAGTTATGCAAAAATGCTGATTCTTGAGCCCCATCCCAGATCTCCACATCAGAATATCTTGTGCCTGATTTGCACATAAAATGTTTAATAAGGATAGCTAAGAATTATTGAAGACTCACATGCAATGTGTACCAGACACTGCAGCCCTTAAGATTTTTAGGATAATTTTATACATTCTGGCCAGCACTGGTCTAAGACTGTACATTCAGGAAGCTCCATGAACTCTTGCTGCTGAGATATTCTAATTCCTTCTCTTATTGAGGTTCATTTGTTCAACCGTTCTTTTGATTTCTGTGAATTACCATAATTTTTTTCCAATTAATTACCTTTTAGCTGAAGCTAGCTCAAGTTGGTTTCTGTTACTTGCAACCAAAACAACCTTAACTAATACAGCACTGTAAATTTCCTGGAAGGTGATTATAGCATATAGTGCTTAACAAATTTATTTGACCACTAAATGCTTTTCTTAAGGAGCTTTTTATTAAACCAGTGTTCTGCCACACATGCTTTGGGAAAGCACTAGTTTAAGGTAATCGATTTAACATTGCTGTGACTTTTCTACAGGACATTTATTGAGTGTTGAATTTTAAGCCCAGTTTCTTGGGGTTTCATTAATTGTTATAATATATGTTCTTAGAATTAGGGACACTCAGTGGTGATACACACAGTTAGATGCAAATAAATAAAGCCTTGATACCCAGTTTTAGGATTGCTCTGGAAAACAAGAAGTCAGGGCTCTTCCTCATTGATGCAGTTTTATTTGCACATGATAAGCCATCTTTCACCTACAGGTATTACATAGAAGACATCTAAATTTGCAATACACCTAGAGGCAAAAGTGGTAGAATCAGATGGTTTAGTACAGGGCTGATAATTCTATGGCCATAGGTACAAAAGAAATAAGTATTACTAACTGAATTGACATAAAGTAATAATCTTCTCTTTTAAATATCTAAAATGTTGTGGAAACTCAGAAAAATAGCAGGATAAAATGAATGCAGTGGAATAGCAGCAGCCATTTATTAGCTCTGTCACTTTGAATAAGGTCCTTTACTCTAAACCTATGTCTTGTTCTATAAGATAAAGATAATACTTTTTCTCCTATGTTTCGGGTTTAGTACTAAATAAATAACAGTTAACATTACTAAGATATTCCTACCTGCCAGACACTATGCTAAATGCTTTAAATTCATTATTTTATTTAATTTTCTAAACATTTCTATGAAGTGGTATATTAGTCCATCCTGACATTGTTATAAAAAAAATACCTGAAACCTGGGTAATAAAGAAATGATGTTTCATTGGCACACGATTTTGCAGGCTGTACAGTAAGTATGGTGGCATCTGCTTCTGGGGAGGCCTCAAGGAGCTTTTACTCATGGCAGAAGGCAACGTGGGAGCAGGCATCTTACACGGCAGGAGCAGGACCAAGAGAGAGGGTCCTGATCTCTTAAACAACCGGATCTCACGAAAACTCACTATCATGATGACAGCACCAAGTAGGGATGGTGTTAAACCATGAGAAACTGTCCCCATTATCTAATCACCTCCCATCAGGCCTCACCTCTAGTATTGGGAATTACATTTCAACATGAGATTTGGGTGAGGACACAGATCCAAACAATATCAGGTGATTTACCATTTATTTTTTCTATTTTGTAGATGAGAAAACCTAGGCACAGAAGCATTAAGAACACTTGCCTAAGGTTGCCTAGTAGACAATACAGTCAGGATACAAACCCAAACAGTCCGATTCCCATGCCTACATATTGCAAGCATTCAGTATTTAACCATTTTCTCCAGGGAGCTACCTCCTTCCCTTTTGACTAATTGGCAGTAGAGAAACATATTATCATGAAAATATATACAGACTATGATGAAAAAATAAATAAATGTGTGTGGATAACACTAGTGAATTCTGGCTTCTATTCTTGGTCAAGTTAGCCACCTTTGAGAGGATGATTTCAGTGGAGAAGGGAGAGGATTGAATCACCAAGATAACCACAGAAAAACTGACAGGAGCACCTACATCACATATACAATGCTGCAGGATTCCTGGAATCTGGGTGGGATTAGTGAAGGAATGTCATCTGAAGTAAGAGTTTTAACTAGAGTATGAATGTTGTTTGGTGGAAAAGAACAGGCTACTATAAGCAGGAATAATATGTTCAAAGTCTGTCTGAGTGACAAGGAAGAGCAAACTGGTTTGTTTAGAGTACAAGACTTAGATTAAAGCATATAAGAACAATAAGAATGGCTAGATTGAGAAATGGCTAAACGATAATGTTTCCCTCACACCACTGATGTGGGAACTAGCATTTATTAATTGGATACTCTATGTGAGGTACTCTCCTAATCATTTTACTTGCATGAAATCATCTAATCATCACACCAACCCTAAGAAGTTGGCACAATCACTAGTTCTAATTTACTGTTGAGGAATATGAAGCACAAAGAAGTTCAGTAACTTACACAAGGTTGCTAGGAATTGAAAGAAGCCGAATTCAAATCTATTAATTGAGATTCAGACTCTATGATCTGTACCAGTATGCTATACTCATTGTAGCCTGGATTTGCTTTATTATGTTACTCCCTTTCTTAAAAAACTAAAGTGGTTTCTTATTATGATTATTAACAAATACACATCCATCTTTCTGATCTTTAGAGACCTCTATCAACTTGCAACTGTTAATCATTAACACCATTTTTCATCAGTCTCCCTAAATGAACCCTCCTCTATTACACATAAACTAATGAGTTCCTACTTAGAATGCCCTCTCTCTGCTGATCCATCTCTCTGAGCTTTAAAATTCAGCTCAATAAATTTAGCCATTGCCTCCAAGAAGCCCCCTCTGACTCTTTACATTGAATATCAATTCTAAATTACTCTTTTTCTCACAAAATATATTATCTCAGTAGACATTAAGTGGATATTGGTGATTATTTTGCCCTTAGTAACCTTACTTGATAAGCAATATTGACTCTATGTATCTTGAACACGTATTTTTTCACTAAGTGAATTATCAGCTACTTGTAATTAATATAATGTATCTGCATGCAATATACATGCATTTCATGTTAACCGTGTAGAATAGGTAGAAATAGGAAAATAGCACTAGTAATACAAGGGCAATTGTTTTCTTTTCTCCTCATTTATCTCCTCAATAAAAATAGATTTATTTAAAAATTCAATTTTTCTCTGATAAAAGCTTAAGTTCAGACTGTTAATATTTTTCCCAATCAGAAAGTAACACCAATGTTGTCAAGGTTAAGCCTCATCTTCTTGTTTGTGAAAATGAAATCACTGGTTCAAAAAACAACAGAATTTAGCTTAGAAATAAGTATAAATTAATTGTGCCTTTTTTAAAAAAGCAAAGGTGTTAATTATACAGGCCCTGCAGAGATTGTTTATTTCATCATTACTGAAAAATGGCAAGTATCCCACATAACAACCTTTCCTTTTGAATATGAAAATGCACTTACACAAATGCAGATATTTGTTTGGCAACTAGACAATGGAGAAGATTCCCATTTGTGCTCAGTGGAATGGAATGAGTTGGTCCTCACTAATTCAGCCAAGATTCTCTCTGCTAATGGCAAAACATGCCTGTCCCTGTAGCTAAACAAACACTGAATTATTCATTTTCCTTTGGCAAATACCATCATGGTAATGCTCACGATACTTGTTTATCATGAATGACTGTTGGGGACATCCCTTGTTAAAAGAAAAACTGTACAAACCAAGTTAATAAGGATGAATTGAAATGTTGCAGAATTCTGTGTATATGTGTATGTGTTGATGTGTATCCAAGGCTTTATGTGATTTTTGTTTTGTCTGAATATCTCATGTTTCATGTTTCAACGGAATTTTTCTTTTGTGGTCCTCCAAGCTTAGATTAAAGGAGCTAATATAAGTGACCTAGGATATACTCAGAATCCAGATAGTACCTGGCTCTTTTTTGAATTGTTAAAGGTATATAATAAAGGCTACTCACAGTGTCTGCCCTCAAAAAATTTTGTCCTTAAATAGATACACAATCATATATCTGAGTAAATGGTTGTGAATAAAAAGAATATGTAAAACCAGATCAGCGTTCCTCAACCTTTCTGGCACCGGGGACTGGTTTTGTGGAAGACAATTTTTCCATGGAAGCAGGGGGTTGGTTTTGGGATGAAACTGTTCTACCTCAGATCATCAGGTATTAGATTATCATAAGGAGTGTGCAACATAGATGCCTCGCACACGCTGTTCACAAAAGGATTTGAGCTCCTGTGACAATCTAAATCCGTCATAGATCTGACAGGAGGCGTTGCTCAGGGAGTAATGCCCAATCCCCGCTGCTCACCTCCTGCTGTGAGGCCGGGTCCCTAAGGGTCGGTGGCCTGGGGTTGGGGACCCCTGAATTAGATGGACAATGGTAAGAGCGATGATTTTCATCAGAAATTACAGAAAAGTGTTTAAATAGATTTAAACACATCATTATTATATTCCAATTATCTTAGTTGGTTAAAGCAAGTTGTTAATGAGGACAAAGTATAATGGAATTAGAAATTAAGCCAGAGTCAGAAGACCTGAGTTCTAGTTTTAGTGCACCAATTACGTCACTATTTGACATGAGCAAGGGTATCACTCTTGTTGCCCTCACAAATAAAAGTGTATGCTTGTAAAAATACAGTTCAACCTTGATTAGGAATATGCATAACAGTAGCCAAAAAGAAAAGCAAAAATATGGTTTTGGAAATAAGAGACCACTTGGCCAGAATGTTGAGACAACTCATTTTGCCCTTATTTTTTCTTTCAGAATACAAAATTCAGACAGAGCATTCTTTAAATGAGGTGACAATTGCAGCATCATTTTTTTTTTTTAGATATTTCATAAAGGATAGCCCATTATTATGTGTGTAACTAGGGCAAATTACATAACCTACCTAAGATTTAAGTTTCTCTCTGTAAAGATAGGGATATTGACTGAATGAAATTATGCCCATAAAACATTTAACATAGTGCTTGCTACATAGTAAGTGCTCAATAAATAAACACTAGAGGCAGTAGAGTATTATGAATAAGTCCACTAGAATCAGAATATCTGTGTTCAAATACTGGGTTTTCCAATTAACTGCTGTGTGACCACTGAACAACTTATTTAACCTTGCTAAATTTAAATTTTCTCTTTTGCAAAATAGGGATGATGGTATCTACCCCATAGCGTTATTGTCAACATTAAATGCAATGATACTTATAAAACAAGGCCTGGCATATAAAGTTCAATAAATGTAATTCTTTCATTGAACAAATGCTTATGGAGCATTTACCATAAGTGTGTCACTGTTTTATGTGCTGGGATACAATGGTGAACCAAGACAGAGAACAGTCCTTTCTCTCAACCATCTCATATTCTAATTGGAAAGATATATAATACATAAACAAATAATGTCAGATATAAGTGCCATGAAGAAACTAGATCAGAATAAGGGACTACAGACAGACTGTAGGGGTAGGACACATGCTATTTTACTTACGGTTGTTTGGAAAAGCTTCTCTAAAGATGTGGCACTTGATCAGAGACCTGAAAGACACAAAAAGAGACAGCCATGAAATAACTGTGTTGGGGTGGGAGGGTGGGCAGGGAAGAACATTTCAGGCAGGGAGAACAGGAAGTGTAATGTTCTTAAAAAGGGAAAAATGCTATTAACGTTCTCTAGGAAAGACAAAGACATTATTGTGGCTGAAAAATACAGAGTTAAGGGAAAAAGAGGAGTAGGGCATGAGATCAGATAGGTAGGCAGAGCCAGATCATGTTGGGTTATGTCTAATGCTAGCTATTATCATTGTTATTATTGTTAAGCTCCAGGGGTTTTGATTATTGAAATAATGCTTTATCTCATTTGGTAAATTCTTTTAAGATTCCACAAAGCAGAAACTTATGATAATAATAATGGCTGACTTTATCATTTGGCCTTTTACAAAGTGATTCACACATCTATTATCTCATTTACTCTTTTCAGAATCCGTGTAAGTTAGATAATTATTAGTATCTTTCTTTTGAGGAGACAAGGTCACAGAAGGTAAAGTCCTTGGGCACAGTCAGACAACAAAGGATGTAGAAAGTATAGGGTTCAAAGTATGTCTCTCGATTGTTGCTTTATTTACAGGATGCATCTCTGTCTTGTTGACCAGGTAACAAAAGTGATTGACAGAAGAGGATCTGATTTAGCAGGGAAATAGAGATCAGTTCCACAGTTACAAATAGAACTCAGTATCCTGATTTAATGCTTTTAATATTATCAAGTCCTATATTCAGGGTGCCTACTTGCTACTGAAGAAATAACTATTTGTTCTTAATATTCATGAATTTCATGAATAAAATTTACAAGTGCAAGACAGTGACTTTGAAGAGTCAGTAAAAATGGATAATATTTGGACACTGCTTTTAGCATGATAAAATTCTGTAAAAAATGACTTGCTTGTTCTCACCCTCTAGTGTTTTCCGTTAGTTCAAGGATAAGACTTATGAGGAACAACATCTGAATTTGATTGAACAAATGATAATCTCATTTAGGAAGAATGAGACATTTCAAACACAAAGATGCTGGCAGCTTGGTGCCAATCCATTCTATATATAACATTTATTAAGATATATCAAATGATGACCAAGTTTACTGTGAAACAGAAGATACAGAATCAAGCTGTTACTTTGTATTCTGCTTTAGATATTCCTGAGGTTGTTCTGGAAGACAAAAAATGTATAATGATACACAGTGAACTGTAAAATAGAGTAAAAATTTTTTAAGCCATATGTATTGTTCAAGACTTTTTTGCTTCCTGACATTCCAGCAGCTAGTTTTGTTATGGTTGCCTCTCTCTGCTCTGTGCTATGAGGTAAGACAGTCTGGTCAGCATTCCTAATCATATTAATGGCCCTACTGATATTTTCCAAAGAGACTTAGTTTACTATTGTGAGCTATATCACACTAAGCCAATTAGCCTGTTAACATACCAGTTGATTAGTCTGGTCGATAATATTATTAGGTGTGATGGGAGACACAATGATATGCATACATAGTTTCTGTCCTCCAGAAGTATGCAATCCAGTCAGGGAGTCCAAGCATGCACAAATACAAGTCGACTAATATACAAGAGCTTTACAATATACAACCAGTACGTTTGATGCATAATCTTACAATTTAGGCAATTTTCTGCTTTATAGAAATCCCCATTACACAAAGTCCACATTTTAAAACATTTTAGAAATGACCTATATCTTAAGCAAATAATGCTGGAACAGAAAATAAAATACTGCACTTTCTCACTTGTAAGTGGGAGCTAAACATTGAGTACGCATGGACATAAACATGGAAACAACAGACACCAACTACTAGAGGGGAGAAGGAGGGAAGAAAGTGCGGGTTGAAAAAGTACCTATGGGGTGCTAGCCTCACTCCCTGGATGCAATATATGCACATAACAAATCTGCACATATACCTCCTGTATCTAAAATAAAAGTTGACTTTAAAAATAACCTATAACAATACAAGTGAATTCTGAAAGTCCTCTATAATATCCTAAACTGGATATGTTATCTGTCTGTTGAATACAAATTAGAGTGTTTGACTTGAGACTTACTTAAAAAGGTAACTATTATATATGAAAATGTATAGAGCTAGAAAATTATTATTGCCTATTCAACACTATAGAAAGGATATTAGGACACATTTTGTTGAATAAAATTAGAAATGATGGTTAGGCATTACTGAAATGTTACTATATCCACATACATTTGGAGATAAATACACTTCTATAGTCCCAACTGAGGACCTAACCATCATTTATAGCATTGTTTCTCAAAGCATTGGCTGTGTATCACTTTCATCAAAATTGTCTGCAGTGTTTATTAAACTGCAAAACCCTGAGCTTCAGCTCATATCTACTGAACCTAAATATCTTGAAGCAAATTTCTGGGACTCTATATTTGTAACAAGTTCTCTACCTCCAGGTGTACACCAAAAGATTGGAACCACATTTAAAGCATAACCACAGTCTTTATAGAGCAATACATGCCATTCTAAAATTACTCACCAATTTTGTATATAGAGCATTAATAATTGAGAGAGGCATGTTCCCTTCCTTTGACAACCAGTAATGTTTTCCCAC
This sequence comes from Homo sapiens, assembly GCF_000001405.40. NCBI lineage: Eukaryota > Metazoa > Chordata > Mammalia > Primates > Hominidae > Homo > Homo sapiens. Next base: position 98,641,942 of record NC_000023.11, on the reverse strand, counting down.
TGCCCTCTTTTTTTTCTATTTGTTTTTCTTTTACAGTGGCAAAACATATATAACATTAAATTTACCATTTTAATCATTTTTAAGTGTACAATTCAGTGACATTAATTATATTCACAATGTTGTGCAACTATCACCATGATCTATTTCTGAAATTTTTTATCACTCCACACAGAAACTCTATACTCATTAATGAATAACTCCACATACACTTTTCCATCAATCCCTTATAACCTCTAATCTACTTTCTGTTTCAATGAAATTGCCTATCTTGTATATTTTCTATATGGGAAGTCATACAATATTTGTCATTTTGTGTTTGGTTTATTTCACACAGCATAATGTTTTCAATGTTTGTCCATGTTGTAGCATGTATCAGAATTTTATTCCTTTTTATGGCTGAATAATGGTCAATTATATGGTGTCTTAATCAGCTCAGGCTGCCATAAAAATGCCATAGACTGATTTGAAGTGGTATTTCAGTTTGGTTTTTATTTGCATTTTCCTAACGACTAATGATATTGAGCATTTTTTCATGTGCCTATTGACCATTTGTGTATCTTCTTTGGAGAAATGTCTATTCAAGCCCTTTGCCCATTTCTTAATTGGGTTTTTTGTCTTTTTGTTGTTGAGATGTAGGAGTTTCTTATATATTGTGTATATTAAGTCCCTCTCAGATATATAATTTGTTAGTATTTTCTCCCATCCTCTAAGTTGCTGTTCACGCTCTTTTTTTTTCTTTTGGGTTAAGCCAACTAGTGTGCCTTTCTTTTATTTTTATTATTATTATTATTATATTTTAAGTTCTGGGGTACATGTGCAGAACGTGCAGGTTTGTTACACAGGTATACACGTGCCATGTGGTTTCCTGCACCCATCAACACGTCATCTACATTAAGTATTTCTCCGAATGCTATCCCTCCCCTGGCCCCACACCACCCCGAGAGGCCCCGGTGTGTGATGTTCCCCTCCCTGTGTCCCTGTGTTCTCATTGTTCAAATCCCACTTAAGGGCGAGAACATGTGGTGTTTGGTTTTCTGTTCTTGTGTTAGTTTGCTGAGAATGATGGTTTCCAGCTTCATCCACGTCCCTGCAAAGGACATGAACTCATCCTTTTTTGTGGCTGCATAGTATTCCATGGTGTATATGTGCCACATTTTCTTTATCCAGTCTATCATTGATGGGCATTTGGGTTGGTTCCAAGTCTTTGCTATTGTGAACAGTGCTGTTCAGTCTCTTGATAGTGTCCTTTCAGGTACAAAAGTTTTTAATTTTGATGAAGTCAAATGTGTCCATTTTTAATTTTTTAGCCTGCATTTCTGGTGTTGTATTTAAGAAGCCATTATCAAATCCAAGAGCCTACATATTTTCCCCTGTGTTTTCTTCTAAGAGCTTTACAGTTTTTGCTCTTCAATTGACATTTTAGTTAATTTTTGTGTATGATGTAAGGTAAGGGTCCAACTTCATTCTTCTACATGTGTATATTCAGTTCCCCTAGCACCATTTGTTAAATAGACTGTTCTTTCCCTCATTGAATAGTCTTGGCTTCCTTGTAAAAATTACATTGACCATAGATATATGGGTTTATTTCTGGACTGTCAATTCTATTCTATTGGTATATATGTACACTTTTAAGCCAGTATGACACTACTTTGATTACTGTAGCTTTGTAATAAGTTTTGAAATCAGGAAGTGTGGGTCCTCCAATTTTGTTCTTTTCCAATATTTTTTGACTATGGTGGGTCTCTTCAAATTCCATATGAATTTTAGAATGGGTTTTCTCATTTCTGTAAAAAAAATGCAATTGGGATTTTACTGGGATTGCACTGAATTTGTGGATTGCTTTGGCAGTATAGTCATCTGAGTAGTATTAAATCTTCAAATCCACGAATATAGAATGTCTCTCCATTTATTTAGGTCTTCTTTAATTTCTGTCAGTAATGTTTCATAGGTTTCAGTGTACAAATTTTAAACTTCTTGGAAAGTTTGTTTATATGTATTTTTGATAATATCGTAAATGAAATTATTGCTTTAATTCCCTCTGTACATTATTCATTATTAGTGTGTAGAAATACAATTGATATTTGCATGTTTGCTTTGTATCCTACAATTTTGCTGACTGTTTTAGCTCTAACAGGTTCTTTTGTGAATTCTTATGGGTTTTCTAGATATAAGATTTTGCCATCTGCAAATGCAGATAATTATACCTCTTCCTTTTTATTGGATGCCTTTTCTTTCTTTTTCTTGACTAATTACTTCGGCTAGAACTTCCAGTACTATGTTCCAGTACTATGTATCTTGTTCTAGACATGCTAGTTCCTTAAGCTGCATAGTTAGGTTACTTGCTGATTTTAGATATTTCTTTTTTACTGTACAAGTTTACAGCTATAACTTGACATCTAAGCACTCCTTTAGCTGCATCTCATAAATTTTCCTGTATTGTGGTTTTCTTTTTTCATTCATTTCAAGGAATTTTCTAACTTTCCTTCTTCTTCTGTGACTTTCATATGCATATGTTGTTTTGCTTGATGCTACAGGTGCATTAGGCTATGTTCACTTTTCTCATTCTTTTTTCTTTCCGCTCCTCAGACTAGATCATTTTAGTTGGCCTGTCTTGAAGTTTGCTGAGTCTTCCTTCTGCCTGCCCAAATCTACTGTTGAACTTCTCTAGCAATTTTTTTCATTTCAGTTATTGTGCTTTTCAGCTCCCAAATTTGTTTGGTTTCCTACTGTAACTTCTATCTCTTTATTGATATTTTCAGTTTGTTCATACATCATCTTGCTATTATTCTTTAGTTCATTTTTATGGTTTCATTTAGCATTGAACATGTTTGAAACTTTTGATTTAATGTCTTTGTCTAGTAAGTCCAATGTGTGTGGTTCCTCAGGGATGGTTTCTGTCTATTTATATTTTTCTTTGAATGGGCCAAAATCAAGCACTAGTCATTCCTGAGGCTTCAGGAGAATTGAGGAGTTTAAGATTTATTGTATGGAGTTGGAAAAACCAATTCATTTTTCATGTTACTGTTAATTCTGGAAAAGAATAATCACTGCCCCTTCCAATGTTGAGGGGGTCTGATATAATGAATTTGTCACAAATGTCTGGTTCATTTCCTTGAGAGATTTTACCAACTCAAAAGCTCAACATTAACTGCTGACATTCAGACAGGTCAGAATTTAGTAGAGAGAGCAGCTAGATCATAATTTGTGTGAAGGAGTCATGCAGTTGAACTTGGGCAGAGCCTCCATCGCTGCCATCGTGGTTGTTCTGTTCATGTGCCCAATGTGCCACCACTCAGGGATGGTCAAGTACAAATGACGACTAATTTTCACTGAATGAGTTAGTCTATCTATCTGGTTGTTCAGTGCCTCTCTGTGGTAGACGTTTTCTTAGGCATTAACACAAAACATGCAGTTTCACACCAGTTTATGCCATTTCCATTGGTCCATTAAAATGTCTGTTTCCCAGAACTCCTTGTCTCTGACCTTCCAATTTTGCTTCTTCCATATCTCTAACCAATCCAATATGTCACTGACCATTGACTATGAGCCCCTACATTCTTAACTCTAGGCAGTTTTCTCTCCATTGACAATAGGCATGGGAGATTTGAGGAGATCTTATCATTGGGGAGATTTCCCTCACTACTGTTCTACAAAGCCACCCCTGAGTGGTGTGATAGCATACCAGCAATCAATTGCTTGCTTCCACCAACATACTGAGTTGTCTCATCTACGAACCAGACTCAGGAAGTACTGGGTTTATGTAGCAGCAATAACACTAGAGCAATATGAAATCAATAGTAAATATAAGGATTGTGGAGTTGTCTGGCTTTTGTTTATTTTCTTGAATACCTTAATAAAAAGAGAATGACAGGCTCAAGTCACCCATTAACAACTCAAAACAAACATGGAATGCATGAGGCCAATATATTAGTTTTCTAAGGATTCCATAAAATATTACCACAGTCTGAGAATAGAAATCTATTTCCTGACAGTTCTGGAAGTCAGAATTCTGAAATCAAGGTGTCAGAAGCATTGGGTTCTTCTGGAGGCTCTAAGAAAGAAACTATCTCAGAACTCTCTCCTAGTTCCTAGTGGCTGCCAGCAAGTCTTGGCATTCTTAGGCTTGTAAGTGTGTGACTCCAGTCTCTGCCTCCATCTTCATTTGACCTTCCCCCATGTATCTCTGTGTTTTCTCCTATATGTCTAAGTATACTCATAATTGAATTTAGTGGCCACCCTAAATCCTGGATGATCTCATCTTGAGAGCCTTAACTTAATTACATCTGCAGACAACCCATTACCAAAAAAGATCACATTTATAGGTACCAAGAATTAGAACTTTGGCAAGCTTTTAGGGCCACTATTCAACCCACCACAGCTACTATGGCAGTATTTAGCAAGATCCTCATCTTCTGCAGTCCTAAGGCAGACTGCTAAAAAACAAATATAGGATTTAATTGTAAGGATAACAGAGATACAAAGAGATAAAATATGCAGCTTGACAGGTCTCATATGCTAAAATCAGGGCCCTATCTGATAAGGATGGCATAAGATTCTGAGACCTATGAGGTAGAATTTTCAGTAAATTCATTTGATAAAAGAATGGAGGTAAATCAATAATTTGTGGCAATTAATTCATTATTTCATTTTAAAATATTTTTTCTAATTTTAAGATAATTGTAGATATATAAAGACCTAACATACACAGCATATCAATTATCATATTTAATGAACAATATTTTGAGATATTTGTCTGAGCTGTATTTTTTAAATAATGTTACCTTTCCATTCTTCTCTCTACCCTTACTCAAAGGGAGCCATTATAGTAGTTAACAACAGCCTCTCTGATAAGGTGACAAGTATATGGAAACTTGAAGGAAGACAGAGAGAATAATAGAGTCATATGTATATCATTCATAAGAACATAAAATATTATTTGTGTTCTTAAACTTTACATACAGCTTTCAATTTGTTTTTGCAAATTTTTTTTCCTTAATGCTGTGTTCCAGATTTATTCATATTATTAGTTGACATGGTCATTCTGCATAAGTAGGATGAACTCCTTCATCCAAAATTTGGCTCACATATTAAAACTGTGGTGATGCTAGCACATACGCACCAAGAGAGTACTAAAAGGTTTATTATACTTTTATAATGAGACTTTCTGAGGAGAGCAGTGAAAGCTCCCAACCTGAACTGAAAACTATTTCAGAGAGCTGAGAAAGAAGACTGTCTTGGCTTTTATTGTGATTAGGGGCTGTGGCTGCAATGAGGTTTCTGTTCATGGGCCAAGGTTTGCATGCTTTAAACTTCCTGCCAGTACTAAAGGTGGAGCCCCAGGGCTTTCTTATCAGCTTGGCCAGGAGTGGGCATGAGGGAAAGAGGGAGTGGTGGGTCTTGAAAACTGTCAGCAGTCAAACAAAAAAAATGAAGTCAGGTAGTATATCACAATAATTGAATATCTAGTATATTATTTTAATCACCTTGTAATATTTGTTTATCCATTTATTTATTGATGGGCATATATGTTGTTTCCAAATTGAAGATATTACAAAATTATCTCCTTGTGAATACTTTCAAGATTTTTACCTAGGTCCATGCTACTTAAAATGTGGTCTTTAGATCAGTGCTAATCCATTAACTGATAGTTACATGTCTGTAACGAGATAAGGAGCTGGTCCCAGAATGCAAATCAACATGCTAACTAAATTTACTATATAATTCAGTTGATAATTATTTTCATAATAAGAATTTCTCAATAAAGAAAGCACTGAATTAATTTACACTTTGACACAGGCTCCTTATCTCATGGAAGACAGATAAAAAATAGTCCTCAGACCAGTGACCCTGAGTAGCTTTTGTTCTGATTAAAAGTGGAATTTCTGAGTCCTAGGATGAGTGCATCTTCAACTTCACTAGCTATTGCTTAATTGGCCCGTAAAATATTTGTTTTGTTGTTGTTGTTGAGGAATGACATTTTATTTTTTAATTTCTGTGGGTAGATAGCAGATGTATACAATTATGAGGTATGAGATGCTTTGATACAGGCATGGAATGAGTAATAATCACATCATGAAGAATGGGGTACCCATCCCCTCAAGTATTTATGCTTTTTGTTAAAAACAATCCAATTATATTCTTTTAGCTATTTGTAAATGTACAATTAAGTTTTTTAACTCTAGTCACCCTGTTATACTATTAAATATTAGGTTTAATTCGTTGTTTCTATTGTTTGTACCCATTAACCATCCCCAACTCATGCCCAATTCCCACTACCCTTCTCAGGCTCTAGTAATCATCCTTCTACTCTCTGTGTTCATGAATCCAATTTTGATTTTTGGTATCTAAAGATGCCACAAATAAGTAAGAACATGTGATGGTTGTCTTTCTGTGCTTAGCTCATTTCACTTAACATAATGACCTTCAACAACCCATGTTGTTGCAAGTGACTGAATTTTATTCTTTTTTATGGCTGAGTAGTACTCCATTATGTATAAGTACCACATTTTCTTTATCCATTAATCTGTTGATGGACACTTAGGTTGATTCCAAATCTTGGTGATTGTGAACAGAGCTGCAACAAACATGAGAATGCAAATATATCTTTGACATATTGACTTCCTTACTTTTAGTTATATACCCAGCAGTGGAATTGCTGGATCATATGGTAGCTCAATTGTTAGTTTTTTTAGAAATCTCCAAACTATTATCCATAGTGGTTATACTAATTTACATTCCCACCAACAGTGAACAGTGTTGCCTTTTCTCCATATCCGTGAAAGCATTTCCTATTGCCTGTCTTTTGGATATAAACCATTTTAACTGGGGTGAGATGATAGCTCATTGTAGTTTTGATTTGCATTTCTCTGATGATCAGTAATGTTGAGCAACTTTTCATATGTCTGTTTGCCACTTGTATGTCTTCTTTTGACAAATGTCTATTCAAATCTTTGGCCCTTTTAAAAATAGAGTTATTAGTTTTTTTCATGTTGAGTTGTTTGATCTTCTTATATATTCTGGTTATTAATCCCTGGTCAGATGGGTGGTTTGCAAATATTTCCTCCCAGTCTATGGGGTTTTCTCTTTACTTTGCTAACTGTATCCTTTGTTGTGCAGAAGCTTTTTAACTTAATGTGATGCCATTTTCCATTTTTGCTTTGGTTGCCTGTGCTTGTGGGGTATTACTCAAGAAATCTTTGCACAGACAAATGTCTGGACAGTTTCCTCAACGTTTTCTTGTGGTAGTTTTACAGTTTGAAGTATTGGACCATCATTTTTCTCTGTATGTTAATTCTTTGGTATTTGTTCTTTAATCCATTTTGATTTAATTTTTATATGGCAAAAGATAGTGGTCTAGTTTCACTCTGCCTATGGATATCCAGTTTTTCTGTCACCACTTATAGAAGAGACTGTCTTTCCCCCAGTGTATGTTCTTAGCAACTTTATTGAAAATGAGTTTGCTGTGAGTGTGTGAATTTGTTTCTGGGTTCTCTACTCTGTTTCATTGGTCTGTGTGTCTGCTTTTATGCTGGTACCATGCTGTTTTGATTACTACAGCTCAGTAGCATAATTTGAAGTCAGGTAATGTGATTCCCCTGAGTTTTGCACTTTTTCCTCAAGATAGCTTTGGCTATACTAGGTCTTTTGTGGTTTTTATAAATTTTAGGATAATTTTTTTCTATTTCTGTGAAGAATGTCATTGGTATTTTGATACAGATTGCATTGAATCTGTAGATTGCTTTGGGTAGTATGGACATTTGAACAACATTCTTCCAATCCATGAACATGGAATAACTTTCCATTTGTGGTGTCCTCCTCAATTTCGTTCATCAGTGTTTTATAGTTTCCATTATAGAGATTTTACTCCTCTCTGGCTAAGTTAATTCCTAGGTATTTAATTTTATTTGTGGCTACTGTAAATGAAATTACTTTTTAAATTTCTTTCTCACATTGTCCGTTGTGGGCCTATAGATAGGCTACTGATTTTTGTGTGTTAATTTTGTATCCTGCAACTTTAATGAATTTAACGGTTCTAATAGTGTTCTTATGGCATCTTTAGATTTTTCCACATATTAGATAGGATAATTTGACTTCTTCCTTTCCAATTTGGATGCCCTTTGTTTCTTTCTCTAGTTTGATCACTTTAGGTAGGATTTCCAGTACTGTGTTGAATAACAATGGTGCAAGTGGGCATTCTTGTCATGTTCCAGATCTTGGAAAAAAAGCCTTTCAGTTTTTCCCCATTCAGTATGAAACTTGCTGTGGGTCTGTCATACATGGTTTTTATTATGTTGAGGTATGTTCCCTTCATGGGCACTTTTTTTAGGGTTTTTTAAATCAGGAACAGATGTTGAATTTCATCAAATTCTTTTTCAGCATCAATTGAAGTGATCATATTGATTTTTTAATTTATTCTGTTGATTTGATGTAACACATTAATTGATATGCATATTCTGAACCATTCTTGCCTCTCTGGGATAAATCCCACTTGGTCTTGATGAATGAGCTTTATAATATATTAATAAATTTGGTTTGCTAATATTTTATTGAGAATTTTTGCATAAGTATTCATCAGAGATATTGGCATATAGTTTGTCTGTTTGTTTTTGATGTGTCTTTGTCTGGTTTTGTTATCAGGATAATATTGGCCTTGTAGAGTGAGTTTGGAAGTCCTTCCTCCTACTCTATTTTTCAAAATGGTTTGAGTAGGATTGTATTAGTTCTTAACATGTTTGCTAGAATTCAGCACTGAAGCCATTGGTTCCCAGCCTTTCCTTTACTGGAAGAATTTTTATTATGACTTTGATCACATTACTTATAATTGGTCTGTTCAGGTTTTGGATTTATCCCTGGTTCAATATGGGTAGGTTGTATATTTCTAAGAAATTTGCCCATTTCTTCTAAATTTTCCAATGTATTTCCATATAATTGCTCATAGTAGCCCTGAATGACCCTTTGAATTTCTGCAGTATCAGTTGTAATGTCTCCTTTTTCATCTCTGATTTTATTTATATGTATCTTCTCTCTTGTCTTCTTAGATAATCTGGCTACAGCTTTGTCAATTATGTTTAGCATTTCAAATACCAACTTTTTGTTTCATTGGTCTTTCGTATTTTTTATTTCTATTTTATATATTTCTGCTCTGATACTTATTATATATCTTCTACTAATTTGGGGATTGGTTAGCTCTTGCTTTTCTCATTTTTTTAAGATATATTCTTAGGGACAGTCAAAAACCATAGAAATCCATCCAGTGTTCTATCGTATTGTGGCTGAGCTGGCAATCAAGCCACAAGATGCAGTTTTTGTCACTCTTCTCTCCTCTTTCCAAAGACAGAGGAGCTTCACCCCATGGCCACCATCACCTCAGGCCCACTGGGAGTAATGCCAGACTACTGCCAATGTTCCCTTAAGGACCAAGGGCTCTTTGGTCAGCTTATGGTGAGTGTCTCCTAGCCTGGGACCCATCCTTCAGGGCAGTGGGCTCCCCTATAGCCCAGGGCAGGTCCAGAAATGCTGTCCAAGAGCCAGTCCTGGAAATGGTGACCCCAAGATCCCACTTGGTGCTCTGCCTTACTGTAGCCAAGTGGGTACATAAGATTCAAGACAAATTTCCCTTTGCTTTTTCCTCTGCTTTTCTCACATAGAAGGACTCTCATGCTGTAGCCGCCACAGCTGGGAATGTGTTGAGTCTTGCCAGTGGCCAGCAAGTCTTAGCATCTAACCCAAGGTTCCTGTCATAGTACCTGGGTATTGCTGCTGGTTATTCAGGGTCCAAGAGCTCTTTAGTTAGCAGGTGATGAATGCTGCCAGGACTAGTTCCTTCCTTTCTAGGCAATCAGTTCTCTTCTGGCCCAAAGTGTGTCTAGAAATGTTTGATAGCTAGAGCCTAAAAAGGGGCTTCATGACTCTGACTAGTGTCCTATTCTTCTGTGGCTGAGCTGGTTTCTAAGATGCAAGACTAAGTCCACAACTCTTCCATCTCTTACTCTAAAGCAGAAGGAAAGAGTTTCTTTTGAAGACAAGAGCTGTGCAGACTGGGGTTAAGGAATGGGTGATGCCAGCACTTCCTTAGCTGCCCTGGCTGGTGTCTACATTGGTTGCATGCCCAACCCAGTTCACTCTCTCTGGGCCCGGTTCGGCCCTAGGACTCACCTAGGTTTTACAGTCCTTGTGGCCTAGATTGCCTTTCAAGTTTATTTGGGGTCCTGGAATGCTTTAGCCCACTGTGACAAGGCTTGCAGGAACTCAAGTTCCAACCACTGGAATTGATGACTCCCCTCTGGCTATGGCTGGTTTAAATGCTTCCTCCATGGGTAGGTATCAGCTGAGTTTGGTCCATTCTTTGCTTTCTGGTATAACAAGGGCTAGACTGAATTCAATGCCTCAAAATTGCTGGCTCTCCATCTCTCCAGGGCACAGAAATGCTTTCTGAACCATGTCACCACTGCCGGTGAATAGGAAAGGCATTGGCAATTTAAGATTGTTTTTCCTACCCCTTCAGTGCCTCTTTCAGTGATATGAGAGTTATTTACCGATTACCTACACAACAAAAGTACCTTCATAAGGACCAAAAATCAGGTGCTTTTGTTGTGTAGGTGGTTGTTAAGTTGGTGTCCTTGTCTGGGGGGGGACAACTGGTGGAGCCTTCTAGTCTACCGTTTTGCTCTACCTCTCAAGGCTGTGAGTGTGTTAATATACACTCACACCAATGATGTGTGTGTTTCCTCACATCTTCACCATCACTTGATATTACTGAGTTAATTCTTTTTCAAACATTATGAGAAGTAACATCTATTTGTTTTAGTTGTTCATCATGTCTTTTCACATATACAAATTTATGATTTTACTATAATCACCTGTGTCCATCTTTTTCTTTATAATTTGTAACTTTGTGTATTTTTAAGAGATGATTTGTTATCCTGAGATTACAAAGGTATCCACTTAAATTTTCTTCTAAATATTTTAAGCTTTCTTTTTCACATTTAGTCCGTTAATGACAAAATGAAAATTATTTTTCATGTGTAATATGAAATAGGGATGAAGGTTATCTCTTTTCATATAAATCACAAACTTTCCCAATAAATACCATTTATTGAATAGCTGAATCTCTCACCACTGTATAGTAGTTTCACATCTATCATATGATAACTTACCATAACTCTGTGGGTCTGTTTTGAGGCCATTTAATATGTGCCAGTCTCCATTTGTCCATGCCTAAATCAAGATCACACTATTTTAATTACTATAGCTTTATATTAATTATTGACATTTGGTAAGAAAAGTTCTACCTAATTATTTTTCTTTTTATATTTTACTTGGCTGAGTTTTTGGCCATTTATTCATTGCTGAAAATTGAATGTGTTTTGCAAAGTTTGTGTGTTGGCAATTTAATCCCCAATGCAAATGTGTTGAGAGGTGAGACCTTTAAGAGGTGATTAGGTCATAAGGGCTCTGCTCTCATAAATGGATTAAGGCCATTATCATGAGAATGGGTTATTGTCTCTGGATTAGGTTTCTGATAAAAAAGATGAGTTCGGCCTCATTTTTCTCTCTCTGCTCCTCTTGTTCTTTTTCACTCTCTTGCCTTCCATCACGGAATGAGGGTGCAAGAAGGCCCTCACCAGATGCAGGCCCCTCAACTTTGTACTTCCCAGCCTCCAAAACTCTAAGAATTTTTTTTTTCATTATCAATTGCCTAGCCTGGGGTATTCTGTTAAAGAAGCACAAAATGGACTAAGATACTTATATATAAGAATTTTCAAATAAGCTCAGCAAGTTGTGCAAAAAACCCCACAGCCCAACAACACTATGGGTTTTCTAATTATATAGAGAGTTATATTGAGTTTATCAATTTTAGAAAAGCAAGCCTCTTCTCATTCATGAATCTAATCTATCTATTTTAAGTCTTATTTTATGTACTTAGGTTGTATAATTTCTCCTTAAATACATTATACTTCTGTTTGAAGAAGGTCTAGGTATACCTCACAAGGAATGCTCTCCCCTCCTACTACCAGAGCCAAGAGGTATTCTTTCTCATTTATTTATCATGAGAACCTAGTGGGGTTCCTGGAAGTCAAACCCCAAAATGTGCAAGAAATTTCTCACTCTTACGCTAATCCAAATGCAGCTTCCAGCAATTCATCAAAATTACTATGTAGGTGATTCTACTAGTTTATGACTCCAGTGGCTTCTGATCTAGGCAAAGAGATCTTGGCTCTAATTCTCCAAATTTACTTGTCTCTCCAAATTTAGGGGTTGCAGATTGCCGTGTGACCTCAGTTCTATGACATCTGCAAGAAAAGTACTTGCCTAGCTTTCTCTTAGTGTAAAGATATGAGTGATAGCTTACAAGTTCTTTACATGTTGAAGTTGAAACCGACAGACATCCTTGGGATGGATTTTATGCATTATTTAATATTTTGTAAGTCTAAGCTACAAAATATGTTTCTAAACATTGAAAAGTAGGTTCAAACCCAATAGCAAGTCTCCTCCTAGAAGAAGAAATACTATTCCTATTTCAAACACCAAATAAAATATAAAATATTTTTCCATTCACAGCTCTGAAAATCATAAGAATTCTACTATTTTACAATTATAGGAAATGTAGGCAAAATTATCTGTTTCCTAGGCTTCCACTGTAGTGGATCACAATGTCAAAATTTATTTTACACATTGTTGAATTTGCTTCCAAATATTTTATTGTTTATGATTCTTTTATCTGTATGAGATTATCCTAAGTTTTTCTTTATTGCATGAATAATATCCAGATTTTAGGTTAACACAATACCACATAAAATTATTTGAGAACCTTTGATTTTTTTGTACTGTTAAGATTTTGTATTAGTGAGAGCTAATCTATGTTTTAAACATTTTGTAGAATTTACCTGTAAAACTATCCGACCTGGTTGTTATCTACTCTGGTATCTTTGGTTTGGGGTTTTTCTTTTTTTGGTAAATATTATTTTGTTTTTGTTTTGTAAAAACAAATAAAAACAGAAAAATAAATTTGATTTACTTAATGTATATAAGTCTATTCAGATTTTCTGCTTTGTAAATTGGATTTGATAGAAATTATTTTCATATTTATTTGATAAATTTACTTATAACTCATCCTTATAATTTTGTCAATGTCTAATTAATGTTATGTCATCTTTCATTCTTAATATTTTTTACTTGTAACTTTACATTTTTCTCCAATTCAGTCTAGCCAGAGATATGACTATTAGTCTTTACATAGAACCAGCTTTTGGTTATGCTGATCCTCTAATTTTTTCTATTACTTTAACTTTTGCCTTACTTGGTATCATCTTTCTTTTCATGTTTGATATTTTGATTTTCTTTTTCCAGCCATTTTCATTATAAACTGAACTTATTAATTCTCAATCTTTCTTCTTTTCCAATAAGAACATTCAGAGCTCTACAGTTTGATGTATATATTTTTTGCCTGTATCCCACATAGGTTTTCCTTGTATAATGTTTTGTATTGTCATTATAATTTATATCTTCACCAATGAATTATTTAGAATTATTAGATATTTAGAACACATGTCTGTTCTAAAGTTTCCAGGTCCACGGCGGTTGCCATATCTTTGTTATTGACTTACAATTTTATTGTGTATTGGTTGGAGAAGATAGTTTATATGTTAATTCTTTGGTATTTGTTCAAAATTCCATTGTAGTCTGGTATGTGTTCTATTTTTATAAATGTTTTATATTTGCTTGAAAAAAATATAACGTTTTTCACTGTTGAGTGAGAACTCTATAAATATAATTTCTTTCAAGTCTATTGTGGTTGATGCTCAAAATTTTATATATTTAGTAACAGTTTCCTCAAGTCTATCAATTATTAAGAAAATGTTTTAAAATCTCCCCTAGATTATAGCATTTTCATTTTGATGCTATGTTTTTAGGTAGAAAATGATTCAGAACTGATTATATATTCCTGATTTTTTTCTTTTATCACCATGTAATTATATAATTTATCACCAAGAAGGCATATTTTCTTGAACTCTATTATGTTGGATATTCATATTACTACATCAGTTTTCTTTGGATATTCATTAATATCTGGAAATGAAATATCCAGAAAAAAGCTGATGTAGCAATTTAATACCAATGCATTTTTCTACCTTTTTACATTCATCCTTTCTGTGCCATATATTTTAGCATGTCTCTTATAAATAGATAAAACTAAATTTTTAATTCAATCCAAGCATTTATTTACCAAATAACTTTAATCTTTTAAATTTTACTAATTTTTAAATGTATTTAGATTATGCTTTTGTTTTATTTATACTTTGTAATCCCTTCCTACATTCTATTTTGCTCCTTGGATTTTATTTGTCACTTGCCGTATTCCTTCTGTACTTGTGTGAAGGTCATTAATTTTTCTAGTGGGTACACTACATGTTTCATATGTATACTTGACTTAACAAATTATAAAATTAATGAATATCTCCACTATACTCATAAAACAAGGACTTTCAAGTGCTTTTATACTATTTATCCTTTACCAGTTCTATTTTATTATTGCCTTGTGTTTTATTTCCAACTTGGTTTAAGCTCCAGACTATTACTTGTGTTGTTTTCTTTGCTTAGCAAATGCTTATTAAGATTTGTTTATATTTCTACCAATTTTAATGATCATTATTGCCTCTTGCATTCCATTTCCTCTTTCCTAGTTCAGGTTAATTATACAAGAGATTTTTTCTTTAGTCGTTCTTTCAATTAGGACTTGGATATAGTATAGTAGATAATTCTTTTTCTAACTATAGCTTAAATTTGTTAGTTCTGAAAATTCTATTATCTGAAGTTTAAGGGTTGCTAATCTTTTGTTTATTGTATCTTCTGTTTCTTCCTTATGGAGGATCATATCCCTTTGTAGTATTTCATTACTTATTGTGATCTCATCTTTATCAGTGACTTTTTTATTGAAATCACATTTACCCTTGGTTTTGTGTTACTATAAAGTGGTTTTAGCCAGGCATAGTGGCATGCACCTATAATCCTAAGTACTCAGAAGGTTGAAGAGAAAGGATCACTTGAGCCTAGGAGTTTGAGATCAGCCTGGGTAACATAATGAGACCATATCTCTAAAAAAGAATAAAAAGAAAAGTAGTTTTGCATTTGATTCTACAGATATCTCAGGATTTTGGTAGTCTGGTATGATACTACGTTATTTTCTCAGAGAATTCCTGTGACATACAGGTAGTATGAGTTTACTCTCCAAACCTGAGGGTAGCATGGGTCTATAGCTTTCATATTAGTATGAGAGTATATTAGTTCGCTAGGGTTGCTGTGGCAAAGTACCACAAACTGGTACCACAAACTGGTTTATCCCTATCTCCTCATTCATTGAAAAAAGACTTGTGTTCTTTTCTAACTTCCAATAACCTCTCTCTGTACTCTAAAGATGCTAACAGTGGAAAATTCTTAATCACAAAACATGACAATGTTCTTTAGGCCACAGAGTCTGAGACTGCAGCCCTTGCCATATCAGCTAGTATGACCAGCTTCTGTCATCTAGTTATTTGTCTTGATTGCCTCCTTTTTTCTATCTGAGAGGATAATTTCACTTTTTTCCCCTCTGACTTAAACCAGTCTTTTAATATCACCCAGTGATTTGGATTCATGAGTATCTAACTACCTTTACCCTGCCAATGCTTTAGGCCCAGCCATCTGCACAATGGGTCTAAGAAACATTTCAGTGAAGCATCATGATAGGCCAACTTTGGAACTAAAAAAGTCTATTTGGATGTAAATTAGGAATTTGAGTCGACAGACATACTCTAGATTTTCTGGCTTAGTGTCTCAGTATCTATTTTAGTTGAAACAATTCTGATTAAATCAGATGTTCTTTTCCTTTGTAATTTTCATTATAGAGTTAAATGTCTTTTATAGTGAAGCAGAATGTTTCAAAGTATTTTAGAGAGTACAGATTTCTATTCCAGCGAGGCTCTTCTTAAAAATTACTCTATGAAGTCTTAATTTCTCCTTGACCTGGAAATAAGTAAAATTTGTTTCTATAGATATAGCAGAAAATAATTTCAATTCATATTGAAATATTATTATTTGCATCCTAAAATTTACCATAAGAGTTTGTTCTAATTCTCATATTCTTACAAGAAGTTAAGAAAAGTCAGTTTACAAGAATAACAAACTGTTTTACCTCCAGCTAGAACTTCTTGAAATAAACAAAAAGAAAAAGAAAGAAAAAGGAAAGAAAGAAAAACAAAGAAAAGAAAGAAGAAAGAGAGAAAGAAAGAGAAAAAGAAAGAAAGAAAAGAAAGAAAGAAAGAAAGAAAGAAAGATAAGAAAGAAAGAAAGAAAGAAGGAAAGAAAGAAAGAAAGAAAGAAAGAAAGAAAGAAAGAAAGAAAGAAAGAAAGAAAGAAAGAAAGAAAGAGAAAAATGGTGTGTGTCTGTGGTCCCACCTACTTGGAAGGCTGAGATGGGAGGATCGCACGAGCCTGTAGGACAGACGTTGCAGTGAGCCAAGATCACACCACAGCACTCCAGCCTGGGTGACAGAGCAAGACCTTGTCTCAAAAAGAAAAAGAAAAAGAAAAAAGGAAGGAAAGAAGGAAGGAAAGGGAAGGGGAGGGGAGGGGAGGGGAGGGGAGGGGAGGGAAGGGAAGGGAAGGGAGAAGGAGGGAAAGAGGGAAGGAGGGAGGGAGGGAGGGAAGGAAAGAAGGGAGGGAGGGAAGGAGGGAGGGAAGGAAGGAAGGAAGAAAGAAAGAAGGAAAGAAGAAAAAGAAAGAAAAAAGAAGAAAGAAAGAAAAAGAAAAAGAAGAAAGAAAGAAAGAGAAAGAAGCCATATTTCATAAGGAAGTTATTAATGCTCATCATTAGGTTATATCCAATTGTAGAGAAATACCACACTTAGTTTGTATATTATTTTTGTAAAAACATACATATTTTTTCCAAGTTAAAAATATATGTGAGGCTTCTAACTACCTACTAATTTCAATTACTAGGGCATTCTTCTAGGAGTTTTGAAATGGTACAGTACAATCCTGATATTTGAATACTCCATTCAACTAGTAAGATGCTGCCTGGTTAATAGTATCAGAAGCACCTATATCATAGCTCTTAACATCACTTCATTTTTTGTGTTTAATCCCTATGCTGTACGTATTGTCTTTTTCTGTTTCACGCATATGGTAAAACAAACAAATCTAGGGTTAATAATGCCCTTATTTATTGGGGAGGTTTTCCGGTAATTCATTTTATCTGGATATAATTTTTAATAGTGCTCCTCTCACTCTCAAAAGTGTTTTTGTTTAGAGAATGAATTATATGCTCACTCTAAAAATAGAAGAATCTTGGATAGACCTGTATAACATAAAATTATCTGTGGTGCCTAATTTACCTTCTTCTCTCTCCAGGCACTTTAAGGTCCCAGTAATTGAAATATCTAGTTGTCAATTATTACTGCTTTTTTTCTGTCTCACTTAGTATTAATTAAAGTGAAATCAGATTACAATACTTAAATGTTTCTTCCAAGCTTTCATCTCGACTTATGTGATGTTAAATGGAGAAGGAGCATTATGACCAATAAGAGAGTAGTTTCTAAATGGTTGCTCCATTTATTGAATGTCTCAAGGAGAAACAAGCTACTTGGAAAGATTTCAATACAGTGTTTTTCTCAGAACTTTTCCTATCAAGTGGATATAAATGTTATTCATATGACTTGTGTAAGTCATGTTCTTTTGATGAGGAAAAAAATGACAGTCATGAAATTGTAAAAAGAAAAAATAGTTAATGACATGCATATATTAACTAATCTAAAGAAAGACCCTTTTTCGTATCTTTCATAACGCATTGCTTGGCATCTCCTAGGGCTTGGGGCCAGGTAGAAACCAAGACTGTGTTAAGTTAGTGTCAACCATCCGTAATTGGAAGCTATCAGAGAGACATTTGAAGAATTTAAGGGTAATTTAGCAGGTGAACAAGACACTGAGTAGCTCTTGAGGCAGTCCTTCAAGCTATAATACAGAAACAGAATGGGAGATCTGAAACTGCAAATGCTGTAGGGTTTGAGAAATACAATGTGGGGTCCAGGTAGCTTGGCCAATTCTGCAGACCTCTATCCGTGCATAAGTTACTTTTCCTGGGCCTCTTTTGCGGACATGGTGGCTTTACCCTAACACCTCTTAAATAAATGTGCCACCTGGAATCATACCAGATACCATCTAAGACTATCCTTTCTACTCTTAATAAAATGTTAAAAGTTACTGGAATCACTTCATACGAGGTATTATTTTTCTCCTTAAAATTTTAGAGATTGCCTTTTTTTTGCAAGCCAACTGTTTTTGGGACAATTTGGATCTCTGTTTTGATTTGAGTGAATTTTCAGTCTTGTTCTCCATAACAGAAAGCCAATTTACATGGAAGGTATCCCCAAAAGCAGTTTATGTGTTAGAAATAATTTTAAAAGTCAATGTTTCCACATTTTTAAATAAAATAATTTGTATTGCTTTAGCTTATCTTTTAACATTAGTATTCATGTCCATTTCCGAAAAGTGCTTAATTTCTAAAATCTGTGTGCTTATTCCTGATATTTAATTATTTTGTATCCCTCTTGCTTTAATTTCAGGAAAAGTGTGAATTTGAGCTGTAAAATATAGTGTCAATGTTTATAAGAAAAAAATAGTGACCTACCTGAGGCTACACACAATAATCATAGGTCCGCCAAATGTCACTGACAGGAGGCAGGCTCATCTACAACTTTTGTCTCTCATTATTATGGAAATAAGGAGCCAAAAAATCAGAAATATAAGGGAAGGTACAGTCAACAATTTTGCTTTTGTTTAGCATGTTTATTTTTAAAAGGATCAACCAAAACAAATACGCATAACCTCTGAGAAATGAAATTATTGTTAACACAGTATGAAGCCCAGAGAGGAAAAATCTTGTCCAAAGTATGTAGATATTCACAGACATAAGTAAGATCGCAGGCTCTAAGAAACAACTTCCCTTACTTTCTTTATATCCTATGCCTTTTAAAAAATACTTTTTAATGCTAGAGAAGTTGAATCAGTCACTGTTAACAAATCTACCCTAATACATTCCACCCTCCAGTTGATTGATGAGAAAAAGAGCAACAAAGCATGAGCAATTACTGTATAAGGATTCAGCAATGATAAAAGCTTAGCACTATCTTGGGAATAAGGTACAAACAAAGCATTACAAGGGTTATGGGCCTACGCAGGAGTAGGAGTGTGTGCCCAGTGTTGGTTCCTCTTACTTATACCTAACAACAACCTTTCTTTCTGGAAATGCTTTTGTTGTATGTTTGTTGGGGAAATACCTGAAATTCTGGCTTGGATTTTAAAGACGCTATCAAATAATAAGAGATCAGAGCTCAAAGGGCCTTTAGGAATGGTTTCATCTGGGGTCTATATGGTAGATTGTGATGGTTAATTTATGTGTCAACTTGGCTAGGCAATGGCGGTCAGTTGTTTGGTCAAACACTAGTCTAGATGTTGCTGTAAAAGCATTTTCTAAATGTGGTAAATTTCTATAACCAGTTGGTTATAGTAAAGGGGATTAACTTCAATAATGTGAGTGGGCCTCATCAAATCAGTTGAAAGGCTTATGTTTCTGAGAGAAGAAGAAATTTTGCCTGAAAATGTAAAAATTCTGCCTGAATTTCCAAAATGTGAACTGCCCTTTGGATTTCAGACCCAAGACTACATCATCAACTCTTGTCTTAGGTTCTAGCTTGCTGGCCTGCCCTATAGACTCTGGACTTGCCAGCATCTATAATCACATGAGCTGGTCCCTCTAAAGAAAAAAAGGAACATCCTATTTGTTCTGTTTCTCTGGAGAAACCTGAGTGACACAGAGAATACATGTTTCTTTTGTAGGCTATCATAGTGTTCTAAAGTAATTTTTAAACTAGAATGCATTTGGGAAGAGCATATGTTCTAATTTTCCTAGGTAACTACCATTCCCTGTTGTCCATACATCTAGTAGTTTTGCCTCTGAAATTACCTGAGTATGAGACCGGTATCCCAAGCTACCCCCTCAGTTTACATATAAGGAAACTGAAACACACAGTTGTGAATGGGTCTTGTATGAATTCCTAGGATTTTTGCAGAATTAAGACTGAAGCTTAGGTGACCTGGCATCTAGGGCAATGTTCTTTCCATGACTCTTGCTGTCTTCTTCTCCTTTCCCTTTGTAATTCTATCAACAGCTTAGACTTGGGATTGGCCAAGATGGCTGAATAGAAGCAGCTAGGGTGTGTAGCTCTCACAGAGATAAATGAAAGGGGTAAGTAAACACAGCACCTTCAAGTGAAAAATCCAGGTACTCACATCGGAACTAATTAAGGAAACAACTTGACCCATGGAAAAGGGAGAAAAGCAAGGCAAAATCATGGCCAACCCAGAAGTGACACAGAGTCAAGAGAACCCGCCCCATTCCAGGGAAAGCCATGAGTGAATGTGCGACCCTGGGAACCCAAACTTCTCCCACGGATCTTTGCAACCATTGGGTCAGGAGATCCACTCATGAACCCACTCCATCAGGGCCATCAGCCTGACCCACAAATATATGTGGAGTCTTGGCAGAGCAGCTCCTCAGGCATGCAGAGACCCAGGAGCTTTACATACTCTAGCTCCAGGCTTGCCAACAAAAGTAACTGCAACTCTGGCAAAGTGGGAGTTTGGACTTCTGATATGATTTGGTTGTGTCCCCACCCAGATATCTTGAATTGTAGCTCCCATAATCCCCACATGTCATTGGAAGGACCTAGTGGGAGGTAACTGAATCATGGGGATGGGTTTTTCCCATGCTGTTCTCATGATAGTGAATAAGACTCATGAGATCTGATGGTTTTATAAAGGTCAGTTCCCCTTCACACACTCTCTTGCCTGCTGCCATGTAAGATGTGCCTTTGCTCCTCCTTCACCTTCTACCATGATTGTGAGGCCTCCCCAGTCATGTGTACCTGTGAGTCAATTAAACATGTTTCCTTTATAACTTACCCAGTCTCAGGTATGTCCCTATAACAGTGTGAGAACAAACTGATACAGTAAATTGGTATCAGGAGTGGGGAGGTGTTGTAAAGATACCTGAATATGTGGAAGCAACTTTGGAACTGGGTAACAGGCAAAAGTAGGACAGTTTGGAGGGCTCAGAAGAAGATAGGAAAATGTGAGAAAGTTTGGAACTTCCTAGAGACTTGGAGGGCTCAAAAGATAGGAAGATGTGAGAAAGCTCACAACTTCCTAGAGACTTATTGAATGGCTTTGACCAAAATGCTGGTAGTGATATAGACAGCAAATTCCAGGCTGAGGTGGTCTCAGATAGAGATGAAGAACTTGTCAGGAACTGGAATAAAGCTCACTCCTGCTATGCAAAGGGACTGGCAGCATTTTGCCCCTGCCCTAGAGATCTGTGGAACTTTGAACTTGAGAGAGATGATTTAGGGTATCTGGTAGAAGAAATTTCTAAGCAGAAAAGCATTAAAGATGAAGCAGAGCATAAAAACTTGAAAAATTTGCAGCCTGACAATATAATAGAAAAGAAAAACCCACTTTCCGGAGAGAAATTCAAGCCTGCTGCAGAAATTTGCATAAGTAACAAGAAGCCAAATGTTAATTGCCAAGACAATGGGGAAAATGTCTCCAGGGCAAGTCAGGGGTCTTCATGGCAGACCCTCCCATTACAGGCCCAGAGGCCTAGGAGGGAAAAATTGTTTCATGGGCTGGCCCAGGGACCCACTGTTCTATGCAGCCTCAGGACATGTCCCGGCTACTTCAGCTTCAGTTGTGGCTAAAAGGGGCCAATGTACAGCTGAGGCCATTGCTTCAGAGAGTGCAAGCCCCAAGCCTTGGCAGCTTCCATGTGATGTTAAGCCTGCAGGTACACAGAAGTCAAGAATTGAGGTTTGGAACCTCCACCCAGATTTCAGAGGATGCATGGAAATGCTTGGATTTCCAGGCAGATGTTTGCTGCAGGAGTGGAGCCCCCATGGAGAACCTCTGCTAGGGTAGTACAAAAGGGAAATGTAGGGTTAAAGCCCCCACATAGAGTCCCCACTGCCTAGTGGGGCTGTGAGGAGAGGGCCACCATCTTCCAGACCCCCTGACAGCTTGCACCATTCACCTGGAAAAGCCACAGACACTCAACACCAGCCCATGAAAGCAGCCAGGATTGGGGGGCTGTACTCTGCAAAGCCACAGGGGTAGAGTTGCCCAAGATATTGGGAGCCCACTTCTTGCACCAGCATGACCTGGATGTGAGACATGTAGTCAAAGGAGGTCATTTTGGAACTATGAAGTTTAATGAGTGCCCTGTTGGATTTCAGACTTGCACAGGGTCTATAGCCTCTTTATTTTGGCCAATTTCTCACATTTGGAACAGGCGTATTTACCCAATGGTTGTACCTCCATTGTATCTAGGAAGTAACTAACTTGCTTTTGATTTCACAGGCTCATAGACTGAAGGGACTTGCCTTGTCTCAGATGAGACTTTGGACTTGGACTTTTGTGTTAATGCTGGAATGAGTTAAGACTTTGGGGTACTGTAGGAAGGGCATGACTGTGTTTCAAAATATGAGGACATAAGATTTGGGAGGGGCCAGGGGCAAAATAATATTATTTGGTGGTGTCCCCATCCAAACCTCATCTTGAATTGTAGTTCCCATAATCCCCACGTCATGGGAGGGACCCTCTGGGAGGTAATTGAATGCTGAGGGCAGGTTTTTCCTGTGCTGTTCTCATGACAGTGAATAAGTCTCATGAAATCTGATGGTTTTTAAAGGGCAGTTCCCCTGCACATGCTCTCTTGCCTGCTGCCATGTAGGACGTGCCTTTGCTCCTCCTTCACCTTCTGCCATGATTGTGAGGCCTCCCTGCCATGTGGAACTGTGAGTCAATTAAATCTCTGTCCTTTATAAATTACCCAGTCTTGAATATGTTCTTATTGCAGCATGAGAACAGACTAATACAACCTCCATACACACCCCTAGGAAAGAGGCTAAATCTAGGAGGTCAAGCAGCAATGGCCTGCAAGCCCCACTTCCATGGTGTCTCACAGGATAAGACCCACTGGCTTGGAATTCTAGCAGCTACTAACAACAATGTTGTGCCTATCTGGGACAGAGTTCCTGGGTGTAGGGACAGGCTGACATCTTTGCTATTTGGACAACTCAGCCATTCCAGCCTGCAGGCTTTGGAGAGTCCAAACCAACCAGGGGCAGAAGTGATCCCCCAGCACAGCACAGCTGCTTTACCAAAACATGGACAGACTTCCTCTTTAAGGAGTTCCTGATCCCATTCCTCCAGACTTGGTGAAAGCTTCCAAGCAGTGTCTCCAGCCACTTCCTACAGGTGCATTTTGGCTGGCAACAGGTCCATACTTTCCTGGAAGGGATTTCTCAGAAAAAGGTGAAGGCCACCATCTTTGCTGTTTCACAGCCTTCACTGGTGATGCCTCCAGGTACTGGAAAATACAAGGTGACTAGGGATGGGAGCAGACCCCCAACAAACTGCAGCATCCCTATGGAAAGGTGGCAAGACTGCTAAAAGAAAAAAAAAATCCAAAGGTCGGCAATCTCAAAGATTGAAGGTAGGTAAGCCCAAAAGATGAGAAAGGATCAGTGCAAGAATGCTGAAAACTCAAAAAGCCAGAGTGCCTACTTTCCTCCAAATGACCGCATCACCTATCCAGCAAGGGTTTGGAACTGGGCTGAGGCTGAGATGGCTGAATTGGAATTAGAATTAGAAGTAGAATTCAGAATATGGATAAAAATGAACACAATGCAAAGAAGCTAAATATCATGATAAAACATTGCAAGAGCTGACAAAGTAACCAGTAGAGACAAGAACATAACTGAACCTGATAGAGCTGAAAAACACACTAAAAGAATTTAATAATGCAATTATAATTATTAATAGCAGGATAGACCAAAGGGAAGAATCTCAGAGCTTGAATACTGTATTCTGAAAAATAAGACAAATAGACAAGAATGAGAAAAAATATTGACAAAAAATGAAGAAAACATCTAAGAAATATGGGATTATGTAAAGAGACTGAATCTGTGAATGATTGGTGTACCTGAAAGAGATGGGGAGAATGGAACCAATTTGAAAAATATATTTCAGGATACTGTCCATAAGAAGTATCCCAACCTAGACAGACAGGCCAACATTCAAATTCAGGAAATCCAGAGAACTCCAGTAAGATACTCCACAAGAATATCATCCTCAAGACACACAATCATCAGATTCTCCAAGGATGAATGAAGGAAAAAATGATAAGAGCAGCTAAAAAGAAAGGCCAGGTCACCTACAAAGGGAAGCCCATCAGACTAACAACAGCAGACCTCTCAGCAGAAATCCTACAAGCCAGAAACCCTACAAGCCAACATTCTTAAAGAAAAGAAATTCCAAACCAGAACTTCCTATCTGGCAAAACCAAGCTTCGTAAGTGAAGGAGAAATAAGATCCTTTTTAGATAAGCAAATGCTGAGGGAATTTGTTTCCACCAGACTTGCCTTAAAAGAACTCCTGAAGGAAGCAATAAACATGGAATGGAAAGATCATTAACAGCCACTACAAAAACACACTGAAATACAGAGACCAGTGACATTATAAAGCAACCACATAAACAAATCTGCAAACTAACCAGCTAACATAATGATGACAGGATCAAATACACAGATATTAATAATAACCTTAAATGTAAATGTAAACACCCCAATTAAAAGACACAGAGTGGCAAACTGGATAAAGAACTAAGATCCATTGGTATGCTGTCTTCAAGAGATCCATCCCACATGCAATGATACACATAGGATCACAGTAAACAGATGGAGGAAAATCTACCAAGCAAATGGAAAACAGAAAAAAGCAATCCTAGTTTCTGACAAAACAGACTTTAAACCAACAAAGATTTTAAAAAGATAAAGGAGGGCATTACATAAGGGTAAAGGATTTAATTCAAAAAGGAGATCTAACTATCCTAAATACATATGCATGCAACACAAGAGCACCCAGATTTGGAAAGCAAGTTCTTAGAGACCTGCAAAGAGATTTAGACTCCCACACAATAATAGTGGGAGATGTTAACACCCCACTGACAATATTAGACAAATCATCTAGCAGAAAATAACAAAGATATTCAGGACCTGAACCTCAGCCCTGGATCAAATGGACTAGATAGGTATCTACAGAACCTTTCCCAAAATATAACAGAATATACATTCTGCTCATCACCACATGGCACTTACTCTAAAATCAATCACATAACTGAAAGTAAAACACTCCTCAGCAAATGCAAAAGAACTGAAATGATAACAAACCATCTCTCAGACCACAGTGCAATCAAATTAGAATTCAAGACTGAGAAATTCACTCAAAACCATACAATTACATTCAATAACCTGTTATTGAATGGTTTTGGGGTAAATAATGAAATTAAGGCAGAAATCAAGTTCTTTGAAACTAATGAGAACAAAGAGACAATGTACCAGAATCTCTGGGACATAGCTACAGGGTTAAGAGGGAAATTTATAGCACTAAATGCCCAATCAAAAAGTTAGAAAGAGCTCCAGTTAACAACCTAACATTACAAGTAAAGGAACTAGAGAACCAAGAGCAAACAAATAACAAAGCTAGCAGAAGATAAGAAATAACCAAAATCAGAGCTGAACTGAAAGAGATAGACACACACACAAAATTCCAAAGATCAACAAATCCAGGAGCTGTCTTTTTGAAAAAATAAATAAATAAATAGACCACTAGCTAGACTAATGAAGAAGAAAGGAGAGAGGAATCAAATAAAAACAACCAGAAACAACAAGGGGAAAATTAGCACTGATCCCACAGAAATACAAATTATCAGAGAATATTATAAACACCTTTATGCACATAATCTAGAACATCTAAAAGAAATGGATAAATTCCTGGACACATGCAACCTCCCAAGACTGAACCAGGAAGAAGCTGATTTCCTGAACAGACCAATAATGAGCTCTGAAATTGAATCAGTAATAAATAACCTACCAACCAAAAAAAGCCCAGGATCTGATGAATTCACAGCTGAAGTCTACCAGATGTACAAAGAAAAGCTGGCACTATTTCTACAGAAACTATTCCAAAAATTTAGAAGAGGGACTCCTCCCCAGCTGATTCTATGAGGGCAGCAGCATCCTGATACCAAAACCTGACAGAGATACATGAATAGTAAAAAAACAAAACTTCAGGCCAACATCTTTGATGAACATTGATGGAAAAATCCTCAACAAAATACTGACAAATCAAATCCAGCAACATATCAAAAAGTTTATCCACCACTATTAAGTAGGCGTCATCTCTGGGATTCAAGATTAGCTCAACATATGCAAATCAATAAATATGATTCATCACATAAACAGAACTAAAGGCAAAAATCACATGGCTATCTCAATAGATACAGAAAAAGCCTTCGATACAATTCAATATCCCTTCATGTTAAAAACTCTAAATAAACTAAGAATTGAAGGAACATATTTCAAAATAATAAGGGCCATCTATGACTAACCCACGACTAACATTATACTGAATGGCCAAAAGCTGGAAGCATCCCCCTTGAAAACTGGAACAAGACAAGGATGCCTTCTCTCACCAATCCTATGCAACACGGGAAATTCTGGGCAAGTCAATCATGCAAGAGAAAGAAATAAAGAGCACTCAAATAGAAAGAGAAAAAGTCAAACTATCCCTTTTTGCGGAAGACATGATCCTATATCTAGAAAACCTCATCCTCTCAGCCAAAAGCTTCTTAAGCTGATAAAAAATTTCAGCAAAGTCTCAGGATACAAAATCAATGTGCAAATATCACTAGCATTTCTATACACCAGCAACAGTCAAGCGGAGAGCCAAATCAAAAAGGCAATCCCATTCACAACTGACACAGAAAGAATAAATACCTAAGAATACAGCAACTAGGGAGGTGAAAGATCTCTATATGGAGAACTATAAACCATTGCTCAAAGAAATCAGAGATAACACAAACAAATGGAAAAACATTCCATACTCATGGATAGAAAGAATCAATATCACTAAAACGGCCATACTGCCCAAAGCAATTTATACATTCAATGCTATTTCCATTAAACTGTCATTGACATTCTTCACAGAACTAGGAAAAACTATTTCAAAATTCATATGGAACCAAAAGAGAGCCCAAATAGCCAAGGCAATCCTAAGCAAGAAGAACAAAGCTGGAGACATCATGTTACCCAACTTTAAAACTATACTACAGGGCTACAGTAACCAAAAAACCATGGCACTGGTACAAAAACTGACACATAAACCAATGGAACAGAATAAAAAACCCAGAAATAAAACTCCACACCTACAACTATCTGATTTTTTACAAACCTGACAAAAACAAGCAATGGGGAAAGGATTCTCTAATCAATAAATGGTACTGGGATAACTGGCTAGCCATATACAGAAAATTGAAACTGGACCCCTTCCTTACAACATATACAAAAATTAATTCAAGATGGATTAAAGACTTAAATGTAAAACTCAAAACTATAAAAACCCTGGAAGACAACCTAGGCAATACCATTTAGGACATAGGCATGGGCAAATATTTCATGATGAAAATGTCAAAAGCAATTGCAACAAAAGAAAAAATTGACAAATGGCACCTAATTAAACTAAAGAGCTTCTACAAAGCAAAGGAGACTATCAACAGAGTAAACAGACAACCTACAGAATGCAAGAAAATTTTTGCAAACTATGCATGTGACAAAGGTCTAACAGCCAGCCTCTGTAAGGAACTTGAACACATTTACAAGAGAAAAACAACTCCATAAAAAAGTGGGCAAAGGACCTGAATAGACACTTTTCAAAAGACATACATATGGCCAACAATCATATGGAAAAAAGCTTAACATCACTGATCATTAGAGGAATGCAAATCAAAACCACAGTGCGATACCATTTAACACCAGTCAGAATGGCTATTATTAAAAAGTCAAAAAATAACAGATGTTGGTGAGGTTGTGGAGAAAAAAGGAACTCTTTTACACTGTTGGTGGGAGTGTAAATTTGTTCAGCCATTGTGGAAGAAAGTGTGGCAATTCCTCAAAGACCTAAAGACAGAAATACCATTAGACAAAGCAATTCCATTACTGGGTATATACCCAGAGGAATATAAGTCATTCTATTATAAAGATATGTGCATGCATATGTTTATTGCAGCACTGCTCACAGTGGCAAAGACATGGAATCAACCTAAATGTCCATCAGTGATAGACTGGATAAAAAGTATGGTTTATATACACCAGAAAATACTATGCAGCCATAAAAAATAATGAGATCATGTCCTTTGCGGGAGCATAGATGGAGCTGGAGGCCATTATCCCTAGCAAACTAACACAGGAACAAAAAACCAAATACTGCATGTTCTCACTTATAAGTGGGAGCTAAATGATGAGAACACAGGGACACATAGAAGGGAGCAACACACACTGGGGCCTTTCACAGAGTGGAGTGTTGGAGGAGGGAGATTAGGAAACATAACTAATGGGTACTAGGCTTAATACCTGGGTGATGAGATAATCTGTACCAAACCCCCATGACACAAGTTTACCTATGTAACAAACTTGCACTTGTACCCCTGAACTTAAAATAAAAGCTAAAAATAAAAAATTTAAAAAAAAAAAGAGCTCAGCCTCAGCCTTTTTTCTAGCGGCCATCCAAAAGTAAACAACTCAAAAGACAGCCTAGTTTGAACCCTCTCTGATAAGGCCTTTCATTCAGACTTAACAGTTCTTGCCCCTGTACTTCCTCCCCAGCCAATATAAGAAAGGATTTTGAATGATGGCCTGCATAAAAAAGAGATTGTGCTTATTTTTCCACTATAGATGAGGGAACTGTTGCAGGATAGGGTAGAGCCAGCCAGGTTTCTTCATGGTCTCAAGAGACAGACCTGAAGTGTCAGAAAGCCAGAGTAAGTACCAGAGCCTCAGTATACTTGAGATTCAGTGGCAGGCAGGTCTTGAACTCCATTCAAAAAGGTTTAGTTATAGGGCTTTTAAAAAAAGTCCTTGTTGCAGAATGGGTTCAAATTTATGTCATCCCCTTGCAAGAACACAGAGGAGAGCTTTATTATAAGCTTTGTTGACATTTTACTTGCTATGTAAGGAATAACATCAGAGCTAAAAAGTACCTTTCAAACAATGTCTAACCCCTTTATTTGTCAGAAGGGAGACTACTTAGAGAAGATAAGTGAGTTACAAAAAACTCACAGAAATGAGGTTTGGTATACAGAAAGCTCATAAAGGAGTCATGATATACAGGACACTCGTAGAGGAATCAGCATTGGAATCCAAGCATCCTGCTCATATGCAGTGCTCTTTCCATCACACCACAAATTTTAAATGTTCTGAGACTCATTAAAGCCGCACTAAATATGCAGTTGTCATTTGTAGATTATCTGGGTTTTTCTTTGCTAAGAGCACCTCAGGACTGTGTTTTCAAAGGCAATCCCACTTTTATTTTTGAATTTGCATTGATTTGTTTGCTTTTGTTTGTAAAGAAGACAGCATTCAATCAAAATGCTTAAATCCACTCACAGAGATGCTTGCTTACTTACTCCAGTGAATGGAAAAGGAAAACACACAGAAGAAAATGATTCCATGTTGTAAAGTTGCACGGTCCTTTTTTCTTCTCAGATTAATGCTCTCTGACATGAACATTGCAATTCACTGCATCATGAAGAAAATATAAACAGACAGCTTTTCTGAAAAGCAAACCACAGTTTTTAGGAATATACGTAAAATAAAAAGGAGCATGTAGATGGCTCTTCTGGTCAGGCACATGGAAAATGCTTTTTATTTGGCAGCATTTATCCAGAGGCCAAAAGATTTTATGACCAAGAATTTTGCTATTTGTATAACTGTGGTTTTTTCGTTTGTTTTTCCCCACTTTACTTTCTCCTTGCTACATTCTACTCATCTTTTCCAAACTGCCCATTCTGCTACTTCCCCCCATGCAAGCTCTTAATTGAAAACAAAAAATTCATGACTTGAATCCTTTTTACCATTCTTTCCATCTCCATTCCTCTCAGTATTTACTAAATCAAAAGAATGATGCAAATAGTGTATGTGGATTTTTCCAAGGAATATGACAAGCCCTTATGTTATTTTTGTGAAGAAAATGGATTGATGTTAGGACACAGGTCAATTCATAGCTGACTAAATAATAATACTCAAAGAGTTTCAATTAAACAACCAAACTTAGAGAGAGTTCTCTAGTGTAAAACCAGAGGAACCTGTCTTTAGTCATTCTCTCTTTTTTTATATTTGGGAATGGCCTCACCAGACTAGGATCACTATGAAGCTAGACTTTCACTCAGTGTTTGACATAAATTAGGAAGCCAATAAATATTTTTTTAAGAATCAATGATGAGGATGAGCATACTGATAATATGCTGATCAAATCCATAGGATCAGGAATTGAAAAAGCAATCTCAACCTATTATTGATGACCTTAGCAATGAACCAGATCTATTAAGAACTTGGCTACAGACATATCACAATTTCTCAGATATAACAAAGAGGAAGTGTGATTTAAGAGCAGACTGTGTTTAATGTATAATTTTTAAAAACAACTCTGAGATAAAGCCAGCTCAAAATATTATAAAAGCATGATAGAACTGCCAATTAAGCCAATAGTATCTGAAACTGCACTAAACAAATGGGGTCCTGAGCTAGAAAATTGAACTCCTAGTCCAGTTTTCAGCAGAACACCCACATTGGCTAAAATCAGTTTTACTAATGATCCAATATCCAATATCCAATTTCAGTTTGACTAAAATGGAACTTGCTTTCAAGTGATTTGGCATCCATTCAGAGATCCTAAAAATAAAATTGTATTATATTATAATTAATTATATTATATTAAATATAATTTTATATTATAATTATATTATATTAAATATAATTTTATATTATAATTATATTATATTAAATATAATTTTATATTATAATTAATTATATTATATTAAATATAATTTTATAGTATAATTAATTATATTATGTTAAATATAATTTTATATTATAATTATTTTATATTAAATATAATTTTATATTATAATTATTATGTTGTATTATATAATTATATATTATAATTAGCATATTAATTATAATATATTATAGTAAATATAAAAATAATATGTATATTTAAATTATATTATATCATATTAAAATTAAGGGATAGGGGCTTTAGACAAACCAGCCAAAAATTTCCTAAGTAAACAAAAGAGGAAAAGGCATCCATTAGAAAAACAAATCATCTCACCATTCATAATAAGCAGCACACTTAAGAACTACCATTAAAAATATAAAATTGTGTCTGAAACACCCCTTTACATATTAAATTTAGAATACCTAAAATTCCAGAAAGATGATAAAAGCAAATGCAACAAGATATGAGTGCAAAAGCACTTAGAAAAGCATTGCAGTTCAGATGAAAGTCGCAAATAACTTTCAACTTAGTTTACATTGACACAATTACAGCTGGACCATTGTACAATAATTCACCCTTATCCATGGGCGATACGTTCCAACACCCATATTAGATGCCTGAAATTGTGGATAGTTTTGAATCATATATATATATATATATATATATGTATATGGTTATATAAATATATGGTTTTTATATATATATATATGGTTTTATGTATATATATATATATATTCCTATACATATATACCAATTATGAAGTTTGATTTACAAATTAGGCACAGTAGGAGATTAACAATAACTAAAAATAAATTAGAACAATTAAAACAATATACTGTAATGAAAGTTACGTGAATGTGGTCTCTCTCTCTCTCTCTCTCTCAAAAAAGTCTTATTGTCCTGTACCATAAGTAAAACAAAAAAACAGAAAGTGAAATTGTGGATAAAAGAAGACTATTGTACATATGGTTCCTGACTCGCCATGGTTCAATTTACAATTTTTCAACATTACAGTGGTGGGAAAGCGATACACATTCAGCATGCTCCTTGACTTATAATGGGGTTTGCCTTAACAGTATTTTCAATTTATGATGAGTTTATCAGGTTGTAATAATGTGGTATGTCAAGGAGCACCTGTACTCAGTTCTGAATGCCCACTGAGAAAATGTAACATGTTCACAGAGGAGAAACAAGAATGATTGGAAGACTTGAAACCATGTCATTTTAGGAAGACATGAGGGCACTCCAGATTATTTGCACGGAGGAGAAAGAAGACTCATGTTGGACACAATATTTGACTTTAAATATTTGAAAGTATTTAGTATACTTATTCTGTTGGCTACAGGAATCCTACCTAAAATTAATAAAATTGATAAAGATGCAAATCTGGGCTAAAGATATGATGGAAGGCTTGGCCAGTTATAGTTTTAAAAATTTGTAATGGCTACCTTGGAATTACATTCTTAAGACTGTTTTGCAGGTAATTGATTACATTTTTAATGTATCACCAAGGTTATTTATAAATAAACTGTAGGACTGCAATTTAGAAATATTCTACTGAGAGCTGAGACTTTGGATTTCTATCCTAGGCTTAGTATTTTCATCTTTCTCTCTGCAAATTCTCTCCACCCATAATGGCTGCTATGACTGTGTTATTTTCCTGATTTTCTTTCGAAATGAAGTCTTATGAACTGTAACTTGGTTTTTATTTGGAGATTAAGATTCTGCAATTTTAAGCTAGGCAGAACACAAGAAACTGATAGCAAGAAACATAATTATTTGCCATCAAACCCATGACATAACGTCCTTCACCTACTTGTGTCAAATGATCACAGACTTATTTACTTAGTGTCTTATCCAAAATATAACAGAAATAGTATATTAGAAAGGTAAAACTATGGGTGCATTATAGGTACATTGATCTCAGTGAAACCTGATATAATAGCTCACAATCCTGAGGGACAAGATAGCCATAAATAGTGAGCTGGAGCATAAAGAATATGTCTTTGCTTACCTTTTGGGCAAACAACACTACAGTCTCAGTAGCATCTTGGGGCATCTCTCTTTTTCAACCAAAAAGAATGATCATTATGTATAGTAATCAGTAATTATCAAAGATAATAGTCCTATTAAATTATCTAATGGATACTGTCCTTAAGAAGTTAGAGAAATGTTTTAATTGTTCTTGAAAATTTTTAAAACATAGTTTATATTTTAAAAGTCAAACCAATAGAGAGATTGACATCAGCTATATAAAGTCATTTTTGTAAAGTGCACCTATGCCTACAGATGTCAGATAAGCTTCCCCATACTTGATCCTGTATTTCACTTTTCAATCTTGTTTCCTTTGGGTTTATATAATTAACAATATTAGTTGTGTCTAGGAAATTGGCATTATTCCACTTCCTACCCTAGGGATTCACAATTGTTACTAATTAATCATATGGGGTAGGGGTTGGTAAGATAGGAATAACCTCATACATCAATATTAACATCAAAATATTCCTGGACATGGGACATTAGAACCACATACCAAGTAAACAAAATGTTTATTCCCTAAGCTAAACTATTCAAAGAATGTTTATTTCTCCCCTGAACTATGTTACTTAATGTTCGCAGGTTATTGTTGCCTTTTCAATATTTAACCATTTAATTACTAGCCAATTACATCATATTTGGACATTACTTGATTTAACTAATAATTACCACCCAGAAAAATGGCTTGTAAAGCAAATTTGTGTAAAACAAGTTATCTTTTTCTATCAACCTTTATAATAATTTAAGGAATGAAGAAATGTGTCCCTGAACTATTGCAGGTTTTTTTTTTGTTTTTTTTTTTATGTTCCTGCCCAAAGGTGATTATAGCGCAAGAGGGGTACAGTTACTCCACTAACTCAAAACATCTGCCAGCTGCCTGAAGCCATGGCTCAATTCAGGCATGGAATGCAGGAAGTCCTGCTCTTTCCACCTTGCTTTAGTTTCAAATGTTTGCCTCATGCAGACAACTTCTCATCCCCCATTGCCACAGCCTAGATTTGATGTCACATCCAGGAT
The DNA here is from genome assembly GCF_000001405.40 of Homo sapiens. Lineage (NCBI taxonomy): Eukaryota > Metazoa > Chordata > Mammalia > Primates > Hominidae > Homo > Homo sapiens. The sequence goes on along the minus strand of NC_000023.11, from coordinate 98,607,904 downwards.
CAAGCTGTGGGAGATACGAGTAGCAGCTGGTCACATCCTGCTGTTTCTGTGGCAAGGTACAGACAACTGGAGAGCTCATTTTGTATATGCTCTCAGAAACTGTTTGTCTGCTGGCAAATTTCAGTTCATGTGACATTTCTGGAAGCATATATTGAATTTATTCCCTACTTTTCTGTTATGGTAAATGTCTAGTTGGTGAAACCCCACATAATGGGGTACACCTGCACTGGCAAGAAGCTGTGAAGCTGCACAGTAAAATTAACCGTTGGCATTTGGTGTCAGGACACATTACTGTATTTACAAATTCACCCAATAAATCTACAGGCTTTAATATTTCTTTTTGTTTGTTTGTATGTGTACATTATATACCCAGCTAAGAAACTATCACATCTCCTGGTTGCTTCACACCATGACTCTGTGTTTAGGCAGCACTGAATCAGCATTCGAGAAGACACTGTTACTGAAAGCTTTGTCCTTGAGCTAAAATGTACAATTAAAGTCCTGACTACTTTGTACTGACTAATTATCTAGTGTGACTTTTTCAATGATATGGACATCAATTAGCTCCAGTGTCTTAAACTAATTTTAAATTAGGTAATTACATTGTATACCCTGCAATTTCTTCTGGGAAACACGTTCTTTACTTCCCGTCTCTAACTGATGGCCAGCTGTTAAATAGCTTCCAAGTTTTCTCTAGAGATGGTTATATATCAGAAATGCATCCTTTATAGGATTTTTTCAGAACGTTCAAGATGAAAGGAACTGTGCAAGTGGTACTGTTATTGTTTATTATTATTATCAGTGACAACTCTTTTCACAGCAGCATTGCATTGGTAATTTGGAGGCAAATGACAATATTTTAAGATGAACCTCAGGAAATACTGTTAGATGAATTTTTGCCTTAAAAACTATTTGCTTTACTTTAATACTTCCCAAGTTCTTACTAAATGCATACATGTTGGCAGAAAAGAATTTTAAACTCATCTCGATTTGAAATTTTGTCCAAGTGTGAGGGGGGGCCACGGGGAAGAGAAAAAAGTAAAAAAGTAACCTGAAGCCTCTTTTGAAAAACATTAGAAATAATATTCAAGGTCTTGAGTACTCTAAAGGACGAAATATTCACTAGTGATGAAAGCAAAACATAATGTGGGAATTTGTTTTGTGAGCTACCCATGTTTCCTCAATCATGAAAACAAATCTTATCAGCAGATGTCAGGTATTAGACATTCTGAGTAGATTTCTCCTCCCCAAAAATCCAAGTGCAAAAAGCCACATTTATTTAGAGACCAAAAATTTAAACCATACGTAAGCACTGATCTATTTATTATAACTCAGTTTTTAATGGTCACATATACATTCCAAAACTTAAGGACTATATATAGTAGTATGTGTTTGCATATAGACAATCTGAGTCCGTAAATGTGAGAAGTGTGAGTTATTTTGTGTATAGAAATTGTGCTGGTCATGTCAGCTATTTTGATAGTCGTTGACGTTGAGACAACTCCTAGTTAGCAAGTTGCACTTTAATGGAATCCATGTTATCTCTTTTTAAGTTGCATTATCACAGTAAGTACATAAGATCCTCAGAGAGGGGAGGCATTCAATATTTAGTAAGTCTAATCATCTATCCTCTGAATCTACTAGACTGAGACAGCGCTGTGGATAGACAGTTCCCCTCTGTGACTCATTCTTTCAAGATTAACACTATAATCACAAAAATCCCTAGTTCTCTTAATAATCCTTTGTAGATTTAAAACCCATTTAAAAAAGTATGTCTTGCATGAGATTAGCATGTGTATGCTCCTTTAGAAAAGAGACCATGCCTTATTCATCTTTGTAGCCACTTCCCTTTGTAGAGTAGTGCACTACAGGAGCTCAATTAAAAACTGCTGAATGAAAAACTTAATGTTTTTTCTTTTTTCAGTCTTTATCATTTCTTGAAATATAACAATTTATATGATTAACTGTGTAACAGTATTTCCTTTAATTCATCCTAAAACTGTGTCTTTATTGTTTCAGAGGCTACCTTTTGTCACTCTGGAATTTCGTGAATCCATCTGTGGTCATCCAAGTTATTTATTTGCTCAACAACAATTTATCTAGCCCCTCCTACATACAAGGTCTGTGAAGATACAAATATGAAAAAGCCAGGCCCCTAAAAGAGTTTCCTTCCTACTGGAGAACGATAAAACAGTAAAAAGTCGCAAGTTCCCTAATACAGAAAAGGAGAGAAACATGATATTGTGTGGGAGATGAATTAGGTAGGAAACTATCCAGCTTATAATTGCAAAGTGAAACTTTCTTTTGTTTAGGAGGGGTTTCTTCAAAATCTTGTCCTACTGGCATGGATTGGTTGTCATCTTTTAATCCCTCTGGGAAACTATTTCTTATTCACAAAGTTATTGATTTTTTTAGGTAAACTTGACCTGCTCAGAGAGACTGCTTTATTCAATGGTTACTGTGTGATGTCATGCCAAGTACTGATATGTTAAATGTTCTTAGGAAAAAACTTGTCTCCCCTAAGGTATTCCATAAAAACTTTGTACCATTCACATCACTTATAAAATCACTTTGCAATTCCAAAATTATTCTAAAAAATACCTTATGTATATACACAGTCACCAGTCAAGCCAATAGATAAATTCCTAATCAAACTTGCTTCTTCAGAAAAGAACTATCTTTCAGATCACCTTAATTTTGTTCTAAAATAAGTTGTAGAGGGACAAGTCAAGCATGCAGAAGTCATTGGCCAACCTGCTATTTCTCAGCTAATAAGAAATGTCTCCCGTGTTTCCATTTATTACAAATTATTATGATAAGAAAAGGGCAAGCACCAGCAGTCATTAGTCAATCCAATAAAAGAAATCAAACCTTACTAGAATTGAATGACAAAACACTGTAGTCCATTTCTTTCCTGAAATCCATTAACCTCTATTTCATATGAAACCTCTCGTAGAATTTATTTTGATCTAAATACACATTTCTTTCATTATCATTTACTGCACCACATACTGTATTAAATTTACTCTGTACACATTAAGAAGTTAGGTGTCCCAGAAATTAAATAGCTATCCTGTCGTGTGATAATATAATATCTCTTTGAAAAACAAAGAGATCATTGATGACATAATCTGAGATTCAAGAAGACAGTTTTCTAGAATAATGGATAAAGACTTAGAGTCTCATTCGTGAAAGAGAAAAGTTATCTTACTTTAAAGATGATTGAAAGGAAATTACCAGGCCTCAAGTGATATAAACATTTAACTCACTATTCTTTCCCTCCTATTCTCGTTTCATGAATATTAAACAAATTAGTCTTTTGTTACTGTAAGAACAAAAACTTGTTTGATTGATGAGGAAATATGATCTTTACAGGAGTCCATTAGTTCTTTCCATAATAACACAATCAAAAATATATTTCTCAGTTTAAATTTTAGGGAAGAACTCTCAATACACCAGAGTTAATACCTGCTACATAACTACTCAGAAACTATTCTTACTTATGCTTTACCATGCTAAATTGGACATCTTATGGAAAAATATATCTTTGAAATACCACAGCAGTCATTCAGTATCTGCTAGTAATCTATACTAGCATTTTGAGAACAGCACACTTGGAAGCAGTGTTATAGGGACTCCAAAGGGGTCTATTTTCTTTTATCTAAAATAGAAAGAGAAGTAATTACAACAGCAACCACAACAACAACATAAAAAAGGAATCTCTCACACATTAATTCAATTTTGTATGACTCTAAAACAATGGGTTGAAAAATAAGAACTTCAGCTAATTGCTCATTCTACATGATTATAAATAATCAAGTCAGAAATTTTCCAAGTATTTATTTGACTTACCCCTTTGGTGAAGTGACTATATTGCATTGGGACAATTTGGACAGAGTCTGACCCATAATATGAAACATAAGGGATCGATAAACTCCTCAGGAGTAACGTGAAGATGTATTTGATAACTAAGTATTAACCAAGTATTTTATCAACAATATATGGCATTTATGAAGCCAAATAATTTATATTTGCAACTCATATGGAGATGACTGTAATGGAGTTTACCGCCTTGTTCTAAACTCTGGAAAGTATTTTTTTTAATAAGTATGATAATGTATGCACTTCTCTGGCATGAAGGAATGTACTTGCCCTGAGAAAGACAAACTTTACAGGATTCCAGAACAGATATATTTTATTGCAAATGAGTGTATACAGAAGGGTAAAAAAATTATATTTTCAGATGATTTGGGGGAAAGTTAGATCAATATCACTTTTCCAACCATATAAAACTTAGTGATGTATGCTTTGTACATACTCATGCTGTAATTTAATAGTTTTGGCGCCTCTCCCACATCCATTTACTCCAGAAGTATGACTCTCAAGGTGGATGATAAAAGTTTCCTGAAATGAACTGGTCAAAATAGTTCCTAAAATATGTTAGAAACAAATTTGTGAAAGACAGAAAAATAGATATTTTTTACTGCTTTTGATAAGCACTGTTATTTCATGGGGTGGCTAAGTAAAAGTTCTTCAGCTCTTTTCCTCTGGAAACACTCTCACCCATCCAAATACACACACACATACACTTGTACAATCTCAGCCATGAAACCACATCAAGAGTACCATTACTAGTCTAGAGAAATTATTATAATAATTCTAGATAGCATATAGCCAATAACCTCTACCATACCCCCTTGGGCAGTGTAATTATTCTCATGCTAAAAAAAATGTGGGCTTTTGTGGGCTTGGTCATGTGATAAGAGTGCCACAGAGAACAACAGATTTTAAAATTATGAGTCCCAAAGGAAAAACACAACAAGTAAGTTGGCTAGAAGGCTGGCTTTATTTGTATATGACAGAAGTGACTTATCAGGACCCATTTCATTGCAAGTGACAAGAATCAAATTCAAACTAGGTTAAATCAAAACTGAGAATATGCTTAGCTCATACAGTTTAGAAGGATATGAGATAAACTAAAAATGGATAGAAGAACAACAGAAACCAGGATTTCAGGGACTAGAAACAGAGGAGAGAGAGAGAGAGAGAGAGCAAGAGATAGAGCAATCACATATATGTGGTGTCTTTTGATTAGCTATGAAATTTTCATTTTGAAACACCTAATGCTGTTCAGTTCAAAAGCAGTGACATTGCATTACAGACCTACTTGAAATACGTAAATTGCTGATTGGCGATTCTTAGGGTATATTCAAGCTACATCTGTGGGGGAAAGTGAACAAGAACTGCAGACAGAATAGACATTTCTCAGTGAGCCAGAGAAACAATGATGTGATTCAGAAAATAATAAGTTGATTAAAGAACTTAATGTCTAACACTTAGTAAGCATTCTTGTGCTGTACTTTTCATAATTTACCTTATTTAACCTTCACAACATCCAGATAAATAGAAAGTCCCATTTTACAACTGAAAAAACAAGGGGGTCAAGCAAATTTTGCAAAGTCACATAGTTTATGACTTTCAACCCAGCAATCCCACAATTGGGTATATACCCAAAGGGAAAGAAATCATTATATAAAAAAGATACCAGTAGTCGTATGTTTACCACAGTGCTATTCACAAAAGCAAAGATGTAGAACCAACCTAAATGTCCATCAATAGAGGATTAGATAAAGAAAATGTGGCATATATATATATGTGTATATATATATGTATGTATATATATAATATGTATATATATGTATGTATATATATAATATGTATATATATGTATGTATATATATAATATGTATATATGTATGTATATATATAATATGTATATATATGTATGTATATATATAATATATATATATATATGTATGTATATATATAATATATATATACTAAGGAATATTACTCAGCCATGAAAAAGAATGAAATCATGTATTTTGCAGCAACATGGATGGAACTAGAGGCCATTATCCTCAGTGAATTAACTCAGAAACAGAAAGCCTAAGACTGCATGTTCTCATTTATAAGTGGGAGCTAAACAATAAGTACACGTGGCTATACAGAGTGGAATAGACATTGGAAAGTACAAAAGATGGGAGGGTAGGAGGAGGGTGAAGACTGAAAAATTACCCATTGGGTACAATGTTTACTATTCAAGGGATGGGTACACTTCAGACCCAGACTTCACCACTATGCAATACATGCATGTAAGAAACCTGTACTTGAATCACCTAAATATATATTTTTTTAAAAGTTTAAAAAATAAATTAATTGAATAGCTATTAAATACATTTCTCACTCTAAAAATAAAAATTAAAAAAATGTAGAATTGTCTTAGTCCATTATCCATTATTATAACAGGATATCCCAGACTGGGTAAATTAGAAGCAATAGAAGTTTTCTTGGCTTATGGTTTTCTGGAGGCTGGAACTTCTATGTGAATGGCAGCAGCTTTTCATGAGGGCTTTTAAATTGCATAACATAACGGAAAAACAGAGGGGCAAGTGAGGGCATGTGAAAGAGACCGCAAGAGGGAGCTGAGCTTGCTTTCATAACAACCCCCTCTTGTGAGAATTAATTCACTGCCTTCGTGATGGTGTTAATGTATTCATGAGGGCTTCACTCTCATGACTCAATCATCTCCCAAATACTCACGCTCCTAATAGTGCTACATTGGCAATCCAGTTTCCAACACATGAACTTTTGGGGGATCCATTCACACCATAGCAAGAGTAATAATGCTATATTTACTTTTAGCATATAATAATATTTAATAAAAAGCTGCCATGTACTATAAAAGTAACACACTTAGATCCTGGAAATACAAATAAGAGAACATCAAAGGCTCTCTGGAAGACAATGATTTTATTATACTGAAAGCTGCACAATTTTACAGCCTGTGAAAGATTACTTTTAATTCTATGAAAGGAAAAGGACAATACAAACAAATATTATCAGTATTAGCCCTTCCCTAGAAGTTTTCTTTTTAAAAAGAAAAGGCAGGCAAGTTGAAGCTTAACTATAAGAATTTCCTCAAATCATTATTTGTCCTTGAACTTTTATCTCTTATACCACGTCCTCTTTCTGTAGCAAAGTATACACATAAGGGAAAAAGGGATTCATTATCCTCTTAGCCACACAAACCTGACAAAGGTCCCTCAAAGAACCCTACATAAAACAAAAAATGGTTATATAAATGATTTATATATAAAAATAAATGTCTACTCTCATTTCCTGTTCCACAAAGCCTTGCACTGTTGACTGAGGTTCCAGATAAAGAAAGGCAGCCTAAAAATCACTTTCCACATGATAAAATCTATTGCTCCTAATATAAAGAAAATAAGAAAATTACCAACTCATTTAATGAAGATGATCTAGTTTTATTTGTTAGAGAATAAGAACTTATTATTTTTACTCATGGGATATGGCACCTTCTGGTGTTGGCAACTGCCAGATTACATTGGCACCTGCCAATAGTGGTTAGTGAATTGGGGAAATATCAACAACTTTATGAACATCTGTGATTGCTATTACTTGTCCTAAGGCATTACTCCAGACTTCTTCAAATCTATGGCAAACCAATGTAAAATGCATTTAGTGACAAGATTGTTGTCATTCTGAGTTTCTAAAAGTGTCTGTTCTTATATCCATAGAGATTCTTTTCTTAGTTCCTGGGGACAGATTTTTTTTAAAAAATAAACTTTATTTTGTAATAGTTGTAGATTTAGAGAATTATGGCAAGGTTTGTTCAGAGAGCTACTATATCTTCCACACCCAGATTCTCCTATTACTATCATCTTACATTAGAATGGTACATTTGTTACAATTAATTAATCAATTGAACACATTTATTAACCAAAACCCAACCTTTATTCAGATTCCCTTGGTTTTTATCTAATGCCCTTTTTCTGTTCAAGGATCCCATCCAAGATATCACATTACATTTAGTTATCGTGTCACATTAAGCTCCTCTTGGCTGCAATAGTGTCTCAGATTTTCCTTGTTTTCGAGGACCCTGACAGTTTTGAGGAACAGTCGGGTATTTTGGACAATATTCATCAATTGGGATTCATCTACTTTTTTTATTAGAATGGGGTTATGTGTTTTTGGTAGGAAAACTACAGAGGTAAATTACTATGACCATCATATCATAACAGAGGCGCATACTATCAATGCGAATTATCACTGTTTTTTATAGTTTTATTTTTTATTGATGCATAATAGATACACACATTTTGGGGGTATATGTAATTATTTAATACATTCATATAATCTGTAAGATCAGTATAACTGGGATATGCAATGACTTAAATATTTGTATTTTGTTCATGCTACATTCAAATTATCTTTTCTCTAATTATTTTGAAATATACAATAGATAATTGTAAACTATAGTAATCCTACTCATATATCAAACACTAGGTCTTATATCTTCTATCAAACTGTATTTTTGTACCTATTAATCAACCTCTGTTCATCACCCCTGAGACCTTCCCAGACTCTGGTAACCAGCAATCTGCCCTCTATTTTCATGAGATCTACTTTTGTGGCTCCCATATATGAGTGAGAACATGCAATATTTGTCTTTCTGTGCTTGAGTTACTTCACTTAACTTAATGACCTCCAGTTTCATTCCAGTTGCTGCAAATGGCAGGATTTCATTCTTTCAAGAGCTGAATACTCCATTGCGCATATATACCAAGTTTTTTATATCCATTCATCCATCGATTGACATTTATGTTGATTCCATATTGTAGATACAGTGAACAGCACTGCAATAAACACAAGAGTGTAGATATATATCTCTTCAATACATTAATTTCCTCTTTTTGGATATATGCTCAGTAATGGAATTGCTGGATCATACGGTAGTTCCACTTTTAGTTTTTGAGGAACCTGCATACAGTTTTCCATAGCATCTGAATTAATTTACATTCCCACCAACCGTGTATGAGGGCTTCCCTTTGTCGACATCCTTGCCGGCATTCGTTATCTCAAATTTTTGAATAAAAGTTATTGTATGATTTGCATCTCTCTGATTATTAGTGATGTTGACCATTTTTTAATATACCTGTTGGCCATTTGAATGTCATTTTTTTGAAAAATTTCTACTTACATATTTTGCCCAATTTTTAATCAGATTGTGTTTTTTGTTTTGTTTTGTTTTGCTACTGAGTTGGTTGAGCTTCTTATATATTCTGGTTATTAATCACTTGTCAGATGGTGATATGGTTTGGATGTTTGTTCCCTCCAATACTAATAAGTGCATCAAAAATATTATTTATTTCTATGGTATTTAATTTTTCAGAATTTCCTTTTTATTTATTTTTGTTAGAATTTCTATGTCTCTGCTTACATTACCTATCTGTTCTTACATATTGTCTGTTTTTTCATTAAAGGACTTAACTTATTGATCATAGCCATTTTAAATTTTATCTGGTATTTCCAACATCTGTGTCATAACTGGATCTTGTTCTAATGCTTGCTTTGTCCCTTCAGCCTGTGGTTTTTTTTCTCATCTTTCAATGTGCCTAATAACTTTTTGTTCAAAGCCAGACATATTGTATTAGATAATAGAAAGTAAAATAAATAGGCATCTAGTGTGAGAATACATGTTAATATGGCTAGAAATCAGCCTTTCTTAAATATTTGTTGTAGCTGTAGGTTGCAGAGGCTTCAAATTCCTCTAGCATCCTTACTTTTGTCTTCCCTCTTGAAATAGTTTGGCTGTGTCCCCACCCAAATCTCAAATTAAATTGCATCTCACAGAATTCCCAAGTTTTGTGAGAGAAACCCAGGAGGAGGTAATCGAATCTTGGGGGCCAATCTTTCCCATGCTAGTCTCATGATAGTGAATAGGTCTAATGAGATCTGATGAGTTTATCAGGAGTTTCTACTTTCCTTCTTCCTCATTTTCTCTTGCCACCACCATGAAAGTGCCTTTCACCTCCTGCCATGATACTGAGGTCTCCCCAGCCATGTGGAACTGTAAGTCCAATTAAACCTCTTTTTCTCCCAGTCTCAGGCATGTCTTTATCAGCAGCATGAAAAAAGGACTAATACTGTAACCTGGTACCAGTAGAGTGGGGTGTTGGTGAAAAGATACCTGAAAATGTGGAAGTGACTTTGGAGCTGGGTAACAGGCAGAGATTGGAACAGTTTGAAGGGCTCAGAAGAAGACAGAAAAATGTGGGAAAGTGTGGAACTTCCTAGAGACTTGCTGAATGGCTTTGCCCAAAATGCTAATAGCGATATGGACAATAAAATCCAGGCTGAGGGTGTCTCAGATGAAGATGAGGAACTTGTTGGGAACTGGAGCAAAGGTGACTCTTGTAATGTTTTAGCAAAGACACTGGCAGCACTTTGCCCCTGCCCTAGAGATTTGTGGAATGTTGAACTTGAGAGAGATGATTTAGGGTATGTGGCAGAAAAAATTTACAAGCAGCAAAGCTTAGAAACTCAAGAGGTGACTTGGGTGTTGTTAAAGGCATTCAGTTTAAGGGAAGCAGAACATAAAAGTTTGGAAAATTTGCAGCCTACTATGTGATAGAAAATAAAAACCCATTTTCTGGAGAGAAATTCCAGCCGGCTGTAGAAATTTGCATAAGGAGCAAGGAGCCCAATGTTCATTCCCAAGATCATGGGTAAAATGTCTGAAGGCTATGTAAGAGACCTTTATGGCAGCCCCTCTGATCAGAGGCCCAGAGGACCAGGAGAAAAAAGTGGTTTCATGGGCCAGACCCAGGGTCCCTCTGCCCTTTTTTCCAGCTGCTCCAGCCATGGCTTAAAGGGGCCAACATACAGCTTGGGCTGTGGTTTCAGAGGGTGAAAGCCCAAGCCTTGGCAGATTCCACGTGGAGTTGAGCCTGCAGGTGCACAGAAGTCAAGTATTGAGGTTTGGGAACCTTCGCCTAGATTTCAGAAGACGTATAGAAATGGCCGGGTGCCCAGGCAAAAGTTTGCCACAGGGGCAGGGCCCTCATGGAGAACCTCTGCTAGGGCAGTGCAGAAGCAAAATGTGTTGGGAGCCCCCACAAAGAGTCCCTACTGGGGCACTGCCTAGTGGAGCTGTGAGAAGAGGGCCACTGTCCTCCAGACCCCAGAATGGTAGATCCATCAATGGCTTGCACTGAGCACCTGGAAAAGCTGCAGACACTCAGCACCAGCCCATGAAAGCAGCTGTGAGGGAGGCTGTACCCTGCAAAGCTACAGGCGCGGAACTGCCCAAGACCATGGAACCCACCTTTTGCATCAGTGTGACCTGAATGTGAGATCAGGAGTCAAAGGAGATCATTTTGAAGCTTTAAAATTTGACTGCCACACTGAATTTTGGACTTGCATGGGCCCTGTAACCCTTTTGTTTTGGCCAATTTCTCCCATTTGGAACAGCTGTATTTACCCAACACCTGTACCCCCATTGTATCTAGGAAGTAACTAGCTTGCTTTTGATTTTACAGGCTCACAGGTGGAAGGGACTTGCCTTGTCTCAGATGAAACTTTGAACTGTGTACTTCTGGGTTAATGTCGAAATGATTTAAGACTTTGGGGGACTGTTGGGAAGGCATAATTGTTTTGAAATGTCAGCACATGAGATTTGGGGGACCAGGGTGGAATAATATGGTTTGGCTGTGTCCCCACCCAAATATCAACTTGAGTTGTATCTCCCAGAATTACTACTTGTTGTGGAAGGGACCCAGGGGAGGTAATTGAATCATGGGGGCTGGTCTTTCCTGTGCTATTCCCGTGGTAGTGAATAAGTCTCACAAGACCTAATGGGTTTTTCAGGGGTTTCTTCTTTTGTTTCTTTTCCATTTTCTCTTGCTGCTGCCATGTAAGAAGTGCCTTTTGCCTCCCATCATGATTCTGAGGCCTCCCCAGCATGTGGAACTGTAAGTCCAATTAAACCTCTCTTTCTTCCCAGTCTTGAGCATGTCTTTATCAGCAGCATTAAAATGGACTGAGACATCTCTTGATATTGAATTTTTTAAAATTATTCCTCCTCAGAAAGAGTCTGTGTCTTCCAGCTCTTTCAGATATAATCCGCTAAGATATCGGAGACCTGTTGCAGAGATGAGTAGGGGTGGGAGATGGAAAGCATTCTATTTTCTTTTAATTAAATTTTAAGTCTTTTAGTGGTCCTGTGTCTCTGGCTTTGACCTTCACAACTGTTTCTTCTACAGCTTTTTTTATTTCCTTCTGAGTAGGTAAGATAGGAAGAACTGAGGAGACTGTGATAAGTAGTATATATTTTCTTTCAAGGAGAACTACAAACCACTGCTCAATGAAATAAAAGAGGATACAAACAAATGGAAGAACATTCCATGCTCATGGGTAGGAAGAATCAATATCGTGAAAATGACCATACTGCCCAAGGTAATTTATAGATTCAATGCCATCCCCATCAAGCTACCAATGGCTTTCTTCACAGAATTGGAAAAAACTACTTTAAAGTTCATATGGAACCAAAAAAGAGCCCGCATCGCCAAGTCAATCCTAAGCCAAAAGAACAAAGCTGGAGGCATCACGCTACCTGACTTCAAACTATACTACAAGGCTACAGTAACCAAAACAGCATGGTACTGGTACCAAAACAGAGATATAGATCAATGGAACAGAACAGAGCCCTCAGAAATAACGCCGCATATCTACAACTATCTGATCTTTGATAAACCTGAGAAAAACAAGCAATGGGGAAAGGATTCCCTATTTAATAGATGGTGCTGGGAAAACTGCCTAGCCATAAGGAGAAAGCTGAAACTGGATCCCTTCCTTACACCTTATACAAAAATCAATTCAAGATGGATTAAAGACTTACATGTTAGACCTAAAACCATAAAAACCCTACAAGAAAACCTAAGCATTACCATTCAGGACATAGGCATGGGCAAGGACTTCATGTCTAAAACACCAAAAGCAATGGCAACAAAAGCCAAAATTGACAAACGGGATCTAATTAAACTAAAGAGCTTCTGCACAGCAAAAGAAACTACCATCAGAGTGAACAGGCAACCTACAAAATGGGAGAAAATTTTCACGACCTGCTCATCTGACAAAGGGCTAATATCCAGAATCTACAATGAACACAAACAAATTTACAAGAAAAAAACAAACAACCCCATCAAAAAGTGGGCAAAGGACATGAACAGACACTTCTCAAAAGAAGACATTTATGCAGCCAAAAAACACATGAAAAAATGCTCACCATCACTGGCCATCAGAGCAATGTAAATCAAAACCACAATGAGATACCATCTCACACCAGTTAGAATGGCAATCATTAAAAAGTTGGGAAACAACAGGTGCTGGAGAGGATGTGGAGAAATAGGAACACTTTTACACTGTTAGTGGGACTGTAAACTAGTTCAACCATTGTGGAAGTCAGTTTGGCGATTCCTCGGGGATCTAGAACTAGAAATACCATTTGACCCAGCCATCCCATTACTGGGTATATATCCAAAGGACTAGAAATCATGCTGCTGTAAAGACACATGCACACGTATGTTTATTGCGGCATTATTCACAATAGCAAAGACTTGGAACCAACCCAAATGTCCAACAATGATAGACTGGATTAAGAAAATGTGGCACATATACACCATGGAATACTATGCAGCCGTAAAAAATGATGAGTTCATGTCCTTTCTGGGGACATGGATGAAACTGGAAATCATCATTCTCAGTAAACTATCGCAAGAACAAAAAACCAAACACTGCATGTTCTCACTCATAGGTGGGAATTGAACAATGAGAACACATGGACACAGGAAGGGGAATATCACACTCTGGGGACTGTTGTGGGGTGGGGGGAGGGGGGAGGGATAGCTTTAGGAGATATACCTAATGCTAGATGACGAGTTAGTGGGTGCAGCGCACCAGCATGGCACATGTATACATATGTAACTAACCTGCACATTGTGCACATGTACCCTAAAACTTAAAGTATAATAATAATAATTTAAAAAAAAAGAAGTATACATTTTCTTTATGGCTCTTAGATAACATTCTGATCAAACCATTTCTCCTGGAGGCCCAATCCTCTGTTATGGAGAAGGTCTGGGTATATCTCAAAAGAAAAACTTTTTCCCTCCCACTGCCGGAGCCAAAAGGTATTATTTCTCACTTATTTACCATGAGAACCTGGTGGGGTTCCTGGAAGTCAAACCCAAAAATGTTCAAGAAATTTATCACTCTTATACTAGTGCATAATCAGCTTCTAGCTAATCATAAGAATTAACATTTAAGTGATTCTACCAGTTTATGGCTCCAATGGCTTTTGTTCTAGGTAAACAGATGTTGGCTCTGACTCTCTAAATTCACCTGTCTCTCCATATTTGGAAGTTGTGATTTGCCCTGTGACCTCAATTCTGTGATGTAAGCAAGAAAATCTTTGTCCGGTTTTCCCTTAGTGTAAAGATATGCTAAATCAACTTTAGCTTAAAGCTGCCTCCTTACCTATTTTAAGTTCAGCCTAAAGGTTTTGCTATGCATCGTGAACTATAACAAGTGAAAGTATAAACAGACTGTACCCTACGCTGTGCCATTCACTGAGTTTTAGCCAATCAAATGTAGCCAACTGTTCAAACTGTGTTCAAATAAGGCAAACGCCAACCTGCAACCAATCCAGCTGTTTCTGTATCTTGCTTCTATTTTCTTTATGTCACTTTCCTTTTTCTGTCCATAAATATTCCAACATGTGGCTGTGCTGGAGTCACAGAGCTCCAGGAGGCTGCCGGATTGATGAATCACTCATTGCTCAACTAAACTATTTTAAATTTAATTTGGCTGAAGTTTTTCTTTTATCAGTTGGTGTCAGAAGTGGGATCCAAAGTATAGCTTCTAGTGACCCCCAGGAGCTCTGAATGACTGACTGAGAAACCACCAGACCCATTGTGTCCATTGATCTCTTGAAGCAGCTGGGGATCATGGTAACTTCTCTCTCAGATTCTGAAGCTCCATAGATTTCTTTTCTGAACTCTCCAAGTTTCTTTGAGCGAATTAGTGATCCAAACTGGGTTTGGAAGTGAACAACAGAAACTGGACTGGGTTCAGGATTGGATTGTATCTGGTAATTAACTGTCTTGGATTAAGTAAGAGGTCTCTTACATCTGACTGCATCTGAAACAAATGGATAGTAAATGACCATATTGCAGCGGGTATAAAATTTTGCTATTGAAAATTTGCAGGGATTTTTGTGTTCTACCACTTTGTTTCATTTTTCTTGTGTGCTTAGGTAGGAAAAAATCATTGGCTAAGGTGATCAAGAGGACCTGACAGCAAAGTCAATATTTGAAATAAAAATAGTATTTTTAATTTCTGAAGAACTAAATTTCTTCCAGCTTATACACGCATAAGTGTTGGACCCTGGAAGCAGCAAAGTCTTAAAGAAATGGTGAAATCTTACTCAAGATAACTTACAGTGGAATATTCAAAATGAACAACACTGCACTGAAGAGCATTTAAAAATGAGGGCTCCCAAATTAGTCTCATCTAGGGATGCCTATTAATATGCAAAGCTTCTAAAAAATTCAATATTTTTATTTAAAGACTTTATGAAAGGCAAATAAAAACTTTAAGTGACTAATTGATTAAAATAATTAAATCTGCTGAGCTTTGGCTTAGTTATGATCCTGATCCAAAGGTAATAGACAGTAGCACCAATTGGCCAACTTTGAGTAAGTTGTGGGGTACATTTTACCTGTGTAAAGGATGGAATTGAGCTAGAGGCCCTCTCCTCAGTAAAGTCCCTCTTGCTTAAAAATGGATATGGCACTATAGGAAGTTAACTGCTATTCTCTTTGGAATAATCTACCTTGCACTCTTTGCTGATGGGTATGGGTAACAGGGTTAGGCAGGTACTAGATCACTGGACATGGGAAACCTTTTTCTCCCTACGAGGGAAACTTGAGAGCTGATGGGACTGCTGGAAAAGATGAATTGTTGTGACTGACAAGGGGCTGCCTCAACTATTGATTCAGTGTTGTTGCAATCGGTGGGTCTTTCTTTGGCCTTTCTGAACTCCTTGCCTTCCGCACCCTGTTGCAGGCAATGCGTTTCTCCTTTCCCTTTCCTCTCTCTCTGTGCAAGCCAGTTGTAAGAACTGCAAAAATTACTATCTCTTCCAAAGTTTTAATTAATGAGAAAAAGGATTCGTGAGGCTAATATTAAACTGTAGCAAATCTGGTGTAATTTGTCCTGTGAATTTGTCTTTCTGCATTGTTCTGTCATAAAAAATGTACCATAAGATAGAATGTAGGCCTAGGCCCCCATAAGCTTGCTGTTCAAGATGACCCAGCAAGCTGATCAGTAACAAACAAACAAAATGGGATGAGGTTTTCATCTTGTCTTTTGTTATGTCCTTGGGAACTTGACCTTGTAACCATGTAGCAGTACTTTCTCTTGGTCTCTGCCATCAAGAGAACAGGAATTTTGAGGTTCATGTCATAGTTAGCTTTAAAAATTATCTTCAGCAGGTAAAAGGCTTTGCAAGCTCAAAATTGGCTGCTCTAGATTCCTTCTGGGAAGAGCAATGGAAAGTGCTCAGTACTGTAGCTTAGCTGCCAAAGCTTGGCTACTGCCAAAGCTTGGCTTTGTCATTCCACAATGGCAACCCAGGTTCAATCCTGGCCTGGGGGATGAGTACTCTCTAGTTGACATCTGTGTGACCTTTACCATTTGTTGATTCTCTTCTCCATGTACAATTTCTGGCTTCCCTTCTTGAATTTTCCTTTAGCAAAGAACCTGGGAGGTTACCTTTGTTAAAGTTCAAAAGCCAGAAATATTGGCTGTTTGGCTTGGCTAAACTCGGGTAATATGAGATTTAAAAGGATTTTTATTTAAAAGTGCTATGGTTAAAAGTCAGCTTAATTAAAAGTGATATTCAAGTTCTAACATCCTGGGACTTCTTGGGAAAATCGTATTCAAGTTCTAACATCCTGGGACTCCTTGGGCAAAAATAGTCACACATGCTATTTTGGGGGAAAAAAACTCCTCTCATGGAACCCCAGGAATTGAAAGTGGATAGATCCCTCTCAAAATCTAAGGCTCTGTTCTGCTTTGAATTGGGTTATCTGACATTTTTTACTTTTGGGGGTATATCAGAAATTACTTCACATTATGAGAGAACTTTGGTGTGTAATAACTAGGTAAGAAATATACCTTTAGGGATAGCTAATGGCATTATGGGGCAATAATGTCAGTCATGGGGAGTACTCAGCTCTTTGCATGTTTGGATCATAGAAGCATGCTCTTGGCCACCTAGAACGTATGGAAATTCCCCCACCCCCACTGAGAGATAAGACTCCCTTGAGGGATGGGCTTATCACAGAATAAACTGAGACACTGGGGTGCTTTGCGATGAAATACATGGTGAAAGCATTGCACTGTCTTCTTCCATAGAATTTCCCTCTTTTGGGGGATCCAGGATGTGATATAAAAATGGGACCCTTAATTTTGGGGATCTGTTTTTGCCTTCCAGCTGTGGCTGCTTATTGGGCCCTAGAAACTGCATGCTTTTCTGCCCCTGTTCCTTGAAGGGCTCCACACTAAAGCCAGTAATACAATTAAGAAACATTTAAAAACTGGCAAATAAAAAATTTTACAACTACTGGATCTTCTGTTTGTCTATGTATTTATATGTGTTGTGTTCATGATGTTTATATAAAAGAGCTCTGATTAATGGGTTTAAAGATAATAAGTGCTTATATCAAATATTTTGTCTGAAAAAATAAAAATTGTAATGCCTTTTAGTTCATGTGACTGTAGTAAGCTTTGGAAACAAAAAGTTTTAAAAATTATTAGTAAAATAAAGACATTTGGTCTAATTTAGGCAGGTCAAATATTAGGTTTGCTTAATGCTGTAATCTGCTTCTTTGACTGAAAAATTTTCAACTTACCTGCTTTGAAGCCATTAGATTCTAGGTAAGGCCTTGGGACATGTGGAGTTAGCCAAGCCCTCTAGCTATCCTGGAAAGAGTCAAACTATATCTGCACTTATGTCTGGTGCCCTAGGCTCCATACCTAGTACATAATTAAAATCATTTACTTACCAGGTTTTTCACCAAAAATAAAAATTGCTCAGAGTTAACATTGTAACATGTAATTGAAACTACTGATAAAAGAGTTCTACATGCAAGGTGTGTGAGGAAAGTGAAATGTGCATTTAGTAAAAGATTATAAAAAGGCATGGGAATAAAAATTTTTGCCTAGTTTAGAGGATTAAAGTATTGTTTAAAATTAGATAGCATGAAGCTGAAGGTTTGAGCAAGTTGTGGAAGATATGTAAAAAAAAAACTTGTAAAAAATCATGTTTGTGAACATATTAGCTAAATTTAAAGGTGTATTATATATTTGTTTGTTTTTTCTGTAAATGGAACATTGAAATAAAAGCACAACAGGATTTTCTTAGAGCACTGATTTGCTCTTTAACAAAAATTTGCAAAGGGTTATGAAAGGTTTATGAGAATCTCACCTTATGGTCAAACTGATTAAGTTGGATAGATTTGTCTATCAGGTTTTATTAAAAAGTGAGGTTGACATTAATAGTACACTAATGCAAGAGTGAAATTTGGCTTTCTGTCTTGCACAAGATTTTCATGTAATATTAAAGGATAATGAAAGATTTTTGTTTGCCTTTTGAATAAACTACATGAAAAAGAAAGGGAAGACAAGAGACAGAGTGTTTGGAAAGCTAAGTCATCCCTTTATCAATGAATAAAGGTATTTGCCCTTTTAAAATTTTTGAGTCATCATTTTGGCTAAATGAATGACTTATGGTGACCTGGAATTCTATTTTATAATATCAAGTGTTTTAAAATGTTAACATATTTGACAGCCTTCCCCAAATTAAATTTCAGCTTCAAAATTGTCTTTTCTGACCTCTGACTTTGGGATGCTACAGAAGGCCCCTGAAGCATCCAAAACAGAGGTAAACAGGATAATTTGACATGTTGAGTTGCATGGGAGCATTGTCAAAATAAAATATAATTGTTAATGTTTAACCTTCTTCAGGTTATATTTTAGTGAATGATATTAATACATGTTCCAAAATTGTATAGGATTTCTAAAATTCTAATGTCTGAGTATATGCTATCAATCATAATTATGATTATTATGTTAAGTTATTGTAGACCACAGAAATAACCAAATTTCCTTGTCAATTGTGTCTTTAACTATGACTATTTAAAGCCATTTCCACAGTTAATTGCTTAATGCTGATGCAATTCCTGAAAACTTCAGAAGCATGCAAAATTCTAGAAGATAATGTCTTTTAAGGGTTCCTGAAAGGATGAAAGAGACCCTGAAAAGCACTCTTGAATACAGGTTTCTGGTAATGTTAGAATCATATCATTTGGACTGGGTAAGAATTCCTGGAACTTTAATGAAAACACTGACTGGTTTATAAAACTGCTAACCCAAGCAGAACAAAAATTAATTGAATACCAAGAAAATACTTTGCCAGATTTTCATGCTAAATCAGCCAATACTGAAATTGTTTAGATATACAATTTGAATGAACTCCATGGTCTAAGTCAAATGGTCTATGATAACCCATCAGTTATCAGTGCTAAGTACCTAAATTGGAGAAACAACTGGTATTCAAGAGGACATAAGTCCAATGCTACGCATGCACTCATGGAGAACCAGGACAGCTGCCTTGTCCTTCTTGAGTCATTAATGCTTTTGTTATTAAAAGTTCTGTATTTCATGACTCATCATGGAAAAGATAAATGATCCAAATTAAATATTATATACATTGGTGTGGTGATTTCTAAATTACTGAAATAGTTTATGACCAATGTTTTGTTTGTTAAACCCGTATTTCTGAGAAGATAATCAAAGCTTTGGGTATATTTGGCTACCTCATGGCCATTTAAACTTTTATAGAGGGTTTTCATTCAATTATCATTTTCAATTCATGTTTTCTGGTTGTATAACAGCTTTCCCATGCAAGAGGGATGTACATGGTAAACCCTAGAGCAACCACAAAAATGTAGTAAAAAATTTATTAAAGTAACTAAAATAAGACATTAGAAATTATTCACTTAGTGCAAAAGAAAGAAGCAAAAAAGGAATAAAGGAACAAAAAAGACATGAGACATATATAAAACAAAAGTAAAATGGCAAACATAAATATATCAATGATAACAATTAATGTTAATGTATTCAATAATTCAATCAAATGCAAAGATTATTAGACTGGATTTTTTAAAACATAATTCAACTATATATTGTCCATAGGAGACAAACTTTAGAGTCAAAGATACAACTAGATTGAAAGTAAAAAACATAGAAAAAGATATAACATTTAAGCCAATCTGTCAGGAATATATGATAATTATAAACATATATGCACCTAATAGAATACCAAAATACATGAAGCAAAATGTTATAGAAATTAAGGGATAGACAGTTCAAAAATAATAGGGTAGACTTCAATACTCTACTTTTAATAATAGATTGGACAACTAGACAGAAGATCAAAAATAGGAAAACAGAAGAATTAAATGACACTATAAAATCAACCGGATTTAACCATACATGTCTAGATTACTCCAACCAAAAACAACAGAATATACAGTCTTATCAAGTTCACACAGAACTTTCTCCAGGATAGACCATATGTTAGCCTATAAAACAAACTTCAATAAAATTAAAAGGAATAATACAAAGCATGTTCTTTGACTATAATGGAATAAAATTAGAAATTCATAACAGAAAATAATTATAAAATTCACAAACGTAAAATTAAACAACACACTCCTAAATAATCAATGGGGTCAAAGAAGAAATCAGAGGGAGAATGAGAACATACTTTAAGATGAATAAAAATGAAGACAAAACATAAAAAATTATACGATGCACCTAAAGTAGTGCTTAGTGAGAAACCTGTACTTAATTTCTGTATTATGAAAGGAGAAAGATTTCAAATTAACAGCCTAACTTTCTACCTTGGGGCACTGGACAAACAAAAGCAAACTAAACCTAAAGAAAACAGAAGGAAGGAAATTATAAAGGTAAGAGCAGAAAGTAATGAAATAGAAAATGGAGGGGGAAAAAAAAGAAAAACCAATGAGACAAAAAGTTGATTGTTGGAAAAGATTAAAAAAAATTGACAAACCTTTAGCCAGATTGACAAAAAAAAAAAAGGAGAAGATTCAAATTACTAGAATGAGAAATAAAAGTGAGAACATTACTACTGGCCCTACAGAGATGAGAAGCATTTTAAAGGAATACATGAACAACTGTATGCCAACTAATTAGAGAACTAGATTAAATGAACAAATTCCTCGAAAGACATAAACTACTAAAACTGACTTAAGAAGATATAAACATTATTAATAGATCTGTAACAAGAAAATAAATTGAAATAGTAATAAACAAAAAGAACTACCCACAAAGAAAAGTCCATGTGCACATGGCTTTACTGATAAATTCCATTTAAAAAAAAAAAAGGCAATTTTCACAAATTTTCCAAAAAAAAATCAAAGAGGAAGGAACACTTCCCAATTCACTCTGTGAAGACAATATTGCTCTGATACCAAACCAAAGATACTGCAATAGAAGAGACCAATATCTCTTATGAATATGGATGCAAAAGTGCTCAACTTGGCAAGATGAATCCAGTAATACATAAAAAGAATTCGACACCATTACTAATTGGGATTCTAGTGACCAGAATGGCCAAAGAATGCTTGATATTTTAAGTATACTTTGCTATCCTGTATTTTGTCATGCTCCTAATGCCCAAAAACTTTCAATAAAAGGCTTTTATAACCAAGTTTTGGGTTAGTGTTCTACTGAGAGAATGTTAGAGTAGGTCCAGTGTAGCATACTTATACAGCAACTGCATGTTTGAAATATGTGGAAGCATAATGTGGATCAACAAATTGGCAGTATTAGGAAATCAAATATAGAAGAGACTAGGGAAAATGTCATTTCCCCAAGATCTCTAATGATTCTGTCAAAGAATCATTAGAGATCTTGGGGAAAACCCTGGGTTCCCCACCACACGTGGTTGGGAATATGAGGCAATTTATGTAAATCTTAAAGGACAGGTTGACCTTAATGCATCAAAGGACTTTGGCATAATTTAGGTGACTATACTAATCTACTTGCATAACAGCAAATATTTAATAAGTGTCAGAACTAAAATTAGAACCTCAAACTCCTAATTTTAGTCTAGTCTTCTATACTTTGTCATTTACTTGGAGGAAAAGAGAAAAGAAATTCTATCATTTGTGCATTTTTAAATGAGAAAGTCTAAAAGGTACAAATGTATAAAATTATACATATACAAGCTTCTGAATTTTAAAGTTTTTATTTGGTTGGTTGGTTGGTTTTTTTTGAGACGGAGTCTCTCTCTGTCGTCCAGGCTGGAGTGCAATGATGCAATCTCGGCTCACTGCAACCTCCGCCTCCCGGGTTCAAGCAATTCTCCTGCCTCAGCCTCCCAAGTAGCTTGGATTACAGGCACCCACCACCGTGCCAGGCTAATTTTTGTATTTTTAGTAGAGATGGGGTTTTGCCTTGTTGGCCAGGCTGGTTTTGAACTCCTGACCTCAGGTGATCTGCCCTGCTCGGCCTCTCAAAGTGCTGATCTTACAGGCGTGAGCCACCACACCCGGCCTTAAAGCATTTTTAATAATAAGTTTATCTTTGTGACAGAGGAAAATTTTCTGGAAAATCTAGCCACTGCCCCTATTTCTTACTAGTCAGCTGTTTGAAAAACAGAAACTTCTCTGTAAAATAGCAGCCAAAAAGGGAGTGGTCTCTTCCCCGATCATTTCTATTCCCTAACTGGAAAGCATTCAAGAGATTCTGCATGTTGAATGTTGCAGGATCAGGCCATGTGACAGAGCAGGTTTTACTAGCAATGGCATTGTTGACCTCAGATGAGGGAATGGTTAAAAAAATCTGTAGAGATAGTTCACTTTTTGACAAAGGAGTTAGGTTGAAAGAAAGCAAACTAATAGACTTAGCTGCTCCTTCTTCTAATCCCCTTTACTAATAAGGTTGGGAGGAAGGATTGCCATTCATCTTGGTTGGTATAGATGCTTTTAATATGGGACTTGCAAAATTGATGTTCAGAGAGGTACATAGTACGGCTTAATAAAGGGGATCCTTTTACAAATGAGCTTGGAAGACATTGGTTTTAAAAAAAAATTACTGCAGAGCGTCTCAAAACTTTGAATGATATTTCAAATGTGAATATCCAATGGGAAAGAGAGGATGCTGTATTTCTCACACTATCTAGAAGTGTTTCTAAACATCTATCAGGTCAGAGTTTTGACATCTAACCATTTTTTCTCTCACCAGCTGTCAATGATGTCTCTTCATTAAAAGTCCAAAATACCAATTGGTTTAGCACCTCCTTCCATGATATTTCTTGTCTAATATTTTATAGTTTAGAAAGTACTTTCACTTCCTGCCTCATCCCAAATTGATTTTCTGTCACTTAATATAATCTGGGTATACAGACTAATAATTTTGGCGTTATCCTATGTGATGGCAAATTTTAGATTCAACTTGACTGGATTACACCTTGAGAAGTGGTAAAACATTATTTTGGGATGTGTTTATAAGAGCGTTTCCAGAGGAGATTTACCTGTGAGTCTAAGTGGACTAAGTGGGGAAGAGCTACCCTCAATGCGGGTGGGCACCATCCAATTGACATGGAGTCCAGATGGAGCAAAAACAGAGAAAAAGCAAATTGGCTTCTTTGTTTCTCAGAGCTGGGACACACTCTTCTTCTGCCCTTGCACATCAGAACTCTAAGCTCTCTGGCCTTTAGACTCCAGGAAAGTGCAACCTCAAGCCCCCAACCCCCACCTCACCTGCCCCAGGGTCTCAGGCTTTGAACTTTGGCAAAGCCACAGTAGCAGCATCTGAAAGTCTCCAGCTTGTGGACACCCTGTTGTGGGACTAGTCATCCTTCATGATCTCATGAGTCAATCCTTCTACTAAATTACTTCTCATATATCTGTATATATCTTATTGGTTCTGTCTCTCTGAAGAACCTTGACTAATACGTCATACCATTAATACTTTTAAACATAAAACTTCAAGACTGTTTTGTCTTTGTCTTCAATTTAATAGCTATCAATGACTATTTCTCCTTAACTCTATATATTTAATTTCAAAATGCATTTCCAGTGCTTGTTTACCACAATGTTTATATTCTTGAGATTTTTATTTTTAATTTCCCTCTCTCTTGTCTATAACATCTAACACATCTTAAAGTAACTTTTCAGAATGGGCACAGGAGTAAGATCTTTTCTAATCTCTTGCACATGTGGAAATACTTTTATTATATTAATAGTGTTCATGTATGTATTAGTTTTCTGTGGCTGTTGTAACAAATTACCATAAACTTGGTGGCTTAAAATAACAGAAATTTATTTCTCATCATTCTGGAGCCTGGGAAACCCAAGATCAAGGCACTGACAGGTTCAGTGTCTAGTGAGGAATCATTTTCTGGTTCTTATTTGGCTCCTTATGGATGTGTCTCCACATGGCGGAAGGGGTGAGCTGGCTCTCTGGGTTCTCTTTTATAAGGTCACTAATATCTTGCTATTACATTCCATACAATTTCAACATAAGAATTTGGGAAAAACATAAACATTCAATCCATAGCAAGCCTGTGGTACACATTGCTTCTCTTTGGAATACTGAGCCCCTTTTTCTTCTCCTAAACTAGTACTATCCATTATTCACATCTAAGTTTCAATAATATTTCCCTTAAGAAGTTTTTTTTGGTCTCATAATATTGAATAATATACTTTGCCTATATGCACCTAGAACACCTTGCACTTAGGTAATCACAGCGTGTATTATACTACTGTATAATGATCTGCCTTTCCCACCAGACGATGAGCAACTTGAAGGAACAAATTATGACTTGTTCACATTATATTATCAAAACGTAGCATAGTACCTAACATCAGTAGGCAATCAATAAAAATTTGTTAAATTGTAACATTAGAATATGTCAGTTATATAAGTTCTTTGAACCACCAAGGATTTGTTTGGTACCTCTATCTGGGTTCACATAATATCTTGTACTTACTTTTATCATAAAACATATCACAATGTATAGTGATTTGACAGTAACAGTAATAAGGATTTATTAGGCATTTACTATGTGTTAGACACGTGCTAAGCAATTTATTTGTATATGCTAAGCAATTTATTTGTATTATAACCTTTAATTTAGTCCTCACAATTGTCAGAGTAGACAGATAGTTAGACATGAGTGGGAAAGGAAGGAAGCACTGGAAAATCTCACACCCCAGAGACCACCCAAAACATGTATGCTAAATATGAGCAGAGAGGAGGGTAAATACCTATGCAGAGAGGAATGCCCCGAAACACCCTTTAAGATGCCCAGTAATTGCTCACTCTGCAGTTAACCTGTCGGAATGTAGCTAGCTTCATGCTGATAAGAAGGGAAAAAGGGGGGCCGGACGCAGTGGCTTATGCTTGTAATCCCAGCAGTTTGGGAGGCTGAGGCGGGCGGATCACCAGGTCAAGAGATCAAGACCATCCTGGCCAACATGGTGAAACACCACCTCTACTAAAAATACAAAAATTAGCTGGGCATGGTGGCACATGCCTGTAATCCCAGCTACTCGGGAGGCTAAGGCAGGAGAATCACTTGAATCCGGGAGGCGGAGCTTGCAGTGAGCTAAGATTGTGCCACTGCACTCCAGCCTTGGCAACAGAGCGAGACTCCATCTAAAAAAAAAAAAAAAAAAAAAAAACAAGGGAAAAAGGACAAAGGGGAAATTCTTAAGAGTTACACAGGCACAAAAAGTACCTATTTGACCACTACATGACCTTGCAGGGACGGTGGTCATGAGTAACTCTGTCATTAGGTAGAATCTATATTGATCACCAGACCTGCACGTGTGTATCAACTGAGAGTAAGTGACAATTCCACAAGGCAAGGACAAGGACAAGGCCAAAACTTAAGAAAGAAGCAGGACACCATACAAAGACAAAGGTGGAGACTTAAGACAGAGGCGGTAACTTAAAGAAAAAGTCCAACATAATAAAAACTACAACGCAGAACTCTCAGGGCTGCTCCCAGCCAGGTCAGCCTGTTCCTCACTTTGAGTGTACTCTTATTTCCTTAATAAAACTTTTGCTTACTTTACTAATTGTCTCTTGGCGGAATTATTTCTCCCAAGTAAGATAAGAACTGAGGATCCACATACTTCCCAGTAACATATTGTGGTGCTGTGACTCAGAGAGCCTAACCTGCAAATGGTTCTTCAAGATAAGTGCCATGGTTGTCTCAGACTACCTGGTCAACTACCTCTGCTTCTTCCTGGGCTGTTTTACTAAAGTTTTGAGAAAAACCTCCCACTCCTAATGCTGTTCTTGCCAATTTAAAATGAGGCCTTCCTTTGCTCACTCTTTCACATTCTTACAAATCTCCAGTACAATTCCCTTCAGCCACTGTGACTATGCTAACTCTGGCTGATTTCTCAGTTGACTCTGATGGGGTGACAAGTGAAGGTAGAAGGACTTCAAGGTCCACACCACATAGATCTAAGCCACTGTAAGCCTCCCTGAGAGGAGGCTAGTGAAGGTGGTGGGGATTAAGACTAGGCCATGCAATGACTGAGGATCTTCGTATCTCTTAACTAAAATGGTAATCCGCTGCCCACTTTCACCACTTCTACTCAATATTGCACTGAAAGTCATAGCCAGAGCAATTAGACAAGAGAAAGAAATAAAGGGCATCCAAATCAGTAAAGAGGAAGTCAAACCGTCACTGTTAGCCAATAATATGATTGTATGCCTAGAAAACCCTAAAGACTCATCCAAAAGCTCCTGGACCTGCTGAATGCATTCAGAGTTTCAGGATACAAAATCAATGTACACAATTCAGTAGCACTGCTACACACCAACCACAACTAGACTGAGAATCAAATCAAGAACTCAATCTCTCTTACAACAGCTCTTAAAAAATAAAATACTTAGGAATATACCTAACCAAGGAGGTGAAAGATCTCTACAGGAAAATCTACAAAACACCACTGTGGAATGAAATTATCCACAACACAAACAAATGGAAACGTATCCCATGCTCATGGATAAGTAGAATCAATATTTTGAAAATAACTATACTTCCAAAAGCAATCTACAAATTCAATGCAACTCCCATAAAAATGCCATCATCATTCTTCACAGAACTAGAAAAGAAAATCATAAAATTCATATGGAACCAAAAGACAGCCCACATAGCCAAAGCAAGGCTAAGCGAAAAGAGTAAGTCTGGAGACATCACGTTACCTGACTTCAAACTACACTACAAGATTATAGTTACCAAAACAGTATGGTACTGGTATAAAAACAGGCATCTGGACAAATGGAAGAGAATAGAGAACCCAGAAATAAAGCCAAACACTTACAGCCAACTGATCTTCAACAAAGGAATCAAACACATAAAATGGGGAAAGGACACCCTATTCAACAAATGATGCTGGGATCATTGGCAAGCCCCATGTAGAAGAATGAAGCTGGATCTTCATCTCTCACCTTATACAAAAGTCAACACAAGATGGATCAAAGACTTAAATCTAAGACCTGAAACCATTACAATTCTAGAAGATAACATTGGCAAAACTCTTCTAGACATTGGCTTAGGTAAAGAGTTCATGACCAAGAACACAAAAGCAAATAAAACAAAAACAAAGATAATAGATGGGACCTAATTAAACTAAAAGGCTTCTGCACAGCAGAAGAAATAATCAGCAGAGTAAACAGACAACCCATACAGTGAGAAATAATATTTGCAAACTACACATCTGACAAAGAACTAATATCCAAAATTTACAAGGAATGCAAACAAATCAGCAAGAAAAAAAAAATCTCATCAAAAAGTGGGCAAAAGACATGAATAAACAATTCACAAAAAAATATATACAAATGGCCAACAAACATGTAAACATTCTCAACATCACTAATTATTAGGGAAATGCAAATCAAAACCACAATGAGAAACCACTTTACTCCTGCAAGAATGGCCATAATTAAAATATCAAAAAATAACAGATGTTAGCATGGAGGTGGTGAAAAGGGGACACTTTTACACTGCTGGTTGGAATGTAAACTAGTATAACCACTGTGGGAAACAGCATGGAGATTCCTTAAGGAACTGAAAGTAGAACTACCATTTGATCCAGCAATCCCACTACTTGGTGTCTATCCAGAGGAAAAAAGTCATTATATGAAAAAGACACTTGCACATGCATGCTTTTAGCAACAAAATTCGCAAATGAAAAAATATGGAACCAGCCTCAATGCCCATCAACCAACGAGTGGATAAAGAAAATGTGATATATATATGTATACCATGGAATACTATTCAGCCATAAAAGGGAACAAAATAATGGCATTTGCAGCAACCAGGATGGAGATGGAGACCATTATTCTAAGTGAAATAACACAGGACTGGGAAATCAAACATCATATATTCTCACTTATAAGTAGGAGCTAAGCTATGAGGATGCAAAGCCTTAAGAATTACATAATGGACTTTGGGAATTTTGCGGGGAAGGATGGGAGGTGAGTGAGGAATAAAATAGTACACATTGGGTGCAGTGTACACTGCTTGGCTGATGGATGCACCAAAATACCAGGAATTATCACTAACAATTTTTTCCATGCAACCAAACACCACCTGTTCCCCAAAAACCATTGAAATAAAAATAAATAAATAAATAAATAATAGTATAAAATGGTTATCCTCCAATAATTTCACTGTTAAACTTTCCTTTCATTGCATTTTACCCCCTTCTCTCCCCTGAGTGGGTGCTAGCAACCACAGAAAGGAGGCATGCCCCCATGGACAGTTAATCTCACAAATTAGCTTACTCCCTGCTGTGTCTTCGTTCTCCACAAGGTTTCTTTGAATTCCTTCTTCATGCTTAGCCTCCTAGCAGGATCTGCTCCTCTGGTTCCTCCTGCAACCATTTAAAGCATCCTTCATTTATTACCAGGCCTTTCTAGCCTGGCCACCCTTAGTAAACACATTAGGCTTTAGCTTCTCAAGTGGGCTGTCTGGCTCCTCCAGGTAGCCATCTGCGGCCCCCACCTTCTCTTCCTTCTGTCTCACTTTACAACTGGAGCTCCTTATGGGCCAATGGGATGTTCTTCCTCTGTCTCTTAAGACCATTATTGTCAAACTCTGAAACCCTAAAGCATTTTTTGCTTTTTATTAAACAAACCAACAGAAAATGTCCCTGGGCTCCCCTTGCCATTCATGTAATTATATAAAAAACTGGAGTCAAGAACCTAGTCCACTTAGCCTGGGACCTAGGAATTACCATGCCTTCTCAAGCATCTTTTCAGCATAAGCCCTAAGGAACCTCCTCAAAACAGGGGAAGGTTTCAAATCTTCCCTGACTCCTCTAACCATCTACACCATTTATCTAAGTGTCATTATAGACTAAAACAACCCTATGTGGAGGTCTCTTCTCTTCAAGCTTTGGCGGAGGTACAACTATTGGGTTTCTTAAAGGGCCAGGATCATTGAGAATATAAAAGGCAACAAAATTACTCCTGTATCAGATACTACTCCACCCCCTTGCCTGGAATAGAGGCAAGAAAGATGTCACCAGTAAAATATTAACCAAAATGAGACTGGGGAAATCTTTCTGATTAAAAGAGAGAAAGCAGAGACAAAAAGAGCACACAGCAAGAATCAACCAAATCCAGAGCTCCCTAAGTGCAAGGTGAGGGGCATTTTGCCTTCCTTGGTCTGGTGAGGGATGCCTCACCTTCATAAGTCATTGTAGGAATGGACAGGGAGACACCTCTTTCATCCTACAGTTCTCCTTTGTCTTCTCTTTAAAATGGATAACCAGACTTCCATACCCCAAGATTCACCCCTTCTGAGATGCATCCTTAAAAATTTAGATAAATTCAACCCTCAAACCCTAAAGTGAAAAAAAAAAACTATTTTTCCTTTATAAAACCAGAGGAAATCTGGCTGGAGAACAAAAGTACAAATTTTAATACCATCCTCCAGCTGGACTTTTTCTGCTGCCATCAGGGCAAATAGTCAGAGCTCCCCTATTTACAAACCCTCATGGCTTTGAGGGAAGACTCTAATCTTTGTAAAGCTTATAAGCCAGATCCCTCTGTCCTACCTATGCTTAGCCACCATAAACTAGGGGCCAAAAGAAAATCCTATAGCCTTTCTTAAAAAGCTACAGGAAACCCTTATTAAGCACACCAACTTAAACACAGAATTCCCAGAGGGACTAGGCCTGAAGGACCATTTCTTCACTCAAGCCACTCCAGACATTAGGAGAAAATTGCAAAAGTCAGCCTTAAGACTCAGTGCCTCTATGCCAGAAATCCTTAATTTAGCTTCATTGGTCTTTTATAACTGGGATCAGAGTGAGGAATACAGGGTCAAGAAGAGAGAAAAACAAAGAGACAGGAGGAGGCAGGCTCAACTATTGGCTACTTTACAAGTCTTCCAGACCCCACCAAGCTGCCGTAAAAATACGCTCCCAGGTAACTGCCATCAGTGCAAAAGACCGGGCCACTGAAGAAGGAACTGCCCAACTGGAAGAAAGCCCCACATGAACTCCCCCTTTGCCATAAGCTCAGCCACTGGAGTAAGGATTGTCCCAGGAGCCAAAAGACTCCCTCGCTGGATCCCCCATCTAATGATGGCCTTGAGCTGAAGGGGCCCTCCACTACAGCCAGCTCCCAGATCAGACATAATCATTAAAGGAATAGAGCCAAGGGCAACTCTGGAAGCGGCAGGTAGGACTATAATTTAAAAAAAAAAAATACAAGGGCCACCAAGTTTGTGCTAACCTTCTTTGGAAAACTTTCCTCCAAATCTAGTTAGGTGATGGGGGAAAATAGCACCCCCCAATAAAGATTCACACCCACTTTATATTGCATATGGGGATCAATTACTATTCTCCCACCAGACCCTGGCAATGTCCGAATGCCCCACACCCCTTTTGGGAAAGAATGTACTTCACAAGGTGGGTGCCTCCTTAATATTTACCCAACCTCTGGATTCATCTTTCCCCCAATGGCCTTATTTCTCCCGGGAAAAGCTGCCTAAACCTTTAACCAATGACTTCAATCCAGACAGTCCTACCTCTGGTTTTGTAGACAGCTCACACATCCATAAAGCCCTAGCAAGAAATCTAACCAAGCTATTCTTGATGAAAGACAACTTCTACAATATATACATAACCTACTCCTTTGCCCCACCCACCACAGAGCTTGTACAACAACATGCAATACAAACCTTAAACTTTCTAGCAAAAGAGGATACAAAGTATTCAAAGCTAAGACAGAATTTCATACCTAGAACTAACTGAATATATACACAGAGTACTGCTGGCTAGTGACCCCTTCAACAACCAACAACTCGTATACCTGCCAGGGTCGCAAGTCCTCATTAAAACCTGGAGAGACTGGTCACCTGGGTCTCAGCTAACCCCCTTATGGAAGGGTCCTTTTACTGTCTTACTTTCCACCCCAACAGCTATCAAAGTTCCTGACATCTCTAGTTGCATATATCACTCCCAAATAAAACCCTGGGAAGGCTCCAAAGAACAGGAAAAGAACCAACGCCCAGTTACTCTTCTGAGCCATTGGAAGACCTGAAGCTTCTCTTCAAACAAAAAGATAAGCAAATGGCTCCTCCCTCCTCATCTCAGAGTTTTCAGGCCCAAAAACATCAAACAGATAATGTTACCTAGGTCATAAACTGTTTCTATGACTTTTGATAATTATTCAACTTGCCTGCTTTAGAGTAATTAAATTCTTGGCAAGGCCTGGGGACATGTGGAGTTAGCTATGCCCTTGGCTATGCTATAAAAAGTCAGACTTACCTATTCTTCTCTAACAATTGGAGGGGAACTTGCTCATTAATTTATCTTTCCCTTGATGTGGCCCTCCTAAACCAACATCAGTCAGTACCTATCCCCCTTCCCTCCAAGTCCACATCTCAAAGAGTGGTCATAGCCTTCCTTCCCTTACTTACAGCTCTGGGGTTAAGAACTGGAGTAACTAAAATAAGAACAGGAGTGTAGGAATTTTAATCTTTCAGCAAATGCATACCACCTTATCCCATGAGCCAGGACAGGCTCTTGAAGAGACAACCAAAGCCATTGGTTGTCCAATGGCTTGACCAGCAATTTAACTCCCTAGCAGGGATGGGCCTCCAAAACCAACACGCCTTAGACATCAGCACCTCAGCCCAGGGAGGAACCTGTGCTATGCTCAAAGAAGAATGTTAACCAGTTAGAAATCATACAGGACAGCATTCAACAACCACAAGAAAAAGCTAAACATCTACAGGCAGCTTCAGGCCCATTCTCAGGGACATGGAACATCCTCAGTTGATTCTGACCTCCTCTTGGCCCACTCTCCACGGTGCTCCTTCTTCTCCTCTTAGGCCTTTGCTTGGTCAATTTGTTAACTAAATTTATTTCTTTCTGCATTCAGGCTACCAGTCATCAAATGAGATTACAGCAAGGATATAACATATTACATTTGCAGATCCCAACACCTATGTAAACACCTCTCCCTTGAATGCAGGAAAAGGTTCGGGGAAAAGGAGGGGCTCCTGACAGAGGGCAAGAGAAGGAGACCCTGGATGAGTTAATTCTGTATCAGCAGGAAGTAGTTACAGAAGACCCAAGATACTCCTAGACTCAAAAATTGTTAGGGTCTCAAACTTTTGAGGGGGGAATTTTGGAGTAGGCAGATAGTTAAACATGAGCAGGAAAGGGAGCCCCTGAAGGAGAAAGCTCTGGAAAATCTCATGCCCTAGAGACCACCTAAAACATACATGCAAAATATAAGCAGATAAGAAGGGAAATACCTATGCAGAAAAGAACACCCAGAAATGCCCCTTACAATGCTCAGTAGTTGCTCACTCTGCAGTTAACCTGTCAGAATGTAGCTAGCCACATGCTGATAAGAAGGGAAAAAGGATCAAATGGGGAGGGATAGCATTAGGAGATATACCTAATGTTAAATGACGAGTTAATGGGTGCAGCATACCAACATGGCACATGTATACATATGTAACAAACCTGCACGTTGTGCACATGTACCCTAAAACTTAAAGTATAATAAAAAAAAAAAAAGGGAAAAAGGACAAAGGGGAAATTCCTAAGAGATACGCAAGCAAAATAAGTACAGATTTAACAGCTATATGACCCTCCAGGGGTTGTGGTCATGAGGAACACCTTAGGTAGAGTTTGTATTGATCACTGGGCCCACATGTGCACATCAACTGACAGTAAGGGAGAATCTCACAAACCTGAGCAGGAACTACTACATGGAGACAAGGGCAGAGACTTAAGACAGAAGTGGGAAACTATACAAAGACAAAGGCAGAGACTTAAGAAAGAGGAGGGAACTTAAAGAAACAGTCCAACATAATAAAAACCACAATGAAGAATTCTTGGGTCTGCTCCCAGCCAGGTCAGCCCAGTCCTCTCTTGGAGCGTACTCTTATTTCCTTAATAGATCTTTTGCTTATTTTATTACTTGGTTCTTGACTGAATTATTTCTCCTAAGTAGAACAAGAACCAAGGACCCCCGTACTTCCTAGGAAGATAATGACCCTGTAAGTTAGCATATTATTTTCCCCATTTCAAGATTATGAAATGGGCACAAAGAGGTTAAGAGTATTATTCAAAGTAACAGAGTTAGCAAACAGAGAAGCTTCTAACACAGACAATTTGACTCCAGACATTCTATTAACTAGTATACTATACTTCTCATGTTTCCTTCTCTAACACCAAACTAAAAGAAAATTCTCGGAGGAAGGTATTGTACCTTCTTCCCATTGCCAAGCATGTTATTGTAGGTACCATAGGCTCTTGGTCCCTTAAAGGTTTGCTAAACTTCACTGATATCAGGCAGATTGATTAACAGGAGAAAAGGCATACAGTTGTATGTAACGCATACACACAGTAGCTTCAGACTAAAGACTCAACTTTCCAGTGACATACAGAAACTTACCTAGTATCCCAAGGACACAGTAAAGAATGCAGATTCACAGCATGGCCAGAAACAGGTTATGTTGGTAAATCAGGTTTAGTGGCAAGATGGCGTGAACCCGGGAGGCGGAGCTTGCAGTGAGCCGAGATCGCGCCACTGCACTCCCGCCTGGGGGACGGAGCGAGACTCCGCCTCAGAAAAAAAAAAAAAAAAGAGAGAAAGAAAGGAAGAAGCTTGGCTAGCAAAGGTGGCCTTAATATGTAGATGAAGCCTCTTTCTGAGAGAATAGATGGCAAATATTTCTTTTCAGACTTTTAAAGGTGTCGGGCTCAATCTCTTCTGGATCTTGGAAAAGTCATATAAAGGAGAGAGGGAAATGGGGATTCTCTACAAATGCAAATTTTCCCCACTCAAGACAGCTTTGCAAGGCCACTTCTGTCAGGATGGCCAAGCAGAAGCCATTTCGAGATATGTCAAAGAAATATATTTTGGTGTAAAATATTTTAATTTCCTTCATTATATAATTGTGTAATAGCTGCTTAATATTTTCTGTATGAATAAATGATAACATGAAGTAAAGTTCAAATTAATGCTCAATGTGAGTTCAAATATATTATTATTTCAAAAAATGACAATATACCAATAACTTTTATATTGTCTTCACAGAATTTTGAAAAATATCTATGTATTGATACTCAGCATTAAAAATATGAGCCTCCAAACCAACTCAGATATGCTCAGATATGCAGCATAGGTGCCTAAAGAGATATTAAAATGTTTATTTCCATATATTATATAAAGAATATTTAATAATTCTACGTATATCTTGATAGAATTCATTAACAATGAGCCAAAACTTTTCAAAATAATTTGAATTCTCAAAAATTGATTCAGTTAGACTATGTATTCCTTGGAATGTGATTTTCCTAATCTTATATATCTTTTTATGCTTTTCATAAATTTTCAAACATGCTCCTACCAGCTCATCATGTTAAGGGTCTAACACTCAGATAAATAATACCTTCACCTTCAAAAGTAAAATGTTCTTCTAATGTAGGTGCTATTTGATTCTTTCACCTATTTCACGGAACATTATTAACTCAACAGCAGCCTACTTCATGTCTCTTTCCTGTTACTATCCACCATCAAAGACAACCATTATCCAGACTTTTAATGCAATACAATATTTGTTAGGTGTTTGTTAAATGTTATAGAAATGTAATCTTGCAGTACTTATTCCTTGTGTTCAGCATATTTTTGTAAATATGTTTTCTGCAATTCATCCTTACTGTTTCAGGTAGTAATGATTTTTTCCATTTTTTATTACTGTGTAATAATACCTTATATGAACACACTATCCATTTTACTGTTGATAAATATTTGGATTGTTTTTAGTTTGGGGCTATTCTGTACAAAGCGACTAAACACATACTTCTATGTGTATCTGGTGAATATATGCACTCATTTTTCTTGGGAATGTACCTAGTAGAAATCGTTGGATTATATGTTCAACATATGCTCAGCTTTAACCAATATTACAAATTTTTTTTCCAAAATGTTTATGCCTATTTACACTTTCAACAGTGTATGAAAGTTGCAATTGCTCCATATCCTTTCCAGCACATAGTATTTTTAGTTATTTAAAAGTATTCATTGTAGTGAATGTGTAGTAACTCACTGTGGTTTTCATTTGCATTGTCCTGATGATCTTTTATATGTATATTGTCCACTTGAATATTCTTTTTTTGGTGGGAGAGGAAGAGCCTATTTAAGTCTTTTGCCTTTTCTATTTCTCTTGAGTCTCCCTTTACTTTACTTATTGCTCTGGATGCATGTCTTTTATTGTACAAAAACTTTAAAATTTATTTTCTCATTTTATTGCTTTCCTTTCACTCTTTTATGTCTTCTGATGAAAAGATATTTTTAATTTTAATGTGGTTGAATTTATGATTTATTTTCTTTATGGACATTACGTTTTGTATACTGGTTTAGGAAATCTTTGCTGACTCCAAGCTTTAAAAGGTTTCTTTCTTAACCTTTAGTCTTACCTTTTATGTTTATGTCACAATACGTTTTGAATTGATATATTTATATACTGAGAGGGAGAGATCAAGGTTTCATTTGGATATCTAATTAATCCTGTACTCTTTATTAAAATATGTATTCTTTCCCCAATGAATTTTAGTGGAGATTTGATCATGTGACTCTATTTCTGAACTGTCTGTCATGCTCCATTGTTCAATTAGTCTATTTATGCACAATTTATAGTGTCATAATTACTGTAGCTTTAAAATAAATATCTGAATATTTGTTGGTGTAAGTCTGATAATATTAAATCCTCTAGCTTTCATCTTGTTCTTTAAGATTGTCTTGGCTATTCTTGTCTATTCTATTAAAATTTCTTATAAATTTCAACATGAACTTGTCAAATTATATGCAAACATACATACACACAAACTGGCTGATTTTCGGGGGGGCTTGCATAATCCTACAGATAAATTTGAGGAGAATTGACGTATTTATAATATTGAGATTTCCAATTCATTAGACTGGTTTGTCCCTTTATTTTACCTTATTTAGGTTTTCTTTAATTACTCAGTAGTGCTTTTCAGTTTTCTCTTTAATTGATGTTGTTTTGAATGTGGTGAGTCTTATTTTCTAGATTTTTTTTTAAAGATTTTCTCTTTCACATTAGTTTTAAGCAGTTTTATTGTTATATGTCTATGTGTGGCTTCTTTTTATATTATTCTGCCTGAGGTGCATCACAATTTTTGAATTGGGGTTTAATGTATTTTGTTCATTTGGGAAAAATTAACGCTACTCTTTTGCTGTCTATTTTCCTGAAGATATTGATGATAATAATTTTAAAGTCAAAGTCTGATAACCAAACAGACAGATTCCAAGTGGGTCTTTTTCTGTTGTCCAGATTCTTCTTTTGAAGTTTATTTTTGTTATGCTGGTTAATCTTTTATTGAGTGCCAGGCATTGCCTATGAAAAATTATGGAAGCTCTCAATTTGATTGTCTTTCTCCAGAGAAGATTAACTCTATCTCTTATCCAGGCTGCAAAGAGGCAAGTCACCTGTATCTAATCCTGGAGTGACATGATCCAAGACTAGTTTGCAGTCTCTATAAATTCCTTCTCCCATTTTGCTTCCAATCCTAGACTTTAAACCTTCATGGTTTAAATGAGAGCCTGTAGAGTCTCTCAGCTATGCTACTTCATAAGGGATCCTGAACTCCAAATTTTTGCTCCCAGGTCATGAAACTGCAAAAAACTCCACTTTGCTCTTCAGCTGTTTTCGGCTTGGTTTCTGACGATTTTGCCCTGTGCAGCTTAGTGAGAAAAGGGCTCGAGGAGAAAAATGGCATCAAGTATTTAACCGAAGTATTTGTGCTTTCCTTCTCTTTGGGATCTTATCCCCTCATGTTATGATTCCTTTGAATATCAGAAGTTCAATATCTGTCCTGCCATTCTATGAGATTAACTAAAGCTATCCTCGCTTCTCTGCCTCTTTCTTGGGACTATGAATCAGCAAATGGACCAAGGGGAAAAATAATAGATAAAAACTTGAGTTTAGTTCAGTTACCTTTCCTTCTCTTTAGGATCTGGGCCTTGAAATTCTAGTTGTCTTTGAAACTATCCTGAGACCTTCAAAATAGATCTTGAATTTTATCCAGATTTTCTCTGTTATCATCAGGAGCATTGGTTTGCTGCAAGCTACTGTATCAAAGCCCATAACATGTATTTCTCTTTGAATTAATTCTAGTGTGACAGAATATCATGGGTTAAAAATTCCACAAAGCACTCATAAAATACCATATTTATCATGTACTAACTCACAAAGAATAACTCAATAAAATACAAAAGCAAAAAACATACAAATTATTTTACTTTTTTCAACTTCAGGGAATCAACTAGAAAAAAATCAAAATACTAGCCTGAAACACAGAAGATGACTTAAAATGTTTAAAAAACTGTTCTAATTAACTTGTTTTAAGAATAAATCAAAACTGATATACAGAAAACTTAGATATAAAGAAAGCATGAAATCATTGCCTCTCAAAGTCTTAGTCTTAAAGTGGTTGCAAGAAGAATATGTGTAACCTTAATTGCTTTTATTGAAAACAAGTCACATAAAAATATATTAATTGCAAATTTATCTTAAGAGACAAGAAAACAAGAAAATATTCTGAAATAAATTGATACAAAAATACAAAAATTATGACAGAAAAATTAGAAAAATAAATACATAAAACAGTTTTTTAGAAATACAAAAAAAAATGAACAGATATTTGGAAATTCTCACCGAAAACACACACAAAAAATTTAAGAATGATAAAATGTCATAGCTATACATATAAAAGAGAAACTGCTTTCAAGATGTAAAGGAGTTTTACAAATAAATTTGTAAATTTTGATGAAATGAGCCACCTTCTGGAAAATTAGAATTGAAAATAATTGTCTTAGTAGAGGAGATAACATTAAGAACTCAATGACCAAAGAAAAAGTTTAAAAGTGAGGAAAATCTGTATTCCCACAAAGGCCACAGGTGAAATTTTGAAAACTGAAATTTACTATACTTAAGGGAAAAATATAAGAAGATAAAGTGGAAGCAGAAGAGGTTAAGCGACATAACCAATGTCACACAGCTGGAACCTAATGGAGCCTTTTTAAAAAAAAAAACTTCTCTAGTGCCTAAAAGCTGGAATAACATTGATATTAAATCAACAATATTTTAAAAATTAAAGAGTGTATATACTGATTTCACATATGATCATAGATGCCAAAATAACTAAAATATTAGCAAAATAATTTCAGAAAAGTCTTCAAGAATATATTATAAACAAGTAGGGAAAAAATTCTAATATTGCAATGGTGGTTTAACTGTAGGAAAAATATAATTGATAGGTTAAAGAAAAACTTCTATGACCATCTAAACTAATGCTGACATAACAATAAAATGGAAAACAAAAACAATTTTAAGAGAAAAAAGAAAATAATTAAAAATTATATGTAGCCTAGAAATAGAAGGATATGTTTTCGATGTAATAGATAAAAATCAAAAATAATAAATCAACAAATCGAAAATAAGAAATCAACATTTTATTTTCTAGTGAAACACTGAAGACAATCCAAGTAAAGTAAGGAACAACACAAGGATGCCTAATAACACAAGTATTATTCAACATGGATGTAGAATTCCTAACAAATGTAATTATACATCACAAATAAGAAAAAGATATAAATATAGGAAGAAAAGGATTATTATTGTTTGTGGCTTATTTGATTTTCTACTTATAAGATGTAATAGAATAAAAATTTAAATCTTTAGAACTAATAAGAAAACTTAATAAAGTGTCTGTATGAAAAGATTAATGTATAAGAACCATTAATGTTTTTATATAACAACTTTAGCCAATTAAAAAAGGGAAAAAGATGTCACTCCCATAACAACATTTTAAAAAGTAAAAATAAACATAAGATCTAAGACCTATAAGAAGAAAGCTTTACTGAGAGACATAAGAATTCTGAATAAATGGATAAAAGTGCCGTCTTCTAGAAAACACAGAATCAATATTTTTGAGTCAATTCTCCCCAAGTTAATCTATGGATTTAATGCAAAAATTGAATCAACATCTTAATGAGATTTAGGTGATTCTAAAGTTCATCTAGATGATCAAATGCATACTAACTGTGAAATTTGTAAAAAAAAAAAAAAATTATTACAGAGGCACTCTTCTGCCAGTTTTCAAATCCATTCTAAAATTTTAGTGATTAAAATAATGTAATATCAGTTCAAATCAAGACATGTATTTCTAAAGAAAACAATATATACTCCAGACAGGCCCATGTGTATATATGCATGTCTCTGTGTTTGTATTCTTATACAAGATAAGGCAACATTTAAAATCACTGTTGAAAACATAGACAATTGAGTAAAGTGTGTTGACAAAATTAGAAATTTATTTATAAACCAGTAAATGCGCATCACATCCCCACACCACATCATATATCAAAGTAAAATCTAGATGAATTGGTGATTAAAAAATTAAAAATAAAATAAAACTCAGGAGGAATAACTTCAAGAGCTCTATTGTACATTATAGTGACTATAGTTAATAATAGTATAAAATTTACTCAAAAATTGCTGAGAGTAGATTTTACATGTTCTCACCACAATAAAAAGTGATAAGGCTGAGTGCCGTGGCTCATGCCTGTAATCCCAGCACTTTGGGAGGCTGAGGTGGAAGGATCACTGGAGGCCAGGAGTTTGAGACCAACCCTGACAACATAGAGATAACCTGTCTCTAGAAAAAAAATAACAATTTTCTGGGCATGGTGGCATATGCCTACAGTCCCAGCTACTCAGGAGACTGAGGTGTGAGGATCACTTGAGCTAGGGAGGTCAAATCTGCAGTGAGCTGTGTCTGCACCACTGCACTCCAGCCTGGGTGACAGCAAGACACTGTCTCAAGAAAATAAAATGATAAGAATGAGATGTAATGCATACGTTAAATAGCGTGATGTAGCCATTCCACAATGCATACATTTTTCAAACATCATATTGCACAACATAAATTTATATAATATTTACTTGGCAATTAAAAATAAAAATAATGTTGGGACAGGAAAGACCTTACTAAGAAAGAAACAAAATCCAGAAGCCATATAGGAAAAGATTAACAGATATAATTACATAAGAAGATAAAATATCTGTATTACAAAAGACACCATGAAAGAAATGCAAAATAATAGACACAAGAGAGACCAACCCAGGGGTCTGAGAGATATCATTTACAAAAGTAAAGTATTAGAATTCAAAATGTATAAAGAACTTCACATTCATATTTTAAAAATCAAATACCCAATTAGAAATGTGACCAAAAGTATATATACTGACAATGCACAGAGTAGAAATGGCAAAATTCAATAACTAATTGAAAAAATTTATTCAACCTCACCAGTTGTCAAAATGCAAATTGAGAAAACAATAAAATACCATTTCCCTTTCAACAAACTGGCAAAAACAAAAACAAAAGAGTGATATCAATAATATCCAATTAGTAAGGGCTTTGAAGAATCAACATTCTCATACACTCTTGACAGTGCAAAATAGTACTGCCCATTATTTATAGGGCAATTTGACAATGTGCATCAAAATTGTAAATATCTGCACCTGAAAGAACA
The DNA here is from genome assembly GCF_000001405.40 of Homo sapiens. Classification (NCBI taxonomy): domain Eukaryota; kingdom Metazoa; phylum Chordata; class Mammalia; order Primates; family Hominidae; genus Homo; species Homo sapiens. The sequence goes on along the minus strand of NC_000023.11, from coordinate 98,566,762 downwards.
AAAATCCCTTATTTTTCTCCCTAAACAAGTAGTATGAAGGAGGACAGGTGTTGTTAATAAACTTAAACAATCGAGACTTTTTGAAAGTTTAATTTTAAAGTAATAGCAAAGATCTTTAAACTGTTAAAAACAAAACAGAGTTTGGGAAGTAAGCCTGAAGAAATTAAAATATCTCTGTACATAAAAACAGGAAGAATTAAATTTTCCTTGCTTCTGAGAAACAGGATTGAGGGAAGAGAAATCAATTACAAAAGGGATGGGAACAGGGGAAGAAAACCCTTGCTTCTTGGCACAGTGATCAAAGACTTTTAAAAATGGGAATTATCATAGTAGGTTTTGGGCATTTTGTGTTTCTTAAATGCAAAACCTATTTTAACTCCTCAAATCTTGAATAAGGTTGTCTTTATCTCACACACACACACACACACACCCAAATATGCACACACCTTTCTTGAAAGGACACACTTCTCTTGTTTGTTAATTACATATGGCAAGGAAAGACCAAATATTGGCTACAGTCAACATTAGACATAAAGGTCTGCCAGCCCTCAACAGTTCTATAAATTACAAACCAAAAATCCAATAATCAGAATTTAAAAGACGAAGCATCTATTTGAGTGTTTTCTTTTTATATAAAATTGACAGACAAAAGCAGAGTTCTACATTTGGTACAATGTGGTACAGGATAGGGACCCCATTTGTTGGATGGCAAGATTATTCATAAAGTAATTCACAGGAAACAGGAGCTGAGAAGCAGGGATGTCCACGAGAGAGTGAGATTCTTATGAATTTCCAATGATTAGAGATGGAATAAATCTTATCTACTTATCTAGATATAAAAAGCAAGATTAACCCAGTTGATATTTGGTTCATACTCTGCAAAAACTGAGTCCCAATTCCTGGGATCTATCCTAAGGAAATGGTAGCATAAACATCCAAAGCTTCATGTACAATGATGTTTGTTGCAACATTATTTGTGTTCAAAAAATTGGACATTAACTATATGCCCATCAATAAGCATGGTTAAAGGATAAGAAAAATATGCACTGGAGGGCAGTTCCAAGATGGCTGAATAGGAATAGCTCCAGTCTACAGCTCCCAGCCTGAGTGACACAGAAGACGGGTGATTTCTGCATTTCCAACTGAGCTTTGAAGACAGTAGTGGTTCTCCTGGCATGGAGTTTGAGATCTGAGAACAGACAGACTGCCTCCTCAAGTGGGTCCCTGAACCCTGAGTAGCCTAACTGGGAGGCACCCCCCAGTAGGGGCAGACTGATACCTCACACGGCCAGGTACCCCTCTGAGATGAAACTTCCAGAGGAACAATCAGGCAGCAACATTTGCTGTTCAGCAATATTCACTGTTCTGCAGCCTCCGCTGCTGATACCCAGGCAAACAGGGTCTGGAGTGGACCACCAGAAAACTCCAACAGACCTGCAGCTGAGGGTCCTGACTGTTAGAAGGAAAACTAACAAACAGAAAGGACATCCACACCAAAACCCCATCTGTACATCGCCATCATCAAAGACCAAAGGTAGATAAAACCACAAAGATGGGGAAAAAACAGAGCAGAAAAGCTGAAAATTCTAAAAATCAGAGCGCCTCTCCTCCTCCAAAGGAAGACAGCTCCTCAGCAGCAATGAACAAAGCTGGATGGAGAATGACTTTGATGAGTTGAGAGAAGAAGGCTTCAGATGATCAAACTTCTCCAAGCCAAAGGAGGAAGTTCCCACCCATCGCAAAGAAGTTAAAACCCTGGAAAAAAGATTAGACAAAAGGCTAACTACAATAACCAATGTAGAGAAGTCCTTAAAGGACCTGATGGAGCTGAAAATCATGGCACAAGAACTACATGATGAATGCACAAGTTTCAGTAGCCGATTCGATCAACTGGAAGAAAGGGTATCAGTGATTGAAGCTCAAATGAATGAAATGAAGTGAGAAGGGAAGTTTAGAGAAAAAAGAATACAAAGAAATGAACAAAGCCTCCAAGAAATATGGGACTATGTGAAAAGACCAAACCTAAGTCTGATTGGTGTACCTGAAAGTGACAGGGAGAATGGAACCAAGTTGGAAAACACTCTGCAGGATATTATCCAGGAGAACATCCCCAACCTAGCAAGGCAGGCCAACATTCAAATTCAGGAAATACAGAGAATGCCACAGAGATACTCCTCGAGAAGAGCAACTCCAACACAAATAACTGTCAGATTCAACAAAGTTGAAATGAAGGAAAAAATGTTAAGGGCAGCCAGAGAGAAAGGTCGGGTTACCCACAAATGGAAGCCCATCAGACTAACAGTGGATCTCTTGGCAGAAACTACAAGCCAGAAGAGAGTGGGGGCCAATATTCAACATTCTTAAAGAAAAGAATTTTCAACCCAGAATTTCATATCCAGCCAAACTAAGCTTCATAAGTGAAGGAGAAATCAAATCCTTTACAGACAAGCAAATGCTGAGATTTTGTCACTACCAGGCCCGCCCTACAAGAGCTCCTGAAGGAAACACTAAACATGGAAAGGAAGAACCAGTACCAGCCACTACAAAAACATGCCAAATTGTAAAGACCATCAAGGCTAGGAAGAAACTGCATCAACTAACAAGCAAAATAACCAGCTAACATCATAATGACAGGATCAAATTCACACATAACAATATTAACCTTAAATGTAAATGGGCTAAATGCTCCAATTAAAAGACACAGACTGGCAATTTGGATAAAGAGTCAAGACCCATCAGTGTGCTGTATTCAGGAAACCCATCTCACATGCAGAGACACAAATAGGCTCAAAATAAAGGGATGGAGGAAGATCTACCAAACAAATGGAAAACAAAAAAAGGCAGGGGTTGCAATCCTAGCCTCTGATAAAACAGACTTTAAAACAACAATGATCAAAAGAGACAAAGAAGGCCATTACATATGGTAAAGGGATCAATTCAACAAGAAGAGCTAACTATCCTAAATATATACGCACCAAATACAGGAGCACCCAGATTCATAAAGCAAGTCCTTAGAGACCTACAAAGAGACTTAGACTCCCACACAATAATAATGGGAGACTTTAACATCCCACTGTCAACATTAGACAGATCAACGAGAAAGTTAACAAGGATATCCAGGAATTGAACTCAGCTCTGCACCAAGTGGACCTAATAGACATCTACAGAACTCTCCACCCCAAATCAACAGAATATACATTCTTCTCAGCACCACATCACACTTATTCCAAAATTGACCACATACTTGGAAGTAAAGCACTCCTCAGCAAATGTAAAAGAACAGAAATTATAACAAACTGTCTCTCAGATCACATTGCTATCAAACTAGAACTCAGGATTAAGAAACTCACTCAAAACCACTCAACTACATGGAAACTGAACAACCTGCTCCTGAATAACTACTGGGTACATAATGAAATGAAGGCAGAAATAAAGATGTTCTTTGAAACCGACAAGAACAAAGACACAACATACCAGAATCTCTGGGACACATTCAAAGCAGTGTGTAGAGGGAAACTTATAGCACTAAATGCCCACAAGAGAAGGCAGGGAAAATCTAAAATTGACACCCTAACATCACAATTAAAAGAACTAGAGGAGCAAGAGCAAACAAATTCAAAAGCTAGCAGAAGGCAAGAAATAACTAAAATCAGAGCAGAACTGAAGGAAATAGAGACACAAAAAACCCTTCAAAAAAATCAATGAATCCAGGAGTTCGTTTTTTGAAAAGATCAACAAAATTGATAGACTGCTAGCAAGACTAATAAAGAAGAAAAGAGAGAAGATTCAAATAGACACAATAAAAAATGATAAAGGGGATATCACCACCGATCCCACAGAAATACAAACTACCATCAAAGAATACTATAAACACCTCTACGCAAATAAACTAGAAAATCTAGAAGAAATGGAGAAATTCCTGGAAACATACACCTCCCAAGACTAAATCAGGAAGAAGTTGAATCTCTGAATAGACCAATAACAGGCTCTGAAATTGAGGCAACAATTAATAGCCTACAAACCAAAAAAAGTCCAGGAACAGACAGATTCACAGCCGAATTCTACCAGAGGTACAAGGAGGAACTGGTACCATTCCTTCTGAAACCATTCCAATCAATAGAAAAAGAGGGAATCCTCCCTAACTCATTTTTTGGGGCCAGCATCAACCTGATACCAAAACCTGGCAGTGACACAACAAAAAAAGAGAATTTTAGACCGATATCCCTGATGAACATCGATGCAAAAATCCTCCATAAAATACTGGCAAAGCAAATCCAGCAGCACATCAAAAAGCTTATCCACCATGATCAAGTGGGCTTCATCCCTGGGATGCAAGGCTGGTTCAATATATGCAAATCAATAAATGTAATCCAGCATATAAACAGAACCAAAGACAAAAACCACATGATTATCTCAATAGATGCAGAAGAGGCCTTTGACAAAATTCAATAGCCCTTCGTGCTAAAAACTCTCAATAAATTAGGCATTGATGGGATGTATCTCAAGATAATAAGAGCTATTTATGAGAAACCCACAGCCAATATCATACTGAATGGGCAAAAACTGGAAGCATTCCCTTAGAAAACTGGCACAAGACAGGGATGCCCTCTCTCACCACTCCTATTCAACATAGTGTTGGAAGTTCTGGCCAGGGCAATCAGGCAAGAGAAAGAAATAAAGGGTATTCAATTAGGAAAAGAGGAAGTCAAATTGTCCCTGTTTGCAGATGACACGATTGCATATCTAGAAAACCCCATCGTCTCAGCCCAAAATCTCCTTAAGCTGATAAGCAACTTCAGCAAAGTCTCAGGATACAAAATCAATGTGCAAAAATCACAATCATTCTTATACACCAATAACAGACAAACAGAGAGCCAAATCATGAGTGAACTCCCATTCACAATTGCTTCAAAGAGAATAAAATACCTAGGAATCCAACTTACAAGGGATGTGAAGGACCTCTTCAAGGAGAACTACAAACCACTGCTCAATGAAATAAAAGAGGATACAAGCAAATGGAAGAACATTCCATTCCATGCTCATGGATAGGAAGAATCAATATCATGAAAATGGCCATACTGCCCAAGGTAATTTATAGTTTCAACGCCATCCCCATCAAGCTACCAATGCCTTTCTTCACAGAACTGGAAAAAACTACTTTAAAGTTCATATGGAACCAAAAAAGAGCCCGCATTGCCAAGTCAATCCTAAGCCAAAAGAACAAAGCTGGAGGCATCACGCTACCTGACTTCAAACTATACTACGAGGCTACAGTAACCAAAACAGCATGGTACTAGTACCAAAACAGAGATATAGATCAATGGAACAGAACAGAGCCCTCAGAAATAACGCCGCCTATCTACAACCATCTGATCTTTGACAAACCTGACAAAAACAAGAAATGGGGAAAGGATTCCCTATTTAACAAATGATGCTGGGAAAACTGGCTAGCCATATGTAGAAAGCTGAAACTGGATCACTTCCTTACACCTTATACAAAAATTAATTCAAGATGGATTAAAGACTTACATGTTAGACCTAAAACCATAAAAACCATAGAAGATAACCTAGGCAATACCATTCAGGACATAGGCATGGGCAAGGACTTCATGTCTAAAACACCAAAAACAATGGCAACAAAAGCCAAAATTGACAAATGGGATCTAATTAAACTAAAGAGCTTCTGCACAGCAAATGAAACTACCATCAGAGTGAACAGGCAACCTACAAAATGGGAGAAAATTTTCGCAACCTACTCATCTGACAAAGGGCTAATATCCAGAATCTACCAATAACTCAAACAAATTTACAAGAAAAAAACAAACAACCCCATCAAAAAGTGGGCAAAGGATATGAACAGACACTTCTCAAAAGAAGACATTTATGCAGCCAAAAAACACATGAAAAAATGCTCATCATCACTGGCCATCAGGGAAATGCAAATCAAAACCACAATGAGATACCATCTCATACCAGTTAGAATGACAATCATTAAAAAGTCAGGAAACAACAGGTGCTGAAGAGGATGTGGAGAAATAGGAACACTTTTACACTGTTGGTGGGACTGTAAACTAGTTCAACCATTGTGGAAGTCAGTGTGGCGATTCCTCAGGGATCTAGAACTAGAGATACCATTTGACCCAGCCATCCCATTACTGGGTATATACCCAAAGGATTATAAATCATGCTGCTATAAAGACACATGCACACGTATGTTTATTGTGGCACTATTCACAATAGCAAAGACTTGGAACCAACCCAAATATCCATCAATGATAGACTGGATTAAGAAAATGTGGCACATATACACCATGGAATACTATGCAGCCATAAAAAATGATGAGTCCATGTCCTTTGTAGGGACATGGATGAAGCTGGAAACCATCATTCTCAGCAAACTATTGCAAGGACAAAAAACCAAACACTGCATGTTCTCATTCATAGGTGGGAATTGAGCAATGAGAACACATGGACACAGGAAGGGGAACATCACACACTGGGGCCTGTGGTGGGGTAGGTGGAGTGGGGAGGGATAGCATTAGGAGATATACCTAATATAAATGACGAGTTAATGTATGCAACACACCAATATGGCACATGTATACGTATGTAACAAACCTTCAAGTTATACACATGTACCCTAGAACTTAAAGTATAATAAATATATATATATATATAAAGAAAAATATGCACTAAGTATATGAAAGGTATTCATAATTCATGATTAAATGACTAAAGTTCATTGTGGAAAAATATGTTGTATATATAACCAAATTTTTGTAGAAAAATGTGTCCTAATGTATTTTTGAGTGTGTTTATATAGATCCATTTTAAGTAAATGTGAGTACATATATGTGTATTTATGTGTGTGTACACTGTGTATATGTTTCCTTACACACAAATCTGAAAAAAATAGCATACCTAATCACAGTAGAATGGTGATGGAGATTAGCAATGTTTATTTTTCTTCCTCTACTTTTCACATTATTTGAAGTTTTGCAAATATGTATTACTTTTTTATTGTCTTTCTTCTCCACTAGAATGCACTCTCCTAAGGGCAGGGAGTTTGAATCTCTTACTTTTAGTATCTTGAAGAATGACACAAATTAAATGACTTAGTAAATATTTATTGAGTGCATGAATTGTCAGAGAGGTAGAGGTTGGTCAAGGGACTAGTTTCTCAGATACCAGGGGAAAATAAGTTGTTTCAAGGAGCGAGTGGTTGAATGCTGCTGAGAACTTAAGAAAGATGTGTTGCATGCGTCCATTAGAAAGAAATTAGAAAGCATCATTAGAAGTAGTTCATGAATAGAAATCAGGAGCATAATTGAAAGTTGTGAAAAATTTGTACAACATATTATTATCTTGAAGCATGCTTTTTTTGAGCATGTTTTTCCATAGAGAGAAACATTTAATTCCTCCTAGAGAGGCTACATAGCATGGTGGTTAAAAGTGTGGACTACAGAGCCAAACTGACTGGGTTCAAATTCATCTCTGTTCTGGGTAGACAACCTTGAGCAAATTACTTCAACTATCTGTGCCTCAGTTTCAACTATAGAAAATAAGGATAAGAATAGTACTTAAAGATTTGTTTTGAGTATAAAATGATTTAGTACATGTTTAGCACATAAAGCAGTGCTTTTTATATTTTAAAGGTTCAATAAATGTTAGCTATTATTAAAAAAGAAGGAAGGGAGGAAGCAAGGAAGGAAATAAGGATGAGAAAAGAGCATCGATGAGCTATGAAACAATTTTAAGTGACTGAATATATGTGTAATTGGAGTCCTAGAAGGAAAGATAGGAGTAGAAAGAGAGAACACACAAATTACTAATTTAGGAATAAAAGAGGTGACCTTCCCACTGACTCTAAAGATACTAAAAGAACAACTTGGCCTGGTTCAGTGACTCACACCTGTAATCTCAGCACTTTGGGAGGCTAAGGCAGGAGGACTGCTTGAGCCCAGGAGTTCAAGCCCAGCCTGGGCAACACAGGGAGACCCCATCTCTTCAAAAAATTTAAAAATTAACTGGGTGTGTTATTGCATGCCTTTAGTTCCATTTACTCAGGAGGATAGGCAAGAGGGTCACTTGAGCCAAAGAGTTTAAGGCTGCAGTGAGCCATGATTGCACCCCTGCACTCCAGCCTAAGTCACATAACAAGGCCCTGTCTCAAAAATAATTAGTTAAATAAACATAAAAACTTTATGCCAATAAATTCTACAACTTCGATGAAATGAAAACATCATTGAAAGACATGAATTCACAAAGCTCACTCAAAAATAGATGCCCTTAATAGCACTATATCTGTTAAAGAAATAGATTTTGTACTTAAAAGCTTTCAGAGTTAGTGACTACAGAGAAACTAATTCTACAATCCCTCTAGCCGCTAATTATGAAAGCTAGGAGTCATTTTAGACCCGTTCTCCTTTCACATTACTAATATTTAATCTTCAAGTCATTTATCTTGATTTCAACTCTGAAATAAATCTTGTAACAGTCTTCTACTTTTCATCATTCATTACCACTACTTTATTCCAGGCACTAAAAATCTTTTGCCTGAAGTATTGCAACAGCCTGGTAGTTGCTTTCCAGAATAAAATCTATAGCCCACGCTTTCCAAGATGAAATATTGTACAAATTCCAGTTCTTCCATATTAACCACATGATACAATCTAACTTCTTATCATTTTATGCATGACTCTTGGTGATCTGCCTCACCTTCTGTCTCTCCTCATTTCTCATTCTATATTATAGCAACATGAAACCAGATATAATTCCTCAAACACTATGTTCTAACATAGCTCTGTGCAGTTGCATACGCTTTTCTCTTGCCTTTTTTTTATTTCAATAGCTTTTGGAGTACAAGTGGTTTTCTGTTGCATGAATGAATTTTATAATGGTGATTTCTGGGATTTTAGTGCACCCGTCACCCGAGTAGTGTACATTGTACCTAATGTGTAGTTTTTTCATCCCTAGCTCCCCTCCCAACCTTCCCCTTCTGTGTCTCTAAAGTCCATTATATCACTCTGTATACCTTTGCATACTCATAGCTTAGCTCCCAGTTATAAGTGAGAACATACAGTTTTTGGTTTTCCATTCCTGTGTTGCTTCACTTAAGATAATGGCCTCCAGCTCCATCTGAGTTGCTCTCTTGCTTTCTTTTTTTTGGCTCCCTGGTGAAAACTAGCCATTCTCAAGAACTCTGTTTCACCAAAACTTGACAGGTAGTAGTTTCTTAAAGTTTAGTTGTAATATGAAATCTGTAATCGTATCAATGAATTGTTTGTACTCTGTTACATTAACACTATTGATATATCTTGCACTTTCAATGAATCTTTTACTCTTGCATGATTTTGTATCATCAGATATTAATTATTTGGAAAATATTCATTTACTAAGTTATACATACCATATGAATATTGATACATTTCATTATATCATACCAAAATTCACCTTTATTATTATCACCACTGACCTCATCAAAAAACTCTTCAAGTATTAGGAAGCTGTTAATCTCATGGAGGTATACCCAAGTTTTCCAAAATTCTAATATTAGCTTGAAATATTAAACATTATTATTGACAACAAGTGTCAGTTATTTTCCTTGAGGTAACAGGTTCACTTCAGTCATTTTTGAGAAAACATCTGCCAAATATCCAAGTCTCAATAGCAATAGTTTATCCAACAGTCATCCTTTCAAGTAAAAATGATGATCCATTAAAAAGTGGCCCATTGATTTCCTACCTCAACTGATTGTACAAGTGCTTTTCCTTGAGACAGCCTTAATACTCCCCCAAGTACAAGTGCTTTATGTGCACTTCCATTTCATCGAAGAGACTATTGAGAAAACATGTACGCAAGTGTCAAGCTTCAATACAATTTAAAAATTACTGTTTTATAGAGAGCATTCTTAAATGAAACTGGCTTTTTTAAACTCAAAGGGCATTGTAGTGAAGAATACAATAACTAATCATACCACTTTGTTTCATGTCAAAGTTTCTGCAGTTTTTCCCATCATTGCTTTTGCAACATCAATGTGAAGTCCAACACAGTGAAAAAGGTCAATATTTTAGGGTTATCATAAAAAGAGTGTTAACTTCATGAAGTCCCTGAAGGAAACTTGCATACCACATGATATGGTTTGGCTGTGTCCCTATCCAAATCTCATCTTGAATTGTAGTTTCCATAATCCTCACATATTGTGGGAGGGATCAGATGGAGATAACTGAATCATGGGGGAAGTTTCCCTCATCCTGTTCTTGTGATAGTGAGTTAGTTCTCACAAGATCTAATGGTTTTATAAAGGGCTTTTCTCCACCTTCACTCTGTACTTCTCCTTGCTGCTGCCATGTGAAGAAGGACATGACTGCTTCCCCTTCCCCAGCCATGCTGAACTATAAGTCAAATAAACCTCTTTCCTTTACAAATTACCCAGTCTCAGGTATGTCTTTATTAGAAGCATGAGGATGGACTAACACAACACACTTTGCAAATCTCTGAGACAGAAAACAGTAATTGAAAAATATGAGACATGCCAGTTCTACAACAATTAGGATTTGGGGAACTTTCCAAAAATAGCTAAGATTTATTGAGTGCTTACATTCTAGGCATTGTACTAACCACTAAGGATGCATCAGTCTACAAAACAGAAATCTCCAAAAATTATGTTGTTAATATTTATCCTTGTCCTGATAAAGCTTACATATCAATGGGAATGAGTTAGTTGAAAAAAAAAAAGAGGGTTGTATGAATTTGAACTGTAGAGTAACTTAGGACAAATGGTTGGAGAAATTCTCCCCACCATGACTCTTTTTTGGGGTTCAAAAAAAACAATAAATTCACTAAATCTTTTAATTCATTGGAAGTCAGTGATACTTGTTTTGCATAATTAGCCACAAATGAACAGCTGTGAATATTCTCAAACTGTTTTGTGTTCATGCCTATATCCACTGTAGCCTTTCAGATCTAGAATTCAGGATGCAATATTGCTTCCATTTTAATTTCTTCCTTTTTAATTTTCATTATTTCCTTAAGACTGGGAGAATGACTTCTAACTGAAGATTAACTGGAGACATGGGGATTACAGATACAAGCAAGCCGTCAGCCTCACTAGAGTCTAAAATGGTAAAGGTTCTATAAAACTTGCTGATAACCTGAGGCCATGAATGTCTCTCACTGTCACCTGGGGCTGTTTGTCAGTGTCACTCTCTTCTCTCCACAGCTAAGATTCAGTTACAGTCATGAACACAGTGCTCTACTTACTTCTCTCTCCTCTGCTGTCAAAATCTAAGAAAATGACATCTACAAATAAAAACTTGCATGTGATTTTAGCTGAGGGTCTGGAAAGACTCATTAGCAAGAAATAGCTTCAAATAGAACACAGTACCACTGAGTTGAAACACATCTCCAAATTAATTTCATCTGAATTGATTTGCCCTGTCCAGATGGTGTAAGCCATTGAGACTATTTCCAAAAAAAAGTTAATGATTTTAAAGGTGATTCAAAGGGGTGTGGTTGACAATGGCAAATGAGCTGAGGTTTGGTTCTGAGGGACAAAAATCTCTCTTTCGAGTTACATTAAACCCTTTGAAGTAATTCAATTAAACTCTATGGGCCTCTGCTTTCTCATCTAATAAAGTGAGACCATAAATACTTCCAACAAATATCACAGTTTTAAATTGGAAAAATTTGCTGGAAAGTGTGTTATACATATGAAATTTATAAATGTTTCAAAATAATAATCACTAGAATAAAGAAGCATTGTAAAGTTCAGTGTTTCTAGAAAGTCACCACTCTTAGAAATGTATGTTGATCTTTAAATAGCTATAAAGTTGTCTTTCCACTTAAAGTCCTCTTTTACTATCTATTCTTCCAATGAGAGAAATAATAAATTTTACGCATGGTTGGAGTATAAAAAAAGTATTTTTCAATCTTTCCCTAAGTGAAAGAAGCACTTCTATTTTCACCTTTATCATTTCTTCCCTAATCATTCATAATCAGAAAGTAACAAATGCTCTAGACATACAGTACTTTTTTCCAGAAAATAGGAAAAACGTGTTCTTTTGTGGTTCTGTATTTTTGTACACTTTGTATTCCCTGACTGTAATTCCATTTTTCCTCTTTTTTTCTGAATGATTTCTACTGATCTCTAAAAACCAGCCAAAACGCTATTTTTTCTATGAAGCCTTTTCTAACAACGCGAACATAGAGCTAGTAGAACCTTCTTTCTTTTTTCATTATATTGTATGCTAATTCTTTTTTTTAACAAATAACTACTGAATAGATATACCATCACTTATTCCATTTTTTTGTAATCTCACTCTAGAATGTGAGATCATTAAAGGTATTGATCATATTTTCCTTCCCCTCTCTGTACTCAGGGCAGTTCCAGCCACATAACTTAAATAAAAGTGAATGAGGCCAGGGCAGTAGCTCACGCCTGTAATCCCAGAACTTGGGAGGCTGAGGCAAGTGGATCATTCAAGGTCAGGAGTTCGAGACCAGCTTGGCCAACATGGTGAGACCTCCGTCTCTACTAAAAATACAAAAATTATCTGGGCATGGTGGCATGTGCCTGTAATCCCAGCTACTCGGGAGGCTGAGGCAGGAGAATCACTTAAACCCGGGAGGTGGACATTTCAGTAAGCCAAGATCATGCCGCTGCACTCCAGCCTGGGCGACAGAGCAGGAATCTGTCTCAAAAAAAAAAAAAAAAAAAGAATGAAACCATGAATCTATCATTCTAGACAAGCTTGCTTTAGTTTATAGATATGTGACAAATGGGGACAGCCCTATGTTATTTCCATTCTGACTTGTCACTGTCTATGTGATCTCTATGTGACTTTCATGGAGATCCATTTCATCCCTAACTCTCTGCTTGTTCTGGCACTCCAAGTAATATCTTAAATGTGCCTCAGACATTCCTATCTATAGCATTATTTAAATAAAATATAATTTTGTATTTAAAACAGAATGTATCAAGTCACCATGTAAAATGAAAGCTGACCTTCTTTTTACTGACAAAATCCACATAAAAATCTGAGCATGGAGGGAAAAGTTTTTTTGCTTTGTTTTCTTGTTGTTGTTATTTTTTAAAATATTCTCCAAGAATGCTTCAATTATAGGCATTTCCTCCCAACTTTTAATGATATATATTTGAATTCCTAACATCCTTTTGCTATTGCTTGACAATAGAAAAAATAACTTGAGTTATTTAAAATTTACAGCACATTATTCCTACTATTTTAGTGAAAGAAAAAGGAAACACACAAAACAAATACAAAATCTTTATTAATGGCTTGCTTACTACAGAATTATTTCCAATATTTCTGGAATCTTTTCCTCAGAAAGTTCCTCAGTACTCTAGGGCAGAAGTCAGCAAACATTTTTCTATAAAGGGGCAGATAGTAAACATTTTAAGTTTTGTAGGCCAAAAGGTAATATTGAGGATATTATGAATGTACTTATATAAAAAAGGAAAAATACATTTCCCTATAATTTCTATTAAAAAAATAATAATTAAGAACTTTTTTTGTCATACAAGCCTCCTAATAAAAAGAATGGAATTCTTTTTTGAGAGAAGGAGAGGCAACACCTCACTTAATTGGGATTCAATGTTCCCTATTATTAAAATTAATTGCAAATTTTATTTGTTAATGCTAATCTGTAATGAGATTTTACATTTTTCATCTTTGAAAATGTCTTTTCACACAGATAGATGATACATGTGGTATTAAAAATGCTGATAACTGCATTACTGAGATTTATAGTAGCAGTGAGAAATGATAAGCGTGTCATATACAATCTGTCACAACTACTGAACTCTGCTGTTGTAGCACAAAATCCTCCATTGAGAATGAATGAGTGAGTATGGCTATGTTCTAATAAAACTTTATTTATGGTACTAAAATTTAAATTTCACAGAATTTTCATGTCACAAAATATACTTCTTTTGATTTTTTTCAACTGTTTAAAACAATATGAGAGCTATTCTTAGTCCATGGATTAAACACAAACTGGTGGCAGGCTGGATTTGTTCCACTGACTGTGGTTTGCTGTCCCCAGATCTATAGTATACCCCTGTATTACAGCCATGATTACAGCTGACTTGGTGGGGTTGGTGGTAGAGTGTTCAGGGGTAACAAAAGGAAGAAAGAAAATAAAAAGGGATCTAGGCTGGTCCTTTCTACTGGATCCTCTCTTAACTGCCCTATTTCCATACTTCTGTTCCCAAATTCCCATTCTCCTTCTCTTATTCTATTATTCCCATACTGGGTATATTTACCACTCTGCAGTATAATGAACATGCTATTGCTGTTTCATAGGCAAATCACCACTCTGTGACCCTGTATTTCTATGGGAACTTTGATGAGAAGAATGGAATTGTTTTGAGGAAGGGGAGATAACAGTCACTTAATTGTGGTTCAAAGTTAGTATTCCCTAACATTAAAGTTGATCACAAATTTCTTTTGTTAATGCTGACTTGTGATGAGATTTTGTGTATTTCTAAGTTAAAGAAGAAAAAGTCAAAAGGTGGTTAACCTGTGTGACAAATAAATTTTAGACATGTACCTAAACTGCTACATATTTTAGGTCTAATTACTATGAAGCACAATGTAAGAAGTCATAATAAAGCAGAAAGATAATATATTTTGTAGTCACCTAAACATGGTTGTAAATATCATTTCTGTCTCTTACTAATTAAATAACCTCAGGTAAGTTATTTAATCTCCTTCTAAGCATTATGTTTTTATATTTGAATCCTCAAAAGGTAGGCATAATTATCTTGAGTTTATAGATGAGCAAAGTGTGTAAAACACAGTCCCATAACTGACACTCAAAAAGAACCATTTTAATATTTATAAATAATGTGCATCATTAAATGTGTTATATTAACTGTTTACTGATTATTGTTTGATAATAACAGCAGATTAATTATACATAACATTATTCTCCTAGAATTCCCTTTCATCCAACTCCTACATATCCTGTACTGACTTTCATTAATTTATTCAGAATGCTTTCTTCTCTATAAAGACTTTCAGATACGCTCAGACAAAACCAATGTCTCTCTCATCTGAAATATCAACAGTTTGTGGCTTATTTAGTATATATTTTCTATTTTCAATTATACCTACATTTATTCACATTATTCACATGCTTGGAATCACAGAACTTTGGAACTGGAAGGAACATAGTATACCATCTCACCCATTCTCCTTATGTTACATGGAAGTTACATGGGGAAAGAGTTACTTATAGTTGAAATGAATTGTCAAGAGTCACACAGAACTTTTAGGACAACTCATGATTTTCAACTCTGAATTTAATACTTTTCCCACTACATAATTTATCTTCCATTTCCTAATTTTCTTCTGTCTCCCTTGTCTTCACTCTGATCAGTCAACCAGTCTTACTTGCTGTCTTAGTCTATTTAGTGTTGCTATAAAGGAATACCAGAGTTTGGGTAATTCATAAAGAAAAGTGATTTATTTAGCTCAGAGTTCTGCTGGCTGAAAGGTTCAAGACTGGGCATCTGGTGAGGGCCTCAGGCTACTACCACTCATGGCAGAAGGCAAGGGGAGCCAGCATGTACAAAGATCACATGACAAGAGAGGCAGTAAGAGAGAGAGGAGGAGGTGCCAGGATCTTTTTAAGAACCAGCTCTCCTGGAAACTAATAAAGGAGAACCCACTCACCAACACCCTTGAGGGAGGGTGTGATGGTTAATGTTAAGTGTCAACTTGATTGGATTGAAGGATGCAAAGTATTGTTCCTGGATGTGTTTGTGAGGGTGTTGCCAAAGGAGATTAACATTTTAGTCAGTGCACTGGGAGAAACAGACTCACCCTCACTGTGGGTGGGCACCATCCATTCAACTGCCAGTGTGGTTAGAATAAAGCAGCCAGAAGAAGGTGGGAGAAGCTGACTTGCCGAGTCTTCCAGCCTTTATCTTTTCCCCTTGCTGGATGCTTCCTGCCCTCCAATATCAGATTCCAAGTTCTTCAGCTTTTGGATTCTTGGATTTACCCCAGTGGTTGGCCAAGAGCTCTCAGGCCTTTGGCCACAGACTGAAGGCTGCAATGTCGGCTTCCGTACTTTTGAGGTTTTGGGACTCAGACTGGCTTTCTTGCTCCTCAGTTTGCAGATTACCTATTGTGAAACTTCACCTTTTTATCATGAGAGTCAATTCTCCTAATATACTTCCCTTCATATATACATATATCATATTAGTTCGGTCCCTTTAGAGAACCCTGACTAAACCTGACCCACAGCCAACATCACACTGAATGGGGAAAAGCTCGAAGCTTTCCCCTTGAAAACCAGAATAAGACAAGGATGCCCTCTCTCAACATTCCTACTCAACATAGCACTGGAAGTCCTGGCCAGGGCAATAAGGCAATAAAAAGAAATAAAGCGTATCCAAATGGGAAGAGAGGAAGTCAAACTATCCCTGTTTACAGACAACATGATCCTATATCTAGAAAATAGATATTTTAGTCTTAGCCTAAAAGCTTTGTAAGCTGATAAGCAACTACAGCAAAGTCTCAGGATACAAAATCAATGTGCAAAAATCGCTAGCATTCCTATACACCAACAACAATTAAGCTGAGAGCCAAATCCCAAATCAGGAATGCATTCCCATCCACAGTTGCCACAAAAAGAATAAAATACCTAGGAATACAGCTAACCAGGGAGGTGAAAGATCTCTACAAGGAGAACTACAAACCACTGCTCAAAGAAATCAGAGATGACACAAACAAATGGAAAAATATTCCATGCTCATGGATAGGAAGAATCAATATCATAAAAATGGCCATACTACCCAAAGCAATTTATAGATTCAATGCTACTCTTATTAAACTACCATTGAGATTCTTCACAGAACTAGAGAAAAGTATTTTAAAATTCATATGGAACCAAAAAAGAGCCAAATAGCCAAGGGAGTCCTGAGGAAAAAGAACAAAGCTGAAGACATCTTGATACGCAACTTCAAACAATATTACAGAGCTACAGTAACCAAAAGAGCATGGTACAGGTACAGAAACAGAAACAGAAACCAACGGAACAGAATAGAGAATCCAAAAATAAGACTGCACACCTACAACTATCTGATCTTTGACAAACTAGACAAAAATAAGCAATGGGGAAAGGGTTCCCTATTCAATACATGGTGTTTGGACAACTGGCTAGCCATATGCAGAAGACTGAAACTGAACCCCTTCCTTACATCACATACATAAATTAACTTAAGGTGGATTAAAGACTTAAATGTAAAACTCAAAAATATAAAAACCCTGGGCCTCCCATACATTGATGATGATAATGTATAATACTACAGCCACTTTATAAAACAACATATATTAGTTTTTTAGGCATGCCATAACAAAGTGTCACAAATTTGGTAGTCTAAAAAGGAAATACAAATTTATTATTTCACAATTCTGGAGACCAGAAGTCTGAAATCAAGAAGCCAGCAACCATAGCTCTCCATCTAATGGCTGTAGGGGAAAACCTTTCCTTACCTCTTCTAGATTCTGGCATTCTAGATTCAAGCATTCTTGGCTTGTGGCAGCATAATCCAAACCTCCGCCTTTTTGTTCACGTGGTCTTCTCCTCTGTGTCTGTCTTCTCCTCTTCTATCTCTTACAAAAATACTTGTCATGGGATTTAGGGCTTATCTGTATAATCTAAAATGATCTTGAAGGGGAGAAAGTATGTTTTTTTGCAACCCTCATAATCTCATAGTTGGACAGATTTCCTATTAATAAATGACAGATTAACAAGAGAAAAACAAGCAATTTTATATACACACACAGTGCACATCATGCGGGAGAAATCTCAATTCAAAAGGATCTCTGGAAAGTAACTCTTTCATAGCAGTGGGTTAGGGGCCTTGCTTAAACAGTGTTTTAACAAAGGACAATACATTTTAGCATAGTAACAAGACAAAGCTTCAGGCTTGCAAAGGTGGGAGAACTGTAGGAAGGTAGTGAAGTTTGCTCCCAGATTCCTCTGGCCCAGCTGGCACTGTTTCTGAGCTGACACAAGCCCAGTGACTTCTTTAGTAAAGAAAGAATTTACATCCTGCCTTTAGGCAGAAAGGAGGGGCAGAAGCCCCTGTTCATGTTTTTCAAAGGAGTTTTTATAGCCTGCCATTACGTTAAAAACAGCAACGCAGACTGCCCTTTCTATAACTGCTTCTTCCCAATTGCCTCTAATTTAAAAATATTTATTTCAAAAGGGCATTTTTTTTTTTTTTTTTTTACCAAATACAGTCATCTTCACAGATTCCAGAGGTTAGGATATGAACATCTTTTTTTTGGGAGCCATCAAGCAACCTACTACACATAGATTAGCAGTTTCTCTAAAAAGTTAAACATATAGTTATCAAATAATCCAGCCATTCTACTCTTAGGTAGTCTAAAGAGAAAGCACATATCTGCATAAAGACTTGTATATGAATATTCATAGCAGCCTCATTCATAATAGCAAAACAAACAAGAAAAAAGAAACAACCCAACTGTCCATCAATATGTAAATGGATAAACAACTTGTGGTACATTCATATAGTTGAATATTGCTCAGCAGCTAAAGCAAAAACATAGCAAAAAAGTCAGACAAGAAAGAGTACATAATGTATAAAGTCATTCATTTGAAATTCCAGAGAATTTCTACTAATCTATAATGACAAAAGGCAGATCAGTGGTAGCCTACAGTTAAGGGAGCAAGGAGGAAAAGATTACAAAGAGGCATGAGGATACTCTTGGGTGTGATATATTTGTACTTCATTTTGATTGTGATGATGGTTTCATGGGTGGTATACATAAGTCAAAACTTATCAAATGTACAATTTTAATACTTGAAGTTTATTTCACATACCTCCCTAAAGCTGTAAAAATGAAATAATTTTTTTAATTAAAAGTTTTAACTATAACTTTTGACTATTGTAGTCAAGCTATTCTCTCAGGCTATGAATGAAGGGGATGGTGTGTGTTGATTCGGTATTGCCATTAAGGAATTTCTCTTACTTCTTTCAGAGTCAGTTAGACATATCTTTCTCAGTGATTAGTGCCTTGGCCTCACTCAATTCTCTGAAATTCTCCTATTCTTCTCGAGCTGGCTTCCCTTTCAATACTGGATATAAGGACTATTTCATTCATGTCTGCCAACCCTCTAAGTAAGTTGAATGGGAAGCTACCAGGTTGGTGAGATTTGAGGGCAATGTCTTTAGCTCCTGCTCACAAATATCTTTGTTTTTAAACTTTGTCTTTCCTTCTTGTTTTGAGTATCAGAAAGTTTCAGGGAGAAGCACAGAAATGACAAGCAAAAGGTAGAAGTAGTGGTGGGTAGGAGAAGACAGCCTTCAGAGTACAGGTGGGTCACTGAGATGCTGGGCATCAGGGTAGTTCATTTGGAAAGGGAGAGGTTAGTGCTGAAGGGAAATTGTGCTGTATTCATAAATTTGCTTAGAGCCAATCTTGATTGTTTCTTCATTTCAATTAAGAGAGAGTTGAAGCAAGAAATAGCAGAAAGTAGACCTAGCTCAGAGTGCCATCAGCAATGAGGGTCGCTTGACATCATCTGATACCAAATCTTTTCTTCTGTATGTCTCCAGAACCTAACCACTAATCACCAGCTCTTCTGCTACCATTCTTTTCTAAGATACCATCATCTCTCTCTTGGGTTGTTACAATACCTTCCCAACTATTCTTATTAATTCCATCATTGTCTACATTAGTAAATTGTCAGTGTGGGTAGAAAAAAACTGAACAATAATTTTAAAACAATCACTCCCAGGTTTTTTCTCCCTATGCTTCAAAGTTATTGTTTTAAAATATAGGTCTAACCATGTCACTCCTGTCTCAATCCATTCAATGACCTCTCATTTCAATCACAATTAAGGTCATTACTACAGTCTATAACAAGAGATGGCAAACTAAGACTCATGGGACAAATCTGAACCGTAGCTTGTTTTAGCATGGCCCACAAACTCAATTTTATTTTTTTACATTTTGAAAAGGTTGAAAACAAAAACAGAAGAAGAATATCTTGTGACATGTAAAAATTATATACAAATCAAGTTTCAGGGCTGGGCATGGTGGCTCAGGCCTATAATCTCAGTACTTTGGGAGGCCAAGGCGGTTGGATTGTTTGAGCTCAGGAGTTCGAGACCAGACTGGGCAACATGGCAAAACCCCATCTGTACAAAAAATACAAAAATTAGCTGGGCCTGGTGGCATGCAGCTGTAGTCCCAGCTACTCGGGAGGCTGAGGCTGGAGGATCACCTGAGCTGGGAGTCTGGGTTGCAGTGAGCTGGGATTGCACCACTGCGCTCCAGCCTGGGTGACAGAGTGAGACCCTGTCTCAAAAAATAAAAAAAACTTAAATTCCAATGTTCATAAATAAAGTTTTATTGGCACCATAATTTATTTATGTATTTCTTATGGCTGCTTTTATAGCAGTTTTCAGTAATTGCAACAGAAATCACATGTAGTGCTTTCATTGTTTTATACTCCTACTCAGTGCTTTACAAATCACAGTGATTCAGTGGCAACTTGGGTGTATTTCTAATGTCACATGTTCCACCATGCATACATTTTGTATTTATTTTTATTACCACTGAATATCCATTATGCAGAAGTAAGGAAAATATTTTTTATAAACTTTGAATATCATCCTTTTAAGGCACAATGAAGTATGAGTTCTTTTGTTATTGAGTTAGATGGCAAAGTGTCATGTTTATTTTTCAATGACAATAGAGCTGTGCTAAAAGAACACAACACATATTGGCATAACTAAGTTCTCATCCCATTATTCCCAACTCAGAGCAAAGCAACAATGATAAAAACAATTTTAAGGGAAATATTTTTTCACAGCTTTCGTCACAAAAATAAAAAATGAAAATGAGACTGCTACCAAAGTAAGTTTCTGAGTGGCTCATGTGGTACTCAAAGCAAGGAAAGCCATTTACTGATAGTAAATAAACTATGTTTGATTGCAGCTCTTCAGTAAAAAGGGTTTCTTTAAAAGTTTTGGACATTGGTTGCTATCAATAATCAATGAAAAAAGAAAGTAAAAAATTTAAAGTGGTTTTCCCCTGGGCTTTGATGCACCAACAAATGTTACTAACGCTTCTCAGTTGTTATTTATTTTAGAAAGAAATACCGAGTTTAAAGTGGCTGAAAGATCAACCTGTATAAACAGTCTGCATGGAACAAGCAAGAAGTTGAGAAAGTACTCATTCAGTATGACCTGAAGTGGAATCCACTAAGATATGATACAATCGAGGGTGGTAAAAATATGTGTTGAGCAGAAAAAGAATTAGTTGAACAAATTTTTAAAGCTCATGAAATTACAAAGTGTTTAAAGCCTCAATGTATTATTCAACAGCAGGTCCATTGTGAAAAATATTGGAATCTGTCATGTGTTATTGAATCAGTGTCAATGGTAAATTCCAATCACTCTTATGTACTGAACCATTGTCAGAATTAAAAGCTGAATATCCTGACTTGTTCTACTAGATAGCAAATGGTTAAACGACTTGGCAGTCATATAGTTATGAGTTTTTTGAGCTCTGGGTTAATAGTAAAATTTGTCCAAATAAGAAAACCACTATTTCAATCACTATATTATAACACTGAAAAGTTTTGGAAATTAGCTTTTGCTGCATACTTGATAATGTGTCTTAATGAATTCAACCTATAATTACAAGGCAAAGAAACATTTAGTATTATTATTTTTTTTTTTAGACAGAGTTTCACTCTCATTGCCCAGGCTGGAGTGCAATGGTGTGATCTCGGTTCACCGCAACCTCTGCCTCCCAGGTTCAAACGATTCTCTTGCCTCAGCCTCCTGAGTAGCTGGGATTACTAGAAAGTTATACTATGTAGGCTGGGGCGAGGTGGCTCATGCCTGTAATCCCAGAACTTTGGGAGGCTGAGGCAGGAGGATCACCTGAGATCAGGAGTTCCAGACCAGCCTGGCCAACATGGTGAAATCCTGTCTCTACTAATAATACAAAAATTAGCTGGACGTGGTGGCAGGCACCTGTAATCCCAGCTACACAGGAGGCTGAGGCAGGAGAATTACTTGAACCTGGGAGGCAGAGGTTGCAGTGAGCTGAGATGATGCCACTGCACTCTAGCCTGGGTGACAGAGTAAAATTCTGTCTCAACAAAAAATATATATGTTATACTGTGGAAACTTTTTTGATGACAACTAACAACTGAGTTTTATCAATAAAAAATTGTGAAATGTATGTTTTCTCTTTTGTACGTAAGTACCTATATAATATCCCAAATTTTGCCTTTTGGGGCACAAAGGCTAAATTATTTGCTGCCTATCCTCTTTAGAGAAAAAGTTTTCCAATGTCTTGTCTATAAGGCTTTACATAGTCTGATATCTCTCTACCTCCATGATCTCATGTCCAATTACTGTCTCTCTCATTTACTTTTCTCTGATGGACCTGGCTTCCTTGTTTTTGTTCTTTTGGCCTAGAACACTCATTCTCCAACTGTGAATATAGGCGGTCTCCTAACTTCTCTCAGGTTCTGCTCAAAGGTCACCTCAATGACACCCTTCCAGGCCAATCCATGTGAAATTAGAACAATATCACCACCTCCTACCTAGCACCTCCCTGTTCTTCTTTGTTCTTTATAGCACTTATCACCACATGACATACTATATTGTCTATTTTTGTTGTTAGTTTATTGCATATCTATATTCACTAGAAAGTAAACTCCACAGGATAGGGATTTTTTTATTCCTGTTCTATTCACGAATATACCCACAGCACCTTAAACAATATCTGGCACATAGCAAATTGTCAATAAATATCTGTTTAACATATGCAATTTTCTAAATTTTTATGTTTTTAAAAATAAATACAAACACTCATAAATATACATGCCTTGCATTCATCATCTACAGTCTTTTCAACCTCCCTCTTTGCTCAAAATCACTATTTTTTTCCTTTCTATTAGCCATACAGTTACTGTTCACATATGGAAGGCACATGGCACACACTAGCATTTTAGATAATAACACTGTATTTTTCTATTTTTTAATGTTAATAATAATAATTAATATTTCAGGTTTGGGGATATACCACACACTGCACTGAACACTTGAAGTGAACATCTGTTTTTTGTTGCTTACCACCACCCTTTTTCTTCTGGAAAAAAAAAAAGAGAAAAACAAAAAGACTTTTTTTTCCTTTTGGGAGCTACTTCTCTCATATTCATACTATTTTTGTGATCTTCAACTTTTGTTGCCCCTTCTTTTCATTTGATTTCATGGCTACAACCAGGAATCTCTGTTTTTTTAATAGAAAGTTTCCCAGGCATTTCTAAGATTTAGCCAGTTAAGAATCATTGTGCCATACAATTATCACAGATGTGAAAAATATGAGGCCCTCTCTATTCTTCCAAAATCATATGTACATGATCCAGTCTAGCCAACTATGGTATTCAACACCCTGGGAAACAATATTGGTCTAGAGTATAAGTGATCAGAGTATTTTATATGGATAGATATGGATTCACAGAGGGATAGGCCATGTTTTTTCTTCTGAAAATATGGTCATCCTCCTAAGGCTGTCAAGGGCCATATATTTCACAATATGGCATGAATCTGATTAGTAATGATATAAAAAACAAAAGAAAAAAATAGAGAGAGAGAGAGAGAGGAAAGGCCTAATAACATTATTTAAAATATTAGATCCAGTTGATCCTGTAGTAATTTTGCCCTTTTCCTCCCATTCAAGTCATTTGAATCAATATACTCCCTTGTTTTTGGTTACTTTGGTTTAAGAGTCTTTCATTTGCAAACAAGAATTCTCAACATCACAGCAAAACCATTTATGCAAATTATCTTATTTGAACTCCACATGAGCTCTGTGAAGTATATGAAATCATGTTCTTTACTTTTTAGATGAGGAAACTGAACTTCAGAGTAATTAAATAACATGTGTAAGGTCATATAATTAGTATATATCATAGGTGGCATTCAAACCCATGTTCTTTGCACTATACTTAATATCTTCTAATTGTTTTATCACATCTACTTTTAGCTGACTTCACGGCATCCTTCTGCCTAGTTTTTGACAAGAGAGTTGATGTTTGATTTTTACAACCAGATTGTTCTTTTGGCGTGAGAAAACAATCCTGGAGCCTCAGTAATGTTCACACGTGTCACATAAGGATATTCCTGACTGTCAAACACTGTTTTGTTTTGGTTTGGTTTTTTTTTTTTTTTTTTTTTTTGCCTCAAACAGGCCTTGTTAAAAAAACATTGCATTCCATGAAAGGAAGGTTCATTTTCATGCATACAGGCCCACATAAAAACCTACAATGTGGAACACTACATTGTCAGTACAATTGTAATCAATGTGTACATAAAATGTGTTCCCTCCTCTGACATTGGAGAAAATACTGTTCCTATGGAGGTAATAATAGAGAAGTTTCTTTAAAAAGTTTTCCACAATAAAAGTAATTCTGGAAAACATTCTCTTTAGACACAAGCCCTTTTTAATTGGTGTTTATCAAATATTACATAGCGGTGAGTGCTCAATCAACTATTATCCTTTTAAACATTAAAGGATAGTTCTACCATGACAGCTAACCCTAGAGCAACTAGGGTAACAGTAACAGGATGTTCTGAAAATGCACTGGAAGACCAAAGGATAAATTTAGAATTTAATGTTTAAATTTTTTGTCATAGAATTTTTTGCTATATATTGTAAGGTATTTTTTCAAGATGAATATAAGTAAACTATTTTAGGGGGAACAATACCTAGGAGTGGTGCTGGGAGTAGCTTTGGGAAAAGGAGGGTAGGGTGTATGGGAGACAGTGGTGTCTGAGGAAATGGTGCTCTAGTATCCTCACATTCCTGCAGACACACTCTTTTCTGGTCCCCTGAGGCAAGCATCACATCTCTTACTTTCCCCAAGTTTAGTGTTCCTGCTTCCTTCCTTCTCCTGGCCAGGCCAGGAAAAACTGGAGAAGGGAGACTTCCACAAGCCCCAACAGTGAGGGTCAGGATTGCTACCTCTTGGCTGATGTCACAGCAGGCTTCCAGCCTACTTTTCATTGCCTCAGTCTGTCTTCATTCCTGCTCCCTGATACAGAATTAATTAATGAGATACAGAGGGCAGAGAGGGAAAAGTAGAAAGAGAGAGTCATTTGCCTGTCAGCCCTATGCCCCAACCCTGTGATATTGTGCTACAACAAAAAATATGTATTTCGGTCTTAGTCCTATTTCCAGGTAGGCAGTTCCTAAAACCCCTGGAATCTCTGAAGTGGTGTCTTTTAATATGCTAGTGAAATGACTAATGGCTGGGGCTCCTGGATAAACTCAGGCTGGGCATCTGGTTGCTAGGGGAAACAAATAGATGATTAGAGGGTTAAAACTTTCAGCCCCACCCCCTGAATTCAGGGAGGGGAGAGAGGCTGAAGGTTAAGTTGATCACCAGTTGCCAATGATTTAATCAATCATGTCTACCTAATGAAGCTTCTACAAAAACTCAAATGGACAGAGCTCAGAGACCTTCCCAACTGACGAGCACATGAGGGTTCTGGAAGAGTGGCCACCCCAGAGAGGGAATGGGAGCTCTGTGGCCCCTCCCACATAGCTTGTATAAACCAAAGATAAAATTCTAAGCCCAGAAACCATCTGAATAGACACCTCCTCTTGGTGAAGGGCATTCCAAAGTTAACCTGAAAAACTAGTTCAGGTCATGATGGAAAGGGGGAGTCTGATATGTCTCATTATCCCATCCTCCCTTTTAAAATTCAGGCCAAGCTGGCCAGCATTAATATCAACACAGACATTAAGACTGATAAAACAGACTATAAGAAACATTTGCAATCTATCATCTCTGAAGTCAGCTACCTAGAAGCTTTATCTGCATGATAAAACATTGGTTTCCACAATCATTATGTTACTGTATCCCAGACATATTGATTCTAGATCTTTAGATAATAACTCTTTCAACCAGTTGCCAATTAGAAAACCTTTGAATCCACCTATGATCTGGAAGACCCCGCTACCAGTTGCCCCACCTTTCCAGAACAAATCAATGTATATCTTACATTTATTGATGTTTTATGTCTCCCTAAAATGTATAAAACCAAGTTGTAGTCTAGCCACCTAGGGCACATGTTCTCACGATCTCCTGAGGGCTGGGTCATGGGCCATTGGTCACTCATATTTGGCTCAGAATAAATCTTTTCAAATATTTTACAGAGTTTGACTTTTTGTTGACACTTGTCTCACGCATCTCTTCCAAGTGGCTGTTACTGAGTTGTATTATTTTATAATAAATGAGTAATAATAAAGTGCTTTCCTGAGTTCTGTGAGCCTCTGTAGCAAATAATCAAACCTGAGGAGTGCCAGGAGTAAACTCTAATTTATAGCCAGTTGGTCAAAAGCACAGGTGACAACATGGGTTTGTGATATTTTGCTTGTTTGTTTCTTTGTTTTTTGAGACAGTTTCACTCTTGTTGCCCAGGCTGGAGTACAATGGTGCAATCTCAGTTCACTGCAACCTCCACCTCCCAGGTTCAAGCAATTCTCCTGCCTCAGCCTGCTGGGTAGCTGGGATTACAGGCGCACGCCACCACGCCCAGCTAATTTTGGTATTTTTAGTAGAGATGAAGTTTCACCATGTTGGTAAGGCTGGTCTCAAACTCCTGACCTCAGGTGATCCACCCACCTCAGCTTCCCAAAGTGCTGAGATTATGGGCGTGAGCCACCGCACCCAGCTGTAATTGACTTTTGAAGTAGGGGTGGTTTTAATTTTTTTTTTAAATTTCTGTGGGTACACAGTAGGTATATACACTTATGGGGTACATGAGATGTATTGATACAAGCATGGAAAGTGAAATAAGCACATCATGAAGAATGGGGTATCCATCCCTCATGCATTTTTCCATTGAGTCGCAAACAATCCAATTATACTCTTTAAGTTATTTTAAAATGTACAGATATTATTGAATATAGTCACCCTGTTGTGCTATCAAATAGTCGGTCTTATTCATTCTTTCTACTTTTCTGAACCCATTAAATATACCCATCTCTCCCAGCCCCTCCACCACTACACTTCCCAGCATCCAGTAACCATCCTTCTACTCTCTCTGTCCATTAATTCAATTGTTTTGATATTTAGATCCCACAAATAAGTGAAAACATGTGATGTTTATTTTTCTGTTCCGGGCTTATTTCACTTAAAATAATGATCTCCAGTTCCATTCATGTTGTTGCAAATGACAGGATCTCATTCTTTCTTATAACTGAATAGTACTCCTTTGTGTATATGTACCACATTTTCTTTATTCATTCATCTGTTGCTTCCAAATCTTGGCTATTGTGGGTAGTGCTACATTAAACATGGGAGAGCAAGTATCTTGTTGATACACTGATTTCCTTTCTTTTGGGTACATACCCAGCATTGGGATTGTTGGATCATACGGTAGCTCAATTTTTAGCTTTTTTGAGGAACCTCCTAAATGTTCTTTATAATGGCTGTACTAATTTACATTCCCACCAACAGTGTACGAGGGTTCCCTTTTCTCCATATCCTTGCCAGCATTTGTTATTGCCTGTCTTTTGGATATAAGCTATTTTAACTGGGGTAAGATGAGATCTCATAGTAGTTTTGATTTGAATTTCAGTGATGATCAATGATGTTGAGCACCTTACCATATACATGGTTGCCATTTGTACGTCTTCTTTTGAGAAATGTCTATTCAAACATTTTGCCCATCTTTTGATCAGATTTTGAGATTTTTTTCCCATATAGTAGTTTAAGTTCCTTATATATTATGGTTATTAATCACTTGACACAGGGGTAGTTTGCAAATATTTTCTCCCATTCTGTGAGTTGTCTCTTCACTTTGTTGATTGTATCCTTTGCTGTGCAGAAGCTTCGTAACTTGACGTGATCCATTTGTCCATTTTTGCTTTAGTTTCCTGTGTTTGTGGAGGTATTGCTCAAGAAATTTTTGCCCAGATCAATGTCTTGAGAGTTTTCTCAATGTAGTTTCATGATTTGAGGTCTTAGATTTAAGTATCTAACCTATTTGGTTTGACTTTGCCCAAGGCAAGAGATAATGGTCTAGTATCATTCTTCTGCATGTGGATACCTAGTTTTCCCACCACCACTCTTTGAAGATACTGTCTTTTCCCAAGAGTATGTTCTTGGCAAATTTGTGGACCATGAGTTTGCTGCAGGTGTGTGGATTCGTTTCTGAGTTCTCTATTCTGTTCCATTGATGAATGTATCTGTTTTTATGTCAGTACCTTGTTTTTTGTTTTTTTACTATATCTCTGTAGTATAATTTGAAGTCAGCTCATGCAATTCCTCTATTTTTTTTCTTTTTGCTTGGGATAGCTTTGGCTATTCTGGGTCTTCAGTGTTCCATATAAATTCTAGGATTGTTTTTTTCTAATTCTGTGAAGAATACTGTTTGTACTCTGATAGGGACTGCATTGAATCTGTAGATTGCTTTGGGTAGAATGGACATTTTAACAACATTGATTTTGCAAATCTATGAACATGGAATGTATTTCCATTTTTTTGGTGTACTCTTCAATTTCTTTCACCAGTGTTTTATAGTTTTCATTACAGAGGTTTTTCACTTTTCTGGTTAAGTTAGTTCCTAGGTATTTAATTTTATGTGTGGCTATTGTAACTGGGATTACTTTTTATTTCTTTTTCACATTGTTCACTGTTGATATATATAAATGCTACTGATTTTTGTATGTTGGTTTTGTATCTGGCAACATTACTGAATTTTTTTTTATCATTTTCAATAGTTTTCTTGTGGAGCCTTTAGGCTTTTCAAATATAAGATCACATCTTCTGCAAACAGAGATACTTTGACTTCTTTTCTAATTTGGATGTTGTATTAGTCAGAGTTCTCTAGAGAGACAGAACTAATAGGATAGATGTATATATAAAGGGGAGTTTATTAAGGAGTATTGACTGACAGGATCACAAGGTGAGGTCCCACAATAGGCCGTCTGCAAGCTGAGGAGCAAGGATGCCAGTCCAAGTCCCAAAGCTGAAGAACCTGGAGTTTGATGTTCAAGGGCAGGAAGCATCCAGCATGGGAGAAAGATGCAGCCTGGGAGACTAAGACAGTACTGTCTTTTCACGTTCCATCTGCTTTTCTTCTGGCTTCCTGGCAGTTGACTAGACTGTGCAGACCCAGATTGAGGGTGGGTCTGCCTTTCCCAGTCCACTGACTCAAATGTTAATCTCCTTTGGCAACACCCTCACAGACACACTCAGGAGCAACACTTTGTATCCTTTAATCCAATCAAGTTGACATTCAATAGTAACCATCACAAATGTCCTTTATATCTTTCTCTTACATGATTGCTGTAGCTAAGACTTCCAATACTATGTTGAATTACAGTAGTGAAAGTGGTGGTGGTGAAAGTGGTTGTCTTGTATTTTAGATCCTAGAGGAAATGCTTTCAGTTTTCCCCTATTCAGTGTGATACTAGCTGTGGGTCTGTCATGCATGGCTCTTATTATGTTGAGGTATGTTCCTTTTACACCCAGTTTTTTCAGGGTTTTTAACATGAAGCGACATTGAATTTTATCAAATGCTTTTTCAGCAACAATTGAAATGATCATATGGTTATAATCTTCCATTCTGTTAATACAATGTGTCACATTGATTGATTTGTATATGTTGAACCATCCTGGCATCAAAGCGATAAATCCCAGTTGGTCATGATGAATGTTCTTTCTAATGTATTGTTGAATTTAGTTTGCTAGTATTTTGTTGAGAATTTTTGCATCAATATTCACTAGAGATATTGGCCTGTAGCTTTCTTTTGTTAATGTATCTTTGTCTGGTTTTTGGTATGAGGGTGATACTGGCCTCACTCATAGAAGTAGTTTTGAAGTATTTCTTTCTCCTTTATTTTTTAGAATAACTTGAGGATGATTGGTATTAGTTCTGCTGTAAATGTTTGGTAGAATTCAGCAATGAAGCCATCATGTACCAGGCTTTTATTTACTGAGATACTCTTCATTACAACCTTGATCTCATTATTTGTTATTGGTCTGCTCATGTTTTGAAGTTTTTTTCTGGTTCAATTTTGGTAGGTTGTATATATATAGGAAATTGTCCATTTCTTCTAAATTTTCCAGTTTATTGGCATATAGTTTCTCATAATAGCCACTAATGATCCTTTGGATTTCTGCAGTAGCAGTTCAAATGTCTCTGTCTTCATCTCTGATTTTCTTTATATGGATCTGCTCTCTTTTTCCTTAGTCTGGCTAAAGGTTTGTCAACTTTGTTTAACTAAAAAAAAAAAAAAAAAAAAAAAATTCTTTGTTTCATTGATCTTTTGTATTTATTTTCCCATTTCAATTTTATTTATTTCTGTTTTGATCTTTACTATGTCTTTTCTCCTACCAAATTTAGGTTTGGTTTGCTCTTGCTTTTCTAGTTCTTTAAGATGCATTATTACATTGTTTATTTGAAGTTTGTCTTCTTTTTTGATGTAGGCACTTATAGCTGTAAATGGGTCTCTTTGTACTGCCTTTGCTATATCCCATAGGTTTTGGTAGGTTGTGTTTCCATTGTCATTTGTTCCAAGTAATTTTTCAGATTTTTTCTTAATTTCCTCACTGATTCAGTGGTCATATTGTTTAATTGCCAAGTATTTGTATACTTTCTAAAATTCCTTTCATTATTAGGTTCTAGTTTTATTCCATTGCAGTCAGAGAAGATGCTTGATACTATTTCAATTTTTTTGAATATTTTAAGATTTTCTTTGTGACATAACATATGGTCTATCCTTGAGAATGATTCATGTGCTGCAGAAAAGAATATGTATTCTGCAGCTCTTGGATGAAATGTTCTGAGAATATCTATTAGATTCATTTGGTCTATAGTGCAGATTAAGTCTGATGAGTCTTTGTTGAATTTCTGTGTGAAAGATTTGTCCATTTCTGAAACTGGAATGTTGAAATCTCCAGCTATTATTTTATTAGAGTTAATCTCTCTCTTCAACTCAATAATATTTGCTTTATTGATCTAGATGGTCTAGTGTTGGGTTCATACATATTTCTAAATGTTATATTCTTTTACTGAATTGACTATCATTATATAGTGATCTTTTTTGTTTCTTCTTATAGTTTTTTCTTTAAATCTATTTTGTTTGCTATAAGTACAGTGACTCCTGCTTTTTTAGTTTGCATTGGCATAGAATATCTTTTTCTATGCCTTTATTTTTAGTGTATGTGCGTCTTTATAGGAGAAGGGAGTTTCTTGTAGGTAACAGATCAATGGGTCTTATTATTTCATCCATTGAGCCACTCTATGTCTTTTGATTAGAGAGTTTGGTCAATTTACATTCAATATTATTATTGATAAGTAAGGACTTATTTCTGTATTTTTTTAAATTTTTTAAATTTGTTTTCTCATTGTTTTGTGGTCTTCTCTTCTTTCTTTCCTTCCTGTCTTCCTCTAGTTAAGATGATTTTCTTTGGTGGTATGATGCAGTTTCTTGCTTTTTATTTTTTGTGTATCCATTTGTATGTTTTTGGTTTCAGATTACCATGAGGCTTGAAAATCCTATCATATAACCAATTATTTTACCCTGATAGCAACTTAAAACTGTTTGCATAAACATACAAACAAGCACAAAGAACACTAATAAAAACTCTACATTTTAACTTAGTCTACCCACTTTTTAACTTTTTGTTTCTATTTATATACGATTATACTATGTCTTGAAAAATTGTTTTAGTTATTATTTTTGATTGGCTTGTCATTTAGTCTTTCTACTTAGGATAAGAGTAGTTTACACACCACAATTACAGTGTTATAATATTCTGTTTCTCTCTGTGTTTACTACTACCAGTAAGTTTTTGTTTTTTTATTTTTTTGTTTTTTGGGGTTTTGTTTTGTTTTTTTGTTTTTTTGTTTTGAGATGGAGTCTCCCTCTGTCGCCCAGGCTGGAGTGCAGTGGTGTGATCTCGGCTCACTGCAAGCTCCGCCTCCCAGGTTCTTGCCATTCTCCTGCCTCAGCCTCCCAAGTAGCTGGGACTACAGGCACCCGCCACCACGCCCAGCTAATTTTTTCTATTTTTTAGTAGAGACAGGGTTTCACCATGTTAGCCAGGATGGTCTCGATCTCCTGACCTCGTGATCCGCCTGCCTCGGCCTCCCAAAGTGCTGGGATTACAGGTGTGAGCCACCGTGCCCAGCCTATTACCACTAAGTTTTATAACTTCAAGTGATAACTCATTACTCATTAATATCCTTTTATTTGTGATTGAAATACTCCCTTTAGCATTTATTGTAGGACAGTTCTGGGATTGATAAAGTCTCTCAGTTTTTGTTTGTCTGGGAAAGTATTTCTCCTTCATGTTTGATGAATATTTTTTGCTGGATATACTATTCTAGGGTAAAAGTTTTTTTCCTTCAGCTCTTTCCCTCTCTCTCTCTCTCTCTCTCTCTCTCTCTCTATATATATATATATATATATATATATATATACACACAGTATCACTCTCTCCTGGCTTGTGGGGCTTCCACTGAAAAGTCTGTTGCCAAACTTTTCATGTTTGATGAATATTTTTTGCTGGATATACTATTCTAGGGTAAAAGTTTTTTTCCTTCAGCTCTTTCCCTCTCTCTCTCTCTCTCTCTCTCTCTCTCTCTCTATATATATATATATATATATATATACACACACACAGTATCACTCTCTCCTGGCTTGTGGGGCTTCCACTGAAAAGTCTGTTGCCAAACTTTTTGGAGCTCCCTTGTATGATTTTTATTATTATTATTTTGCTGCTTTTAGAATCCATCCTTTATCCTTGATCTTTGGGCATTTGAGCATTAAATGCTTCGAGGTAATCTTTTTTGGTTAAAATATGCTTGGTGTTTGAGAACCTTCACATACTTGGATATTGATATCTTTCTCTAGATTTGTAAGTTACCTGTTATTATCCCTTTGAATAAACTTTCTACCCCTATCTCTTTCTCTATCTCCTAATTAAGGCCAATAACTCTCAGATTTTCATTTGGAGCTGTTTTCTAGATCTTGTATGTGTGCTTCATTGATCTGATAGAATTCTGCATTCCTTCTCTGTGTTATCTTGAATTTCTCAGCCAGGTGCGGTGGCTTATGCCTGTAATCCCAGTGCTTTGGAAAGCTGAGGCGGGCAGATCACAAGGTCAGGAGTCCGAGAGCAGCCTGGCCAACATGGTGAAACCCCGTCTCTACTAAAGATACAAAAAAATTAGTCAGGTGTGGTGGCAGGCACCTGTAATCCCAGCTACTCAGGAGGCTGAGGCAGGAGAATCACTTGAACCTGGGAGGTGGAGGTTGCAGTGAGCCAAGACCGCACCACTGCACTCCAGCCTGGGCAACAGAGCGAGACTCTGTCTCAAAAAAAAAAAAAAAAATGAAGAATTTCTTTGAGTTTTCTCATCATAGCTATTTTGAATTAATTGTCTGAAAGGTCACATATCTCCATTTCTCCGTTTCCCTTGATGGTACTGATGCTCGTTGATGTTCTTCAGTGTCTGGATGTTGAAGACTTAGGTATTTATTTTAGTCTTCACTGTCTGGGCTTATTTGTCCCATCCTTCCTGGGAAGGTTTCCAGATATTTTAAAGGACTTGGATGTTTTGATCTGAGCTGTTTCTGCTTTAGGGGAAACCCCAATCCCAGTAATGCTGTGATTCTTGCAAACTCATAGAGGTACTGCCTTGATATCTTGGGCAAGATCTGGCAGAATTCTTTGGATTACCAGGTAGAGAGTCTTACTTTCTTCTCCTACTTTATCCCAAATATATAGAGCCTTTCTCTCTGTTCTGAGCCACCAAAAGCTCTAGGTGAAGTAACAGAAGCTCTCCTGTAACCACCACAACTATGACTGCACTGAGTCAGACCTGAAGCCAGCACAACACTGGGTCACATCCAAGACCTGCTGTAACCACTCCCTGGCTACTGCCTAGGTGCACTCAAGGCCCTGGGGCTCTACAACCAGTTGGCAGCAAAGCCAGTCAGGCCTGCATCCTTCTCTTCAGAGCATCTAGGTCCCTTAGGTCCTGGGTGATTCTAGAAGTGCGGTCTGAGAGTCAAAGACTAGAATTAAAAACCTTAGGAGTCTATCTGGTGTTCAATTCTATTGTGGCTGAGCTGGCACTCAAATCACAACACACGATTCTTTCCACTCTTCCCTCCCCTTTCCAAAGGCAGAGAGCCTCACACTGTAGCTGCCACCACAGCTGGCCGTGAAGAGTACTGCCAGACTACCACTGATAAGCCCTTAAGACCCAACGTCTCTTAAGTCAGCTTATGGTTAATGTTGCCTTGTCTGGGAATTTCCCTTCATGGCAGTGGTCTCCCCTCTAGCCCAGTGTATGTCAAGAAATGCCATCCAAGAGTCACATCCTGGGATTGGGGACCCCAAGAGCCTGTTTGGTACTCTACTCTCCTCTGGCAGTGTTGGTACCTGAAGCCAGCAACTCTCAGAGGCTCACCAAAGCCTTTCATGTAGTTCCTGGGTATCGTTGCTGATTATTGGGGCCTTAAGAGTTCTTCAGTTATCAGGTGATGAATGCTGGAAGGACTGGGTCCTCTCCTTCAAGGCAATATTTCCCTTCTGGCCCAGGGTGTGTCTAGGAATGCTGCCTGGGAGCTAGGTCCTGGAACAGGAGTCTCAAGACTCTGATTGATGCCCTATCCTGCTGTGGCTGAGCTAGTACCCAAGATGCAGGACAAAAAGTCCTCCCAACTCTTCTCTCTCCTCTCTTCAAGTGGAAGGAAGTGGTGTCTTTTGGAGCTGTGACCTGTGCAGCCTGAGTTTAGGGGAGGGGTGATGCCAGGACTCCTTTTGCTGCCCCAGCTGGTGTCTCAGTATGATGCTTGCCCTCCCAGCTCACTGCTTCTTGGCCTAGTTCAGCCCTAGAACTCACCTAAGAGTTGCAGTCCTTATGGCCTAGACTGTCTTTCAAATTTACTTAGACATGGAGACTACTTCGTCCCTCAGTGGCAAGGTTTGTGGGCCCTCAAGTTTAAACCGTTGGGATCAGTCATTCCCCTCTGGCTAGGGTTGGTTTAAATCCTTCCTATGTGGCTGGGCATCAGCTGAGTTTGGTCTGGTTTTTCTTTCTGCTCTAACACAACAGCAATGAGTTCAATGCCTCACAATTGCTGTGTTCTTTCTCCCCCAGCACCCAGAGATAATCTCCACACCAGGCCGCCAGTGCCAGGAGTAGGGGAGGGGTGGTTCAGTGATTCAGGACTGTTTTTATTTCTATCTATTCAGTGCCTCTTTCAGTAATATGAAGTTAAAACCAGGTACTGTGAGTGCTTACCTGATTTTTGGTTCTTATAAAGGTGTTTTTTCTTTGTGGATAGTTGTTAACTCAGTGTCCTTGTGGGGGTGATCATCAGTGGAGTTTATTTTCTTCCATCTTCATCCACCTTCAACCAAAGTGGTTGTGGGACTGAGCCCTTAACCTGTGGGGTCTGATATTCTCTCTAGCTACATAGTGTCAGAATCGAGTTTAATTATAGGACACCCAGCTAGTGCTGGATAATTGGTCAGTGTGGGGAAAAAAAAACCCCACACATTTTGGTGTCTAGAAGTACTGATTGGTGAGAGGGTAGTAGAAGAGAAAAACCCAAGTTTTTCCCTATCCACAACCCCAAGCTATAACCATATTCCATTCCTTAACTGTAGTCCTGACAATTGCCCTCAGTACCTGAGGGCCTTGTTCCCCTCTTCCCTTTTTATTCTGTTCTAAAAAAAAAAAAAAAAAAAAATGCCAACCATTTTGATTACAATTTCTTTCTTTTTTTTTTTTTTTAGCATAGACCAATTACATATTCAAACGTACCTAAGTCACATTATGAAAAGACAAGTGCTGCTGTTGAAATGATTTCATCTGGGTTAACAAACGGCATTTTTATAGAAATTTGTGCTATATAGGGTCAAAACAAAAAAATAAACTCTGCAACAACTTACTTTTAACAGTAGTAGACAAAAAATCTGGAAAATTAAACTATAATAATGAAACTTCTTTTTAGGCTAACATTTTGAATTTAAAATCATTGTCATTATTTATAGTATAATAAGTTAAGGAAACCAGTGGACAGTACTTATAGTGAGTGCTACAAAGCAGGCAATCCACCTTGACTTACCTTACTAGAACCTATTCGGGGCATGGAAATGTGCTAATTGTTCTGTTTCCCCACTTGACTCTTTCTCAGTAGCCTATACCAAAGTATGCCTTTGCTTGGCAAACTAGCAATAAAGAAAACAGAAAGTATGCATTACTGATGAGGTTGCTTCTGAATTAAAAATCAAGGTACATATATGTATATAAATACCCTACCTTTACCTGTAAAGATGGCACTGTTTTAATGAAAAAGGAAAAGCTGGTATGATTATCTGTAGAGTTATATTACCCGAAATTTAATTACAACATAAATTGGAAGAATGAATATAAACTTTGGGGGTACAATGAAGAAGGGATCTGTTTTCATATCCTTGGTTTCTGTTTGAGTTGTAATTCTAGTGCAGAAGAGACAATCCAAAGTGAACAAAGACCTGAACATGGTTCATTTACTTTTAGGTATTCCACAGTATCATTGACTTTTGAGTAATCGCTAACTTTCTGTCTTGTGGTCTGCCGTAAGTGTCAGGCCTCCGAGCCCAAGCCAAGCCATCGCATCCCCTGTGACTTGCACGTATACGCCCAGATGGCCTGAAGTAACTGAAGAATCACAAAAGAAGTGAATATGCCCTGCCCCACCTTAACTGATGATATTCCACCACAAAAGAAGTGCAAATGGCCGGTCCTTGCCTTAAGTGATGACATTACCTTGTGAAAGTCCTTTTCCTGGCTCATCCTGGCTCAAAAAGCACCCCCACTGAGCACCTTGCGACCCCCACTCCTGTGCGCCAGAGAACAAACCCCCTTTGACTGTAATTTTCCTTTACCTACCCAAATCCTATAAAACGGCCCCACCCTTATCCCCCTTCACTGACTCTCTTTTCGGACTCAGCCCACCTGCACCCAGGTGAAATAAATAGCCATGTTGCTCACAAAAAGCCTGTTTAGTGGTCTCTTCACACGGACACGCATGAAATTTGGTGTCGTGACTTGGATCGGGGGACCTCCCTTGGGAGATCAATCCCCTGTCCTGTTCTTTGCTCCGTGAGAAAGATCCACCTACAACCTCAGGTCCTCAGACCGACCAGCCCAAGGAACATCTCACCAATTTTAAATCAGGTAAGCGGCCTCTTCTTACTCTCTTCTCCAACCTCTCTCACTGTCCCTCAACCACTTTCTTCTTTCTACTCTTCAATCTCTCCCTTCTCTTAATTTCAATTCCTTTCATTTTCTGGGAGAGACAAAGGAGATACATTTTATCTGTGGACCCAAAACTCCGGCGCCGGTCACGGACTGGGAAGGCAGCCTTCCCTTGGTGTTTAATCATTGCAGGGACGCCTCCCTGATTATTCACCCACGTTTCAAAGGTGTCAGACCATGCAGGGATGCCTGCCTTGGTCCTTCACCCTTAGCGTCAAGTCCCGCTTTTCTGGGGAAGGGGCAAGTACCCCAATCCCTTCTCTCCTTGTCTCTACCCCTTCTCTGCTTTCCTGGGGCAGGGGCAAGTACCCCTCAACCCCTTCTCCTTCACCCTTAGCGGCAAGTCCCGCTTTTCTGGGGGAGGGGCAAGTACCCCTCAACCCCTTCTCCTTCACCCTTAGTGGCAAGTCCCGCTTTTCTAGGGGGCAAGAACCCCCAATCCCTTATTTCTGCACCCCAACCTTGTATCTCTGCGCCCCAATCCCTTATTTCTGTGCCCCGACCCCTTATTTCTGTGCCCCATCCCTTATTTCCGCACCCCGATCTCTTATCTCTGTGCCCCAACCCCTTTTCCCACTTTTCTGGAAGATAAGAACCCCGAACCCCTTCCCTCCATTTCTCTAGTCTCTCTTTTCTCTAGGCTTGCTTCCTTCACTATAGGCAATCTTCCACCCTCCATTCCTCCTTCTACTCCCTTGGCCTGTGTTCTCAAAAACTTAAAACCTCTTCAACTCACACCTGACCTAAAACCTAAATGCCTTATTTTCTTCTGCAATGCCACTTGACACCAATACAAACTCGACAGTAGTTCCAAATAGCCAGAAAATGGCACTTTGAATTTTTCCATCCTGCAAGATCTAAATAATTCTTGTGATAAAATAGGCAAACGGTCTGAAGTGCCTGACGTCCAGGCATTCTTTTACACATCAGTCCCTTCCTAGTCTCTGTGCCCAGTGCAACTCGTCCCAAATCTTCCTTCTTTCCCTCCCGCGTGTCCCCTCAGTCCCAACCCCAAGTGTTGCTGAGTCTTTCTAATCTTCCTTTTCTACAGAGCCATCTGACCTCTCCCCTCCTTGCCAGGCCAAGCTAGGTCCCAATTCTTCCTCAGCCTCCGCTCCTCCACCCTATAATCTTTTTATCGCCTCCCCTCCTCACACCTGGTCCAGCTTACAGTTTCATTCCGTGACTAGCCCTCCCCCACCTGCCCAGCAATTTACTCTTAAAAAGGTTGCTGGAGCCAAAGGCATAGTCAAGGTTAATGCTCCTTTTTCTTTATCCCAAATCAGATAGTGTTTAGGCTTTTTCATCAAATATAAAAATACAGCCCAGTTCATGACTTGTTTGGCAGCAACCCTGAGACACTTTACAGCCCTAGACCCTAAAAAGTCAAAAGGCCGTCTTATTCTCAAAATACCTTTTATTACCCAATCTGCTCCCGACATTAAATAAAACTCCAAAAATTAAATTCCGGCCCTCAAACCCCACAACAGGATTTAATTAACCTCACCTTCAAGGTGTACAATAATAGAAAAAAGTTGCAATTCCTCCTTGCCTCCACTGTGAGACAAACCCCAGCCACATCTCCAGCACACAAGAACTTCCAAACGCCTGAACTGCAGCGGCCAGGCGTTCCTCCAGAACCTCCTCCCACAGGAGCTTGCTACACTTGCCGGAAATCTGGCCACCGGGCCAAGGAATGCCTGCAGCCCGGGATTCCTCCTAAGACACGTGACATCTGTGTGGGACCCCACTGAAAATCGGACTGTTCAACTCACCTGGCAGCCACTCCCAGAGCCCCTGGAACTCTGGCCCAAGGCTCTCTGACTGACTCCTTCCCAGATCTTCTCAGCTTAGCGGCTGAAGACTGACGCTGCCTGATCACCTCGGAAGCCCCTTAGACCATCACGGATGCCGAGCTTCCAGTAACTCTCACAGTGGAAGGTAAGCCCATCCCCTTCTTAATCAATACGGAGGCTACCCACTCCACATTACCTTCTTTTCAAGGGCCGGTTTCCCTCGCCTCCATAACTGTTGTAGGTATTGACGGCCAGGCTTCTAAACCTCTTAAAACTCCCCAACTCTGGTGCCAACTTAGACAATACTCTTTTAAGCACTCCTTTTTAGTTATCCCCACCTGCCCAGTTCCCTTATTAGGCTGAGACACTTTAACTAAATTATATGCTTCCCTGACTATTCCTGGACTACAGCTATATCTCATTGCCGCCCTTCTTCCCAATCCAAGACCTCCTTTGTGTCCTCCTCTTGTATCCCCCCACCTTAACCCACAAGTATAAGATACCTCTACTCTCTCCTTGGCGACCGATCATGCACCCCTTACCATCTCATTAAAACCTAATCACCCTTACCCCACTCAATGCCAATATCCCATCCCGCAGCACGCTTTAAAAAGATTAAAGCCTGTTATCACTCACCTGCTACAGCATGACCTTTTAAAGCCTATAAACTCTCCTTACAATTCCCCCATTTTACCTGTCCTAAAACCAGACAAGCCTTACAAGTTAGTTCAGGATCTGTGCCTTATCAACCAAATTGTTTTGCCTATCCACCCCGTGCTGCCAAACCCATATACTCTCCTATCCTCAATACCTGCCTCTATAACCCATTATTCTGTTCTAGATCTCAAACATGCTTTCTTTACTATTCCTTTGCACCCTTAATCCCAGCCTCTCTTCACTTTCACTTGGACTGACCCTGACACCCATCAAGCTCAGCAAATTACCTAGGCTGTACTGCTGCAAAGCTTCACAGACAGCCCCCATTACTTCAATCAAGCCCAAATTTCTTCCTCATCTGTTACCTATCTTGGCATAATTCTCATAAAAACACACGTGTTCTCCCTGCCAATCGTGTCTGACTGATCTCTCAAACCCCAGCACCTTCTACAAAACAACAACTCCTTTCCTTCCTAGGCATGGTTAGCACGGTCAGAATTCTTACACAAGAGCCAGGACCACACCCTGTAGCCTTTCTGTCCAAACAACTTGACCTTACTGTTTTAGCCTAGCCCTCATGTCTGCATGCAGCGGCTGCCGCTGCTTTAATACTTTTAGAGGCCCTCAAAATCACAAACTATGCTCAACTCACTCTCTACAGTTCTCATAACTTCCAAAATCTATTTTCTTCCTCATACCTGATGCATATACTTTCTGCTTCCTGGCTCCTTCAGCTATACTCACTCTTTGCTGAGTCTCCCACAATTACCGTTGTTCCTGGCCCACACTTCAATCCGGCCTCCCACATTATTCCTGATACCACACCTGACCCCCATGACTGTATCTCTCTGATCCACCTGACATTCACCCCATTTCCCCAAATTTCCTTCTTTCCTGTTCCTCACCCTGATCACGCTTGATTTATTGATGGCGGTTCCACCAGGCCTAATCGCCACATACCAGCAAAGGCAGGCTATGCTATAGTACAAGCCACTAGCCCGCCTCTTAGAACCTCTCATTTCCTTTCCATCGTGGAAATCTATCCTCAAGGAAATAACTTCTCAGTGTTCCATCTGCTATTCTACTACTCCTCAGGGATTATTCAGGCCCCCTCCCTTCCCTACACATCAAGCTCGAGGATTAGCCTCACCCAGAACTGGCAAATTAGCTTTACTCAACATGCCCTGAGTCAGATAACTAAAATACCTCTTAGTCTGGGTAGATACTTTCACTGGATAGGTAGAGGCCTTTCCTACAGGGTCTGAGAAGGCCTCCTCAGTCATTTCTTGCCTTCTGTCAGACATAATTCCTCAGTTTAGCCTTCCCACCTCAATACAGTCTGATAACAGACGAGCCTTTATTAGTCAAATCAGCCAAGCAGTTTTTCAGGCTCTTAGTATTCAGTGAAACCTTTATATCCCTTATGGTCCTCCGTCTTCAAGAAAAGTAGAATGGACTAAAGGTCTTTTAAAAACACACCTCACCAAGCTCAGCCACCAACCTAAAAAGGACTGGACAATACTTTTACCACTTGCCCTTCTCAGAATTCAGGCCTGTCCTCGGAATGCTACAGGGTACAGCCCATTTGAGCTCCTGTATAGACGCTCCTTTTTATTAGGCCCCAGTCTCATTCCAGACACCAGACCAACTTAGACTGTGCCCCCCAAAAATCTTGTCATCCCTACTATCTTCTGTCTAGTCATACTCCTATTCACCGTTCTCAACTACTCATACATGCCCTGCTCTTGTTTACACTGCTGGTTTACACTGTTTTTCCAAGCCATCACAGCTGATATCTCCTGGTGCTATCCCCAAACTGCCACTCTTAACTCTTCAAGTAAATAAATAATATTTGCTGGCAGGACTATGCTGAATCTCCTTAGGCACTCTCTAATCAGATATCCTGAGTCGTCCCAATTCTTAGACCTTTTATACCTGTTTTTCTCCTTCTGTTATTCCATTTAGTTTCTCAATTCATCCAAAACCGTATCCAGGCCATCACCAATCATTCTATACAACAAATGTTTCTTCTAACATCCCCACAATATCACCCCTTACCACAAGACCTCCCTTCAGCTTAATCTCTCCCACTCTAGGTTCCCATGCCGCCCCTAATCCTGCTCGAAGCAGCCCTGAGAAACATCGCCCATTCTCTCTCCATACCACCCCTCAAAAATTTTCGCCACCCCAACACTTCAACACTATTTTGTTTTATTTTTCTTATTAATATAAGAAGGCAGGAATGTCAGGCCTCTGAGCCCAAGCCAAGCCATCGCATCCCCTGTGACTTCCACTGTATATGCCCAGATGGCCTGAAGTAACTGAAGAATCACAAAAGAAGTGAATACGCCCTGCCCCACCTTAACTGATGACATTCCACCACAAAAGAAGTGTAAATGGCCGGTCCTTGCCTTAAGTGATGACATTACCTTGTGAAAGTCCTTTTCCTGGCTCATCCTGGCTCAAAAAGCACCCCCAGTGAGCACCTTGCGACCCCCACTCCTGCCCGCCAGAGAACAAACCCCCTTTGACTGTAATTTTCCTTTACCTACCCAAATCCTATAAAACGGCCCCACCCTTATCTCCCTTTGCTGACTCTCTTTTCGGACTCAGCCCGCCTGCACCCAGGTGAAATAAACAGCCATGTTGCTCACACAAAGCCTGTTTAGTGGTCTCTTCAAAGGGACATGTATGAAAGTAAGTCTGAAGAAGAATTGCTGTATAGAGCATAGTAACTACCCACTCTTTGTTTCTTTCAGGAATGCTCATCAGAGTTTGCTAGATAATAAAGTATTAATGGAAAAAACTAAATCCTATAAAATATTTTAAAGAGGACTATTTTGAGCCAGTATGAGTAACCATGGCCTGGGGAAAAGTCTCTGGAGGTCCAGA
Organism: Homo sapiens; assembly: GCF_000001405.40. Classification (NCBI taxonomy): domain Eukaryota; kingdom Metazoa; phylum Chordata; class Mammalia; order Primates; family Hominidae; genus Homo; species Homo sapiens. Next base: position 98,524,048 of record NC_000023.11, on the reverse strand, counting down.
GAACGTGTGCCTGAGGTGGTCAGGTTACAGTTTGTTTTTATACATTTTAGGAAGGCAGGAATTACAGGCAAAGACATAAATCAGTACATGGAAGGTATATGTTGATACAGCCCCCAAAAAGGTAGGATATCTTGAAGACGGGACATACATGTTATAGTTGAATTTAAAGATTTTTCTGATTCGCAATTGGTTGAAAGAGTTAAACTTTGTCTAAAGATTTGAAGTCAGTAGAAAGAAATACTTAAGATAAGTGGGGTCTTGAAGGCCAGGGTTCTTGTGATGTAGATGAAGCCTCTTAGGTAGCAACCTTCAGAGAGAATAAATGGTAAATGTCTCTTTTTAGACTTTAAAAGTTGTCAAACTCTTAATCTCTATAGATCCAGGAAATGCTTAGAAAGGGAAGGCCTGGCTACATTATTGAAGGTTCTCTACAGATGCAAATTTTCCCCACAAAAGACGGCTTTGCAGGGTCATTTCAAATGTGTCAAAGAAATATGTTTTGAGATAAAATATTTTTATTTCCTTCCAGGTCTACTATCTGTCATGCGATGCTATACCAGAGTCAGGTTGGAAAGCCACATTATACCAGGTTAATTAAAAAACAAGTCTAACAAAATTGTATGGTTTGTAGGATGTGACTTAACCCTTATCTTGCATGGCCTCAGGTCTGGGTTATAATCTGGTATCTAATTGCCACAGTCTGTTTTGTCAGTTTTGTGTTCTCTATTTTAACCTTAATACCGGTCAGTTGTGCTTAAGCTCCAAAAGGGAGGGAGGGTAATGAGGTGTGTCTGACCTCCCTTCCTGTCATGGCTGGGAATTCAGTTTTTCAGGTTTCTCTGTGGTCTCCTTGGCCAAGAGGATGTCTATTTGTGGCAAGCGAGGTCTCCCTAACGGCTGAACAGGCAGGCCACCATAACAACTGTCTCAGCACTGACTGAGTGGTTAGGTTAGATACTAAAAGCTGAAAGAGCCAGTGCCCTTATACAAAGGCTGGGATGTAACAAAAGCCCACCAAGAGTTTTGCCTAAGCCTTTCCTGGGCCTTAAAGCATGACAAGATAATGAAGGAATTCTTAAAAGGACCCATTTAGGATTAAACAAGTTTTATTGGGTGTCTGAAGAAACTCCCCAGGCCTCCACAAACAAGTTTATTGGGGGTCTGAAGCAACTCCCCAAACCTCCATGCTTTAGTAGGAGACAAGATAAGGGTAATCACCACAACACCGGGACCCATTTAGATTGAGTAAATTTACTGAAGTTCCAGAGGAAGTTCTTCAGGACTCAGACCTTAGTTATAGATTAGAATAAGTTAATCATTTATGTCTTTAGATGGATGCGCACTTACACGTAGACATATAGCTAAGAAGGTATATAAGCTCTGGAAAAGTTTGTAATTTTGAGTTGGTCTGATGATAATTTCCAAGCCTTCTCCCTGCACCCTGTTACAGAAATAAAAACACTCTTCTTTCCCAGTTCATCTGCATCTTGTTATCAGGCTGAGAGAATAAGGAGCTTGACCCTCGGTTTCGTCTGGGAACACATTCAGTTGTTTTGGAGGCTTAGGATTTTATTTTTGGTTTACAGAAACTACAAGCTGAGCATCTGCTAGCAATTCACTTTGTGTATTGTTCACAAACCAAGGTTCAAATGAAGATACTAAGGGGACATCAGAGGAAAAGGGTAATTATTCTTTTTTTGTTTTGGAGGTGTGCCATATTTGCCTATTTGTTTTGTTTTCTCCTGGGTCCACAAATTATGTCAACACTAGAAAGAGAATATTGTTCATAGTTGAATAGTTGAAAGAGTTGGTGTGATGTGGACACATATCACTAATTATGTGGAAAATATTAATAACACTGTGACTCTTATAAAATCCTTTGAGAACCTTACTAGTATAAGGCAATTGTTTGGTCACAAGTGTTAGCAAAATCTCTCAAAAGATAGTAGAAGGGTTTGACAAAGATGATCTTTTATCTTTTGGTAGTATGAAGTGGATTCTGGTACTATCTATAACATGTTCAGAAGATCTCAAAGGAGGATGGCAGGACCTCTGAGCATAAGTTCCTCTGCAGCTCTGGCTAACTTGGATGAATTGTTTTAAGTCTCAAGCAGAGAACATGACTATGGCTAAAAGAAAAGGAACTTAACACAGAAACATCAAGATTACGTGCGATTTAGTGGAGTGATTCTTACACTTTTTGATCATTACTGTAGTAAAAATCCAAAAATGCCTAATTTGAGAGCCTTGTAGATGACAGACAGCCTAACAGTAAGAAGCTTCTTGCCATGTTACTTCTGACGAACATTGACAATTCACCACAGAAATAACTTGGCTCATCATTAGTAGTTTACTCTGCTAGGCAACCTCTTCTTTGATTCAAAATGTTTTAAAAGACAAAAATCACTGCTGTTGTGCATCAAGGATGCATTGGTCTTTTAAATCTGATTGAAGTCTAAATTAGCCATGAGGAACTATAGCATAGGAACAATTTCAATCTATGCACCCATTACTTCAAATAGTTGATTTATACATTGTCCCATGCTAGAGCCAAACAAATACCATAGAGAACAATTAGCATTTTTGACACATATATTGAAACATTTTGAAGTATTTGTCTCATATAACTTGAAAAGAGATATTCAGATCTCTTAGAGCTTTAACCATGTCTTCATTTTCTATTAATCAGTATTGCATTGCTAAACTACAGTGTTTAATACTGGGAAAATTTACCACAATATTTAGCATTGTTTGTAATTAATAGTTGATAATTTTTGTACTTTAAATATTTTTTCTTCAAGAATTCACAGAATGTAGACCACTCTGACAATACCTTATGAATTAAGGAAAGTTATATGCTTTGTGAATTGTCTTACTTGCATATTAATCAGACACAACACAATTCAAATTCGATTTAACATACTTTGCTATATGCTTACTTACAAATAAACATTTGACTAAGTGCTGTAGTGGGATGTCATAATGAACGAAATATATTCTCAGTCCTCAAAGACATACACTTTAGTCAGGAAAATAAGGTGTGCTTATAGATTACTTCTTTGCTACAAATACATTCATGTACAGACATATCCTCTAGCATCCAATTGACTTCAAACACAAGTCTTACTTGACACTCTTCAATTGCTCTCATTTTACTTTAATGGCAAAAATGAATACTTTTTTCTAAGACCCTTTACCTGACTCTTGCCTGCCCCTCCAACCTCATTGTTTCATTAAATCCTCTCCATCATCTCTATAATCCAATCATAATAACAAATTAATTGATCAACATTGTTATTTTGTTCTGATTTTTACTTTTTACATTAGTTTTTAGTTAAGCGATAAATAAACATATTCTCTTGGTAAAATAATTACAAGTATTTTATAATTACAAATATTACAAATATGGCTAAAACACAGTCTGAACAGTATCTCAAATGGTCTATCCTGTCCCCCAGTGGTAATCACTGTATCAGGTATATGTCCTTCCAGATGTTTAATACATTTACATGTGTAATGTTGCTTTGTTTCATGTTTTAATCTGTAGAGGATCATATTTTGCACAGTTTCTGTGATTTATTTATTTCATTCAACAAATACCTCGGAAATTTTACTATATCAATGTAATAATATAGCATTTCCCTAGCATGAATTAATAAATAGTTTTAATCTCTTTGTTATGTCTCTTTTTAATGCTTTAGATATTTATTTTAATTCCTCTTTCTTTTTTTAAATTATATGTAATAACAGTTAGTTTCCTTTTTTGGTCCTTGCAATTTAGCTAGTTTATGTTTTATTGATCAAATCTATATTTTGTTTTTTATTATTAATTTCTGCACTTGTCTTTTATTAATTTCTTTAACAGAATTTACTTTATGATCCTTTTAGCTTCCTGAATCAGAAGGGGTTTTAAAAATTTATTCTGTGCTTTTCTTATCTGATAAATTCATTGAAGGTATATAATACTAATTTCTATTATTCATTGAAGGTATATAATACTAATTATAATACTAATTTCTGTTTCCTTTTTTAACCTAAGATGTATTCCAATGTGTGCTTTTAAATTTTTAGGTGTATAGGGTTTCTGTTTGTTTTGTCTTACTACATTTTGGTTATTACTATATCAATTGTTTATTACTTTCTAATTTTATTGCATAGTAGTCAGTAAGTATAATGTGTCCTGTAAGATTTTGATTTTTTAATTTGTTTAGATTTTTTTTCTTGAGGCTTAGTATATGGTCAATTTTTGAAAAATATTTGAAAATAATTTGCATTCTTCTTTTGCAGGTACAAATACATGTGCTTGTAATATATGTATATTAAACTTAGTTTGTTAATTCTAAAATTCAAATTCTCTATATTCTTTCTCACTTTTTTAATACATTTGGTCTATAAACTTAGTGAAATATGTTAAATTATCACTGTGATTGCAGATTTTTCCGTTTCTCCTTGAAATTCTGTCAGTTTTTGTTTACATTTTTTAAAACTACATAATTAGGTAATAAACTTTCATGATTTTTGTATTTGTGATGGACTATTCTTTTTCAGTATGAAATATTCTCTGTGGCCTTTTGATACCTTTTGCTTCTTTTGCTTCAAATTCTGGTTTTCTGATAATGTCATACCTGTATTTCTTTTTTTTTTTTTTTTTTGAGATTAAGTCTCACTCTGTTTCCCAGGCTGGAGTGCAGTGGCCTGATCTCGGCTCACCACAACTTCCATCTCCCAGGTTCAAGCGATTCTCCTGCCTGAGCCTCCCGAGTAGCTGGGAGTACAGGCCCGCACCACAATGTCCAGCTAATCTTTGTATTTTTAGTAGAGACGGGGTTTCACTATGTTGGCCAGGCTGGTCTCGAAATCCTGACATCGTGATCTGCCCACCTTGGCCTCCCAAAGTGCTGGGATCGCAGGCGTGAGCCACCGGACCCAGCCCACACCTGTATTTCTTACAGTCTCTGTTGCAACCAAAAATGGTTACCAGCTTACAATGGTTCAACTTGCAATGTTTTGACTTTATAATGGTGCAACATTGATACACATTCAGTAGAAACTACACTTCTAGTAGCCGTGCAGCCATTCTGTTTTTCATTTCCAGTACAGTATTCAATAAATTATATGAGATATTCAACACCTTATTGCAAAATATGCTTTGTATTAGATGAATTTGCCCAACTGTGTGCTAATATAAGTATTCTGAACATGTTAAGTTAGGCTAGACTAAGCCATAATGTTTGTAACATTAGATACATTAAATGCATTTTTGCCTTATGATATTTTCAATTTACTATAGGTTTATATGGGATGTAACCTCATCGTAAGGTGAGAAGCATCTATACTCAACTCTGTTGTTATAATATGAAAGCAGCCTTAGACAATATATAAGCAAATAAGTATGACTGTGTTCTAGTAAGCCTTCATTCACAAGAACTGGTAGCTGGGTGGATTTGGCCTGTGGGCCGTAGCTTGCTGACCCCTGCTTCAGGTGATATTGCCACAATCTAAGAAGAACTTAGTTACTACAACTTTGACTAAGTATTTGTTTTCTTAAGGCAGAAAGATGCTGATTATTATGTGTTCTAAATAGATAGTAGCTTTCACAACTTGCCAAGCATTTCACGAGCATCACACTTGTTAAAATATCTGAGAGGAGGATACTAGATTTTATAAAGGTATAAACTCACAGGAAGAGAAAGAAAATGGCCGTAAAGCTGCACAAGGAGTTAGTAGAAAAAGCAAAATAATAAACACCATCCACTCAAGGTGAGATTGAACTTTCTAAGTAGCACCTTTGTCAGCAGTTACATGTACTTGCCTTACAGGCCCTGAAAGAGCCACTTTTCAAGAGACCTGATTTGCATTATTATCTGGTATGCAATAGTGACACCACATAGAAAAACTGAAAAAAAATTGAGAGTGTTTATTTTTCGCATTTATTTGCCTCTAACATGTTTTGACTATATTTAATTTAATAATTATCATTTTTTTCTTTGGTTTACATTCTTATGCTGGCAACAATAAACACCAAAGGGATTGTGAAAGCATTAACAGATTTGTCATCTGTATTTTTTTCTCTATTTCCTTAGAAAGTCATTAAGTTGCTCTTAATTTCCTCTTGAAACACACATGTGTAAAAATCAATTTCCCAAGCAGATTCACCAAAAAAAGATGAACAAACAGCAAAACAAAAGCAGAATATTTGCGACCACTATTTTGGAAACATTTGAGTAAGAAAATTTAAGTAAACCCCATGCTAGAGTTGTGAAATTGAACGGATATCAAGAATGTCATGCCCTTTGTCGTTATGAACAAAAGGTCAGGCCTATTTGATCAGAATATGTTATTTTTAGAAAAACAATTTTATAAAAGTGTTTTTCCTTTTCTCTAATTCTGCTCACAAGAACCAAAGAATTATTCTGCTTTTAGTTTCAACTGTGAATTTTCAAAGGAGTTGTTTTTCGTAATGCCACTCTGTACAGTATTTGAAGGAAAGTTTCAAAGTATAATAATTATGGAGTTCTGTGGTTGACTCTAAATTTCCAAGGAAGTAAGTGTTGCGTCACTGATTTGGGGTGGCATCTTTTGCTTCTAGACTACTTTTAAAAATTCAAATGTATGAACAGAAAATTCTCACTTCAAAGAGAAATAAAACTGTTTTGAAAGACAGCCTTTGAATGCAATCTTTTTCAAAAAGAGCCTATTTAGAGAAAATGGAATCCAAAAATGTCAACTTCCATATTCTTCCTGAGAATATGTTTTCTTTTTGACAACAGCACTGATAAACTAAGAGTACTTTTTAAAACAAACACACTTTGTTTGGTTATAGAAAAAGTAGTGGAAAATTGATGGTGCCAACACTCATAATATAATTTCATTAAAAAGCAATACATTTTATGTATTTGATATGAGCAACTGCCTAAACCCACATAGTGTATATGAGAAGACTCAAATTCACTTTAAAAAAACAAGTCATAGGATGTGTTTATGTGTGCATGTGTATGTCTCCAACGAATCTATTCAAACCCAAAAGAATGATTTCTTGCTACAATTTTGATCAATTTTAAAAGTTGAAATATAATAGAAAAATATGTTCTAACATTATATAATTGATTTTGTTTTTCCATTTTTATCGAAGATTACTATAAGTACCCTTTGATGTAAAAGAAAATAGTCTTCCTCATTGGTAGCACAAAAGATATTGAATATGACAAAGATCTTTTAAATAATAGTTTAAATCAAAACATTGTGGATAACAATACTTGCATTCCTACAGACTAGGAAAAGATAAATGCTACTGTCACTGTTAGTTAAATAAGGGTGAGGCAGAAATTGCAAGAAGGATGTTGATCTGTCAGGGAGTTTGGGTAGCCATTTTCAATAATAAGTGTAGTTTTGCTTCAGGAGTTCACACCAATAAGGCATAATGAGACAAAATGGTTGTGTAAAACCCTAAAGAAAAAAAATGCATGTATTATTTAAAACACTTTTTTTTAATTTTGCGCACAATTCTCATAAGAGTTTTAACATTTATTTTCCAGAAAAAAAATGCAATCACAGGTAAAGATAATGCTCTTAGATAGACAATGCTGTTACTTTTATTAACATATTTTTATGTCTCTGTAATTCATTTTCTTCCAAAAAACATTTTTATTATAAGTTCTCAATTAAAATTTTCAATCACATTGAATAAGCACTACAGATGGTCATATGAATTAAATGGTCACATTACGCAATATACAATATAGGTGCCATGTACTTCTCTAAGTTGCCTGACAAATTTTTATTTTTAAAATGTAAATATTTAACATTAAACTTATAAGAGTAAAATGATCTGTTAGAAACAAGCTCATCCTTTTATACTATTCCACTTCTAACCAAATCAAAAAATTCAAACCTGGTAACTGTGTTTTAGCCTTGAAAATGTCTTAAAAATATACTCAAAGAAAGGAAAATAGTTGGTTTTCTGCTTGTGTTTTTTAAAAAAAAAAAAATTGGTGTAGTACATTTTCTTTTTTACTTTACGTGATCTTTTGTGTTTCTAATGTGAAGATCTACCAGGCATGAATGAAATGATTCATAGGTTTCTACAGTTCCAACTCAAACAGAATAATTCCTAATGACCAGATCTCTTAGGATATGTAATAAAGAAGATAAAGTAGGGCAAACATTAAGGAGGATTTTATTTTTCTTTTAACAACATACTTATACATGCATCAATCAATATTAAGATCAGAAAAACGTACACTTTGACCACTAATTCTGTGAAAGTTGGGAGTCAGACTCTGGTTAAGCAAGATCAAACTAGGAGAAGTTGAGGTAAAAGTGTAGGATATGGAAAATAAGATCCAAACAACAAAATAATATTAGGGTTTGGTTACTTTCACAGTGAGTACACGGGATCATGAATCCAAAGGAAGATCTGAAATCTGAAAATCGGGCCAGCATGGAAAGCACAGAACAAATGAATAAGAAGTGGGAATTCAGGCAGACGGTAACATTTTTTTTTTCTTTAGGTATTTTGGAAGCACCTGTGGGCAACAAATTCATTGGCAGGAGACCTAGGCACTGGGAAACTCATATTTCAGTGAGTAAAGCCAGTGTTTGGGATTACTGAAGTCCTGTTTATGAACTAAAGCATCAAAGTTAGAAGAGGACAAGGAGTAAGATTCATGAGTCTCATTATACCCTTCCCCTTCTCAATTTAAACACCCAACCTACACACCTACACACACACACGCATGCATACATGCACATACACAACAACCTCTGCATAGTCTGAAGTCTGAGGTGTGGCAGATCCTGAAAAAAGGTAATGTAAGAATAAGTAAGAATTATAGACAGCCATGATTTTTAGTTGTTTTAAAGGTATCTAACCTTTTTTTCCAAATGGAGAATATGAGGCTCAGAAAAGTTACTCAACTGTTCAACCTCACTGAGGCTGTTTCTTCCCATAAAACAAAACCATCGGGAAGATTAAATATGGGATAACAGATGAAGGTTCATAAGTATTAGGTGCTCCCAGTTTGCAACTTCCCGTTCCATAAAACCATCCCTAGTCTTCCTATAAAGAAGTACTGTAGGCTCTTAATGTATGTACAGGAATATATATACATGAAAATCATGTATATTGTCACTTTTTGTCTCTTTTTTTTCCAATTATATCACATTTGGGGAGGAAGAACTTTCTAGGAGAAATAAGGTTTCTCTCACCTCTGGAGTGTTACAGCAGGCAGGATGATGTCTAGGGAAACATAAGGCTTCATGCTAAGTTAACTCCCTCTGCTAACGCAGTGTTAGGGAATGTGATTATAAAATATAAATCATCACATAGCATGGATTTTCAAGGTCATTTGTGATTAGTAGAATCACAATTGTTAAATCTGTGTATCATAACAGACTTTTCTGTGAAGTACAAAACTAATCTGTGCTATATATACCGTATGTTCAGATGATCTCAAATTAATTATAATTTCAGTTATTGTCATATTTGAAGACAGGATTGCATTACCCCATTCTCACTCTCACTATCCGGTGTTAGAAATCACTCTAAGATCAAGCTGTAATGTAACTGACATTGGATTCTTCTCAAACAAAATGCAACCAATAATGACAAATTTATGTAGAGCCATTTTTCTCCAGAGAGCCAAAGAGTTTTTCAATGGAAAAAAAAGGAGGGATGGTGTTCATGACAATATGATAAGGTATTTTGGCATCCCTAGAGTGTAACTTTGTCTGATATACAGGTGTCAGAACAACACATCTTTATGGTGTGTGCTAATGGAAGAAACAAGATGAATGCCCTTGAGCAGTGTAAGGAGGAGAAGAAGCAGCAGAGCCTGGGGACAGATGGTGCTGATTTATTACTTTGAAATGTCAGAGGGTAAGTGTTTTCTGCATATTGAGTTAGAGGTAATGCAGAGGTAATGTTTGAGATTATTGTTTTGGGCTTGATATTTTGATACTGAATTTGAATCAAAATCTCATTTCCTAAGCAGCCTTATTAACAAAAGAGATGGCTAGATTTGAAAAGGCCTGACATCTTTTAGAATATGCTCAGAAAAATAATGTACTGGATCCATGGCTCATGAATGTATTTGAAATGAATACAGGCATTTTTTTTCATCGTCTTCATTTCCTGCGACAGAGTGTGATTCAAAGTGGCGTAACCAAAATTCATTGTAACCCAAGCTGCTACTGTATTGTGGTTTGACAATGAGATTAAATCTAAAAGAGAATATCGTGGACAGAACATCCACGAACCACAATCATTTTCTTGGCTTTTACTTTGCCAATCAGCTTTGTCTTATGTGGATCCGGTCTCAGAGAAATAACTACCAGAGGACGATTTTGACCTCTTCATTACATAGATATCACTTATGATAATAGATGTCTTAAATTGTTTGATAGATTATTCAGCCGCGTTAGGTTTTTGAGACTTCCAAATTGAAATGAGTTCATGTAAATTGTTTACTGATTGAATTTAAGAGAGAAAAGAACCCTTTAGTTTTTATCATCTGTACCCTAGTATCTGAGGAGTGCAAGATTCTATACTGAACTATATTTAATCACAGTTTAAATTAAGTTTTTTCACTGCTGAACTCCGAACTGATATGTACACTGTTAGAGATGTGTTTAGTTTTGTAAACTGTACATTCTATAACTTGTAATTTCCATTCCACTATTCAGTAAGGCATTTTCATTGATATTTACAGTTTTCAAAAACAAGTAGAAAGAATGACATTGTCTACTGCATAAAATTATCAGATTGAGAAGACTGAACGTCTATTCTCAGTTTCTCCACCTGCCTCATTTATCTGACTAAAGTTCTTCACCTATAAAAAAGTAATCAATTACACTTATTGTACATATATAAATATTTTGTGAAATGTTTACAAGGAACGTTGATCTCAGAATAAAATATAAGTGGGTAGCTAATATTTAGATATAAACACATTTGTATAACACTTTAAAGTTTTGACACATTTTTTAAAGTTTTATAGATGATAGATTGTTATGTGTAACAATCCTGTAAGATAGTCAACGTCTGTATCATTGACTCCATGTTTTTGTACATGAGCTAACTGAGCTTCAAAGGGCATAAGTAATTGGTTTATGGTAATTCAGCTAGAAAGTGGAGAAGGCTGAATAATACATGGGTCTTCCAAAACAAGTGCTCATTTTTCTATACCACACTGTTTCATTTTATGCACAATAGATACATGTGTGAGAACATCAATGTATGTCCACAATGATACATGTCCAGTCTGCTATTTTAGAGAGAAAAAGTAATGAAAAGAATATAAGCTGTACAGGCAATATAGGTGCTCAATAAATATTTGTTGAATTAGAAAACAATTAACATAGAGGACATTTTAGCGCTCTAGAAATTTAAACAGGAAACAATTTGGGGCATTTGTTGAGCATCTACTAAATGCCAGGCCCTGTAAGGTATTTCACATATATTCTAAGATTATATTGTCCTGTCTAGCTACTTTGAAGGAATTCTAATTAATTTTCAAGGTTGAAAAATTTGGTAAAAGATATGACAGTGTGAGGGAAAAAAAAAAAAAAAGAAAAGGAATGGTACCATCCATCTTCCAAAAGAGTCAAGGCAAATAAATACATCAGAAACACTTAGGGTTTAATATCATGCTATAGAAAGATGAGGAAAAAGCAAGAGAGTCAACCACTCAACGTACCAGCCTAAAGGCTGAGTAGGAGAGGGGCAGAAAAGCAATATCAAAAAAGCTGCCTTGGGTTCACATGCTGTTGACTGACCAACTAATGCGGAGGCATTTGAGGATATGACTAATATGTAATCCATATTTACTCTACAGGAATTTGGTAAAAACTAATTAAGGTGTTAGACTTCAAAAGATAATATTGAAGGATGTAAAAAGAATCTCACTCCCTGGGGATTTCTAAAGAAACGGCACTTTTCTGCCTGGCTATATAATACCACCACAGTGTTTCTAACATTTTCTACCAGTAATTACCATAAGGATTCTCATTACCTTCCCATCAGTACCCTGTGTTGTTTCTCCTCCAAGCCTCTCCTGCATTTCTGTTTATAGTTCTCTTCATCTTCTGACACAGGACTAACAAATCCAGCCAGACTCAGTCTCCTTTTTCAAATACAGTGTAAATTAAGCACTTCTTTTGGTTTTCTTGTTTGTTTTTTGTTTTGTTTTGCTTTTTTGGTTTTTTTGAGATGGGGTCTCACTTGTTGCCCATGCTGGAGTGCAGTGGCACAATCTTGGCTCGCTGCAGCCTCCGCCTCCCAGGTTCAAGGAATTCTCCCACCTCAGCCTCCCGAGTAATTGGGATTACAGGCACCTGCCACCATGCCCAGCTAATTTTTGCATTTTTAGTATAGATGGGGTTTCACCGTGTTGGCCAGGCTAGCACTTCTTTTATTAATATTAGCTTTCCTGATTTGGCTACAATTATGGGAGCAAAAAATATTTACATCCTTGTTCATTATAGGCATCTTCACCAAGAAAAGCACATGGTAATGATCACAACAAGTTAAAAATTAGAAAATTAATTAATCATACTTTCATAGACAGATTTATTTTCAAAGTTAATGATTTATTTAAATAAAATGATTGTCAATTTATTGAGTAGATATCTGGTATATTCAATAAGCCTAGTTTTCTAGTGAGAAATATAAGCTTTGAAAAGAGAAGAAAAAATTAATGATTTTATAGGACTATAAAAAATTCCATGCTTATTGTAAGAAATTTGGAAACCATAAAATGTATAGAAAGGTAGCATAAAACTATCTGTAATTTCATCACTCAGAAATGAGTGTTGTTAACATTTTTCTCTAAATGAGGAAAGAGCTCTTATTTCCTGAATACACACACAGGCACGTATGCTCACACTTGGAAGCAATAATGAGTGACAGGCCAGCAATAACAAACAACAATGGTTTTATAACCACAAAAATGTTTAGATATTGGAGTTATAGGACAGAGATAAATAGGTTTAGTATTTTTAAACCAATAAAATAAAGAACTGAAAGTAAAATGATTACAATTAAAGTGCTCTATGTACTTGCAGTGTTTGGGACCAGGATAAATATATTGATTAAATTTAGATTTTGATAATATAAGTAAAATGTTCTAGGTTTGCTAGCAAAATGGAGTAGCCATATGCCTCACAGGTCTTCTCTTTTCCAACTGAAATAACTCTGGGTATAAATAACAAACAAGCGTAGGAAATCTCTGAAAGATGTAAAGAAGGTGGGCTGCTTAGGGACATCAAAATATAAGGAAGGACATTGAGGTGAGTTCCCTGGGTATCCGTAGTACTTCTCATATATCCCAGATGGAGTTCTGCAGAAGCCTCCATCTGCATCTACCAACAAACACAAAGAAAAGCTCCAAGAAAATCTTTTCCCCAAAACCAAAGAAACAGGAAATGATGGCCTCATAGAAAAATGTTTTGGCTATACCCACCCTACTCAAGTCAAACACCAATAGAAAACACCACTTCCATCTCCCAGTACCACTGTAGTCTCAGCAGGCCTTGTGATGAGTTGATCTTCCTCCCTTAACCCTGTCGAAGCAGGAGGTATGCTCCCATTCCCCAGCCAGGTGGTGTAGTTGGAGCCTAGCAAGGAGCTAATCTTCCCTACTGTGCCTGATGGAAACAGGTGGTTCTTCAATTCCCTTGGCAGGTGGTATTACTAGGTTAAACAGGGAAATGATCTCTTATACCCTTCTCAGGGGGACCAGGCAGTGTTCCCAATCCTCCTCAGTGTCTGTGTGGTCTAATGGTAAGCTGTGGCTCCAGTGCTACCCAGCAGAGAGACTGATCAAAGTAGTGCAACTCAATGCAAGTAATACTTCACTCTTTCTCCCACCCCAGAGGTCAGTGAAATCCACTGGAGAGCTGAATCTTCACACCCACCCAACTGCAACAAGATTGAACAAGGAAGTGTAAAGCAGAGCTACTTGACACTCCACCTGTTCCACAGTCTTCAGTGGGGTCCAATGCAAAAATGAACTTCTACCTCTACCCTGCATCAACAAGATGGAACAATCATGGTAGATTGGCTTGATGACTCTGTGCTTTTCCCTTTCCCTGGTGTTGGGGAGAGGATCAAGGGGGATCTAAGCCCCTACCCCAACTAGCATCAAGTCATCCGAGGTTGTGAGAGTTGCAGCTATTTGACATTCTATTTTCCTCGACTCTCCTCCAGCAGTGTCATCAGGGTCCAGCAGGGAGCTGAAATTCTGCTAGCCATTCTGCAGGAACAAAGTAGTCTGAACTAGCTCTCTGCTTCCCCACTCCCTACTTCCACCCACACTTCCTGGGTCAGTGTGGCCCAGTGGAGAACTAATTTGCTATATCCACTTGGAGGCAATAAGGTGGTGTGAGTCAATGCCCCAACTTTCTGGGAAGCTGTTATCAGAGTCTAGGTGAGAGCTGAATTTTCACCCCACCTATCTCTAATGAGGAGTATGAGTTAGTGCCCACTTTTGCCCAGTGGTCCAAAAATAAAGGTGAACAGACACATCCAATTATCTTTTACACTGGACCTCAACAGGAGGACTGCCTGTAAAAAATAAATAAATAAATAATTCAATATAGGATACTTTTAACACAATATATAGAATGTCTAGGATCATAGCTAAAATTATTTGTCATACCAAGAACCAGAAAATTACAACATAACCTATAAAAGGCAATGAACAACAACATGAATCAGATGTTGGAATTATCTGAGGAATATTTTAAAGTAGCCATTGCGGAACTGCTTCAACAAGCAATTATAAATTTTCTTAAAATAAATGAGTCCGGGTGCGGTGGCTCACGCCTGTAATCCCAGCACGTTGGGAGGCTGAGGCGGGTGGATCATGAAGTCAAGAGATCGAGATCATCCTGGCCAACATGGTGAAACCCTGTCTCTACTAAAAATACAAAAATTAGCTGGGCGTGGTGGCACGTGCCTGTAGTCCCAGCTACTTGGGAGGCTGAGGCAGGATAATCGCTTGAACCTGGGAGGCAGAGGTTGCAGTGAGCCGAGATTGTGCCACTGCACTCCAGCCTAGCAACAAAAAAAAAAAAAAAGAAAGAAAAGAAAAAAAAAGTACTCTCAGTGAAGAAATCTAAGTTAGAAAATAACAAATTTAAACTGTACAACTGAAAAAGAGAATACTGAAATAAAATGTCAATCAATGAGTTCAATAATAGAGTGAAAATGACAGTGGATAGAATTCATTTTCTTAAAGAAAAAAATCATTAGAATTTACCCAATCTGAAGGACAGAAAGAATAAAGAATAAAAATAAATGAACAGTGTCTCAGTTGGGATATAAACAAAAGAAGTAGCATTCATGTCATCAGGGTCTAAGGTGTTGTGAGAAGTCAGGGATCCCGAAAAGAGGGACCGGCTGGAGCCATGGCAGAGGAACATAAATTGTAGATTGAAGATTTCATGGACGTTTATCAGTTCCCAAATAATACTGGTATAATTTCTTATGCCTGTCTTTACTTTAATCTTTTAATCCTGTTATCTTCGTAAGCTGAGGATGTATGTCCCCTCAGGACCACTGTGATAATTGTGTTGACTGTACAAATTGATTGTAAAACATGTGTGTTTGAACAATACGAAATCAGTGCACCTTGATTTTGCCCTTTGCCTTGTGATCTTTGTTGGATCCTTATCAGCAGTTCTCCTTTTTGCCCTTTGAAGCATGTGACCTACTCCCTGTTCTTACACCCCCTCCCCTTTTGAAACCCTTAATAAAAAACTTACTGGTTTGAGGCTCAGGTGGGCATCACGGTCCTACCCATATGTGATGTCACCCCCGGCGGCCCAGCTGTAAAATTTCTCTCTTTGTACTCTTTCTCTTTATTTCTCAGCCGGCTGACACTTATGGAAAATAGAAAGCACCTAAGTTGAAATATTGGGGGTGAGTAACCCCGATACTAAGGAGAGAAGAGAAAGAGCAGAACTGAAAAAATATTTTAAAAATTAATGGCTGAAAACTTTCAAAATTTGGCAAAAGACTTAAACCTAGAGATTCAAGAAGTTAAGCAAACCACTAAAGGATAAATCCAAAGAAATCACTGTCAAGATATATCATAATCATATTTCTGAAAACTAAAGGCAAAGAAAAACATTGAAAGCAGCCAGAGAGAAAAAAAGCATACCTACAGGGGAATATGAATTTGAGTGAGAGGAGATATTTTGTCTGAAACCATGAAAGCTATCATGAAATAACACTATTTTTCAAGTATTGAATGAAAAGACCTTTCAATTTCAGATCCTGTATTCAGTAAAACTATGATTCAGGAATGGACGGACAATTAGAACTTTGCCAGATTAAGGAAAACTAAGAGAATTTGTTGCTAGCAAATTTACTCATAAAGAATGGCAAAAGGAAGTTCTCTAAATGGAAAATAAATGAAAACAAAAGAATGGCCAGAGTTTCAGGAGAGAAATAAAAGCATTGGATAGGCTAAAAACAGGGATAAATATAACAGATTAACCTTTTATATGCGTTTCTTATATCATATTTGATGGTTATAGCAAAAATTTTAACACCATCTGACATGCTGCTCAATACGTGTAGAGGAAATCCTTAAGAAAAATGCAGTCATGTGTTGCTTAACAACAGGGACACATTCTGAGACATGCTTCATTTCTCAATTACATCCTTGTAGAAACCTCATAGAATGTATTTACACAAACCTAGATGGTATAGCTTACTGCACACATAGGCTATATGGTATAGCCTATTGCTCCTGGGCTGCAAACCTGTAGCATGTTGCTGTACTGAATACCATAGACAATTGTAACACAATAGTATTTGTGTATCTAGAAATATTTGAATATAGAAAAGGTACAGTATAATTATGATATAAAAAGATTAAAAAATGGTCCTCCTATATAGGGTACTTACCATGAATGAAGCTTGTAGAACTGGAAGTTGCTCTGGGTGAGTCAGTGAGTGAGTGGTGAGTGAATATAAAGGCCTAGGACATTACTGTACATTCCTGTAGACGTTATAATCACTGTGCACTTAGGCTACACTAAATATATTTTTAAAATCTTTTTCTTCAATAATAAATTAACCTTAGCTCACTATAAATTTTTACTTTATAAATTTTTTAATTTTTTAACTCTTTTATAATAACACTCAGCTTAAAACACCAGCACATTGTACAGCGGTACAAAAATGTTTTCTTCTTTATATCCTTGTTCTATAAGCTTTTTTCATTTTTAAAATGTTTATTTTTATATTTTACTTTTTAATCTTTTTTGTTAAAAACTAAGACACAAACACACACATTAGCCTAGGGCTACATAGGGTCAGGTCATCAATATCACTGTCTTTTACCCCCATATCCTGTACTGCTGGAAGATCTTCAGGGGCAATAACAGGCATGGAGATGTCATCTTCTATGATAACAATGCTTTCTTCTGGAAAACCCCCGAAGGCCCTGCCTGAGGCTGTTTTATATTAAATTCTTTTTATAGGTAGAAGGAGTATACTCCAAAAACAAAAAGTATAGCATAGTAAATACTAGGTGATAGGAACTTTTCTGGTTCTTTTTAATCTTATGAAATCACCATAGCATGTGTGGTCTGTCATTAACCATGACATCATTAAATTTGATAAAGTAGACTTTAGAACAAAGAAAATTACTAAAGAGGGACTGAATGATAAAAGCGTCAATTAATCAGGAAACATAATATCTTAAATGTGTGTGCATCAAGCAACAGAGCCTGAAAACACAAGAAGCAAAAAAAGCAAAACCTGATAGAGCTAAAAGGAGAAAAAAACAAATCCATTTACAGTTGGGGACTTTAACACCTTCATTGATAGAACTACCAGATTAAGTTGTTTGCTTTTTTTTTTTAATCCTTGATGTATGCTTTTCTGCTATGTTTCTAGGTGTTATTTATTTCCATTTAACATGTTCGATATGCTGTATACTTTTTTTTTTTTTTTTTGAGATGGAACCACTCTGTCACCCAGGCTGGAGTGCAGTGGTGCAATCTTGGCTCACATCAACCTCCACCTCCTGGGTTCAAGCAATTCTCCTGCCTCAGCCTCCCAAGTAGCTGAGACTACAGGTGCATGCCACCATGCCCAGCCAATTTTTTGTATTTTTAATAGAGACAGAGTTTCACCGTGTTGGCCAGGCTGGTCTCGAACTCCTGACCTCAAGTGATCCTCCCACCCCAGCCTCCCAAAGTTCTGTGATTACAGGCACGAGCCACCGTGCCCAGCCAATGTGTTGTATACTCTTAATGTGAAGATGTGTGTGTTGTAGAAAGCTGTAGAAATTTTGGCATATTTCCTTCCACCACTCCCTCAATTTTCTCCCTCTGATATTCTCATTCAGCATGTATGGATGGAGGCTCTCCATCTTTTCTCCATGTTTTTTCTAAACTCACATTTTTTTAAAAAAAGTCTCTTAATTTGTGCTGTGTTCTTGGTGAATTCCTTGGTGCTAATTTGCAATTTATTGTTTTCTTTCCTCAATTCTTTACAAGCGAAAGGTTATCCCATCTACTGAAATTCTCAAATTGATGACTATATATATATGTATATAAATATATATATATATTTCTAGACTTCTAATTATATGTTCTTTATCATGTACATAAACATATTTTCAGATAAGCAAGGATTTGAAGTAGATATTCACTGAGTATTCTCCTTGGAAAAGTCACTTATTTTGTTATTTTATTTACAAAGAAAGCAATCAATGTTAAATCATTATAAGAAGTTAAAATAGGGCTAATAATAAACATTAAAAGAAGTCGGCTGAGCACGGTGGCTCACGCCTGTAATCCCAGCACTTTGGGAGGCTGAGGTGGGCTGATCATTTGAGGTCAGGGGATCGAGACCAGCCTGGCCAACATGGGGAAACCCTGTCTCTACTAAAAATACAAAAATTAGCCAGGCATGGTGGTGTGCGCCTGTAATTCCAGCTACTCGGGAGGCTGAGGCAGGAGGATTGCTTGAACTCAGGGAGGTGGAGGTTGCAGTGAGCCTAGATCATGCCACTGCACTCCAGCCTGGGCGACAGAGTGAGACTCCATCTCCAAAAAAAAAAAAAAGTTATACAGATGTAAGTCTAAATGAATATAACAAACTTTGATGCAATATAAATGTTAGCAATTAGTCTTAAAACAAATATTACATTTAAAATATTTTTGGAAGACATCAGGAGAAAAAAAAATGTCTAAGGAAATAGATTTGTACAACACACAAAAGCCAGATAGAATATTACCTTCAAATGAGTCTTCCTTGAAGTTCCAGCATGAATTTACATATTACTTTCTGCTTTATTTCTTACTATTTTAGAGGATTTTCTAAGTAAGTTTCATAGAACCAGATTCCTAGCTCAAAAATATGAACTTCACTGTTATAATTTCTTTTCTTTTTTTCTTTTTCTTTTTCTTTTTGAGATGGAGTCTTGCTCTGTTGCCCAGGCTGGGGTGCAGTGGCGCAATCTCAGCTCACTACCACCTCTGTCTCCCGAGTTCAAGTGATCCTCCTGCCTCAGCCTCCCAAGTAGCTGGAATTACAGGTGTGTGCCACCATGCCCAGCTAACTTTTTTTAAAATATATTTTTAGTAGAGATGAGGTTTTACCATGTTGGCCAGGCAGGTCTCAAACTCCTGACCTCAAGCAATTGGCCTGGCTTGGCTTTCCAAAGTGCTGGAATTACAGGCGTGAGCCACTGTGGCTGGCCTATAATTCCATTTCTTCCTATTTGAAGTCTTTCCATCAATCAAAAGTTCTACTTTTCAAGTAAAAATTATATTGAAGGAAGTCACTCCTTAAAAATCATTTAGCATTAATACATATATAGTACTATAGCACATGAATGCTACATTGATGAAAATTGGATATGGGAGTGGCAAAAGAGAATAAGTCTCTGACATGAGAGAAGAAAGGATTAGCAAAAACAGATTCCCCATCTGTGTCCAAGGTCTCAAGCATACCACTTAAAAATGCATTAAAAGTATGGCTCCGCAATAATATGTGGATCCTACATGGAGTTTTCAGTAGAAATAAGAGAAAATTGACATGACAACACTAATTGATATCAATATATTCTAAATATTATTTGAGTGACTTAAGGACAAAAAAGCATACTCTCGATGGGTGAACATAAAAAAAAAATCTACCTTTCATGTCTTTTTTGGCTCTTTTGCATGTGCATATCCTGTATCTTAAGATGAAGAGAAAATAAAGTAGTTGCATCCTAATTTAAGTACTATATTTGTCATTTGTACAAATCACATGAAGGCACAATCTTGAAAATTATCTATAAAATAGATGTATCTTGAGTCTTTCAAATGGATACACTTGGGTCATACGGTTTTGGTCAGCTGTACTTGGCTGACTATTGAGAAACTTTAATTAAAGAAAAAAATGTGAAATTTGTCAAAATACAACATCTGAGGTAAATTAAGTGCTGTCACCTCACTGTAAAGAACTCGACTTTCATTCAATACAAATATATTAAACAATACATATTAAACAACTATACATGGTGTTTCATAGGTACTTGAGAATTTGAGTCATCAAAGAGAGAAGTGGTACTGGCCTTTCTGGAACTTATATTGTCTTGAGAAAGACTATTAAAACTACTTCCAAAATAAATTAATTACAATTTAACCAACACTCTAGAGGAGTGCGAGATATTTACAGATTTTATAGCAGGAAAATCTACTTTAGATTGGGATCTGAAAGAGTGAAAGAGAGCAAAAAATTTCCAGCAGAGGGAACAGCATGTGGGAAGCTCCAGAGGTGGGGAGGAATCGAATTCATTGCAGGAGCTCAAAGAAAGTTTATATGGTTATAATTCAAAGAGTGAAAGGAGAGTAGTGTAAAACAGGTAGAAGAGTCATACTAAGGGTTTTTAGCCTTCATTCTAAGAGGAAAGGGGAGCAAATATAGTTTTCTAAGAAAGATAATAGCAGGATCAAAATGCGGTTTTAAAAGATAATTCTGATTAGAAAGAAATGACTATTTAGAGTATTTCCGCAGTTTATGTAAGTAATCATGGCAGCTAGGTCTAAGGGGTGGGATAGAAAAAGGCAGACATTTGAGAGATTTAAGAGATATTTTAGACATAAAATTGTCAGGACTTTTATGATTAGTTAGCTGTGGGGTGTGAGTGAAAAGGGAAAAGTCAAGGATGACTCCCAGCTTTCTTGCTTATGTTATTGAATATACTTAAATATAAACCTTTGAGTGAGAGCAAAGTTTGAGAAAGGTATTGATTTGTTCAGTTTTGTCCATATCAAATTTGGGCACTTTGTAAAATATCCAAGTGAAAATGCTAAAGAGAGTATATACAAGCCTGAAATTTTACTGTGAATTTTCACAGTAGCCTATTTTTTTGTTTGCTTGTGTTTGTTTGTTTGTTTGTTTGTTTTGAGACGAAGTCTTGTTCTTCTTCCCCAGGCTGGAGTGCAGTGGCGCAATCTCGGCTCACTGCAACCTCCGCCTCCTGGGTTCAAGTGATTCTCCTGCCTCAGCCTCCCGAGTAGCTGGGATTACAGGTGCCTGCCACCGTGCCCGGCTATATTTGTATTTTTTAGTATAAACGGGGTTTTTTCACCATGTTGGCCAGGCTGGTCTCGAACTCTCGGCCTCAGGTTATCTGCCCGCCTCAGCCTCCCAAAGTGCTGGGATTACAGACGTGAGCCACCACGCCCGGCCAACAGTGGCCTATGTTTAAATGTATTGACTTTCCAGTTAAATTGTGCAAGCAAGAAATTTTGTCACCATTAAACAAATATTATGTCACTGTATCTGCAGTCAATTGTTTTTAAAGATCTTTTTAACCAGTAACTTGCAAAGATTGTGGCAAGAATATGCTTACAACACTCCTATTAATCCAAAATTCTCGAATCAACAAGTTATACATAGGAAACAGTCACCTAAGAATTAACAGGCTAAAAATTAAAAAGCAGGAGAGTAAATATTCATATATTGCCTTATCAACTGCTGGCTTGCCAATATTTTTTTTTCATTCCTGGTTTGTCCCTTTACCAGCTGCTTAAATGAAAATTGAGATGACCACAAGATCTAAAAATATCTTTTCCCACAGTCAAAGCATTAACCTTCATCTCATTTGAAGAAAATGAATTAAGAGAGTAGCATCCCACTCATGGACACATATTTTTGAAGCTAATCAATCTCTGGACTCATGATCATTGAGTAGAAATAAAAGCCCTGTTGAACAAAACAAATTTTACAGATGTTGATGAGAGAATATGTAGCTTTTCCATACATTTTCAAAGGCAAATGTGTTACTTCTTTCATATGTCTAAAATAGGTAGCACAGTCTATCTTAGAATGCCAGCAGTACTGCTGCAAACACACACAGACTGTGGGAAAGTTACATGAATCACATTTGTGCATAACAAGCTGGCAAACTGTGACACACAAAGGCAAGAACGTGCTTGCTGAGTGTTCACTTTACTTGGTACTGTACTTCACAAAATGTTTTTCTAACACTCTTGATTCTTTGATTGCTGATGCAGCATCCTCCAGGCCTTCAAAAAACGATTTGCAGTTAAAATGAGGAAGATATATTTTCAGAAAAAAATGAACACTTGGTGTTATGTTTTTCCATTTCCAAGAAGTAGCATTAAGAGGAGCTGAAGCGGGTAGAGGCAGAGGGTTGCAGAGATTCTTGAGGGCTGAGAATATCACTTAGTATGAGGTAGAATCAAGTTTGGCTTACAAAATGGTTCTTGTTTCTAAGATTGTTTTTTCTAATGAAAAGAAAACATTTGAATAGAAAATCTTAACCTTAAAATGCTTGAATGGAATATAAATTTTGTCAATATAACTTCAAATAGCTGATATTTTGAGTTGCTGCTGTTCATTCACATGATCATTCTTTTATATACTCTGTTAGAAGGCTCATTTCATATATATTTTTCTAATTAAAAAAGCATAGGTAAGTAATATTATTATGAAGACTAACCATATTATTTTTATCTGCTGATAAAAATCCAAAGAAAAAAGAGAGGAAGAAACTAATAAACTAACACTGACTTTGGATTCCCACAATCATCAATACATTTGAGTAAGGGAAGATACGAATGCTTCCAGTCCTTGGATCGCCATAGAAACATCATCCTCCTTCCATAATTATCCTGCCTTTGCCCCCTTCACCTCCCACTCCCCCATCTCCAACACACAGGGTCTGTGCCAGAGGTCTTTGGGGAAACAAAATACAGCTACTTCCCATGTAAAAGGTTGGTATCCTGCACATTTCTTTCGATGAAAGGCCTACTGCACAAGCCTGGTGCTTCTGTCAGTTCCCATAGTCCTCAGATTGATTCTTTCAAATCTCTTCAACAGAAACAGGGAGAAAGAGACAAGAAATCTTGCTAATGTGATTTCACCAAACAAGAAATTTGCTCACACATTGTCTCACCAATGGTGAACTTGACTTGCATCTACATATAGAAACTCTCATCTTCAGGAGAGTTCATCCCTAATAGCATCCTAAAACATACTTGCCTTTGCCAACAAGCATCTGGAAGAGGATAGTTTAGAATGTTATTTTAGGGAGTATTGCCTTTTAAATATTATTCTCAGCTAGGAAGATCTCAAAGTAGAGAATGAAAGTGTTTTTATGATAGTTAGAATGGAATCATTTTTTTATTTTCCCTCTCTCACTCTTACTCAGCCACACTGGCCTCTGCCCTTGCTCTAACCTGGAGACACACTCATGCCTCAGGGTCTTTGCATTACGGTTCCCTCACCTCAGAAGTTCTCCCCAACTTCTTCCTTCTCTCTTTCTTATCTTGCCTCTTCTCTAGTCAAGTGCCAATTTATTAAAGAAGCCTTCTCTGGCCTCCCTGTTGAAACTGCAGACACCTCACTTAGTCCTAATTCCTGTTTCCTACTTTATCTTTCTTCATAACACTTATTATTATATATCTTATTTGTTTGTTTTTATTTTTCTTGGGCTACTAGATTTTAAGCTTCATGAAGGGAAGGATTTTTGTCTGTTTTATTATGAACAATAATAATATCCTCAGACCTAGAAGAGTAAAAACTCAAATGTTTGTCAAATAAATGAAGCAGTGAATGAGTGAATCAATGGGTGAATGAGTAAATGAATATTGGGCAAAAAGAACACTAGATATAAACTGCTACTCTAAGTTTCCTGTACAAATAAAAAGGATCAAATTTTTCCACAAATGACCCACCGTCACCTTCCACTTAATCCTACTTTGACTTATAGGCAGCATCATATATTTTGTATAAGGCAATAATTTAATTCTTTCTTTGACTTCTTATTTGTCAATGACATCATGAACTCTAAAGTCTTTCCAAACGTGTGCTACTAAGTTAGCTAGACATTGAAATGCTGATGGATTCAGCTAGCCCTGATCGGAGTTATTGTGTTGTTTCATACCACCACTACACATTAATGGGTCTCTTGTCATTCTCTTTTGGTGCCATTAGATTTGCTGTCTGCCATCGCAGTAACAGACAGCTCTGGAGCAGATGTTTCTGAAGTATCATTGATAACAGTGTCAAAAAGATTGTGCAGAGTCAAAGGCCAACAAGCTTGACTGATGAGGAAGAGATTTGGGCATCTGATATATTGCCTCAGTGAGGGAGATTTTGTACTTCCTATGCCTCAACAGCTACTGAAAGCAGACAGCCATTTTTAAACAAAAGCCACAGCTGTGTAGCAATACCTGGTCTCTTGGTTTTTACCACTTTGACATCATTCATCTTTCTCCAATTTAGCTATCTTTGCATTATTTAGCCCCACGGCTGCTAAATTTGTGTCCTCCTACATTTTCTTTATTAAAGTTGCTTCTCAGCACCTGTGGTTTATGGTTCAGAAATCTGACTTACAGTATCACCTAACTAGGCTGCTTTTGCCATTCTATCTGCTGTCAAGTTAGACTACTAGGAGAAATATTAAATAGATCACACTTAGCTTCCCAAAATAATCAAAACCCTGCTACCACCACTACCACCACAAAAATCTATTACACCATTATGAAATACTCAGTGTTGTCGTTTTGTAGTTATAACTGTTTTTGAGGAATATCAACATACTTGTGATTTCATATAATCATACTTCATGTGTAACATTAGAGATTAAACATTTCCACCTTTTTTTCAGACAAGTAAATTAAGGTCTCCAAACGATAAGTTTTTGTGCAAGATCACAAAGCATTTAACTATCTACATGAATATAGCTCTATATTGGAGCCTGTGCAAACCTGTTCCCTGACCCTTGTTATCTAAAAACTGGATGTGTTGATACCAAAAGATAAAAATACATGTAAAATTTATCTTCATAATTCTAATTTACTCTGCTATTCTAAAATATACTTATAAAAATCTTAAATTGGGAGAACTTCATTCACTCAGTCACTATTGTATTATGCATCTACATTGTGCTTGGGACTGTACTGGGTTGCTGGGGATATGAAAGTTATCAAAAGAGACATAATTCCTTCCATCACCAGAGCTTATAATATACTGGGAGAGACAGATGAGTAAACAAATATAATCAGAGTAAGGTATAATAAATGGTAATATAGGAGAAATATAGCAAGCTATGGAAACATAGAAGAGCAGTACGTAACCTAGAGTGGGATGGCAGTGAGGGTCAGGAAAAGCTCTCTAGAAGAAGTAATTTTAAATAGAGATTTGAAGAACGAGTAGGGGTTAGCTAGGTAAAAAGTGGGTGGAGGATACTGCAAGCAGAAGAGAAGCTCGTGAGTGAAGGCTTTGAGGTGAGACAGTGCATGACATGTTAACAGATGGAAAGGAAGCTCAGCATGGCTGAAAAATAGAGTACCAGTAGAATAAGGCAAAAGATGTAGCTCAAGAAATAGAACAGATCTGATAAATTTCACAAAGGAGCTATGGTTTTATCCTAAGACCAATGAAGACATTTTTCAAACAGGGGAGTAGCATGATAAATGTTTGGCTAAATAAGATGACTCTAACTATAAAAAATGAGAATAGATTCAAGAGGGTAAAACTGGAGTCAGGGAGAATAATTAAGACACTTGTGCAGTAATCTGGGCAAAAATCCTGGTGGCCTAAACTAAGGTAGTGGTAGTGGAGATAGTGAGAAATGGATGAGGTCAACAGGGGTTTCAACTGATAAATCTAACAGGGCTTGGATACTGTTTTGATGTACTGTAAGAAGAAATGAAGAAATTGTATATGACTACCAGCTTTCTAACTTAATAAACTGGTTGGATAACGGTGTCATTCATTGAGATAGGGAATGCTGAAGAGCAGGTTTGTGTGTGGAATGCAAAGAAATGAATGTTACACATGATATGTTAAAGGTACTTTGAAGGTACCCATGTAAAGTTGTACAATAGGGCATCAGATACACATGTCCAAAGGTCAGGGAAGAGATTTGGGTTGGAGATGTAGATTTGAGAGTCATCAGCACTTGCATATTAATTGCAGCAATGAAAGAAGATGATTTTACTATTAATTTATATTCTCTCACAAGACAAAGAATCAAGAAAATAATAGATCATTAACATTCAAGTAATGAACAGAGAAAGAGGAGACAGGTAAAGACTCTGAGAATGAATAAACACAGAAGTTCAGGACATTCATTGTCTTGGAAAGCAAAGAAAGAACATTTTTCAGGAAGCACTAGTCAAAAAAATAAATCTCATATGCTGCTGAGCAACCAAGTGAAATAAAAATTTTAAAATATCTGTCAGATTTAGCAACAGGTCATTAGCATCTTTAAGAAGAGTCATTTTAGTGATACAATGAAGTATAAGACCGATTTGTGTTCATTCATTCTTTTATGCAACAGATGTATTTGTTGAGATTCTGTCTGTAGCCTGGCATTGTGTTAGATATTACAGATGCAATGGTAAGTACAAATATTGTCCTCATTTTCATGAAGCTTGCCATCTCATGATCAAGATAGATATCAATAAAACAATCATGTTAATAATTATTAACTTGCAGCTCTAACAAGAGAAATTATTATGTATGAGTACATACGTAGTAAGGGCCTGTGACCTGGAAGGTTTTTTCTTCTGTGGCAATGACATATGAAATAAATGTAACATATGTAGAAAGTTACATTGGAGAGTGAGGATACTGGGGTAAATAGGGTTCTGGGTGGAAGAGAGAGCATCTACAAAGACCTGGGACAGAGAAAAAATTGCTTGTCCATGGAATTAAAAGAATGGCAGTGTGTCTGGGGTATAGGGAATGAGGGGGAGCTTGGTAAGAACCAGGTCTAAGAGAAGTGGGACAGGGTCAGCTCAAGTCAGGCTCTTGCTTATTAAGCTAAATATTTGGTTTTTATCTGAAAAGCAGTGGGAAGCCATTGAAGGGGTTTAAGTGTGTGCATCTGTCTTGGGAGAGGGGGAGAAGGAAGGGCTAATATAATCAGGCTTGCAATTGAAAAGCTTATTCTGTTGGTAGAAACAATTTAAAGAGAAGTGGAGTAGGTAAAAGTATACTTGTTAGGATCCAGGCCTGCAGTGGTCCAGGCAAGAAATATCAAACGTTTGAACTAAAACAGTAGAAAAGGAAGTAAGTAAAGTGATTAGAGATTTATGTAGATGATAAAATTGATAATGCATTCTGATTGATGAAATATGGGTATGAGGCAGAAGGAGGTTTCAAAAACAAACAAAAAACTTCCCAAGTTTCTGTTTAGAGCAGTTAAGACAACAGTTACATATCTTCTAAAATTTTTGTCCAAGAAATTGGGGAATGTCTTAGTCTGTTTTCTGTTGCTATAGCAGAATACCACTGACCAAGCAATTCAAAAAGAATAGAAGTTCATTTGGCTCACTTTTTTAGAGGCTGGGACATAGGAGAGCATGGCACCAGAATCTGGTGAAGGCCATCCCATGGCAGAAGGCACTATGTGGCAAGACAGTGTATGAGCAAGAGAGAAAAAGGATGCCAAACTGCCCTAATAACTATCCCACTCTCATGGATAATGGCATTAATCCATTCATGAGGGCAGAGCTCTCCGAATCACCTCTTAAATGTCTCACCTCTTAATGCCATCACAATAGCAAATTTCAACATGAGTTTCAGAGGGGACATTCAAACCACAGCAAGGAGAGAAAAGGAGGCAGACGTGAGTCAATGAAGTTTTTTTCTACTTATTTTTTTTCAGACTGTAAAGATTTAAGTATGATGAAATGTTGATGGGAGTGACCTAGAGAGAGGGAAGAAAAGTTTACATACAGGAAAGAGGACTAATCAAAGAACATGTTCTCTGAAAATGCAGAAGGAGGTAGACTCTAGAGCACTTAGAAAAGAAGGAAATAACAAGTTGGGATACAGGTAAGTTATAGAGCTGCTGACAGGATGATGAGGATGTAACCTTCTGATGGCTGATATTTTTTCGGTGTACTGATCTGCTGAATAAAATGGCACATGACAGTGTTGAAGTTTGTCATGGCAGTATGTATATTAAGGAAATGTTAAAAAACAATAAAAGTGCTTACTATAGGGGATTGGTAAAATAAATTATGATGCATGTCTATACTGTTCTAGTATGTAGGATTCAAAAATTATCCTAAATAAGGATAGTTATAGAAGAGTATTTTTTTTAGATCAAGGGAAACGATTCATTGTGTATATATATATACACACATATATACATACATACACACACACCAAACACACACACACACATATATATATATATAGAGAGAGAGATTTGTTTGTTTTTTGGAGACAGGGTTTCACTCTATCATTCAGGGTAGAGTGCAGTGGCAAGATCACAACTCACTGTGTCCTCAACCTCCTAGGCTCAAGTGGTCCTCCCGCCTCAGCCTCCCAGGTAGTTGGGGCTACAGGCATGTGTCTGTATAGATGGAGCCTTGCTTGCTTTGTTGGCCAGGCTGGTCTTGAACTCCTGGGCTCAAGTAATCCTCCCACCTCAGCCTCCCAAAGTGCTAGGATTATAGGCATGAGCTACTGCACGCAGCCCTCTCTCATCATATATTTTAAATAAAAATAATAGTTTACCAAACAGTATGCATGATATGCTCACAATTGACAAAAATAAACATTGAATACATGTAAAGTGGAAAAGACTAGAAAGGTGTACAAGATATTAATTGCACATATTATATACACATGTATGTATGTATGTGTATATACACACATGTATGAGTAGAAAGACTAGAGGTGATTTATATTTTCATTTTTGCAATTTTAAGGATTTTACTAATTTTCTAAGTAAATATGAATAGATGTATGCATTTCTATGTCATTAGAAATAAATATTTTATAAATAAAATAAGCTATATAATTCAATAATTTGTTATATTATCAAGTTTTATATGATTTTTTTAATAGTTCATTTAGAGCTTCCTTGCTGTAGCCCTAGCACCTAGCTCATTGTAGATGTTCCATAGTTGTTGTTAAAATAATACAAACTAATGCCTTCACTTTATTTTAAAATAATAGCATAACATTCCACAGTTCAGTATAGATCGTGTAAGGAAATTGTTGTAGAATTATACTTTCATTGAAAAAGCAGGAGGCTGAATCATATGTTAATAAAAATAGATATGACTGTTATAAGCTCTTAGTACATGCCTGACAATATTAGTGCTTAACACTATGATTAGTGATATTAGTACTCTCTGAAATAATTACTAATATCATTAGCATTTATGAACGAGAAAAATGAAGCCTTGAGAGGTCATTGGGTCAAAACTATTCACTGGGAAGTGGCAGGGTTAGGTTTGGAGCCCAGGTCTGTCTGACTCTAGAGGCACTGTGCTACACTAACAGTGGTGGAAAGAACTAACCAGTTTCTGTCAGGCTGCCACAGAAAAGTAAACCTCTGCTGACAAATAGCACCATTTTAATTGAAGCAAAACATCGAAAGAACTAATAAAAGAAAAAAATCTACTTTTTATTAATAAGTAAGCACCATTTATTAAACAAAAGATATTTGGACAGATTTTCTGACAGGAAAATTAATATTGCCAATGTTACAGAAACAATCACAAGCCCTGTCTCATTCATTAAATAATTAGCAATAGTTAAAAAGGCTTTTAAAGGGCAAAAATAAGATCAGGTGAAAATTGAAAATGACATTTTTTTTGTAGAAAAAGCTTTCAACAACTGTGGATTTGGTCTAAGGGTATTTGCTAATTGTGCTGCGAATTCAACCATTAGCATCACTAGCTTTTATTCTTATGTAGGATCAGGAACACCAAGCAAGCTGGAAATGATATTCTTTTCTACATGTAAGCAAAGCCCTAAAGCCATTTCCTTAATCCATCTCCTCCTCATACTTCCAAAAGACATTTACCCTGTACTTGTTTTTAGGACTGCCAAATGGGATGTTATACTGATGCAATTTGATTGAAGTGATGACAACTACAAGTTGATAGAGTGAAACAGTAATCTTTATCATCAAGATATTTGTAAGAGCATTGTTTTAACTAATGCTGCAGGTATTTTTTCAATATCGTCTACATCCTCTCTCCCACATCAACTAAAGAATCAAATAAGTAATAAAGAAGAAAGAAGTGAATGCATATTTCAGTAGCAAGAGGCAACAGATATCTTCTTGCTGTTAGATATTCTTAGCTGGTAGTATTTCGGAGGGTATATTTGTTTGTTTTAACTTATTTGCTTTATTTTTTCCTGAATCCATTAAAATAGTAATAAAAATATCTTCCATCTTTCTCTTTTCAACTCAGAAGCTCAAAGGATTTAAAAATTGAATTCCTCCATACAACCTCTATAAAAGCAGAAAAATGAAAGATAAGAATCTATCATGTTAAAACAGAATTCATGCAATAATTAAGAAGTAGTTTCATAAATGACAGTTTCTATTTTAATATGACACAGCAAACTACACTATTTTAACTCTGATAGTAAATTGATTAATTAGAATTGTTTATTTAATACATAGGGCAGTTAAAATGTAACCATCTTGGTTGATTGCTGGGTATCTGAGGGAGGATATAACACTGATGTATCTGAATTCTTTGAATGTAGAGTAGAAATGGATTACTATCACCTCTTGCCTTAGCATGAATTTTCCCTATAAGCAGAGGCTGAGATTGAAACAAAGGCTTGTGGAGGTCGTTTATACTCAGAGGGCAGGAACTAGGGGACAAAGAGAGAAAAACAGGGAAGGAGGGAGAGCCCATATAAAGTGATGCAGAGAAATAGAAAATTCTCTGCTCTGAATATAAGCTGACCCCTGTGCTCTGCTCCAGAGCGACTAACTCACTCTCTCTCAGTCCCTTCATTCAGTCAACACTTCTGAGACTAGGACTAAATGGCCTGAAATGGGCAACATCACGAAGAAAAACAACTTAGCTGTGCTCTGCTGCTTTTGTCTGTTTTCCCTTAAAGCCCTCACCACGCCCCATGTTCAAGGAAGCATCTCCTTTGTTTCCCCTTTTCAACTGCCTGAATAGAGTACCCATTACCTTGCAGTTTGAGTATTGGAAAAATTTTTGAAAATTTGCCAGCATGTTTCCTACCATTACATGGCAAGTGTTTGATCTTGAAGAAACCCTCCAAGGAGCCTTATGAAATGCACCTCAGAATTATCTAACAAAAAAGAGAAAGGGATAAACACTCGTCCTTCATGAGTCAGGAGTTGGTGTACCAGGCATCAATTCTTTCATACAATTGGGTTGTGCAAGCTTAAGTATGAACAGGTTTCAATGGGTACTTCATGCTTCGGCATCAGAGAAGCTCTGGAGTAGGAAGCACAAGATTCAAGGTGCTGGCCCAAGGCAAGGCACTGTCAGGCTACACCTTTAAGAAACTGAGAGCACCTATTCATGTGTGAACTGGTCACTCTGGTAGGTGCTGGCATGAGAGGTGGAGCTGAGAGGATTTGAAGTGATGCGCGAGAGGTGTCTGTCTATGTATGACTTCTTGTGTTAGGTTTTCACCTTCCTATCTTTGTGGGAAGGGACACCTGACCTTCATAAATTTTCTCCCACCACTATGTGGATCACTTTTTCTGATTTCACTTGAAGGAATTTTGTGAGCTTATTCAACTTGCCTTTCCTTCCAAATGGAAGATGGCTGTAGTAGTTGCTGTTAGTGGCCCACTCAGATCCCCTTTGCCATCCTCTCGTTGCTGTGATTTCTGGCTACTAACTGCTCAGAGCAGCTCCCTTTTCTGAAGGATTATCTTAGGAAAGGAGTTTCCTCACCCAAAAAGATGTGCACCCCCTGCCACCAACTCAGATGGCATCCTGCAGCCAATGACGAACTGACCAACTGATTCATAGCTCCCCTCAAGGCCAGACTTATTCTATGGTGAATTTCCTGCAGTAGTGTTCTGGTAAACTGACACTTAAAACAAAAAGTCCTGATTTGTAATTGTTTGTTTTCCTACTCTCACTCTCTGTTCACTCAACACAGCTCTTCTAACACCAGAAGTGCAGGGAGTTTTCCCACACATCAGGCAGTTCTGTAGCAGATATTAGCTGGGTGTCCTATAATCCAATTCAATTACGACACTATCGACCTGGAGGTAATGTCAGATACCACAAGTTAAGGACTCAGTCCCATAAGACTGCCCCTCACCTAAGGCGCTAATCACGAGTCCCAAGTTGTGACCTGTATCTCTCACCAACAGGCTTTAAATTGGGGTTCCCATGACCCCTTTTGGGGGTTTGATTAATTTGTTAGAGTGGCTCACAGGGCTTAGATAAACACTTTATGTTTAATCATTTATTATAAGGATTGATACAAAGGATGCAGATGAACAGTCAAATAGAAGAGATGCATAGATGAGGTATAGGAGAAGGGACTTAGTATTTCTGTGCCCTCTCCAGGCATGCCACTCTCCAGGAACCTCCACATGATCAGCTATCTGGAATTTCCCAAACCCTGTCATTTTGGGCTTTATAGAGTCTTCATTACATAGGCATAATTGATTACATCATTGGCCACTGATGACCAACTCAATTTTCAGCCCTCTTCCCTCCCTGGAAGTCAGGGAGTGAGGCTGAAGTTCTGACCCTCTAATCACATGGATGGTTCCCCTGGCAACCAGCTCCCATCCTGAGGCTATCCAGGAGCCCACAAAAAGTTGCCTCATTAGAACAAAAGATGCTCTTATCACCCCAAAAGTTCCAAGGGATTTAGGAGCTCTGTGTCAGATGCTGCTATGACTCAGCAAATTATAAAAGTCTTAGGAGCTCTGTGCCAGGACAGGGTTGGGTATGGGACAGACACCAAAAATGTATACCTTATTATATCACAATATCACAGTAGTTTTCCTTAATTCCTGTGGTGTAAATTCTCCCATTAAGTCTCATGTCATTCTGCAAGTCTGACACTAGTAAACATAGAGTCGGGAAGAAATGTGCACAATCTACTCTTACAAGCCTGTCCCAGAAAACTGCTCAATTCATACTCCAGAGCTTCCTGTGGGAGCAAGATAAAGCTAGGTTCCAACTGAAACCACATTATTTTTTTCCCAGTAACTTTCCCTGCCCTAGCCTGATTCACTCATTTCCCTATAGACTTCTGAGACGAAGACGTCTGTAGTGCCTGTATCTGAAACTCCTGAGATATAGCCACTGCTATTCTCCATTGACAGCCTCAATGAAGCACTTAATTCTTGCGACAGATTGTGCTTCTAGGGAACTCAATCTAAGACAACGACAAAGAGAATCAACTGCTGCTCTTATTTTTGTCTGTCCATCTATCGCACCTCTAGGAACATAGTGCTCCATTAACCATCTCTGTAGAACTCTCTGGATCAGGTCCCCTGGCTACCACTCCAACCCTTCCTCTTGTTATAATTGTGCTCACTTTGCTTCTAATGACTAAGCACAACAACTTAGCCTCTATTATTTCAAGATCCCATAATCGCCTATTGTTTTTAGGGGACTGAGTTCTGTAGTCACATCTCTTACCATCAGCCCTTGCCTCAAGAGGATGGCCACCTCTGTACTTCTCGATGATGATAGCACCTGTCTCACCAACACATTCCTTATCACTTTTGTAAATGGACTGTCTTCCAGATTTTACTGGAGGAACATAGACACTGGCACATTTTCTGGTCACACATAATAAATCCATTCTATCATGCCCATTTCACTAAGCATTTTGATCCCTTCTTCCACTGTCTTCCATGGCAGTTCTGAAGTTTCTACTTCATTTACTTTGGGCCATCACTTCATTCAAACTCCCAAGTGTCATCCTAGCAGCATATTAGCACTATCATCTAGGGACATTGCCAGGGTGTTTAAAATATGTATGGGTGTTTAAAATATGTAAAAGAGTGCATCCACATTGATAAATTCTCACTTATTTAACTATATGTTTTCTTACCCCAATCCCATTTGATCCATCGCCTTCAGAATCCAGTCTCATATATACTGTCTCAGATGCTGCTGGTACATATTGGCTCGGTTCTTAATCTCTCTGGCCTAGTACTTTTCCTACCTTACCATATCAAACACTTTCCCCTCCAGGTTATGTGTGACATGGCTCTAAGTATTGGTTTAGTGGCCAGGAGGGGAGCTGAGAATAAAATGTGAGGAGACACAGGTTTTCTTGCAAGAGAGGCATCTGCATTATTTTCAAGCAAGATGATAGTAGTAGCCTTTAACAGGGAGGAGTAGATTGTAGATTATATCTGCCAGCCCAGAGTATTCAGAAAAATCAGAGAATTCAAAATTTTTAAAAACATCTTTATTAAGATATTATTCACATACCACACAATTTACCCATTTAAAATGCAAAGCTCAATTTTTTAGTATGCATAATCACAGATTTGTGCAACTGTCACCAAAGTCTAATTTGAATATCTTTATCAATTATAAAAAAACTCACACCCTTTAGCTATTACCTCCCTATTTCTGTGAATAAAGACTGGACAATATTATATGTGTTTTTGTGTGTGTCTGGCTTCTTCCACTTAGTATAATGTTTTCAAGGTTCATTTATGGGTTGTAGAATTCAAGGGTATCAACCAAATATCCCTATTCCACATTTCAGACCTTCTCTCCTTCTCAACCGGGGCCTTTTCCTTGGTGTAATAAAATTGACAGAAGTGGGAACATAATCCTTCTCTGGACCTGCACTGCCCTTATAATTAAGTCCTGGGCCTGATTCTCTGGTCGCAGAAAGTGAAAGTATTTTTAAATATTTCCAAGGTCCTCTTACTTTCACACTTCCCCTTAAATTGGTGATTAATCACCCTCAGCTTTTCATCGTTTCTCCAGTGCATCTAAATACTCAGCAATAGCCAGCCATTGTCAATTTCCCTTATCATTACTTATCATTACTATTTGTCCTGAACCTCTCAACCCCCTGAGATATAGCCACTGCCATTGCGCTCCCTTCCACCCTAAGAATTTTAACAATTGCATTGCTATTACATACTGAAGGTTGTCCATATTCCACCTACCATCAGTGACAGTGTTCTCATTTCCAGACAGCTGATGAGTGATCCAACTCCAATATTCCATTTTAAAGATCCCTTCCTCAGAGCACACCTAGCACCAAATATTTTAGGTCAGGTTCTCTGTGAAACACAAACTAAAATGGATATTTGCATACAAAAATTTATTGAGGGCTCTCTGAAACAATACTTATGAAGGAGTGAAAGAAGCACGATTGGGCAAAGAAATAATTTCAACTGCAAAGAAGTAGCAACAAAGGCCTCCTCTAATCCCACAAGGATCTCCGGAAGTGAGATGATCCCTCAGACTTCTAAACTGACCAATCATTGGATGTGGGCTGCCTCGATGTAGAGGCATAAAGTTGGCCAAAGTAGCTGCCTTCAGTGGAGGACAACGCCCAGGAAGAGACTCAGTTATTTGCGCTTTCAGCAGAAAATACTCCCAGTAGCTAGGGAAATGAAGGCACTCATCCCAAATGAAAGTCTGGGGCAATACATTATAGCATCCACTGCAAGGTGATAACCCAAAAGTTGTCATTGCCAAAGACTGCCACGCCTCCAAAATCTCAGTTTCACCTTCCTATTTTTGCAACCATCATATTCTATTTTTCAAATCTCATGCCCTAAAATACCAGGGCTTCAATAATCTTTGAACTGAATCTTTCCAATCTGTTGATCCATCTATATTTGTTTTATTCCCCACTCCCTTGAATTCCTCTCCCCTTATCTATCTTAAATCCATGATCAGTCAATATAATCATTGACTTTCATATAATATAGGGTAATATTCCCTGTCCCCTCTCATACCCTTATCCTCTTTTGGCAAAGTATAACTCTACCTATATTCAACTGCTATGGACTGAATTGTGTTTCTTCCCAAATTCATATGTTAAAGCCCCAACCCCAATGTGACTGTATTTGGAGATAGGGTCTTTAGAGTTAATTAAGGTTAAAATGAGGTCATAAAGTTAGGGCCCCAATTCAGTAAAACTGGTGGCCTTATAAGAAGAGGAAGAGAGAGAGAGAGACAGATCTCACTCGGAGGAAAGGCCATGTGAGGACAGAGTGGATATCTACAAGCCAGGAAGGGAGCCCTCACAAAAACCAAATCCTGCCAAACCTTGATCTGAGTCTTCCAGCCTTCAGGACTGTGAAAAAAATAAATTTCTGCTGTTTCAAGTTACTGGTCTGTGGTATTTTGTTACGGCAGTCTGAGCAGACTAATACCTCAATTCTCTGTTTATTCTGTGTCTGCACTTTTGCAGTTGAATTTGGCTAAAGAAACATACGCAATCACACTAAATAGCTCACTTTAAATTCATGGCCATAAATATAAAGTATACATTTAATAATACCTGGAAATCACAGTAAAATTTGCAAATGATTTAATTGTCCCATTCTCTTAGATGAGTATTTCATTTTTCTCTTACTCTTCAACTCCCAAACTTCATTCTTCATTACCATGAGAGCTAATATTTTTGCTTCTTCACCTTTGAGAAAGTTGAAGCAATCAGAAAAAAAATTTCTACAGATCCCACCAAAACCATATCTACCCACCTAGCAATATCTACAACTACATTCTTTATCTTCCTACTTGTTACCTCAGATAAAATATCCATGTTGCTATCTAAAGCTCATCCTTCCTTTTGTGTAGCAGATCCTATCCCATCTCTGTTACTCAAGGGCATCTTTCCAACAGTTCTCTTTTACATCATTAATTGTTTCCTCTCTCCTAGATTATTCCATCAGTAAACACACATGCCATTATTTCTCCCATCATTAAAACAACAGCAACAAAAAATTTTAGTCCTCATTTCCCCCGCTAATTAATGGTTCATTTATTTGCTCTCCTTTTCAGTAAAACTATTTGAAGAGTTGTTTATACACTACTGTTTCCAATTTCTCTCCTCCAATTCTCTTAAACCCTGCTACTCCACTGAAACTGCTGTTTCAAGGTCATCAATGACTTCCATGTCATTAATTTCAGTACTGAATTCCCAGTCTTCAGTTTACTTAATACAACACAGCAGTTCTCAAACTGTGGTGATTTTACTCACTAGATATCATTTAACAATGTCTGGAGACACTTTTGGTTGACAAAAATTGGCAGGGAGGCAAATCCTACTTGGAGAGGCAAACCCTACTGGCATCAAGAAAGTAGAGTCCAGAGGTGCTGCTAAAACTCCTTCAATGCCATACATAAGACAGCACCTCCTCCACCTAACCACCAAACAAAGAATTATCTAGCCCAAAGTGTTAATAATGCTAGGGCTGAGATGCCCTAACCAACATCATCTGGTACACTCAATATATTTTCTTTGATTGGTGTTCAGGATACCACCCTTTCCTGATTTCCCTCCTACCTGACTGGGTACTCTTCAGTATCTGTTGTTAATCCCTCCTCTTCTCCCTAGCCTCCTAATGTTGGAGTCTCTGAAACTTGGTTTTTACTTTTTCCTTCTCTATCTATACTCACTCCCTAGGTGGACTCCTCTGTTCTCATGGATTTAAATGCCATCTCTATGTTGTTAACTTCCAAAGTTGTACTTTTGTCAGTCCTTTCTTCAGATTACTGTACTGGTTTCTGTACAGACTTCTATGTTGATTTCCCTACAACTGCCTACTCACACCTCCACTTGAAACCTAATAGGCATTTCAAAACATAATAATGTCTAAAATGAAACTTCCTACCTTGCTCAGCAAATCTGCTCCTTTCAGTCTTCTCTCTCTTAGAAAATGAAAACTCCATTCTTCTAGTGGCTTAGGCCCTGAAACATGGAGTTATCCCTGACTTGTTTTTTTCTCTCACAGCTTACACCCAATCTCTCATCTGATCTATCTTTACAATATATTCAAGATCTGAAAACTTCTTGCTATCTCTCCTTTTGCTTCCCTGTTCCAAGCCATCATCACCTCTCACCTGAGTAACTGAAATATTGTCCTAACCTCTTTCTCTGATTCTACTCTTTTGTCCACTACAGTCTATTCTTATACAGAAGCAAAGTGATCTTTTAACAGACATCTGCCCAAAACCCTCTAATGGCTCTCCATTTTGCTTAGTATAAAATTCAAAGTCCTTATTATGACTTACAAGGTCTTATATAAACTTGCCACTCTTTACCTCTCTATCCTTACCACCTGCCACTGTCTCCCTCAGTCACCCTTCTCCAGATGCACTGATCTCCTGCTATTCATAAAATCTATCGGGTATATTTCTACATTATGGCCTTCATAATGCAGTGCTCTCATTAGGTGACCATCTTCTTGCTACCCAATTCCCTTCAAGTCTTTGATCAAATATCACTTTTTCAAGGACGCCTACTCGAATCACCCTATTTGCAATTAACAGCCACAGCATATATAGCTCTTATTGCACTCTATTTTTCTTTTTCCCAGTATTATCATCTTCTGACATACTATATAACTTACATATTACTTATTGTCTATTATCTTCTCCCTTCTTCCTACCCCAGAACAGGGATTATTGTCTGTTTTGCTTTCTGACATATTTCAAGTGCCTAGAAGAATATCTAGTATGTATCATATACCCCCAAAATATCTGTTGAATGAATGAATTTTGACTAGAAGATTTGGTGCCAGCTTCTGCCACTATCTTTACAATACATTAATATTTAGGGGCAGTGGGAAAATTTCTTTGAGTTGTTTTTTCTATGTCTGTTACAGGAATTGAGATGAAAAGTTCAAACAGTCTGTATTTTAAGCCCGAATGCAGCTTTCTCTTATACATGATAATTCCAGGCACAAACTTCACTGTTCTTCAGTTTGTATATATCTTCATTCTTCTTTGTTCATTTTATAGAAGCATCAAAATTTTATATTTATTTTGCAGCTTATCATACAGGGAACCCTAATTGAGTTCTGTGTTAGCCCATTTTCATACTGATATAAAGAACTACCTAATACTGGGTAATTTATGAAGAAAAGAGGCTTCATTAACTCACAATTCTGTAGGCTGTACAGGAAGCATGGTTGGGAGGCCTCAGGAAATTTACAATCATGCCAAAAGGAAAAGGGGAAGCAAGCACATCTTTACCGTGGCAGAACAGGAGAGAGAGAGAGAGAGAGAGAGAGAGAGAGAGAGAGAGAGAGAGAGAGAGAAGCGGGGCATGCCACACACTTTTAAACCATCAGATCTCATAAGAACTCAATCACTATCTTGAGAACAGCAAGGGGGAACCCCGTCTCCATGATCCAATCACCTCCCACAGGCCCCTCCTCCAATTTGACATGAGATTCGGGCAGTGACACAAATCCAAACCATATCAAGTTCATTTGCATATCTAATTAGTTTTGAAGCAGCACGTTGGCACTCTTCCTACTACACCTCTCCCACCCTCATCCTTTACCACATTTTTTTTTGGAGAAGAAATTGGCTTTCTATACCAAATGTTTCTTTTCAATATGCTCTTCCCTTTTCCTTTCTTAATCAGAATATAGAAAGTCCTTTTGTTGTTCTCTTACATTGAGAACAAAAGAAAATCTTGGAAAGCTTATTCCATGACTCTAGGTGCTGAGCAATTCCCATGGATAGTCTCATTTGCATCTTGGGAGAAGGCAATTGAATCCATTAACTTTTCTATATCCTCTTTCTTCTGAATGCTTATTTTGCATCAAACATTAGAGATAATTCATCCAGTTACCTAGCAAACTCAGCATTTTATTTTCAACCTGACTCATTTCCAGATACTTTTGTAGGTGCCAACTCTCTTGCGTACTTTTAGGCTTTTTTCTTTCAAAGATTTAAATAAAAACTCAGTGCCACATAGTAAATTTTAAACAAAGATACACAATAATTTCTTCAAAATGAATAAGCCAACTAGGTCTGTAAACCTAAGAATTGAAAAGCTAAATGACTTATTGAGGCCTTATGATAAAGCCAAGCATAGAGTAAGTATCCTACTCTTGGAATGGCACCACAGGTCTCATAGACCTATGTGCAAAGAACATTTGTACTTTCTGCCACCCTATGCTTTGAAGCTGCAAATCTCTTTCCTGACTAGTTGATTATGTTCATTTTTATGTTTGCCTTTCTTTGTGCTGGGAAATTATTAAAATCAAATGCATTCTGGAGATGTAGGTTTTGTATTACGTTAAGCTCTGAATTTGAGCAATTTATGATGGGATGTAAGTTTTGTATGTATTGTCAGAAAGCAGTGTAGAGTTTGTGTTCTAAATTTCTTCTTAACTGTCTCGATACACATGAAAGCCATATGCAAACATTATGTATTCGCAATGTTGTGACTAAGATCTGCAATTCACCAGGCCTGGGCCAGTGTTAGTTTATTGTAGTTACTACTCTTGTCTAGTACATTAGTTGGTACTGAGTGATTCTGTTGGCTCCTGACAACTGATACTTTCTCTTCCTCTCGTTCCTCCAACCTGAATCCAGATACTTGGGTTTAGAATTGGCAGTTGAAAACAAGTTTATTCATATACATATGTATTTTGCTGATAATAATTAAAAATTTCACTCAATATTCAGTCACTGATATATGTGGGTGGGAAAGACAACAGAAAAATAGTCAAGGAAACTGGAGGATCACTGAGACTTGGTGACACATTAAATGTGGGTGGTAGTCACTTGTAGAAAACTAGACAGGCAGTGCTTCCTGAGTCACTGGGCTAACTATTAAGATGCATCGTGTTTACAAACAAATAGTGGGATAATGACAAACTCAGAATTTATTTCTCCTACTGCAATATAAACAGGATAGAACACATTTTAATTGTTCCATTTCTAGCCTCCCTCTGTATATTTAATGATCACTTTTCAGACATTTTGTTAACACTTAACTTGCAGTCTCATTATAAGCTGGCTTTGATTAAGAGAATTCCTGAATATTTAGAACTGAAAGGGAGTTTAGAAATTATTTTGTCCATTGCTCTGATTTATACCAATAGAAAACTGAGGTCCAGGGAATTGAGGAACTTTTCCAATCCATCCATAAATTTGGAGATAGACTAAAATCTAGAGTTCCTGAGCCACCACTACTATGTTTTCTTCTATACCACATCGCCTAACCCAGAAATTGTTGATAATTATGTCTTCTTTTTCAAAAACTCTAAATACTTTATCAGCTACCCTTGCGTATAATTGAGCTATGATATTCAGTCACTTGCAAGATCACTTTAAAATATCACCACAATGTTATAGGATTGGTTATAATCATGAGTGGGGTTTGCTGACATTTTCCAAACATGGGGCAACTTCTTGTACTAAACAGTAACCATAGAACCATTTTCTCCATTGCTAAGATTTATTACACATTAATCTGAGAATTCAAAAGGCTACTAAAATAACGGCGCTTGATGGTAAGGAATTTGTATGTGTTTTTCATAAGTGGTCTGCATAAATATCTGCTATATACTGCTAAAGAAACATTCACAAGACTTCTCATAGGTGAAATCAACCGACCTTACTAGCTTGAAGGCTCCATCAGGGAGCACACCAATGTGCAAAAGTACCACACTGTTGTACTACATTACCCAGATAGCTGACTTGCTTGTCACCAATTAGAGCAACAGCCCTGACTTTCTGTAATGCACTCTCCATATTCTTCTTCTACATTGCAATTAATACTTGCAAGGAAGCGAGATGAAGGTGAGAAAAATACCAATACATCACATTTTATCAGCTTTCAATTTTTGTTTGTCATTGACTGCTTTGTCTCTCCCATCCCTCACAGCTTGCCAGGACTGCATTTACAATAATGCTTGTAGTCGCTTCTTTCTATGGTTTTTTGATTGATTGACAAGCTGTAGAGCAGCATATTTTTCTGCTCTACCATTTTCCCAGTGGGCGGTACTACACAATAGTGATGAAGAACTGTAATGGCACTGCATCAAGTTACTGAAATGTAAATATGACATGAATTTCTTCATTGCATGAAGCTGAATCCCTTTATCCATTTACTTACATCACTTTTACATGTAGCAATGATAGGAAATGTTAACCCTCTACTTTCCAAACCTACTCAAATAGAATTTGACTCTAATTGCTCTTTGGAGACACACACGTTAATATAAGTGTATTCTAGGACTTAAAGCACAGCCACTTTTTATATTTATGCAGTCTCCTTTCTAAGTACTTCCTATCAGAGAAGATTTAAAGCAGATGGAAATTATTCAATGTAGTTATGAATTGAAAGCTCATAAGCTAGCTGCTCTTCAAAGTGCCAAGAACACCTGGGCCATCAAAATTGCTGAAGTAGACAATGGCATTTATACTGAGATTACAGCATCATCTTATTCTAAATGGTATTTTTGTCTTTAGAGTGCAACAAAGACGCCAGCTCTTCTCAGTGTTTAATTGGGTTTCTCCCTTAACTTTAATTAAACTCACCCTAAGCCTGCAAAACCCCAAGGCTGGCTGCTTAAGGGTGTGAAGACCCAGTGTTTCCAGCTTTGAATATAATGTGATAAAGAATCAATTGTACTGTTTGATTAACTGAGTATGCGACAATTTTACATTTTTAGACAGTTACACAATCAACAGCATTCTAAAAATTGCTCTATTGTAGATGAAAAGAAACGATTTTCATAAGTCTCCAACAGAATTTTAGAAAATATTTAACCTGCAATGCTATAATGCATATGTTCACTGCTTGGCAATGTACCATTTATATTACACTCAATTATAAAGCCTCATTATTTACTATTATGAAATTATCTTGGTATCATTTACATCATTTAAAGAGAATCTCAGCTTTGGCATTTGTTTCACTTAGTGGTGTGACAAAGATCAAGGTCTTAAGCATTCTGGAAATAACCCAATTCCCATCTGCTTACTCAGTCCTTTATTGGAAGGTCATTTGAATTGAATTGACTGAGTCAGTCGTACCTGAACAGGGAGAGAGTCTGCTGTCTTTTCTGGGATGAGTCAGCACTCAGTTTTAATATTGTACCTGTACCTAGGGATCGGACAATAGAAACATGAATAGAAACACATATCCTTATAGCAGGTATCGAAATTCTACAGCGCTGGAAGCCATCTCCACTAGGAAACACAAATTAAATACTGAGTCAGAAAAAGATAACAGAATAGGAACCTATCTAAAGTGATTCCACACTACCTACATACAAGTGATTGAAACTCTAAAATGGCATTTCAGAAATACAGATTTCCTGGCTCCATGTTTTGCTTTGTTTTTTAAATAAAAGAGGCTACCATTTCTTTAGGACTTAATATGTGCCAAGCACTCTCCTAAACACTTTATGCATATTAGCTAATTTAATCTTTATATCAACCCTATAAAGTAAAAAATACTATTATCTCTACCATTTTGGCACAGAAACTGAGACACAAAGAAGTAAAGTAACATGCCTTAGGTCACATAGGTAGGAAAGATAGGTCCAGAAAGAAAACCCTTGCAGTCCGATGCCACAGCCCCTGTTTTTAACCACTATATTAGTGAGACGAGTTAGCAGCTAAACAAATCTTAGTATACTGACTTACAGCGAAGGGCAAAAGATTGCCGTTAGGCTTAATGACCCTGAAGATTCAAAAGCTATTCTAGGAACATGATTAGTAATGTTTTAATAGCCCAATTAGAATACAAGTAAATGTCCCCAGAAGCCTTATAGGCTGATGACTGCCTTAGTACTCTCATTATGGACTGTTCTCCCAAGAACATGACTGGGAAGAGGCACCACTGAATGTAAACTGAAGACTAGGTTCTTCTTGCCAAAAATAAATTTCGATAATTTATTCATTTAGCAACTATTTATTTCGCTACTCACTATGTGTCAGGTATTGAGCTGAGCAATATGATTTGCACTCCTCTCATCTGAAAGGAAAACGT
The DNA here is from genome assembly GCF_000001405.40 of Homo sapiens. NCBI lineage: Eukaryota > Metazoa > Chordata > Mammalia > Primates > Hominidae > Homo > Homo sapiens. The sequence continues at coordinate 98,479,818 of NC_000023.11, read as the reverse complement.
CAACCACTAGACTTAAGGGAAAGTTGAAACATTGAATCAAAACACAAGAAGAAAGGAGTACAATTGTGAGTATTAGAGGTTGGAAAGGGTAGGAGAGAGGGAAGGATAGGGAGAAATTGGCTAATTGACACATATTACAGCTAGAAAGGAGGAATGAGTTCTGATGTTCTGCAGCACTGTAGGGTGAATATGGTTAACTATTATTTATTGTGTATGTTCCAAAAGCTAAAAAAGAGGATTTTGAATTTTCCCAACACAAAGAAATAATAAATGCTTGAGGTGATGTGGATGCTAATTACCCTGATTTGGTCATTACACATTGTATACAATTATTTAAATAATCATTACACATTGTATACATAAATATGTATAATTATTACATGTCAACTAAAAATAAAAGAAAATAAAACACAGCATGGGATACAAAGTGTTAGGTTCCATCTGGGTTATAAAAGGATAGAATCTGGTGGCTGCCTTCAAGAAGATTTTATTCTACATAAGTAGATAAGACACCCATGAAAAACTAATTAGATGAATATTCTTTCTTTCTGTTTTTTTTTTTTTGGAGACGGAGTCTCACTCTATCACCAGGCTGGAGTGCAGTGGTGTGATCTCAGCTCACTGCAACCTCAAACTCCCAGGTTCAAGCGATTCTCCTACCTCAGCCTCCCCAGAAGCTGTGATTACAGGTGCATGCCACCACGCTTGACTAATTTTGCATTTTTAGTAGAGACAGGGTCTCACCATGTTGGCCAAGCTGGTCTCGAACTCCTATCCTCAAATGATCCACCCGCCTCGGCCTCCCAAAGTGCTGTGATTAGAAGTGTGAGCCACCGTTCCTGGCCTAACATTCTGATAATGTCAAAAACCTATGTAGCCAATAACTATTGTGGAAATCTGAAATAAATGAGAGATCACTATGGGATGCAGAAAAATTCTTAAATGCTAATTTACATGCAAAAACCTTGGAATTTTGTGAAAATGCAGGTTCTGATCTGTAGATATGGGGTGGGGCCCAGGATTCTGCATTTCTAACAAACTCCCTGGTGGTACTGCTATGCTAATCCACCAATCACACCTGGAATAACAAAGGGTTAAAAAGATTGGGAAAACGTTTATAGAAAAAGGTAGGCTTGAGCTGGACCTTGAAGGGTGTCACATATGCATGAGTGAAGAAATTGGAGAGAGCAATGGCAATGGCACAGGGGGAAAAGTGTCAGATTGGATCAAAGAAATTCTGTTGCCAATCACTAGGAGATAGATGGTGGTGGAAAAATTGGTTACAACTAGACCTTGGGAGGAGAAAGATGCATTTCAGACTCAGAAATTCGAGCATAGAGAAATGAAGGTTAATATCTATATAATTAATCACAAAAGTTTCTGCTTAATTTGAATGTCTGAGCCTCAACTTATTTCCTTGAGAATTGGTTTGAACTTATTTGCCACCTTAAAGTGTTACATTCTTACTTGATGGAAATGTGCAAAATGCAAGACAGGCAGATACTAATTTTGCAAGAATTTTAGTAAAATTGATCCATCATTATATTGTTTAAACAACCATGTTAATTGGCAATGAAGAGATACTTGCCCATTTAAGATGATTTGAGGAACTAATCTATTTATAATGCTTCATTGATACATTCCCTAAATTTCTAAAAGCAATATTTTGTTTGTTTTTAGTTGTAGCTTTCTGCTTCAAATGAGACTTCAGCTGCTATGGATAAAATTATTTATTGAGATGGAATTACACAAAGAAAGCTTTAAAAATAATGAAAACTTAAGCCAGATAATGTGAATGATTGACTGTTACCATATCTGAAAATCTTGTTCACAGTGTTAGTAGTGATTAGAATTCAAGAAAACTCATTGAACATTTTGGTATTGTTACTCCTAAAAATAAAATGGATGAGCTAGTGCTATATGATGACAAAATATATCATCAATTCATTGAAAATGAGTCAAATTAATATTTTTAAAAGAAATTTACTTTTCACTTTTCAACTGTGGTTTTGGCCTTGAAGACATAGCTTTACAATATTTTTGAAACTCAGAATATTTTGCTGTCATCTATCATTAAAATGGTAACAATTCCACAGATGATAGTTCCTTTTTGACTCTAGAGACAAGTAGCACCATAGAGTGTTGGATTTTTTTTTCCTTGTATACAATGAATAACCATTCCTATCATGTAGAGAAGCTAGAGGGTTTCAATACATTCTCTTCATCACAAAAAATTGTAGATTTTGTGAAAAGTCAATATAAAACACAAACTCCTGTGGATGTCCTTGTATTCAGAAGTCAGATCACATCAGCCCTTAAATGAACAAGAACTCTCCCCTTCAGACACTGCAAACACTAGACAAAAGCAGAAATAAAACTTTCCAACATTACAAACATGGGTGAGTCCTAGCTTTATAACAACTATAACAACCTTAGCAAAAAATTGTTCATTTTATAATTGTATGTGTGTTTGTGATATAAACATATCTCAGAAAATTACTCCAAATTGTCAGATTTATAGTACTAAGTAGGTTCTAACCAAAGAGGTAAGCCTACAGGAGGTCAAACCTCATTAAAAATGCAAATTACAATTAAAACTTCAAAACAGTAGAATTCTTGTGGTCCATTTACAACATTGTAGATTGCTATTTAAACATAATGCCAACCTCTGCTGTTTTGTTCACAAGTCTCAAATGAAAAAGACACTCTGAGAAACATTAAGTTAGTCACTACTATAGTTTGAAATGAAATTCTTATTCTCCAGATCTTAGTAGAACTAGTTGGTCTGTCTTGATTTCTGTGGCCCTTGCAAAAATTTGGTCTGCATTTAAGAATATTAGGACCTTCAAGAAATGTTCAGCTGACTTTATTTTCTACACATATCCAACTGCTGAGTTGTCATGAAAATTATAATAATTTTCCAGTGTATCTGGAACAAATTTAAAATATTCCAGGTTCATGTTGTTAGGAAGAGCTTTTCTTCACATTAATAGTATTTTAATTTGTATTATTAGAATAGACACAAGGTGTGTGGTGTGACACAAGGTGAGAGGTATGAAATTCTAGATTTAGAGACTGGAAAAACATTGGCCATCTTTTTGACCATCTGAACCAGGAATATGTTTGTACTGTGTTCAAAGTGTACACCAGAATTTTAACCATGAGCCAAGTTGGAGTAAAAAGAACCAGATTTACCTTCCTGTTTAAAACAACCAGATATCCAGACAAAATGTATATGAGATGTATATTAAGTTTTTAAGATACTTGACATCAGACAGCAAATGAGAATGATCCCTAAGAGACAGGAAATGGGCAAAGTGAGCCCAAGGATTGCACCAGCTTAATGGCTTGAAGGAGTTTCCAGGCTATGATATAGAGAGGGGAAAACCTCTCTGTCTGAGCCTGGCAGACAACCTGAGTTCAGAACATGGAACTAGCAAGACCAGGGCAGCTTGAGTTTGTAGGAGACAGTACTGAACAGGAGAGAACTGCACAGAGAGAAAACACCAGAGATCCACAGTAGGTTCCACTGGAATATTCAGCAGACTACTGATCAGTACATGTATGTGAAAAAAACTATTCAAGGAGAGGAAAAAAAAAAAAAAAAAAAAAAAAATATATATATATATATATATATATATATATATATATATATATATATATGTACACATGAAAAGATTAGAGGGAACAATATCCAACATTTTCACAGGGTCACAGATAATAACTGATTGCACCAGCTAGACTGACATTCCTCATATTTCATAGGTAGACTACTCAGAAGGGCATTGCCCCAGTAGTGGGGAATAATTAGCCTTAGATTAATCATGGCTTTGGTCCTCCCCAACAAATTTTGGAAGTAAGACCAAGAAGGATTAAACTATTTCCAGTTAACTGTATCATAGAATATAGTTTAAAATGTTGATGGGAATACGAAACTATCCTGCACCAACAAGTTAAAATTCACCAAGTCTGACACCAAATCAAAAATTATCAGACATGGAAAGAAGCAGCAAAATATAACCCATAATGAGAACATGCAACCAATCAAAATTGTCTGAAAACTGACACAGATACTACAATTAGAAGACAAGAATATTGAAACAGTTATCATAAATGAAATCTATATGTTCAAAAAGTGATTTAGAGACAAGAAAGATGTAAAAACTAATAAGTCAAACTTCTAGAGATAACTGCAACATCTGGTACAAAAATACACTGGATGAAATGTACAGCAGATTAGACATTATGAAAAAAAGGTCAGTGAACTTGAAGATACAGCAATAAAAACTATCCAAAATCAAATACAAAGATTCAAATAGACAAAAAAAATCATTAAAAATCACTGACCTCTGCAACAAGTTCCAGATAACTGAAATACATATAATTGGAGTCACCAAGGTGGAAGGCAAAAAGCATTTTGAAGAAATAATAGCCAAATATTTTCCAAATTTGATGAAAATTATAAACCCAAACACCCAAAAAAGTTCAACAAGTTTCAAACACAAAAAATAAAGAAAATTATACCAAGGCATATCGTAAATTTCTCAAAAACTAAAATAAAGAGAAAATCTTTAAAGGAGACAAAAAGAAAAAAGACATTATATACAGAAGATCAAAGATAAGGGTGAGGTTAAATTTATCATCAGAAACATTAGATTTATCATCAGAAACTGTGTAATTGAGAAGGCAGTGAAGCATAATCTTTAATGTACTGGAAAATATGTTTTAAAAATATTTAATGTATTTATTTATTTACTTTCAGACATGAGGTCTCACTATGTTGCCCAGGATAGCCTCAAACCCCTGGGCTCAAGCAGTCCTGCCTCGGCTTCCCAAGTAGGTCGTACTAAGGGTACTCATCACCATGCCTGACTTTGTTTTTTAAATGTTTAAAAAAAAGTTTTAATGAAGGTAAAATTAAAAAGTTTTCAAACTCACAAAAGCTTAAAGAATTCATCATCAAGACTCACACTGAGAAAAATGTTAATAGAAATTCTCTATACAGAAGGAAAACAATACCAAATGACAATATGGATCTACACAGTGCAATGAAGAGCACTAGAAATAGTAATGATTTGGGCAACTACATAAGATTCTCTTCTTATTAGTTAAATTCATTTAAAGTATAATTGGTATTTATCGAAAATATTGATAATATAATTTGATATTGACAACATGTATAAGAGTAAAATATAGGACAACAATCTCATAAAGCCTAGGCAGGGAGATATGGGAATATTTAAGTTTCTTAAACTATTCATGAAGTGGCATAATATAACTTGAAGGTAGACTGTGTTATGTCAAATATATATATATATAATAAACCCTAATGCAACCACTAAAAAAAAACAAAAACAAAGCATTATAGCTAACAGGCCACATAGGAGATAAAATGAATAATTGAAAATAGTAAATTAATCTAAAAGAAAAGAGAGAAAGAGGAAAAGTGGAGAAAATAACAGGTGGGACAAATAGAAAAAAATGGCAAGATGAAAGCTTTATATCTAATTATATCAATAATAACATGAAATGTAAATGGTCTAAACCAGTGATCCCCAACCTTTCTGTCACCAGGGACTTGTTTCGTGAAGGACAATATTTCCATGGACGGGAGGTGGGGAGGGAATGGTTTCAGGATGAACCTGTTCCACCTCAGATCACCAGGCATTAGATTCTCATAAGGAGTGTGTAACCTGGATCACTCTCACGCACAGTTCACAATAGGGTTCATACTCCTGTGAGAACCTAATGCTACCACTGATCTCACAGGAGGTGGAGCTCAGGCAGTAATGCTTACTCATTGGCTGCTCACCTCCTGCTGTGAGGCCTGGTTCTTAACAGGCCATGGGCTGGGTGTTGGGGACCCTGGTCTAAACACATCAATTTATAGGCAGATATTATCAGATTGGAGAAAAAAGCATGATCCAATGATATGCTACTTATAAGAAACACACTTGAATATAAAAGGCACAAATAGATTAAAAGTAAAAGGATGGGATAATATATACCATGGTAACACAAACAAAAAATGCTGAATGGCTCTATTAATATCAGACAAAGTGGATTTCAGAGTAAATAATACTACCAGGTATAAACAAGATCATGTCCTAATGATAAAGGAGTCAATTTAGCAGGAGGATATAACAACAGTAAATGCCTGTGCACCTAATAACAGAGCTTCAAAATACAAGGAACAAAAACTCATAGAGCTTTTTACCAAAAATTTAAATATTCTCTTTGATGTCTGCACTTATAATACTAAATATAAACAAATCTGTTTTATAATTACCAGATAACTGAAAAAAAAAAAACCTCATAGAATTGCAAGGAGAAACCGACAAATCAAAATTATAGTCAGAGATTTTCAGTACCACACTGTTATAGACTGAATGCATGTGCCCTCCCAAAAATTATATGTTGAAATCTTAACCCCCAATATGATAGTAGTCCAATGTGATGGAATAGTAGTACCAATACTACTACTACTAACAATAAAACTTAATATTTACTATACACTCATTTTGTTCCATGTACTATTCTTGGTGCTTTTTATGCATTATAACTTTTAACTCTGTATTATAATCTTATAAAGTAGACACCGTCAATTTTCCCCTTTTACAGGGCCTTTGGGAGGTAAATAGGTCATGAGGGTGGAGCTCTAATGAGTGGAATTCAGTGCACTTATAAAAGTGTCCCCAGAGAGCTCTCTCACTCACTTTCTGTCATGTGAGGATAAAAGGAGAAATCAGCTGGCCAAAACCTGGAAGATGGCCTTTGCCAGAACCCAATCATGCTGGTACCCTTATTTCAGACTTCTGGCCTCCAGAACTCTGAGAAACAAATTTATCTTGTTTATAAGCCACGTATGGTACTTTGTTATAGCACCTGGAACTAAGACATATGCTCTCAAAAATTGATAAGAACAAATAGACCAAAAATTAGTAAGGATACAAAAGACTTGAACAACAGCACCATTAAGCAACATGACATTTGACATTTATAAAAAACATGTCCAACAAACAATAGCATGTTACACATTCTTCTTAAGCTTGTGTGGAACATTCACCGAGGCAGATTATATTCTGGGACTTAAAACAGGTCTCAACAAATTTAAAAGTATTCAAGGCATGCAAAGTATATTCTCTGACCTCAGCGGAATTAAATTAGAATAACAAATATCTTCAGAAAAAAATACCCAAATACTTGCAAACTAAGTAAGAACCTTCTAAAAAAAAAAAAGAGACCCTTAGGTCAAAATAGAAATAACAAGGGAAACTATGAAGTATCAAGAATTAAATGAAAATGAAACAATAACATATCAGAATTTGTGAATAAAACTAAAGCAGCATTTAAAAAAAATATTAGGGAAAAAATAAAAAGTCTCGAATCAATGATTCAGCTTTTATCCAAAAAAAAAGAGAAGAGAAAATGAAACTAGAAGTAAATAAGAAAATAGAAATAATAAATATCAGAATAGAAAGCCATAAAATGTGTTCTAGTTCTAGATAAACTGTATTGTAAGTCAATGAATTCAAATGCTGGTTTGTTAGAAAGATAAAAAATACCGATAAACTTCTAGGAATATTATTTGGAATACTTTGCTTTATAAAAATGAAGTGAAATCGTAGCATTAACATCAAAGATTAGTTAAGTGTATACCTAAATTAATAAGTGATCCCCTAACCTGTGTAGTGGACTCATCTGTAAAGAAATGACCATTTGTAACAGAAAAAAAAATCACTAACTTTAAAAATATCTAATGTATGAGTTTAAATCTATTTTGTTTTTAATGCATATGGCAGCCATTGAGATACACTGCTTAGAAGTCTTTCAAGAGAAACTGCTGTGAAGTGCCCAGTTAACTGACTGCTTTCAGATGTGTCTCCTTTTTAATGGTAAGGCCACATGTACTCCCTGGTTCTCCTAGTCAGTGATGGAATATGGTAGGGGTACTAATGAAGATACTTTCCTGTCCAACAGGGGATCCTTATAGCACACAACCATGGCTCAGGGACCTCCCCTTTCCCGTTTATCTGGCGAAGGTCTTCTCAAAAGTGGCTGCAGTCTGTACCTCTTGCTGCCCAATGTTCCTTTATGTCCTCTTTCTTTTTTCATAAGTGTCAGATCCGCATTACATTCTAAAGGCTCTCCCTGCCTACTCTAGCTTCCTCTACCTTTACCCTTCATAGGTATTTTCTCCAATTAATTGTTTGCTTTTCTAATCCTGACTTTGCATTTGTTTCTTGTTGGACTCAAGCTGGCACAATCTAGACATTCCTTAAGTGGGAATATTCTTTAACTAACGAAGCACAATATGGTATGCCATGTAAAATAAAAGTGCCACCAATGTTACTATAAATATACTTTATAAAGTTATACAAGTATGCTTATCATTATTGTTACCAATAATAATAATAACAGTAATGAAAGTTAATGTTTATTATGTGCTTGCTACGTTCCGTGTACTATTCTTGGTGTTTCTCATATATTCTCTCTTTAACTCTCCGTTATAATCCTATGAGATAGACACCAGCAAACTCTCCTTTTTAAATATGATGAAATGAGTTTGGAAAAATTAAGCAATTTGCCCATGTTGGTACAAGTAGTAAACTGTTAAACTAGGATACAAACCCAGGCAGCCTTCTACTAGAGCCCACACTCTCATTATTACACCACTAAAGCCTCAGTTGGCGTCTTCAACTCCATGGCACCAATAAGATTCAGATATTGGCCAGGCAGCATAGGTTATCAATTCCCACGCTGACTCTTGAGCCGAGGTATGGTCTGGTCCAGATCCAGGGGTCTGCAGAGTAAATTGTGTCACTGTACTCACCAACTGCCCTCAAAGCTGAGAGAACCTCTAGATCCTACAAGACCAAAATCATTACCCTCTAATATCAAGGGAAGACAGCATATTCAAAACATGGTTCTCAAGAACAGATGATCACTCCCTTTGGAATCTTGTCTAAGGGAAAGAATAAGAATTCAGAATACCTTTGTGTACAAAAAGAAAGATGATTAGAATAACTTCTGCCTTATTACTCAAAGTATTAATGTTCACAAGATCAATTACTTTTAAAAGTATCAATGAAATTTGATGAGTTTAAATTAACTTTTTGATAATTCTCTGAAGGTAATGACTAAAATTTTGTAGAATTCTGACACTCATGTTGATCCAAAAGGTTGGATGGTTCTTAGAAGCCGTACATTGGTCAACATCAGTCTAACAGGGTAAAATTCCTGCTGATATGTTTAGTAAGATGTGGTCATATGATACTTACTTTTATGTACACAGGTGCCAGTGTGTTTAGTAGAAGCTAAATGAAAAGTACCAGAACAAAATTCCTCTGGTAATGGCATATTCTCCAATAATACCTAGGGCTCCCTTCTGAATTATGCAAAGTTTAAAGCAATCTCATTCTTAAGAGATAACTGAAAAAAAACCCTAAACACTTCAAATAATTGACTTTTGAGTTATTTGCAAATTCATGTGGAATCACAAACGGGTTAAGAAGGCGAAGGTGCTGTAAGACATTAGTGTAAATCCATAACAAGGATGGGCAAACCTGTTTAGATAAAATTCGAATGAGTAGTCTGAAACCTACAAATCTTTAACCAAATCAGAACCTCATTAAATGTGGAAATGTTTCATTGAATATTTTAGAAGTATGCTGCTCCACATTTCAAGCCTATTTCAAAGCAGGAATAAGAAATAAATAAACTCATTGTGAGAGGGCTAGGGCTACTTTTACTTTTACAAATGCTTAAGAAGCTCAATAAATATTAAGTAATAGTAATGGTCTAGGAAATTAGGTCTCTAAGCAGTTTTCGATGAATAAAAATCAGGAAAGACTAACCAATTAAGATAAAATCAGGGTCTGGCACAGTGGCTCATGCCTGTAATCCCAGCACTTTGGGAGGCCGAGATGGGCAGATCACCTGAGGTCAGGAGTTCAAGACCAACCTGGCCAACATGGTGAAACTCTGTCTCTACTAAAAATACAAAATTAGCCAGGCGTGGTGGCACATGCCTGTAATCCCAGCTACTCGGGAGGCTGAGGCAGGAGACTCACTTGAACCCGGGAGGCAGAGGTTGCAGTGAGCCAAGATCGTGCCATTGCACTCCAGCCTGGGCAACGAGAGTAGAACTCCGTCTCAAAAAAACAAAACAAAACAAAAAAAGGATAAAATCAGAAGTCATTTGAGCTGTTGTTCACTTACATATAAATAGATGTGCTGAATGCTATTCACTGTTATCATAGCTTATAATAAACTGCACAACTCTGGCACTACTAAACAGGTTGTCTTAAGTTTGATTTTTAATTGCTCTATTCCTTTATTGAAAATAACTTGAGGATTGTTAACTTGGAAGAACTGGATATAACAATGAAAGGGTATAGTAGTATTAACCTATTTCTTGGGTTTGCTGATTGTAAACATAATTGCATTAATTAGTTTACATAAAAATCATTTATTACATGACTTTACATGGAGCCAATAATGAAATAAATGGGTATGGATATAATATCCTCTGTATATTAATTCTGTACCATTCATAAAATCATCTTTAAATGTATGTACATTTCTTCAGGCAGCTACACTTGTTTGTTTTCTCCCACTGCTACTGAGACTCATTTGCTATGGTCTGAATGTTTGTGTCCCTCCAAAATTCATATGTTGAAACCTAGTCACCAATGTGATGATATTAGCAGGTGGGGCCTCTGGAAAGTGATTTGTTCTCTTATAAAAGGGGCCCCAGGGAGCTGCTTTGTGTCCTTCTGCCATGTGAGGATGAAGCAAGAAGATATCTTTTATTAACAAGAAAGTGGGCCCTCACCAGGCACTGGATCTGCCAGTGCCTTTATCTTGGACTTCCCAGTTCCAGAACTGTGAGAAATAAATTTCTGTTGTTTATAAGCTATCCAGTTTATGGTAGTTTGCTATAGCAGTCTAAACTAATACACCACTACTGTGTTAAAATGCACAAAAGAAATTTTACATAGAAGAGTTTCATATGTTTGCCAACAATTTTCCTTGCAATACAAATTTATCTATTATTAAATTCTTTTGATAACCAAATGTCAATGGTACCATAAATTTGTAAGATGATACACGAAGCACTTTAATGGAAACTAAATAGATTTTCTCATCAATGAGTAGGCAGAATAAGTATCTTATTTTACTAATGAAGGAACTGAGACTTTTAATTGACTAGTTGACATAATATTGTCAATTCAGATATTGTCCAAATAAATGTCCTAAAAAGCTCAGACTCAGAAAATATAAAGTAAATAAAAGTTCATGAAAGCACAACTACAAATAGGATGGCAAATCTGAGAAAACACAGAAAAAACAAGGTACAATAATGAATCATTTCTTTATAAACAAAAGTATCATGAGGCTTGTAAAGCATCTGAGTACCTACTACAATACCATTGATATAGCAAGGGCTCAGTAGACAAAAAGATGAAGGAAGTGTTATAAAATAAATAGACCATCGACCTTACAGACAATCATGGCTTTGTATAAATCCAGCCTGTGTCATTTACTATTTGACACCTAGACACATCGCCTGTCAAATCCTATTTCTTCATTAGCAAAATTGGGATAGCGATAATGCTTATCTTTTAAAGGTTTTTGTTTTGTTTTGTTTACTTTTAAGTTCAGGGGAACAAGTGCAGGTTTGTTATATAGGTAAACGCGTGTTGAGGGGTTTGTTGTACAGATTACTTAATCACCCAGGCATTAAGCATAGTACCCATTACTTATTTTTTCTGATCCTCTCCCTCTTCCCACCCTCCACCCTCTGGTAGTCCCTATTGTGTGTTGTTCCCTTCTATGAGTCCATGTGTTTTCATCATTTAGCTCCCACTTATAAGTGAGAACATGTGGTATTTGATTTTCTGTTCCTGCATTCTTTTGCTAAGAATAATTGCCTCCAGCTCCATCCATGTTGCTGCAAAAGACATGATCTCATTCATTTTTATGGCTGCATAGTATTCTATGGTGTGTATCTACCATATTTTCTTTATCCAGTCTATCATTGATGGGCATTTAGGTTGATTCCATGTCTTTGCTTTTGTGAATAGTGCTGCAATCAACATACACATTCATGTGTCTTTATAATAGAACGATTTATATTCCTTTGTGTATATATCCAGTAATGGGATTGCTGGGTTGAATGGTATTTCTGTCTTTAGGTCTTTGAGACATCACCACACTGTCTTCTGCAATAGTGAACTAACTTACACTCCCACCAACAGTGTATAATGGTTCCTTTTTCTCCATAACCTTGCCAGCATCTGTTGTTTTTTGACTTTTTAATAATAGCCATTCTGACTAGTGTGAGACAGTATCTCATTGTGGTTTTGATTCGGATTTCTTTAATGATCAGTGATGTTGAGCTTTTCTTCATATGCTTGTTGGTTGCATGTATGTCTTCTTTTGAAAAGTGTCTGTTCATGTCCTTTGTCTAGTTTTTAACGGGTTTTTTGTGCATTTGTTTAAGATCCTTATAGATGCTGGATATTAGACCTTTGTTGGATGCATAGTTTGCAAAAATTTTCTCCCATTCTGTAGGTTGTTTAAAGGTTTAAAATTAAATTAATTAAATTAAGTGGCTATCATTTAGCAAGTGATCAAAAAATGTCAGCTCTTCTTCTTACTTCTTGAAGCTAAAGCAAGTAACATGCACAAACAGAAGAATCATCTGCAAATAGTGGACAGTACACACAAAAAAGACCTTCATTTATCCAGAATGGATGAAAAAGTTTTCCATACCCTTTGGAATTTTCGGGCAAATACACAAGCATTATAATACGGTCAGGAGCATTTCCTTTAATACCAAGAAAATAATGTTAATATTTCAAGAAAAAACATTTCAGTTCAAAAATCCTCACATATTTTCTAAGTAAGCTATTCAGTTGACTTCATTTTAAATGGTCCATAGGTAATTTTGTGTAGCTTCATTTTACCATTCATATCATTCCTTAAAATGAAATTATTCAAGCTGCATTTTGACATGCAAACATAGCTACTTTTCTCTTTTGAGCCATCATGATCTATTATCAAGAATTATCAGAGCTTGCTTTATTTTGAAAAGTAATAGATCTCCCATCATATTTAAATACTTATGTATAAGTGTAGAATATACTTTCTAGGTTACTCTTTCTCCATGGTTCTCTCATTCATACAGCAAATATATGTAAATGCTATGAATAGTAAAACAAGGTCAAGATGAGTAAGTATCAAAGATTATAACATAAAAATATCCCTATTGGTCCACCAACTTTTAAAATTTATTTCAATCAACAGCCAAATTTCATTAACTATGTTTATTTTAAATTGACGAGTCATTTGGCCAATCTTAGAAATCAAAACTAAAATGGTAACCATAGTCAATAAATCTTCAAATTGTGATGATTTGCACTCTATAAAACTTGTGATTTGTGCCAAAACCTGTAGGGACTATAGGTGTATTTCATACGAACATATAATTTATTAATTATACAGAGAGTGCATTTTTGAAAAATAATCATCAGTTTGGCAAACAACATTCTCTGATAAAGAGCCTTAAGTTGATTTTAAAATTTTAGGTAAGTTGATGTGACAATGTGCTTTTGTTCATTATTTGGTTTTCAAAGAACCACATGACATGACTAACATATCAATACTCACATATTAGCTATGCAGAAAAAATAAGCTTTAACTATTTGATGTCTAGATTAAAATTTTTTTAAAAACAATTCACATATGTTTTCTCCAGGCTTTGAGATCTAACATGGCTGTCAGGCTGGATAAAGAAGATCCCTCCTGAACAGTTGCTTTTGCTCTTCCTAGCAAGAAGCGGGTCCTTAACATAGTCAATCTTGACTTTCACAAGTGATCATATCTGCCTGCTAGAACTCATGGTGAGATGGTCTAGCATGGCTACAATGGTCTTGTCATGCTAATCCTAGCCTGAAGATTGATTCATTTGGTGGGAAAACTTTATCTCTTTGTCTCTATTTTCTAAATCATCCAATCACTTTACCCAATTACCTTAGGTGAGCAGTACTTCACAGTGAGTAAAATATGATCATCTTGTTATTCACTTCTAATTCCAGATACGTAACAATCAGAAACTAGGTAAAGAAAGGAGAATTAAAATGGAACTTTGAGCTGATAAGTAATAACCACTCAGTAATGAGTTGTTATTTATATTCTTTAGTATACCAGTTCTCCTTCTTATTTCCTAGACAACTGTTAACTTTGAAAGGTAAATGCATTTATTCTATTTCCTTCTGACTTTTTGACTGCCTTCTGACTGCCTAACTTTGAGGCATCCTCTCTCTATAATGAAAGGATAAAATTATGTTTTCTCAACTATTAAATTTTCATTGGTCTGAAAACTGAAAGAGAATCATACCTGGGAATAGAAACTCTTGAGATTTATTTCCAGTATCATTGCTGGTTGTGACACTTAAGACAACTCATTTACATTCTCTTATACTCTCATTTACAATGCGCTCATGCACTTGCAGTTTCTGTCACCAAAATACAGGCAGTAAGAGATTTCTGAGTAAAGAAGATAAAAATGGAAAATGCATTATCTCAAGAGACAAACATGGGCATATAGACACAGAGACTAGCTCAGGTCTTTGGGTCTCCACACAACAAATCATCCATTCTATAAAAATTCTGAAACTCTCTCAACCACCAAATTGGCCCTCCAGTCCCTGAGCTCATAGTGGAAACCAAGAACAATATAACAACAGTTAACAATAAACATGCTTATTCTTAACACCACCAATAAATATACTGACTCAAACATTAAAAAATACTATAATCTTTCTATCTGTCATGTACACATTTGAGTGTGGTTGAAGGGCATTGAATATTTGGCACTTTGCTTTGTGTCCTTCCTCATTGTCAGAGTGCACAGACATCTTACTCTTGTATAGAAAGTGATCAACCAGCCAGATAAATTCACTGAAGGTAATAGGCAAATCAACAAATGAAAAGCAGGCCGGGCGTGGTGGCTCACGCCTGTAATCCTAGCACTTTGGGGGGCCGAGGCGGGCAGATCACGAGGTCAGGAGATCAAGACCATCCTGACTAACATGGTGAAACCCCAGTCTCTACTAAAAATACAAAAAATTTTCCCGGCGTAGTGGCTTGTCCCAGCTACTCGGGAGGCTGAAGCAGGAGAATGGCGTGAACCCGGGAGGCGAAGCTTGCAGTGAGCCGAGATTGCGCCACTGCACTCCAGCCTGGGCGACACAGCCAGACTCCATCTCAAAACAAAACAAAACAAAACAAAACAAAACAAAACAAAACAAAAAACAAATGAAAAGCAACAAAAGTTATCCCTTGCTGGTCACCAAAATATTGTATTTTTCGTGGCTTAATTGTGCCTCATAACAGCATGCTCATGGACTGTATATGTTTGAGTGAAGGAATAAAATAACAATTCAAAGGGGAGGTAAGAAGGGACCCAAATTCTTCCTGGTAGATGCACAATGCCATATCCGCCTAATAGTTAACATTTTTAGCATTTACCATATGCTAAATGCTTTGTTGATATTATTTCAATGGATCCTCACAAAACCCTTGTTGAGCAGGTACATTATCATCCTCATTTTACAGCAAAGATAACTGAATCTAAAATACATTAAGTAACTTACTCAGGATAAACCAACAGAATTAGGGAAATTTGACTCCACACCCTGTCTTCTTAACCACACTATCACCTCCTTAGCCTTCTTGGCTTTCTGTCCCCATGGCTCCAGCTCAGGGTTTTGCAAACTTATGCTTTCAACCACATGGCTTCTGTTGAAACTACTCAGCTCTGTGTTTGTAGAGCAAATCAGCCATAACAACACTGAAACAAATGGCCATGGCTGTGTTTCAATTAAACTTTATTTATGGGCACTGAAATTGGGATTTTGTATAATTTTCTGTGTAACCAAGCATTATTACTCTCTTGATTTTTCCAATTGTTTAAAAATATAAAAACCATTTTTAGCTCATGGGCCCTATGAAAACAGGCAGTAGGTCAATGGTGCCCAAAGGCAGTAGTTTGTTGACTCCTAACTTAGCTGCTACAGAAGTGGGTTTCATAATGTACACCTATAATTACGTGTGTGCCCTACCTGCCCTGAAACCTCCTTCCTTACACCTTATGGCCAAGGATGACATTTAGGTTGGCTTTCAAAGACATTTATTTTCTAAAGCTTCTTTTGTGACCAGTCTCATCTTTTCTTTGACACACAGCCTTCGGTTTCTTAAACTAACATACTTCCCCCTTCAACTATAACATCAGAAAATAGCTCAAAATTTTTGATAATGACCTTTTCAAAGGATTTTTGTGTGCCTTTATGTAGTAGGATGGATAAGAATTCTATTAATGGATTGATCAAGAGGAAAAAACTAGACCCATTATTCCAACTTTGTGCTTTAATGTTTGACATCACCATAGTGCTGCTCTTTGAGGCTCTTCAGTGTCATCAGAATCACAATATACTGAGCTTAAAATACATGTGATTTTAAGAATGCCACTTAAATGTTCTATGGGTAATAACTTTAGTTTTATAAATAATGATTTAAACCTAAACTATTTCCATGGTAGAGGCTATGAGTAAGGGACATAAATATTACTTGAGAAGAACTGACTTGTACCACTGTCTCTATCCCTCACTATCATGAGTATCCACTTATTTTGCCTTTTTTATTTTATTCTTTTGAACTGTTTTCTCTTGAGTCCTTTCTTTTTCTCTTCTTCCACATCCCTGCTTTGTAACTTTTCCTCTATTATTACCTGCTAAATTCAGCATGGGGTCGTGGAAGGAGTCCTAAATTTGTACAGTATTGAAAAGAATGCATGTGTCAGTGAAAATATTTTCAATTCTAAGAAACAGAAACCAAACACAAACTAGCTGAATAAAAGAGGGAGGTGGTGAAGAAGGAGAAGCCGGGGGTGGGGTTGGGGGGGCATGTTTTTATGCACAGTGAAATCCAGTTGAAATGATAGTATCAAAACTGTTTCTTTTTCAAACTCTTGGCTACAGCTCTGCTTATTTCTACTTGCCTTGTTTCCCAGAGGGCTTTCTCTATGTGGCAACAAGATAGTTGCCAGTAGCCTCAAACCCATGTTATTCTTGTAGGTCCCAATCCTAGATAAAATGATAGTGTATTTCTTAATAGCTCTTATAAATTTCCAGGGTAAGTTCTGCTGAGGCTGTATTGGGTCACATGGCTATCACTGAGCTAATCATTCTGGCCAGAGTCATGAGAAACACTTTTTGGCCAGGTCTGGGCTGTCCTCACCCCACATCCCTGTGGAAGACCAACGTAAATGAAAGCACATAAACTTAACCGAATTATAATGCATTGAGGCAAGAGTGGTTCTTCAAAGGAAGGTTATGTTGAAAAGATTAATACCTGTGCATGAACTATGTTTTGTGAATTACTTCTATTAAAGCAACTATATGACACCAAATTATTCAAGGTTCACTATAAATTTGGGAAACTCTGCATATGCAATGGCCCCAAAATATTTATATCTACAACATATACAAGAGATTACTGTGATTTAGACCTGTCAGTGAACTGTAGGGTTATCCTGAGAATTCTTTTGCCCTTGGTGAGTATAAGGATCTAACCTTTATTGATTGCTTTCTTAGACTTGGAGATATGTAAAAGGTGGGCTATTATCAACCACAAATCTCTATTTAGAGATTAAATCTATTTCATGTTGTCCTGTAAGACTGTTATTATATTAGTATCTCAATTTCATAAATAAAGAAATGAGACTCATAAAGCTAACTAGGTAGTAGAGCCAGGATTCAAACTCACTGTTATTGTTGTTTTTCCTGCATCTGTTTGAATCCAAATTTATGTTCTTCCCTGCTGCTATGTTATCCTGTAATCCTTAGTGTTAAGTGGGGAATTGGCTCCTATAGATGAGTTTTTATAGCATTTACAGACACATATGATGGGTGTTCTACAGAGTAACTCCAACAAATACGTTTCTATCATTTATTTGGAGAGTAATGTAGATGCTTCTATCATTTATTTGGAGAGTAATGTAGATGCTTCTATCATTTATTTGGAGATAAAATAAATGATAGAAATATGTTTCTATCATTTACTTGGAGAGTAATGTAGATGCTTCATCAGGACAGTTATTTGTGATTTAAAAGCTAGAGAGGCTTCAGGGTATGGGTTCCTGCAACCTACCCACAATGTTTCCTTTCTCCCATGCAGGAAATGTTTTCTGAGAAACTATGAATAATCAAAATCTTATACAACAACATCTTGCCAGATCTTTATTCTAATCAGATAAGAAGTATATGGTAATAGTCTATTTACACTATACAACAATTCTATCTTCATATCTAGTTAACTTCAACTCAGCAATTAGAATTTTCTCTCATGGATCACCAAAGAAAGCATTGCACATAAATAAGATTATTGAGAAAGGAGAATATCCTGAAAATCTCTTCCTTGGCCTTAAAACTGGCAGCATTTTAAAAGCATGCTTTTTTAGCTTAGACTTATACAAATGATATTCTTAAACCAGCAGAAAGTTCCCTTTAAGGGTCTTCTTGCAGTCTGTTATATTCTTATAATTATATTCTTAAAAATGTAACTATACTCTATTTGCAGATAATATAATCCTCTATATAAAAATTATTTAAAAACACTTAAAAACTATTAGAACAATAAACAAGTTCAGGAAGGTTGCAAGATACAAGACCATTATACAGAAAAATTTGTATTCCTACAAACTAGCAATAAACAATCCAAAAATGAAATAAAGAAAACAATTCTAACATCATCAAAAATAAAATAATTAAGAGTAAATCACACAAAAAAGATACAAAACTTTGACACCCCAAATGACAAAACATCATTGAAAGACATAAAAGAAGAACTAAATTAATAAAAAGACATCCCCCACTTATGGATTAGATAAGTTAAGACTGTTAAGAAACTAATAGTCTCCAAATTAATCTGCAGATTCAATACAATCTCTATCAAAATTTCAGCTGCTTTCTTTGCAGAAACTGATAAAGTTATTTTAAAATTTATATGGAATGGAAAAGGACACAGAAGACCAAAAACAATCTTGGAGAACTCATATGTCTTGATTTCAAAGCATACTACAAGGTTATAGTAATCAAGACTGTGTGGGATCGGCATAAGGATAGACATGTAAATCAATGGAATAGAATTAGAAGTCCAGATATAAACCCCAATATTTAGGACTAATTGATTTTCAACAAAAGTGTCAACACAATTTAATGGAAAAAGAATAGTATTTTCAACAAATGATGCAGAACAACTGCATATCCATGTGCCAAAGTATTAAGGTGGACCCCTATTTCATACTTTATAAAGAATTAATTCAAAGTGGATCAAAGACATTAGTGTGAGAGCTAAATCCATAAAATTCTTAGAAGAAAACATACCTATGAATATTTATGACCTTGGATAAGGCAGTAATTTCTTATGACACCAAAAGCACAAGCATCAAAGGAGAAAAATAGACAAATTGAACTTCATCAAAAAATGTTTTAGAACTTTTCTGCATCAAATAAGTGAGAGGACAATTCCTCAAAAATGGGAGAAAATATTCACAAATCAAATACCTGATAAGGTAATTGTATCCAGAATATAAAAATTTGCAGCTCAATAACATAAAGCCAACTATGGCAGTTTTAAAATGGGAAAGGAGCTGAATAGACATTTCTCTAAATAAGATACACAAATGATCAGTAAGCACATGAAAAGATGCTCAACATCATTAGTCATCAGAGAAGTGTAAATCAAAATTACAATAAGAGACTACATCACATCAACTAGACAGGCTATAATAAAAATGACAGACAATAACAAATGTTGGTGAGAATGTGGAGAAATTAGAATCATCCTACAATGCTGATTGGAATGTAAACTGGCACAGAGGCTTTGGAAAATAGTTTAGCAATTTCTCTAAGCTAAAACATATAGTTACCATATGACTCAGAAATTCCCCTCCTAGGTATATACTCAAAAGAAATAAAAACACACATCCTGGCCAGGCATGGTGGCTCATGCCTGTAATTCCAGCACTTTGGGAGGCCAAGGTAGGAGTGTCACTTGAGGCCAGGAGTTCGAGACCAGCCTGGGCAACATAGTAAGACTCAATCTCTATTAAAAAAAAAAATAAAGCTTTTTAAATAATTAAAATAATTCATCCACATGAAAACATGTACACAAATGTTTATAACAGTATTATTTATAATAGTTAAAAAGTAGAAAGAATCCAAATGTTCATCAATGCATAAATGGATCAACAAAAAGTGGCATATTCATACAAAAGAGTATTATTTTGTAATAAAAGGGAATGAAATACTGATACATGCTAGAACATGGATGAGCCTTCAAAACACTGTGTTAATTGAAAGAAGCCAGTCACAAAAGGTCATATATTGTATGATTAAATTTATATGAAATGTATAGAATAGGAAATCCATAAAACAGAAAGTAGAATAGTAGTTGCCTAGGATAAAAGGAGAGCAAGGTTACAGGAAAATGCAGAGTAACTGCTGATAGGTAAGGGATTTCTTTTGGGAGTATTGAAAGGGTTCTAAAATTGATTTGGTGATGGTTGTACATTCTGTGTGCATACACTAAAAACTATATACTTTGTGTGAAATATATGGTATGTGAAACATCTCCATAAAGCTGTTATTTTTTAAAATGTAATCATAATTAACTTGCACAAGTCATTTCTGAGTTATTTTGAACTAAATATTTTTAGCACTCTGAGATATCATTTAATTCAAAGTATGCTCATTGAGTACCTCTGTCAGAGGGGATATAAAGATGAATAAGGCCTAGTATTTACCCTTAGGGTAATTTCAATCTAAGAGTGAGACAGGACAATCAAATAAATAATATAAGACAAGCTAATAAAGGACAATACATGGTATATTAGTTAGGGTCATACTAGCTGCTTTAACAAACCCCAGAATTTCAATAACTTCACACATATATTTCTGCTCATAAAATAATCCAGTGCAAGTGTCAGCCTTCTGTACAATTATTTAGGCACTCCAGTACCTTTCTCTTTGTAGCTCTAACATTCCCTAGATCCCCAGAGTCATCTGTGTTCAGCTGATTAAAGGTAAAAGAGAACAAGCAGAGAAGGCCTACCTGTTGTATTCTTTCCATTTGCAATAACTGGTCCCAAAGCTCCACCTAGATATGAAAGTACAGTTTCCAGCTAGACTGCCACTCCCAAGTGATAATTGTCTGCAAACGACAAAAGTTTAATCCTACTGAAACTAAAAAGGGAAATTACTGGTTTATATAACTGAAATTTATGAGTTTGAAGCCATCCCATTAGTCTATTTTTGCTTTTGCTGTCTCTACTTTCAGGGTCATAGTCAACCAATGGTGCAGAGCTTTTTCCCAATGTTTTCTCCTAGTAGTTTTATAGTTTTAGGTCTTATATTTAAGTCTTTAACCCATTTTGAGTTGATTGTGGTATATAGTGCAAGACTAGGTTCCAACTTTATTCTTCTGCATGTGGATATCCAATTTTCCCAACACTATTTATTAAAGAAACTATTGTTTCCCTATTGTGTATTCTTGACACACGAAATATTTGCAAATTATACATCTGATAAGGGATTAACATCCAAATTATATAAGGAACTCAAACTACTCAATAGCAAGAAAATAAATAATTACATTTAAAAAATGGGCAGAGGACCTGAACAGACATTTCCTGAAAGAATACACATAAATCGCAATAGATTAGTGATAAATGCTCAGCATCCATAATCAAAATGCAAATTAAAACCACAGTGAAATATCCCCTCACACCTGTTAGAATGGCTTTTAACAAAGAGATGAAAGATGACCTTTGGCAAAGAAGTGGAGAAAAGTGAACTCTTGTACATCGTTGATGGGAATGTAAATTAGTACAGCCGTTATGGAAAACAGTATATAGCTTCCTCAAAAACACTCAAAATAGAACTACCGTGTGATCCAGTAATCCCACTTTTGGGTATATATCCAAAGGAGTAAAATCAGTATGTTAAATGAATATCTTTACATTCATGTTTATTGCAGCATTATTCACAATAGCCAAGATATAGAATCAACCTAAGTGTCCATTAACAGATAAATAGACTTTTAAAAATAGTATATATACACAATGGAATACTCTTCAGCCTTAAAAGGAGAGAAAATCTTGTCATTTGCTACAACATAGGTGAATCTGGAAGACTTTATGCTAGTGAAATAAGCCATACACAGAAAGACAAATACCACATGATCTCACTTACACCTGTTGATAAAAGGGTACAAAGTTTCAGATAGACAGGAGGAATAAGTTCTGAGATTTATTGCACAGCAGGGCAACTATAGTCAATAATAGCGTATTATATATTTCAAAATAACTAAGAATACATTTCAAATGTCTCACCATAAAAAATGATAAGTATGCGAGATGGATACATTCACCTGACTTAATTATTCCATATTGTATACATATATCAAAACATCACACTGTACCTGATAAATGTATACAATTTTGATTTGTCAATTAAAAATAATAATAAGTAAAATAAATAGAATTTATAAGGATAGTCTTCCTTCAGGTGTGGCTGGATCCCAGATGCTCCAGCAACAAAATCAAGATTCAATTTCTTTCTTTTTAATCTCTGATTAGCTGTCCATTAGATTCATTTTGAGATAGGCTGTCTTCACAATATGGTAAAGATGTTCACTTGCGGTTCATGATTCATTTACTGTTTAGCACTTACTATCTGGGAAGACTAGAGACCTACTTTCTATCAAAATCCATACCTACAAATAACTTTCATTGGTCTGATTTGTGTCACTTAGCCAATCTTGACTTGATCACTTTTCCTATGGTGACGAAGTGCTCTGATTGGCCAAGTCTGGCTCCTATGCCTACTTGATGGCAAGTAAAGGAGGATCCCTTGATTGAAAGTTTCACCAGGTCGGGGGAGGGATCATTCGTAAAAACCAAAATGGGATTCTTTAACAGGAAAAACAGGGAAGGAATGTAGATTAAAAAAAAATTGTATTCACTTTAGGTTGATGGCTTAAAACAGTATATGAGACTCTGGCAAGATTAACTGGAAACTATATTTTAGACCTGAGTGAAATCTAAAGTTGTGACTCTCAAGATCTTACTTACTAAGTAGAACATGAGAAGGTTTTGAGGTTTACAAGACACAAAACCATCTAGTCTAGTGTCAGGGACATTACTATGGTTCTTTGCCTTAGACAGAATAGGCACTGGCTATTCTACTTAATAGTGATCGCCAAAGTGGAGTATATAACATGATCCTTGGAGGTGTAAGAAGAAAAAGATTTTACTTATAATTTACAGGATGTCATTTACGCACACACACACAAAAAAGACCAATACATGGTGACATATCTTCAATACATATATGGTGAGTGACACAGAAACTATTTTGTATCACACGGAGGTTCTTTGATTACCTTAAGACGAAGTACTTAAAGAAGTTTTAGAGCTTAAAGATGCATTAGGCATTTTTCTTTTACTAAAAGATAAGTGTTTCAAGTGTGATGACCTTTACTCTGATGACAAAAGGCTCTCAGTAATGTGTTACTTAGAATGTAGTTTTAAAAAGAATAAACAACCCATCTACCTTCAAAGGAAAAGTGATATTGTAACAATAATAAAGAGGACATCTCATTTTCAAAAGAAACTCACATTATGGAAAGATCATCTTTAAAAGGAGTGTTTGAAAATATTTCTAACATTCTGTGATTTTATTGCAGAAACTACGTGTGCCACCTATAAAAACAAGTAAAAGATTTCTATCTGCACCTTTAAAAAATTGAAAACACAATAGAAAAAAAATGACAAAAGACATAAACAATTCACAGAAAAAGAAAAACAAATAGTTTTTATATGTGAGAAAACACTCTCCCACCTAAGGTATTAAAGTTAAAACCATACTGAGGTAGCATTTTTCATATACACTGACGATAAAGTTTGTTAGCTTAGTGTAAAGAAATAGTCACTCTCTTAAATTGCTGGTAAGTGTGCAAAATGTTTAAACCCCCATGGAGAGGCATTTGGTAATATCTACAAAAATTCTGTGGTTTTAGTTTTTGATCCAGCTATTCAACTTCTAGGAATCTACCTCATAGATACAACTCCAAAGGAGTGTGCCCTACGTTATTCATTGCAGCATTATTTGTAATAACAAAAATGTGAAACAACTTAGATATTCACTCATAAGGCACTGGTCCTACAAACTACGATACAGTGACACAGTGAGGTACATGCAACATTTTTAAAAACTGAAGATTATTTGATTTAGTTTTGCAAGAAGAAATACAGGAAGGATGGAAGGACTAACCAGAAACATCATAAACTAATGAAAATGGAGGATAGGTGGAGGGAGCACGTCTTCTCTGAGTATTCTGAGTGTATCTTTTTATATAGTGTTAACCTTATTAATTTATTTTTTTGAGACGAGGTCTCGCTCTGTCGCCCAGGCTGGAGTGCAGTAGCATGATCTAGGCTCACTGCAACCTCCGCCTCCCAGGTTCAAGTGATTCTCAGCCCTCGCCTCCCGAGTAGCTGGGACTACAGGTGCATGCCACCATGATGCCCAGTTCATTTTTTGTATTTTTCATAGAGAGGGGGTTTCACCATGTTGGCCAGGCTGGTCTTGAACTCCTGGCTTCAAGTTATCTGCTCGCCTTGGCCTCCCAAAGTGCTGGGATTACAGGCATGAGCCACAATGCCCGGCCTCTTGTTAACTTTTAAACTACGCAACTGCTGTAATTTTATTTGAAAGATAAAATTAAATGGGGCCGGGCGCAGTGGCTCATGCCTGTAATCCCAGCACTTTGGGAGAATGAGGCAGGTGGATCATGAGGTCAAGAGATCGAGACTATTCCGGCCAACACGGTGAAACCCCTTGTCTACTAAAACTACAAAAATTAGCCAGGAGTGGTGGCGGGCGCCTGTAGTCCCAGCTACTCAGGAGGCTGAGGCAGGAGAATCACTTGAACCCGGGAGGTGGAGGTTGCAGGGAGCCGAGATTGCACCACTGCACTCCAGCCTGAGTGACAGAGCGAGACTCCATCTCAAAAATAAATTAGTTAAATTAAAAAGTATAAAACATAAATTTTTCAACACAAGTGGAAACGTACGAGCATAAATATATATGAAAAACAATCATACAGAGAAAATAATTATTTAAAATAATTTTTAACGCAATACTCTGCCTGTGCATCCTTAATTAGACACAGTAAAAAGACAAAAATAGCCGCAAAGAAAACTCAGTAGGTTTGTTTTTATTTTTAATATTGATTGTAATTTTGAAACTAATTTAGATATAGTGTAAGATAATGTAAATAAGTGTATGTGTATGTATACATGTGGTTAGGCACCGATATTTTCAGAGTAATGAAAAGAAATATAATTTTATAAAGTTGGAAATTCTGTCATTTGTGGTAACATGGATGAATTTGGAGGACATTATGTGAAGTGAAATAAGCCAAACACAGAAAGACAAATACCATATGTTCTCACTCATATGTGGAAGTTAGAAAAATTGATCTCATAGATGAAGAGAGAAGAATAGTGGTTACCAGAAGTGGAGAAGGGTAGGGGAAAGGTGGAGATAGCTAAAGGCCAGTTAACAGATACAAAAGTACAGCTAAAGAGGAGGGATCAGTTCTAGTGTTCTATAGCACTATAGGGTGACTGACTAGAATGAACAACAATTTTTGGTATATTTTCAAATAATTATAAGAATGGATTTTGAATGTTCCCAACACAAAGAAATGATAAATGTTTGAGTGGATGGATATACTAATTACTTTGATTTGATTATTATACATTGTATATATGTATTGAGATATCACACTGTACCCCATAAATATGTAAAATTGTTATGTGTCAATTAAAAATAATAATAAAAGCAAAAAAATACACCATAATAGAACCCAGTTATAACAAGTACATGCAAGTAGACCAACTTTATATTCAACAAACAAATGATATGTTGTTTACTTGAAATAAAATATTGAGAAGGACAAATGGTAGAAAGCACTCCACGAATCATAATATCATGTTAAATGTATCTATTTGATGACTGGATAATGCCACTGGCTCCAATGTTACTGTGTTGGAGGGTAACAATGATCTCCTGAAATTTATATCTGTTGTATATTTTCTAAAGTTTCATGTACAATTTCAACATGAAAACAAACATTTTGATTTAAAAATGGTAAAAAATTTAAAAAGATTTAAAAAATGAGATAGAAGTAATGAATAAATTACAAAAAAAAGCTCTGCAACTTAAAAAAATGAACTGAAATCCACTATGCAAAACAGTGCAAATCTTCCTTTAAAAATTAAAAATAGAATTACCATATGATCCAGCAATCCTACTTCTGGGTGTATATCCAAAGGAATTGAAAGCAGGATCTTGAAGAGATATTTGCACACCCAAGTTCATTGCAGCATTATTCACAAATAGCCAAGAGATAGAAGCAACCCAAAAGTCCATTAATGAATGAATAAACAAAAACATGGTATATACAAACAATGGAATATTATTCATCCTTAAAAAAGAAAAAAATCTTGTCACATGCTGCAACATGGATAAACCTTGAGGACATTATGCTGAGTGAAATAAGCCAGTCACAAAAGCGCAAACACTGTATAATTCTACTGATTTGAGATACTTATAAAGTCAAAATCTTGGAAACTGAAGGTAAAATGGTGGTTTCCAGGGGCTGGGGGGGAGGAGAAAGGGGGAGTTTTATGGGTATAGACTTTCAGTTTTGCAAGATGAAAGTACTAGAGATCTGTTTCACAACATTAACAAAATGTATGTTTAAAAATGATTGGGATGTTACATTTTATTATGTGTATTTTTACCACAAATAAAAATAAAAAGATGACAGTATCAAGATGAACTCATAATTTTAAAAAGCATTTTTCCTAGTTCTGGCTATTGATAGTCCTAGAAGTAAGTAATGACACTCAAGAAGCATGAGGTCCCACTGGCCACATTTGAAACAATTTGAGTGGGAGCTTCTTCAAGGTGGATCCTTTACGCTTGTGAAGTGACATGTCTCTATTGGTCTTCAAGCACCACCTTGTGATCTCTGAAACAAGATGTTTTAGTCTCACCTTGCACTTTCCTGCCCCAGACATGAAGAAAGGTAGATAAAAGGAGACTGCTTCTTTCCAGAATACCAGTTAATAAATTAAACATAAAATAAATGAGAAATTTAGAAAACCACTATTTTGTAACCTCTAAAGTAATCATTGATCAAGGCAATGATTATTAATGAATGCTAAAGCAGTTTAGTGAAAAGTTGTTGTGGAAAGAATATTGGCCTTGTGGAAATATGCCTAGGGGAAAGTACATTTATAGTGGAGAAGTCTGGAGGTCACCACCATAAGCAAATGATCAAGTGTACTGTTACTAGTATAGGGGAAGCCAGATGTGGTGTGCCTATCAATATAATGCAAATGGAAATAAATGATATTGTCTTTAAAATATTCCTGCTGAAACATTTAATCTTAATTTAATCAAGCTTCTAGAGGCCTTACTTTTAGTTCATAAGAAATACATGTGACTTGTAAAAAGTTAAACAATCCCAGGAGGAAACAATAAGACAAACTCAGTATCCAGGATATTCTACAGGAAAGCAATCTTAGACTAAAAAGTAGTCAATGTCATGAAAAATAAAATGGATGAAAGACAGATATTCTTTTCTGAGAGGCTAATAAAACAAAAAATGTAATATGTGAACCTACATTGCCCATTGGTTCAAAAAAGGCTATAAAAGACATTCTTGGGACAATTATCATGTTTTTCATATGGACTACATTTTAGGTAACATTAGAGAATTACTGTCATTTTTCTTAGGTGCCATATTAATATAGTAGTTATATAAGAGAATGTCTTTATTATTAGTAGATACAAGCTGAATGTGAAAAGAGAAAGTACTATGATGTTTGCAATTTACTTCTAAATTATTTAAAATAAAAACTAATGTATCAACATAATTTAACCAAAACATTTACAAAATTGGTGGTTGGAACAAAGAATTGAACATCAGTATTTAATAAATGCAGCCAACAGTGCACTCTTTTCATTTGGTCCTATATATTTTTGTGAAGTAGGTTTTTTGACTATAATAACCATTAAAACCAGGTATCAACATATACGAAATTTAGAACCAGACCATTAAATCATTGCATCACAAACTATTAAACTAAGAATTTAAAAGTAATTAACTACATCCAGTAGCATTGCTCTCACTAAAGTATAATCTATATGTAACATTTGTAATAACATATTAGTGAGAACAAAAAAGTTTTCCTACTATTAAAAATAAAATATAGAATATTTTCAGGCATTTTTATTCCCACTTTATCTCTTTTTTCATTTCTATTTGGATAGTGTGCCCTAGGATGTGTGTTGACTGTTATTACATGTACTTTCCTGAGAATCATCCTAATAAAAACTCATCTCATTTATTCATGATTTTTAGTTTCATTAAAGGTTTTCACTGACTTGAGTTTTGAAATATGAGTTAACGTAGAAGGAAAGTTTAGCCCTTTATGTGAATAAATCTTGAAACATATGAAGTTTTGAGAAAGAAACTACATCAGTTTCCTAGGGCTGCTATAACACAGCACCACAAACTGGGTGGCTTAACACAACAAAAACATATTCTTTCACAGTTCTGGAGGCTAGAAGTCTGAAATGGTGTCAGCAGGAATGGTTTCCTCTGAGGGAAGATCTGTTCCATGCCTCTTTCCTAGCTTCTGGAGATGTCTGGCAATCCTCGGCATTCTTTGGCTTGTAGGTGCACCACTCAAATTTCCACCTCTGTTGTTACATAGCATTTTTCTTATGCATCTGTGTCTCCTCTCCTTTTCTCATAAGTACACCAGTCATACTTCTTTTAAGGGCCACCTATTCCAGCATGACCTCATCTTAACTAGTTACATCTGCAACAAACCTATTTTCAAATAAGGTCACAATCTGAGGTATGGGGGATTAGGAGTTCAACATACCTTTTTGTGGGACACAATTCAACCCATAATAGAACCATAATTGATGCTTTCTTCAAATTGTTCTGTGTGGTAATTTCCTGTCTTAGTCTTTTCTTCCATTATTTATGCATTCACACATCTGGTGGAGAGGAATCAGAGGAGAAAGAGGAATCAGAGGAGAAAGAGAAAAATAAAACCCAGCCTCAATATGTCTGAAGGCATATTTATTTTGTGTTGTGATTTATTATATAGTTTTGAACTAGAAATAATTATTTTGAGACTGCTAGAATTGTGATTATGTCTCATCATGAAATAGATTTTTTTCTTTTTTCCAAATAACAGAAATTAGGACTGTGAATTCTATCCTTGCAGTTTCCTAATCCATGTCATAAAGTATGACTCTTTTTTATTAAATTTTCCCTGGTCTTCAAATTCTCAGCTTCACCCTTTAGCACTATTATAATTCTCATTCTCCTCAAGTTATCAAATCCAACATGTACAGTGTCTCTTTAAAATGACTTTTCTGAAGATTATTACCTTCAAAGTCTGATTTATCTTCCCTTAAACTATGGATCCTATTTCCTTTGACATGATATGTTCCTACATTTCACTTCTAAACAATAAATCTTAAGGCTCATCAGTGTGTGACCTGTTTAATTGATTGGATGTATTTGCAACTGCATTACTAATAGATACATTAGGATCAAGCTAAAAGAAGGAAATGTTTCGTTTGTTGTTGTTGGCTTTTCTAAATTCAGAAAAGTGGGCATTGATTCCTCTTACCCCAGTCTGCTTCAAGTTATTCTGTGTTGTTTAATATGGTTTCAATTTGACAGGCAGCAGGAAAATCCTATTTCACACAGAAATTCAAAGAAGAAAAACCTCTTCTGTAAGAATAAAGCCACTATGGTGGCTATTTAATAAATATTAAGTAATAACAGCAGTATTCATGGGGAAAATAGCACAAAATAGCCTCTTATTGTTGGACAAAAAAAGCAATCACACATTTTAAAGGCCAAATGACTTGGAAAAAGCATGCTATATTTGTAAATTGTTAAATAAGCATTTATCCCATTTATTGAAATACCCCTTTTAAGGTGTAAAGAATATTGTATTTAGAAAGTCTTATTTTCTATTCCCAAGGTGAGTGCACTGTGCCAATTCCACAACTACACATTACACTTCAAAGATTTCTACTATTTCAGGCCGTCAAAAAAATTGTAAAGTGTAACTTGTCTTGGAGCTATGTTTATTCTCCATTTTTCCTTCTTTCTTCCTCCTTTCATACTCTCCTGCACTGTCTATAGCCATCAAAATCTACCCTCTGGTAATGATCTGATAGTTCCTTTACAGTAAGCCAGTGGTTCTTAAAATGTGTTCCCTGGGCCATCACCATCAATGTCACCTGAGAATGTGTTAGAAATGCACATTCTTAGGCCCTATCCTAGACCTACTAAATCAGAAACTCTGGGGGTGAAGCCCAGCAATCTGTGTTTTAACAATACCTCCAGGTGATTCTGATGCACCCCGATGTTTGAGAACCACTGAACTTACCCAAAAATCACCTATAGGTTTTTATATGTTAGCCACACCAGGAGTACTTGGATATTTTTAGAAAAGGAAAATAACTGAATTTCTAATTAAGTGATTTTATTCGCCAGCTAATCAGTGGGGAAAGTAAAGGTTAAGTAAGTGTTCTTGATTTTCTGGCACCATTTCTATTCTTAAGACATCTCTGCATAACATATGCAATTTGTTAAGTCAGTCATCAAATATTTATTTAAAGATTCATTCTAGTTGCTTGAGACATAACGACTCAGTCCTTGCCCTCAAGACACATCTCATTTAGTGACAGAGATTGGCAATCCGACAATTAGAATACAATATTGTAAGTACACTTATAGACATATACACAAAGTGCTAGGCACACACAAAGGAGGGATCAGAGGTGAGATGCATTGAAGGCCAATGACAGCAGGACTTTGGAGACAGCCCTGCCACCTACCTGGCTACATGAGAGTTGCACAATCCTAGGATTCCTGACTAGGTTTACCGGGGTCCCGGAGTTCGAGGAGACAGGAGATACTGTTTTCTAGTGATCCTAAAATTAGCAAACTTCACACAAAATAGGATGCTTTTTATAGTCAATTTTGACAGGGTGGTGAGGATTATCCCAGATAACCAAGAAGAACAATTCTCAAAGTGATCACAATTGCTTGGGCTTAAAGGCAGGAGTTTTCCTAAAAATACTATTCTCCTGAGTTAGCTGCTTATGTGTTGTTGTTGACTTTATAATTTGCACATATCAAACTAGAGTCCCACTAATTTCTGTCAGAGAACTTGATTTGCCATTTACGCCATTAGAATTAATGTTTTAATGGCAAGAGTAAACTATCTGGTTCCATAGACCATTTTACTGTAATAGTAAAATGAATTAGGAGCATTTTCTATGCTGAGAATGGCTGATTTAATCTTGAGACCCTGATTCCATACCATGTAAATTCTGGCCAGAATGCATAATTATTCCCCCATTCACAGGCTTTTAGATGATAGGCTTAAAAATTAAAACAACATTTAAAATGTTTTAAGGTGTCTATTATTATCAACTTACATTGAATTTATGGTGTCTTAAGCTTTCTTGTGGATGTTAAATCTTAAAGGAATTCTATAGACCTTTGTATACACCTTGAGGTACTTTTAAATATAAACCTAATATTTCTTTATACTTAAAGGCCTATTTATTACAATAAAGACCAGTCCCATGGTCTGAAAGTTGGTGTTTCTCCAAAATTCATATGTTGAAGCTTACTCCCCATTGTGGTGGTATTAAGGACAATTTCCCCTTTCTATAGCCTAAGGAGAACTACTACAGGCCTTTTGGAGGTGATTAGGTCATGAGGGCAGACTCTAATCCCTAACCTATTGGGGATTAGTGCCCTTATAAAAGGATATTGAGGGAGGCTGTTTTTCCCCTCTGCCTCTTCTACTATGTGAGGACACAGAGGCACCATCTATGAGAAACAGACCCTCACCAGACACCAAATTTGCTGGCATCTTCATCTTAGACTTCTCAGTCTCCAAAACTGTGAGCAATAAATTCCTATTGTTTATAAATTACAGTCTAAGGTATCTTGTTATAGCAGCCTGCATGGTCTAATACAACCAGTAAATACATCAACTATGATCAACACTCATTCAACAAATATTTGAAGGCTTACTGTGTGTATTTACCCTATATTGGCTTCATGAATATAAGCAATGCCTATCTTTTGTTCGTTACTGTTAACTAAATAAATGACTGGATAAAGGAACAAAGGGTATGAGCTGTGGGAATATAAATGCCTAGTGATGTCTGCCCTTAAGAAGTGTATAGTCTGTCCAGGCATGGAGGCTCATGCCTGTAATCCCAGCACTCTGGGAGGCCGAGGCGGGTGGATCACCTGAGGTCAGGAGTTTGAGACCAGCCTGGCCAACATGGTGAAACTCCGTTTCTACTAAAAGTACAAAAATTAGCCGGGCATGGTGGTGCATGCCTGTAATCCGAGCTATTTGGGAGGCTGAGGCAGGAGAATAGCTGGAACCCAGAAGGCAGCGGCTGCAGTGAGCCGAGATCGCGCCACTGCACTCCAGCCTGGGCGACAGAGCGAGACTCTATCTCAAAAAAAAAAAAATTAAAAAAAGAAAGAAAAAGAAGTGTACAGTCTTATGGTGTAGATAAAACACAGCTAATTTACTGCAAAGTAATAATTCACATCTACTATAAGAGAAAAAACAGATCATTTCTCTTGGCTTTCTGAAGAGTGAGAAACTACAACAGGCTAAGGAATCAGAAAAATCTTCTTGGAGAAGACAAGTTTGCATTTGGACTTGACAAATTTGAATATGTGGAAGTGCGATTGGGAGGTATTTTAGGCATTTGGAAACAGTTTTGGGCAAAGAAACTGAAGCCGGAAATGCAGGACATGGGTGGGACACAGGGCACTCAAAAGGGAAAAATGAGAAATAAAACAGAAAGGGGCTGGGGGTGCAACCAAGAGAAATACTTTTGAATGCTTTTAATCATCAGTAGGAAGCAGGTGAAGTTATCTGACCAAAAAATGAGAACTACTACAATAACGTGATGATAGAGATGGCCCAGACTAGCGCAAATATGGGAAAAGAAAAAAAAAGACTGACTATATTAATATTTCTCTGATGAAGATTCCTTGGGGTCCTCATGCCCCTAAAATCCTCACTAGCTTTTACTTGTGCCAGTTTCCTGAGGGTAAAACTTACAGAGAACTGTCCAGCCAAATGCACGTACTTCTCTTAGTTGGGGTTTTGAAACCAAAATTCTTTCCCTGGTGTCAACAATGGGCCATATGTGAATCTTAAGAGGCTTGGTTTTGCCTGCATATCCTGACCCTAGCCTTCTAGATGTTACCACCTCGGCTACAAGCAGCACAAAATAGCAAAGCCAAAGAAAACTTTCCCCTTTCTACAGCCTAATGAGAACCACGTACTTTCTTCCTCCCTATCCCTGAGCCTCACACAAACAGGAATCAGCCAATTTTACCTTGAAATATAAGGGGGCAAGTTTAGAGAGATCAGATCCCAGGAAAGATAGAGCTTTTAAACTCTTCATTTCTCCTAAGAAAAGCACCATTCCCTACTAATCCTAATAAAGGGAGTTTGGAGTAATGGTGAAAAGTAGGGAACATTGATGCCAGACTGACTGGATTCAAATCGTGTTTTTGACACTTACCGTATGTGTGTCTTTGGACAAAATACTTAAATTTCCTCTGCCTTAGTTTCTCTATCTTGAAATGGTGACTAAAATAGTACACTAAGTTTAATGTCATTGTTATCATTAAACAACACAAGGTCAATAAACTTAGAATGGTACTTAGCCCTTTCCATGTTTACTTGAGGTGAATTGCTGCTTTTCTAATTGTGAGTCCTTTTATTCATATTTGTCATTTAAAAAAAATCTATTTCAATAGTTTTGGGAAAACAGGAGGATTTTGGTTACATGGATAAGTTCTTTAGTGGTAATTTCTGAAATTTTTGGGCACTTGTCATCCAAGCAGTGTACACTGTACCCAATGTGTAGTCTTTTATCCCTCAACCCCCTTCCAACCTACCCCTCAGGTCACCAGAGTCCATTATATTACTCTTATGCCTTTGCATCCTCATAGCTTAGCTCCCACTTATAAGTGAGAGCATATGATATTTGGTTTTCCATTCCTGAGTTACCTCACTTAGCATAATGATCTCCAACTCCATTGAGGTTGCCGCAAATGCCGTTATTTTGTTCCTTTTTATGGCTGAGTAGTATTTATATATATATATAGCACATTTCCTTTATCCACTCATTAGTTGATGGGCACTTGGGCTGGTTCCATATTTTTACAATTGCAAATTGTGCTCCTATAAACATGCATGTTTTTCATACGATGACTTTTTCTCTGGATAGATACCCCATAGTGGGATTGCTGGTAGTTCTACTTTTAGTCCTTTAAGGAATCTCCATATTGTTTTCCACAGTGATTGTACTAGCTTACATTCCTACCAGCAGTGTAAAAGTGTTACCTTTTCACAACATCCATGCCAACATCTGTTTTTTTTTTTTTATTTTTAAATTATGGTCATTCTTAAGGTGGTATCTAATTGTGGTTTTGATTTGCAATTCCATGATAATTAGTGATATTGAGAATTGTTTCATGTTTGTTGGCCATTTGCACATATTCTTTTGAGAACTGTCTATTCATGTCCTTTACCCACTTTTTGATGGAATTAATTATTTTTATTCTTGCTGATTTGTTTGAGTTCCTTGTGGATTCTGGATATTAGTCCTTTGTCAGATGCATTGTTTGTGAATATTTTCTCCCACTCTGTGGGTTGTCTGGTTACTCCACTGATTATTTCTTTTGCCATGCAGAAGCTTTTTAGTTTAATTAGGTCCCATCTATTTATCTTTGTTTTTGT
Source organism: Homo sapiens (assembly GCF_000001405.40). Lineage (NCBI taxonomy): Eukaryota > Metazoa > Chordata > Mammalia > Primates > Hominidae > Homo > Homo sapiens. Next base: position 98,444,771 of record NC_000023.11, on the reverse strand, counting down.
CACATTTGCTTTTGGGTTCTTGGTCACGAACTCTGTCTAAGCTAATGTCTAGAAGAGTTTTTTGCCAATGATATCTTCTAGAATTTTTATGGTTTCAGGTCTCATGTTTAAGTCTTTGATCCATCTTGAGTTGATTTTTGTATCAGGTAAGAGATGAGGACCTAGTTTTATTCTTCTACATGTGGGTTGCCAATTATTCTATCACCATTAGTTAAATAGAGTGTCTTTTTCCTACTTTATATTTTTTATTGCTTTGTCAAAAATCAGTTTGCTGTAAGTATTTGACTTTATTTCTTGGTTCTATATTCAGTTCCATTTGTCTACATGCCTATTTATATACCAGTACCATGCTGTTTTGGTGACTATGGCCTTACAGTATAGTTTGAAGTAAGGAATGTGATGCCTCCAGATGTGTTCTTTTTGCTTAGTCTTGCTTTGGCTATGTGGGCTCTTTTTGATTCTGTATGAATTTTAGGATTTTTTTTTCTAGTTCTGTGAAGAATAATGGTGGTATTTTGATGGAAATTGCATTGAATTTGTAGATTGCTTTTGGCAGTATGGTCATTTTCACAATATTGATTCTACCCATCCATGAGCATGGGATGTATTTCCATTTGTTTGTGTCTTCAGTGATTTCTTTCAGCAGTGTTTTGCAATTTTCCTTGTAGAGATCTTTCACCTCCTTGGTTAGGTATATTCTTAAGTTTTTTTTTTTTTTTTTTTTGGCAGTAGCAGTGGTTGTAAAAGGGATTGAGTTCTTGATTTGATTCTCAGCTTGGTCGTTGTTGGTGTATAGCAGTGCTACTGATTTGTGTACCTTGATTTTGTAGCCTGAGACTTTACTGGATTCATTTATCAGATCTAGGAGCTTTTTGGATAAATCTTTAGTTTTCTCTAGGTATATGATCACATCATTGGCAAACAGTGAGAGTCTGACTTCCTCCTTACCGATTTAGATGCCCTTGATTTCTTTCTCTTGTCTGATTGCTCTAGCTAGGACTTCCAGAACTATGTTGATTAAAAGTAGTAAAAGTGGGCATCCTTGTCTTGCTCCAGTTCTTAGGGACAATGCTTTCGAATTTTCTCTGTTTAGTATAATGTTGGCTGTGTGTTTTTCATAGACTGCTTTTATTACCTTGAGGAATGTCCCCTCTATGGAAATTTTGCTGAGGGTTTTAATCATAAAGAGATTCTGAATTTTGTCAAATGCTTTGCCTGCATCTATTGAGATGGTCATATAATTTTTGTTTTTAATTCTGTTTATGTGATGCATTACATTTATTGACTTGCATGTGTTAAACCATCCCTGCATCCCCAGTGTGAAACCTACTTGATCATGGCATACTATCTTTTTAGATATGCTGTTGCATTCAGTTAGCTAGTATTTTGTTGAGGATTTTTGCATCTATGTTCATAAGGGATATTGGTCTGTAGTTTTCATTTTTTGTTATCTCCTTTCCTGGATTTGGTATTAGGATGATACTGCCTTTATGGAATGATTTAGGGAGGGTTCTCTTTTTCTTCATATTTTGGAATAGTTTCAGTAAGATTTGTACCAATTCTTTGAATGTCTGATACAATTCAGCTGTGAATCCATCTGATCCTGGACTTTTTTTGTTGGAAATTTTTTATTACTGTTTCAATCTCGCTACATGTTTTTGTTCTGTTCAGAGTTCCTATTTCTTCGTGATTTAATCTAGGAGGGTTGTATATTTCCAGGAATTTTTCCATCTCCTCTAGATTTACTAGTTGGTGTGCATAAAGGTGTTCATAATAGCCTTGAATGATCTTTTGTATTTCTGTGGCGTCACTTGTAATATCTCATGTTTCATTTCTGATTGAGCTTATTTGAAACTTCTCTCTTCTTTTCTGGGTGAATGTTACTAATGGTCTAATAATTTTGTTCATCTTTTAAAAGAACCAGCTTTTTGTTTTACTTGTCTTTTGTATTTTTTTTTGTTTCAATTTCATTTAGTTCTGCTCTGATATTTATTATTTCTTTTCTTCTGCTGGGTTTGGGTTTGGCTTGTTCTTGTTTCTCTATTTCCTTGAGGTGTGACCTTGGATTGTCTATTTGCACTCTTTCAGACTTTTTGATGTAGGCATTTAATGCTATGAACATTCCTCCTAGCACCACTTTTGCTGTATCCCAGAGGTTTTGGTAAGTTTTATCACTATTATCATCTAGTTCAATCAATTTTTAAATTTTCATCTTGATTTCATTGTTGACCCAAAGATCATTCAAGAGGAGATTATTTAATTTTGATGTATTCGTATAGTTTTGAGGGTTTCTTTTGGAGTTAATTTGCAGTTTTATTCCACTGTGGTATGAGAGGATTACTTGATATAATTTTGATTTTGTTAAATTTATTGAGACTTGTTCTGTGACCTATCATATGGTCTATCTTGGATAATGTTCCATGTGCTGATGAAAAGAATGTATATTCTCAGTTGTTGGGTAGAATATTCTGTAAATATCTGTTAAGTCCACTTACTCTATGGTATAGCTTAGGTCCATTGTTTCTTTGTTGACTTTCCATCTTGATGACCTGTTTAGTGCTTTCAGTGGAGTATTAAAATCCCCTACTATTGTTGTGTTGCCATCTGTCTCATTCTTAGGTCTTGTTTGATAAATCTGGCAGCTCCAGTGTTAGGTGCATATATATGTAGGATTGTAATATTTTCCCACTGGACTAATCCTTTTACCATTATATAATGTCCCTCTTTGTCTTTTTTTACTGTTGCTGCTTTAAAGTCTGTTTTGTCTAAGAATAACTACTCTTGGTCACTTTTGGTTTCTATTTGCATGGAATATCTTTTTCTACTCCTTTATCTTAAGTTTATGTGAGTCCTTATGTGTTAGGTAAATCTCTTGAAGACAGCAGATACTTGGCTTGTGGATTTTTATCCATGCTGCAATTCTATACCTTTTAAGTGGAGCATTTAGGTCATTTACATTCAACATTAGTATTGAGATGGGAGGTACTGTAACTATCCATCATGCTATTTGTCACCTTAATACCTTGTTCTTTTTATCATTGTGTTAAGTTTGATAGGCCCAGTGAGATTAATGCTTCAAGGAGGTTCTATTTTGGTGCATTTCAAAGTTTTGTTTCAAGATTTACAGCACCTTTTATAATTTCTTGTAGTGCTGGTTTGGTACTGGCAAATTCTCTCAGCATTTGTTTGTCTGAAAAAGACTTTATGTCTCTTTTATTTATGAAGTTTAATTTTGCTGGATACAAAAGTATTGGCTGAGAATTATTTTGTTTCATTAGGCTAAAGATGGGACCCCAATCCTTTCTGACTTGTGAGGTTTCTGCTGAGAAATGTGCTGTTAATCTGGTAGGTTTGCCTTTATAGGTTACCTGATGCTTTTGTCTCACAGATCGTAAGTATCTTTCTTTCATCTTGACTTTAGATAACCTGATCACTATGTTCCTAGGTGATGATCTTTTTGTGATGAATTTCTCAGGTGTTCTCTGACCTTCTTGTATGTGGATGTCTAGATATCTGGCAAGACCAGGGAAATTTTCCCCAATTATTCTCTCAAATAAATTTTTCAAACTTTTTGATTTCTCTTCTTCTGCAGGAACACCAATTATTCTTAGGTTTGGCCATTTAACATAATCCCAAATTTCAAGGAGGCTTTGTTCAAGTTTTTTAATTCTTTTTTCTTTGTCTTTGTCTGATAGCATAAATTCTAAAGCCTTGTCTTCAAGCTCTGAATTTCTTTCTTCTTCTTGTTCTACTATTGATGAAACTTTCTAGTGCATTTTGTATTTCTCTAAGTGTGTCTTTCATTTCCAGAAGTTGTGATGGTTTTTTTCTCCATGATATTTATTTTTCTGCAGCATTTTTCATCCATATTGTGTATTTTTTTAAATTTCTTTACATTGGTTCTTACCTTTCTCCAGTAGGTATCTCCTTGAGTAGCTTAGTAATCAGTCTTCTGAATACTTTATCTGGAAATTCAGAGATTTCTTCTTGTTTTTGATCCATTGCTGGAAAGCTAATGTGAATTTTTATGGGTTTTATAAAACCTTCCTTTGTCATATTACCAGAATTACTTTTCTAGTTCCTTCTCATTTGGGTAGACTATTTCTGTGGAAAGTTCTGAAACCCAAAGTGTGCTGTTCAGATTCTTTTGTCCCACAGGGTGATCCCTTGATGTGGTGCTCTTCTTCTTCTACTAGGGATGGGGCTTCCTGTGAGCCAGGCTACAGTGATTGTTATTGCTCTTCTTGGTCTAGCCACCCACCAGTAGTACCAGGCTCTGGGCTGGTGCTGGGGAATGTCTGCAGAGCATCCTTTGATGCAATCTGTCTTCAGGTCTCCCAGCTGTGGATACCAGAACCTGTTCTGATGGAGGTGGCAAGGGAGTGAAGTAGACTCTGTGAGGGTTCCTGGTTGTAGATATGTTTAGTGTGCTGGCTTTCTCAAATGCTGGTTATGCTAGCAATGAAGTTGTCATGTGGACATAGTCAGGACCTCTGGTTAGCCAGGATGTTGCAGGCAGTGGAATTATCTGTTGTATTTTCCTTCCTAGGATCAGGGTTATTCTGTAATGAGTTGCTGTAATGGCCTGAGTTGGTTGGCCTCCAGTGAGGAGGTGGTACTTTCAAAGGAGCACCAGCTGCAGTAGTAGTAGGGGAAACTAAGGTTGCCCTAAGTTGGCCAGTGTAAGTATTGTGGGTTCTCAGGTGTTGGGTAGCACCATAAAGCACCCAGGAGTTTCTGTCTTTTGTGTTTGGCTACCGGGGTGGGTAGAGATAAACCTTCAGGTTGGGGCAGGGTTAGGCAGGTGTGGCATCAGACTCAACCTGGGCAGGGCTTGCCACAGCCACTGTGGAGGATGTAGGGGTAGTTCTCAGGCCAAAGGGGTTATGTTCCAGAGGGAGTTTTGGTGCCTATGCTGTGTCCTATAGTTTGCCAGGGACGTGGGAGATAGCCAGTAGCGAGAGTCTTCACCCAGCTCTCATGCAGTTGGCAAAACCAGTTTTGCTCCTGTAGGGTCCCACTCAGACCTTGCCCAGGCCATAGGCTTCCCTAATTGTGAGTCTTTAAACCCACATCAAGAGCTACTGCTTCTTGGAAAGGGATAGGAGTTAGAGATCTGAGTATCAGCTAAAATTAGAACATCCCCATTCTAAAAATTTTACCAGTAAAAGGTTATAATTAATAAGTAAATGGTGTATGGATATAGGAGGAAAATAAAAGAAAACAAATACATTAAGATTTCATATGTGGATGAAATTTGACAACAGGAGAAGGGGCAGATATTAACACATACATGTACACTTTTATGTCCATGATGCCACGCTAAGTACCACTGCCAAATTACAGATTATAAGCACAGCTGCCAAGTGCGTCAGTCAGCTTAGGTTAAGTTGTGTTATAATAGCAAATAACCACAAAAACTAACTGGCTTAAAACCATAAAGATTTATTTTTCACTCAAACTACAGTTCTATTTAAGGTCAGCTATAGCTATATTCCATGATACATTTGCTCTTGGACCCAGATTATTAGAGCAGCCTCTTCCTAGGACATTTCTGGTTTCACAGTAAGGAAAGGAGAGCATACAATAGCATATGCTATCTCATAAAGCTTCAGCTTGAAAGGCATTTATGCTTAATTGAACAAAGCAATTCACAAGAACAATTCTGATGTCAATGGAGAAAGGAAATCCTCCATAGAGTGTTCCTATAGGATAGAGTCAAAATATTTTCAACAAAAATACAGTTTACCATACCAGGGCTTTATTGTCTATAATCAAAGAAAGGATAGATGAATACAATCTACAATGGTACACGGATTATTGCCTACTCTTATGATACAGGAATCAGCAATTCAATTTTCTAATATGGTTAAAATCTGGGAATAAACTTAGGTACACTATAGAAAAAATATAACAAACAATTGGTAAGAAATTACTTCAGTAGAATTAGAGATAAGATGCAATGAATTGACATAGATCTCAAATGTCATATGCATTCGGGTATGAGTGGGAAATGACAGGTCAAGAATGATGTTAATATAATGTTAATAAAAGTTAAATCAACTATCTACATAGGAAAAAAAAAAATCTTCACAGGAACCAAAAATCAGGTGACCCCTCATGGTAGTACCTGGTTTTACCTTCATACCGCTGAAACAAGCACTGAGGAGACAGTAAAAACAATCTTGAATCACTGACACCACTCCTTCCCCACCCCCCACTCTCTGGCAAAAGTGGCATGATGTGGGTGGAGAGTGTCTCCGGGTGCTGGGGGAAGGAGAAGACAGCAATTGTGAGATATTGAACTCTGTGCTGTCCTGTGAGAGCATAAAGGAAAACCAGATCAAACTCAACTGACTTCCTCCCAGGGAGAGAATATTTAAAATAACCCTAGTCAGGGAGTAATTGCTGATTCCAGAGGTCCAAACTGTAGTGTGTAAACGACTCTTATCCTACATAGAAAGACTAAATGATGAACCAATCAAAAATAATAACTAAAACAACTTTTCAAGACATAGTCAGTACAATAAGATATAAATAGAAACAACAAAAAGTAAAAAAGAGAGGGGGATGAAGTTAAGGTGAAGGGTTTTGTATTAAATCTAAGACCTCAAACTATGAAACTGCTACCAAAACCAAAAACAACAACAACAACAACAAAACACTGGAGAAACTCTCCAGGACCTTGGTATGGGCAAAAATTTCATTTTATATATATATACACACACACACACACACACACACATATATATATACATATATACATATATATACACATATATATATACATATACACGCATATATATAAAATATTTGGAAACACCTAAACATTCCACAAAAATAATAATAGCCTACAAACACAGGTAACCAAAGCAAAAATAGACAAATGGGATCACCTCAAGTTAAAAGACTTCTGCACATCAAAGGAAACAATCAACAAAGACACAATGTACAAAATGGGAGACAATATTTGCAAACTACCCATCTGATGAGGGATTCATCACCAAAATATATAAGGAACTCAAACAACTCCTTAGGAAAAAGTCTAATAATCCAATTAAAAAATGGACAAAAGATTTTAATAGACATTTCACAAAAGAAAACATACAAATGGCAAACAGGCATAGGAAAATGTGCTTAACATCACTGATTATCATAGAAATGCAAATCAAAACTACAATGAGAAAGGAAAACTACAAAACTACAAAGGAAATCAGTATATCAAAGAGATATCTGCACTCCTATGTTTGTTGCAGCACTATTTACAATAGCTAAGATTTGGAAGCAACCTACTGTCCATCAGCAGATGAATGGATAAAGATAATGTGGCACATATACACAATGGAGTACTATTCACCCATAAAAATAATGAGATCCAGTCATTTGCAACAACATAGATGGAACTTGAGATCATTATGTTAAGTGAAATAGGTCAGGCACAGAGGGACAAACATCACATGTTCTCGCTTATTTGTGGAATGTAAAAATCAAAACTCGTGGACAAAGAGAGTAGAACGATGGTTACCAGAGGCTGGGAAGAGCAGTAGGGAGCTCTGGGGGAGGTGGGGATGTTTAATGGATACAAAAAAGTTAGTTAGTTAGAAAGAATGAAAAAGACCTACTATTTTATACCACAACGGCGTGACTATAGTCAATAATAACTTAATTGTACATTTAAAAATTACTAAAAAAGTATAATCGGATTGTTTGTAATGCAAAGGATAAATGCTTGAGGGGATGGTTACTCCATTCTCCATGATGTAATTATTTAGCACTGCATGCCTGTATCAAAACATCTCATGTACCCTATAAATACATATATCTACTATGTGCCTACAAAATTAATTTTTTAATTTAAGAAATAAAACACATTTATCAAAATAAAAATACAAACAAACAAAAAAGAATTAAGAAGGTATGACAGTCAAATGAGATGCCCAAAAAGTCAGCACGTTGCTCTGTAGGGGGAGAGAAAGAAAAACACAGGTTATGTGTGTGTCAGAGAGAGAAAGAGAGAATAGAGCATTTGGCAGTTCAATTAGTAAGGGAAACAAAAAACAACAAAGTCAAAAATCATAGGGAATGTCTAAGATTGGAGCTATAACAAATCATTGTTGTAGCCAATACCTTTGGAAATCTTGAATACCTTCATTATATGGAGGAGATGGAAAGGTTTCCCAGTTAAGATTTCTTGAGATGCAGCTTCATAACAGACCTGTGGAACAGAGCTGAGGTTGTAATCCCAGCACTTTGGGAGGCCGAGGTGGGCGGATCACGAGGTCGGGAGTTTGAGACGAGCCTGGCCAGCATGGTGAAGCCCCGTCTCTACTAAAAATACAAAAAATTAGCCGGGCATGGTGGCACGTGCCTGTAATCCCAGCTACTCAGGAGGCTGAGGCACGAGAATTGCTTGAACCCAACAGGCAGAGGTTGCAGTGAGCCGAGATCGTGCCACTGGACTCCAGCCCAGGTGACAGAGCGAGGCTCCATCTCAAAAAAATAAATAAATAAATAAAATAAAATAAAATAAAATTCTCATTGACTTAGTGCCTGCCTCTCCCATTTACATTTAATCATCTTCTCCCTTAAAATGTTATGTATTATTATTTATAAATGAAGTTAATTCAAATTTACTCTATGCTTCTAGAAACAGTAATTTTACACAGGTATGAGAAAACATATCTATTTATGACACCCTAAGAAACTTTAAGATAATCATTATCAAAGCTGTATGAAGTAAGACTGTGTTCTGCTTTCTCGCACCATTCATGATTATCATAGTGCTTCACTTACAGTAAGCAAGCCAACTGATGATTGTTGAGTGAATGGAAGAGTCATGGTTGTATTGCTGTTGTTTACTATTGTACAGTCATTTGAATGCCCAGTAAATCCAGCAGTTGTATCTCTTTGGGCCTTAGCCTTCTCATGTGATAAATGTAAGGTGGATTATTCAGGATCCTCTGCAAGACTGCTGAGAAACAGAAACACAGGTGTCAGATAGTTTGTAGTCATAAGATTTGATGGCTTATGTAGAAGTAAATTGGTGCAGTGATATTTTAAGATTCTATTAATATGTTTTTCAAATCTTAGTACTTATTATTTAAACAAACATCTGCAATAGAATTTTTGTATTATAGAATCATCCTAGATTTATATGATACTAAACACTCCAATGTAAACTGAAAATACTGGGAAACTATCTAGATATTGTCATGTACTCAGGAAATTGCTACCATATATATACATAAATTAGCTGTATGTTTTAACTGTTGAAAATCTGACCTCTAATTATGTGTCCTAAAACTGACAGGTGGAATATAAAAGAAGTTCTAGAACTTGGCAAAGCTTTTCAGTTTTCATGTAGGGCTTTGGCATAATAAAAGTTTAACTACAGAAAGCAAAAATGCCCGCTATAGATTCTTTAGAAGTTTATTTCTTCATGACTTTGCAAATATCATCTCCTGCATCCAAACAATGTATTTATTTCTTCATACTAGGCGAAATCAAAAAGACCAGAGCAATTCCATATTTTTAAGCGGCAATTTCACACATGTATAGTAAAGCATAACTATTTCTGACAGTTTTAGAAGTTTTGAAAGTATCATTATCAAACAAAGCTTTAAGAAACGAGAAAATGTTTTTAGCTTGTCCTTTGCTTCTGTATTTGTTGTTGTTTATCCAAATCACTGCAGTTAACTGAGGACAACATTTAACAAGGTCCCTAGCACATTTAAATATATGCTGTCGGAATATCAAACAACTTATATATACTCACAGAAAGTAACAACCAAAGGACAACAGGGGTGGTGGTGAAGGGTTGCAGTTAAAATTAGACTCTCCACTTACATTAAGATTGTTAATTTTACCACAACATAATTTCCTGGCTATCAAAAGATTAATTGACTTTCTTTTTACAAGATTACTTAAATTATGCATGGACCCATGAAAAATAGTAGTATTATATTTGGGAAATAATCATCTAATGTGAATAAATCTGATAAAATGTTTAATGTATATGAAGATGCCATTGCCTACTGAACTATCAAATCAGGGACAGGCAAATGCAATTCTTTCTTGGACCTTTTAAATCATTTAAATTCAACCTTTTTTGTCATTTGTTTCAATAGCTAGAATTTAATATGCACAGCTTATGATAGGTACTAATATACTTTAAATGTTTCAGGCATTGAGTATACTGTATCACAAAGCCATTTTCTTCAAATTAATAATACAAAGCTTTCAACTTTGTTTAATTTGGCATGTAGACAAAAATACTGAGGGAGAGCATAAGGCACTCTAACTACAATCCTCTCTCCACCCTTCAGACCAGCCAAACCTATAAACCATTTTGAGGCTCTTAGAGCTAATTGCTAAGCAGCATAGATGCCACTTAATTAGAGAAAACTAGGAGGAAACAGTAATCTAGAAACCACAATTTGATTGGAAGTAGGAACATCATTAATGGACACAATTCCCTTTCTGCACATTAAGTCACGGTAAAGCAAAAGGAAGGAAAGTGCTTCCGGAAAAGTAATCTCTGTGATTCCTTTGAGAAAGAAAGCCAATGCAACATGAGTTTTATAAAGTTTAGCAGCATTTTACTGCCCTCCATTTAGAGTAGTACGTTAGTTGCAGAATCATGATTTTCTCCTGGCTATCCTTTATGTTGCATATGAAGAAGTCTCCTGTGTGTCTGCTTGGGCTGTTTTTTTAGTGTGTTGTTGTTTTTTTTTTTTTTTAAATGCTGTTTAGTGGTAAAAAACAAGCAATTTTGTTTGCCTAGAGGACTGACTTTGTACCCCCATATCAGCTCTGGTTCTTCACTTTTTCCCTGCAGTATCTCCTGACAAGGTACTTGAAAGAAACACCCAAATACCCTAAGTACAAGATTGCCTGTCTTGTCTATCCAGAAGTATGTGGTTTTTCAAGACAAACTATAACATAATAACATTGTCACATTTAAATTTCAGGTTGTGGGACCTCGTGGTAAAAGCATATCAAATCTGGGCATTATACACGATGCTGTTAGTATGTAAGATGCTGTCTTGCATCTATCAGGGAAGCAGTGCACAGGCTGATGAGACTTGGAGTGAATAAACAAATGATAGTTGGTCATGGAGGGTGAAGGTGTGTGTGTGCAGAATCAGCACAATCCATGAATAGAGCTTGGCTGTAGTCGACTGATGTCTGTACCAGTGTTTCAATGTGTGTTGGTCAAAAACACTGTCAAGACTGATCCTCTAGGGACACATCCTTTCAAACTGGTGTTTGCCAATAAATGTGCAGCTGTCAAGTTCTACAATTTATTATGAGTTTTGATAGCACACAAAAAAATATTTACAGATTAAAAAAAACCTTGTGTAAGCAGGGGTACAGGCAGGGAAACATGGGTAAAGTGAACATCTTTATCCCTGTTGCTACCTTATTTGATTATAAATACATCCTCAGAAAAATAGAAAAGCTCGTTTCCACATCTTCAAAATGGCACCCACTAATAAAGCAACTATATTAGAGATCAGACAGCAGGACAGGAATTGGGGCAAAGGCTAAAGATGAGGGACAGAAAATTGACACCATCAAAAGAGGAAAGAAATAAAATAGGAAAGGCTAAATAGAAACCTTGTTTTTGTTTGCCTTGGAAAACCATGTGAGGCAGTAATGAGGATGCAATTCCCTATAGGCAGGTACAAGGCTGGGACCAACTAGAAAGTATGTCTGGAATGAGAAGAAAGGCAACATGAGAGTTGCTATTGTTCAGCTACTTCTTCAGAGAAGCCCAACCAGGTATGTCTCAGAGGGATCCACACAATAGCTACCTGCAAGCTAGCTAGGAGCTGCAAACCTACACTGGTCTTTTTGATCATTGCTCTTAAAAAGGAAAAGGAATATTCCTGGTGGTAAGTTTAACCTCCGATTCCACAGCTTGGGGGATTCTAATGGGGGGCTGAGTTATAGTGACAGTAATTTCTAACTCTGATCTCAATAAAAATGCCCAGAATCCAATCCCCTCAAGTCCTTCCCTTACCACCCTAGCAAGGTAGCTGGGTAGCTTGGTGTCTTATGCCTTTTCCAGGATTGGCACTATAATTGTCCTGAGCAGCTGCTAGCATTCATTTATCTCCTCCATCCCAATGCAGTCTCTGCTCCAATGATGTCAGCTGACCTTGATATAATCTGGTCATTTGTCACCACTTCATTGTCATGACTCCGCCTATCATCAGATGGCCCTTGTTATTACTAATTAGGGTCACCATATATTCTGGTTAGCCCAAGACAAGCTCAGATTAATTCTGTTGGCCCAGCATAATTACTTATAGTGCTCATTTTCACTCTCAAAAGTGCTGCCTCTTACTGGAAAAGGACTCTCTTCCATCAGTTTGTAATTCTTGTTTAATGAAGCTCCCAAATAGAATATTCTAACTCAGTTTCCTACAATCCTCGTACTTTTAGAATTCTTTTGTTTTTCTCATTCTCAGATTCTTCCAACCCATGATGTAGCACAAAAAGCATGCATTTGGGAACCCAATAGATTTGTGTTCAAATCTCAGCTCTGGTATTCTCTAGCTGAATAAAGTAAGGCAAAATCTCAGTTTTCTCATCATAAAAGTAGAATAATAATATGACCTAGCTTATATGATTGTTTTGAGGATGAGTCAAACATAACATAAAAATAAAATCTAGGATGGTATCTAATGTATTATAGGAAATGAATTAGTTCCCCTTTTCACTCCCTACCTTTACAGCTGGTGATATAAGATAGATTCTCCGAGGCTTCACATAGAAAACATTTCACCTGATCACATTTAATGACTTACTCAGATTCTCTGTTCTTACTGACAATTTCTCCTACCTGATAGTGAATAAATTATGTACCTACTGAATTATTCCCTGAGTGGTTAGAAGTGACCCCTACCTCTCTGTCTCTGATTGCACTTCAACTCTTTGGTCCTAGATAGAATCACAAATTTCAATGCACCCCATTACTGTCTGCCTAGGAGATCAACAGAAACCTTAAACAACAACAACAGGCCGGGCGCGGTGGCTCATGCCTGTAATCCTAGCACTTTGGGAGGCCGAGGAGGGCAGATCACGAGGTCAAGAGATCAAGACTATCCTGGCTAACACGGTGAAACCCCGTCTCTACTAAAAATACAAAAAAATTAGCCAGGCGTGGTGGCAGGCACCTGTAGTCCCAGCTACTCGGGAGGCTGAGGCAGGAGAATGGTGTGAACCTGGGAGGCGGAGTTTGCAGTGAGCTGAGATCGCGCCACTGCACTCCAGCCTGGGCGACAGAGCAAGACTCCATCTCAAAAAAAAAAAAAAAAAAAAAACTACCAAAAAAACTTTTGGGAGTCAGCTGCTTCAGTTATAAATATTTTAGACATTGCTGTCCATAAAGTCTCTGTCACAACTACTCAACACTGCTACTGTAGCACAAAAACAGAAACAGATGATGCATAAATGAATGAGTAGCTGTGTTTTTATAAAACTGTACTTATGGACACTGAAATTTAAATTTCACATAATATTCATGTGTCATAAAATAATATTTGTCTTTTGTTTTTCTTGTTTATTTCAATCATTTAAAAATGAATACAACTATTCTTAGCTCATGGGCCATACAAACACAGTCAGTGAGCTGGATTTTGCCCATGGGTTGCAGTTTGGTTATAAATGTCAGGAAACCAAGCTGAAACAAACTTAATTAAAAAGGAATGTATTGGTCTCCCTAATCAATATGTTTCAGGTACAGCTTGATCCAGCGGTTCCAAATAATGTCACCAGACTCTGTCTTACAGTTTCTCAATCCTTTATGTTGACTTCATTCTCATGTTCCGATTGTATGGTGTGTGGGTGTCCATATTTCCAGGACTTTTGCTTCCATGTTCAAACCCAGCAGGAAAGAGAGTGAATATTCCTCTTTCTAAAAGGACTAACATAAAGAATTGGGTCTGATTATCAGTCCTTTGTACTGGGGCGTATGCCCATCCCTAATCCAATCACTGTGGCCAGAGGCATGGGATGTCTTCATTGCCTTAGGCCAATAAGATAACCCTATCCCGGAGGACTGGTGAGATCAGTTCCAATTAAACTATATAGATCAATGATTCCCCAAGGGTATTGTAAGGTACTGTTACCATAAAATAAATGAGTGGGAGGTGAGACAAAATGTAACACATGTGTACTGTACCGTGTGCCATGGAACATGCCTGACTTTTAAGGGTAATCAAATTTGGCCTTCCCTCATTTCCTGAATAAAATTAATATAAATATTTGGAAAATAAAATTAGTTCAGTGGCATTAGGTTGAATGCTCAGAGGTCATTGTATATATGTATGTAGGTAGGTATACGTTGAATAAATAAGCCTTAGTTTTTACCTATAATATGAAAAGGTTAAAATTAGACTATGGTAGGGGGAGGAGCCAAGATGGCCAAATAGGAACAGCTCTGGTCTACAGCCCCCAGCGTGAGCGATGCAGAAGAGGGGTGATTTCTGCATTTCCATCTGAGGTGCCGGGTTCATCTCACTAGGGAGTGCCAGACAGTGGGCGCAGGTCAGTGGGTGCACGCACCGTGCGCGAGCCGAAGCAGGGCGAGGCATTGCCTCACTTGGGAAGTGCAAGGGTTCAGGGAGTTCCCTTTCCGAGTCAAAGAAAGGGGTGACGGACGCACCTGGAAAATCGGGTCACTCCCACACGAATATTGCGCTTTTCGAACAGGCTTAAAAAACGGCGCACCACGAGATTATATCCTGCACCTGGCTTGGAGGGTCCTACGCCCACGGAGTCTCGATGATTGCTAGCACAGCAGTCTGAGATCAAACTGCAAGGCGGCAGCGAGGCTGGGGGAGGGGCGCCCACCATTGCCCAGGCTTGCTTAGGTAAACAAAGCAGCCAGGAAGCTCGAACTGGGTGGAGCCCACCACAGCTCAAGGAGGCCTGCCTGCCTCTGTAGGCTCCACCTCTGGGGGCAGGGCACAGACAAACAAAAAGACAGCAGTAACCTCTGCAGACTTAAATGTCCCTGTTTGACAGCTTTGAAGAGAGCAGTGGTTCTCCCAGCACGCAGCTGGAGATCTGAGAACGGGCAGACTGCCTCCTCAAGTGGGTCCCTGACCCCTGACCCCCGAGCAGCCAAACTGGGAGGCACCCCGCAGCAGGGGCACACTGACACCTCACACGGCAGGGTATTCCAACAGACCTGCAGCTGAGGGTCCTGTCTGTTAGAAGGAAAACTAACAAACAGAAAGGACATCCACACCAAAAACCCATTTGTACATCACCATCATCAAAGACCAAAAGTAGATAAAACCACAAAGATGGGGAAAAAACAGAACAGAAAAACTGGAAACTCTAAAACGCAGAGCGCCTCTCCTCCTCCAAAGGAACACAGCTCCTCACCGGCAACGGAACAAAGCTAGATGGAGAATGACTTTGACGAGCTGAGAGAAGAAGACTTCAGACAATCAAATTACTCCGATCTACAGGAGGACATTCAAACCAAAGGCAAAGAAGTTGAAAACTTTGAAAAAAATTTAGAAGAATGTATAACTAGAATAACCAATACAGAGAAGTGCTTAAAGGAGCTGATGGAGCTGAAAACCAAGGCTCGAGAACTACGTGAAGAATGCAGAAGCCTCAGGAGCCGATGGAATCAACTGGAAGAAAGGGTATCAGCAATGGAAGATGAAATGAATGAAATGAAGCGAGAAGGGAAGTTTAGAGAAAAAAGAATAAAAAGAAATGAGCAAAGCCTCCAAGAAATATGGGAGTATGTGAAAAGACCAAATCTACGTCTGATTGGTGTACCTGAAAGTGACAGGGAGAATGGAACCAAGTTGGAAAACACTCTGCAGGATATTATCCAGGAGAACTTCCCCAATCTAGCAAGGCAGGCCAACGTTCAGATTCAGGAAATACAGAGAATGCCACAAAGATACTCCTTGAGAAGAGCAACTCCAACACATATAATTGTCAGATTCACCAAACTTGAAATGAAGGAAAAAATGTTAAGGGCAGCCAGAGAGAAAGGTCGGGTTACCCTCAAAGGGAAGCCCATCAGACTAACAGCGGATCTCTCGGCAGAAACCCTACAAGCCAGAAGAGAGTGGGGGCCAATATTCAACATTCTTAAAGAAAAGAATTCTCAACCCAGAATTTCATATCCAGCCAAACTAAGCTTCATAAGTGAAGGAGAAATAAAATACTTTACAGACGAGCAAATGCTGAGAGATTTTGTCACCACCAGGCCTGCCCTAAAAGAGCTCCTGAAGGAAGCACTAAACATGGAAAGGAACAACCGGTACCAGCCGCTGCAAAATCATGCCAAAATGTAAAGACCATCGAGACTAGGAAGAAACTGCATCAACTAACGAGCAAAATCACCAGCTAACATCATAATGACAGGATCAAATTCACACATAACACTATTAACTTTAAATGTAAATGGACTAAATGCTCCAATTAAAAGACACAGACTGGCAAATTAGATAAAGAGTCAAGACCCATCAGTGTGCTGTATTCAGGAAACCCATCTCACGTGTAGAGACACACATAGGCTCAAAATAAAAGGATGGAGGAAGATCTACCAAGCAAATGGAAAACAAAAAAAGGCAGGGGTTGCAATCCTAGTCTCTGATAAAACAGACTTTAAACCAACAAAGATCAAAAGAGACAAAGAAGGCCATTACATAATGGTAAAGGGATCAATTCAACAAGAAGAGCTAACTATCCTAAATATATATGCACCCAATACAGGAGCACCCAGATTCATAAAGCAAGTCCTGAGTGACCTACAAAGAGACTTAGACTCCCACACATTAATAATGGGAGACTTTAACACTCCACTGTCAACATTAGACAGATCAACGAGACAGAAAGTCAACAAGGATACCCAGGAATTGAACTCAGCTCTGCACCAAGCGAACCTAATAGACATCTACAGGATTCTCCACCCCAAATCAACAGAATATACATTTTTTTCAGCACCACACCACACCTATTCCAAAATTGACCACATACTTGGAAGTAAAGCTCTCCTCAGCAAATGTAAAAGAACAGATATTATAACAAACTATCTCTCAGACCACAGTGCTATCAAACTAGAACTCAGGATTAAGAATCTTACTCAAAACCGCTCAACTACATGGAAACTGAACAACCTGCTCCTGAATGACTACTGGATACATAACGAAATGAAGGCAGAAATAAAGATGTTCTTTGAAACCAACGAGAAAAAAGACACAACATACCAGAATCTCTGGGACGCATTCAAAGCAGTGTGTAGAGGGAAATTTATAGCACTAAATGCCCACAAGACAAAGCAGGAAAGATCCAAAACTGACACCCTAACATCGCAATTAAAAGAACTAGAAAAGCAAGAGCAAACACATTCAAAAGCTAGCAGAAGGCAAGAAATAACTAAAATCAGAGCAGAACTGAAGGAAATAGAGACACAAAAAAACCTTCAAAAAATTAATGAATCCAGGAGCTGGTTTTTTGAAAGGATCAACAAAATTGATAGACCTCTAGTAAGACTAATAAAGAAAAAAAGAGAGAAGAATCAAATAGACACAATAAAAAATGATAAAGGGGATATCACCACCGATCCCACAGAAATACAAACTACCATCAGAGAATACTACAAACACCTCTATGCAAATAAACTAGAAAATCTAGAAGAAATGGATAAATTCCTCGATTCATACACTCTCCCAAGACTAAACCAGGAAGAAGTTGAATCTCTGAGTAGACCAATAACGGGAGCTGAAATTGTGGCAATAATCAATAGTTTACCAACCAAAAAGAGTCCAGGACCAGATGGATTCAGAGCCGAATTCTACCAGAGGTACAAGGAGGAACTGGTACCATTCCTTCTGAAACTATTCCAATCAATAGAAAAAGAGGGAATCCTCCCTAACTCATTTTATGAGGCCAGCATCATTCTGATACCAAAGCTGGGCAGAGACACAACCAAAAAAGAGAATTTTAGACCAATATCCTTGATGAACATTGATGCAAAAATCCTCAGTAAAATACTGGCAAAACGAATCCAGCAGCACATCAAAACGCTTATCCACCATGATCAAGTGGGCTTCATCCCTGGGATGCAAGGCTGGTTCAACATACGCAAATCAATAAATGTAATCCAGCATATAAACAGAGCCAAAGACAAAAACCACATGATTATCTCAATAGATGCAGAAAAAGCCTTTGACAAAATTCAACAACCCTTCATGCTAAAAACTCTCAATAAATTAGGTATTGATGGGACGTATTTCAAAATAATAAGAGCTATCTATGACAAACCCACAGCCAATATCATACTGAATGGGCAAAAACTGGAAGCATTCCCTTTGAAAACTGGCACAAGACAGGGATGCCCTCTCTCACCACTCCTATTCAACATAGTGTTGGAAGTTCTGGCCAGGGCAATTAGGGAGGGGAAGGAAATAAAGGGTATTCAATTAGGAAAAGAGGAAGTCAAATTGTCCCTGTTTGCAGACGACATGATTGTACAGCTAGGAAACCCCATTGTCTCAGCCCAAAATCTCCTTAAGCTGATAAGCAACTTCAGCAAAGTCTCAGGATACAAAATCAATGTACAAAAATCACAAGCATTCTTATACACCAACAACAGACAAACAGAGAGCCAAATCATGAGTGAACTCCCATTCACAATTGCTTCAAAGAGAATAAAATACCTAGGAATCCAACTTACAAGGGATGTGAAGGACCTCTTCAAGGAGAACTACAAACCACTGCTCAAGGAAATAAAAGAGGATACAAACAAATGGAAGAACATTCCATGCTCATGGGTAGGAAGAATCAATATCATGAAAATGGCCATACTGCCCAAGGTAATTTATAGATTCAATGCCATCCCCATCAAGCTACCAATGACTTTCTTCACAGAATTGGAAAAAACTACTTTAAAGTTCATATGGAACCAAAAAAGAGCCCGCATCGCCAAGGCAATCCTAAGCCAAAAGAACAAAGATGGAGGCCTCACACTACCTGACTTCAAACTATACTACAAGGCTACAGTAACCAAAACAGCATGGTACTGGTACCAAAACAGAGATATAGATCAATGGAACAGAACAGAGCCCTCAGAAATAACGCCGCATATCTACAACTATCTGATCTTTGACAAACCTGAGAAAAACAAGCAATGGGGAAAGGATTCCCTATTTAATAAATGGTGCTGGGAAAACTGGCTAGCCATATGTAGAAAGCTGAAACTGGATCCCTTCCTTACACCTTATACAAAAATCAATTCAAGATGGATTAAAGACTTAAACGTTAGACCTAAAACCATAAAAACCCTAGAAGAAAACCTAGGCATTACCATTCAGGACATAGGCATGGGCAAGGACTTCATGTCCAAAACACCAAAAGCAATGGCAACAAAAGCCAAAATTGACAAATGGGATCTAATTAAACTAAAGAGCTTCTGCACGGCAAAAGAAACTACCATCAGAGTGAACAGGCAACCTACAAAATGGGAGAAAATTTTCACAACCTACTCATCTGACAAAGGGCTAATATCCAGAATCTACAATGAACTCAAACAAATTTACAAGAAAAAAACAAACAACCCCATCAAAAAGTGGGCAAAGGACATGAACAGACACTTCTCAAAAGAAGACATTTATGCAGCCAACAGACCCATGAAAAAATGCTCATCATCACTGGCCATCAGAGAAATGCAAATCAAAACCACAATGAGATACCATCTCACACCAGTTAGAATGGCGATCATTAAAAAGTCAGGAAACAACAGGTGCTGGAGAGGATGTGGAGAAATAGGAACACTTTTACACTGTTGGTGGGACTGTAAACTAGTTCAACCATTGTGGAAGTCAGTGTGGCGATTCCTCAGGGATCTAGAAGTAGAAATACCATTTGACCCAGCCATCCCATTACTGGGTATATACCCAAAGGACTATAAATCATGCTGCTATAAAGACACATGCACACGTATGTTTATTGCGGCATTATTCACAATAGCAAAGACTTGGAACCAACCCAAATGTCCAACAATGATAGACTGGATTAAGAAAATGTGGCACATATACACCATGGAATACTACGCAGCCATAAAAAATGATGAGTTCATGTCCTTTGTAGGGACATGGATGAAATTGGAAATCATCATTCTCAGTAAACTATCGCAAGAACAAAAAACCAAACACCGCATATTCTCACTCATAGGTGGGAATTGAACAATGAGATCACATGGACACAGGAAGGGGAATATCACACTCTGGGGACTGTTGTGGGGTGGGGGGAGGGGGGAGGGATAGCATTGGGAGATATACCTAATGCTAGATGACGAGTTAGTGGGTGCAGCACACCAGCATGGCACATGTATACATATGTAACTAACCTGCACAATGTGCACATGTACCCTAAAACTTAATGTATAATAAAAAAAAAAGAAGAAAAAAAAATTAGACTATGGTAATTTTTCTTAAAAGATCAGATGAAAACTAAGTTGGGCTTTGCAGACCACATGTATAGGTATATATCCCATACATATATCCACCCCCCTTCCCCAACACACACACTTTTACAACCCTTTTAAAATATAAAAATCACTCTTAGGGCTGTATAAGAAATAGCCAGATTTGGCCTGCAGGTCATAATTTGTGTACCCTTGGGCTAGATGGTCACTAGGACCCCTTCCAGCTATGTTAGGTTTCTGTTTTAGCACGTGTAGCTCCTACTCCCTCTGTTCAAGAAGGACTCATTCTTTCACAGAAGTGCTCAAATGCCACTGTCACTATTATTCCCTGTCCCGAGAAGCATGGCAAAAATATATAAATGGTACCATGCTCACCTGTATCCTTTTTGGCCATTGAATACCTGGGTGTCTGTAGTTTAACTGTTCCCACAAAATACAGCTAACCCTTGAACAACATGGGGGTTAGAGATGCTGACCTCCCACACAGTTGAATATTTGTGTATAACTTTTGACACTGCAAAAACGTAACTACTAATAGCTTAGTCTACCAGAAGCCTTGTCGATAACATAAACAGTTTATTGATACATAGTTTGTATGTTATGTGTATCATAAACTGCATTCTTACAAAAATAGTTTTTTGTAATAATACAGTTTTTTACAAAATATAGTACTGTATTTTTATAAAATACAGTAAAAACTGTAATTTTTACAAAAATAGTTTTTATATGTATCATAAACTTCTTATAAAAATAAAATAAGCTAGAAAAGAAAATGTTATTAAGAAAATCATAAGGAAGGTATATTAGTCCATTCTCATACTGTTAAAAATAAATACCTGAAACTGGGTAATTTATTAAAAAAAAAAAAGAGGTTTAACTGGCTCACAGTTCTGCAGGCTGTACAGGAAGCATGGCTGGGGAAGCCTCAGAAAACTTTCAATCATGGTGGAAGGTGAAAGGGAAGCAGGCATGTCTTACATGGCCCCAGAAGGAGGAAGAGAGAGAGAGGGGAGGTGCCACACTCTTTTAAACAACTGAATCTCATGATAACTCCCTCACTATAAAGAGAACAGCACCAAGGGGGAAATCCGCCCCCATGATTCAATCACCTCCCACCAGGTCCCTCCCTCGACACTTGGGGATTACATTTCGAGATGATTTGGGTGGGGACATAAAGCCAAACCATTTCATCATATATAACTAATTTGTGGTGTATATCAACAAGAACATGCTTTAAATTTCCTTGCCAATTTACAGCCCCTATACTATACCAGGAAAGGTTGGTGGCTATTGAAAATACCACCAGGACAGGGCTATCTAAAGACACATTTGGCAGTGTGTTAACTATACACAAAAGACACTGTACAGTTTAAAAACAAATCCTAGACAGCTGGAAATTTCCATTTTTTCTTTACAAGGAGTAAATTATGTTCAGGGAGGTAAAATGCTTTATAGAGAAGAAAAAATCTGCCTGAACCAACTTATTGATTATCATCTTCATCTTCTTTATCATCCTCCTCTTCCTTGTTTTTCTTGCTTTTTTTCAGCCTTGATGACTCCCTTTTTTGCTGAATCAGGCTTTTCTTTAGCATTTTTCCTTTAGTATTTTTTCTTCAGCTTCATGGCCTTCTTTTCATAAGGGAGCTTGTCATCTGCAGCAGTGTCATTCCACACCTCTTCCAGTTTTGTTGCAACATCACCAACAGATAGGCTGGGGTGTTCTCTTTTGATTTTGTGCAAATATTCAGAAGAGAACAAGAAAAAGGCTGAAGGATGCTTCTTGAGTACATTGGGATCCTTGTGCTTCTTTTTGGTTCCCCTTTAGGATGAATATATGTTTTTACTTCTCTTTCATAAAGGGCCTTGTCTGTCTTTTCTGTCATCAAATTTTCCTTTCTCTTTCACAGACATGGTCTTCCACTTCTCAGAGCACTTCTTTGGAAACTCGGAGAAGTTGCAGTGGACCGAGAGCACGCCATTGCACTCCAGCCTCGGTGACAGAGTGATATCCGTCTCTCAAAAAACAGAAGGCAAAAAAAAAAAAAAGAAAACTGAAAAGTTGACTGAACTATCTGGGTACTCCTTCTCGTGCTCCTCCCAACAAGTCTGCAAAGAATGCATATGATGACAGTGTGCCTCTCAGCTTCTTAGGAACTCCTTTGCCCACATTTAGTTATTTTTGCTCAGCAAGACACAGAGTCACCCATTGCCCATCTAGCTCTCTCTTGCTTGCCTCACTGCTATCTCTATGGAGCTCAATGTACTGCAATGGCTGTCTATACTCTCTTCTTGTGGTTTTCTGGAAAACAAGAAGAAACTTCTGCCAGGCCAGAGGCATGAGGTAGCAGCTAAGAATTACCTTTCTAAAACACAAGTATGATATCACTTCACTAACAACCTTCGCTGACTGCCACCACCTACAGAGCAAAGGCTGTATTTCTTAGAACTATCACTACCTAACTCTACCTAGCTTTTTAGCCTTACCTCTCATGACTGCCCTCAAATGCCTTATTCACTACCTACTCCAGTCTACTTACATTGTCCATACTTGTCACACATTGGATGCTTTATACATTTGCATAGGGGTTGACTACTCACTTTGCCTATAATAGCATTTTTTTAAATCTGTCTCTTGAAATCTTACTCTTCATAGGCCACATCCTTTTTGAAACCTTCACTTTCCCACCTCTGGAAAGAATTTAATCCCTCTTGTACTCCATTATGATCATATTCCTAGTTAGTTAAACAGCAGAATCAAACCTCACTTGAGAGTAAGGTTCTAAAGATATAAGAAGAAAATAAAAAACTCATATAGTTTCAAATTAATTTTGAAAAGAAATGTCTCAGGAAGTTTATCCCTTAGGTTGAACAGTAGATAAAGTAATTAACTTGCATGTAGGAACCAGATTGTACAAAAAATATAAACCTTAAACCCAAGAATCACACTCAGCACAGAGGGTTGTTCACCCTGTAACAGTTAAGTGGGGACTGTGACTATGGAATTTCAGTTTCCTATCCTCCATTATCATGCTAATCATAGGGCATTGCACACTAAATAGTGGAAAGGCTACATTTTCTGTCTCTCTCTTTCTCTCCCCCTCCCCCACTGCTTATCTAGTTAAATATGAGTATTTTAAATATTGTGTACTCTGTAGTTCTCCTTTCTCCTTTCAGTTTGAGATTATAAGATTTTTGTGGGCAGGAATTATGTCTTCTTCTCTTTGGATTCTCAATACATTTCCACCATAACAGCTCATAGGTGCTTATAGATGCAGCATCATAGGTGCTCACAAAATGGGAAATTGGATTGAATTTCATATTCCTTGAGTGGTTTCCATGTCTTCTTATTTCCTTTCATGCTGAACAAATTAATTTAAAATAATTTGCTGATGGGGTGGTGGACTATCTTGTGTGAAAAAAGGAAACTTTAGGCAGTTGTCCCTTCCAAAGTAGCCTAGGGACAGTTCAATTTTGCAAAATGTGAATGACATAATGCTGCTTTCCTTTACAACTATATGTTATATTAAATCATTAGATAAGAAATGACATGAGACCAAAGTCAATCCATTTTAATTTGACAATAATTACTTCTTACCCCCTTCATCGTGCAATCAAGCACTAAACCTGCTGAATATCCTTACGTTTGCTGGCAGTTCAATAACAATATTTTCTAAAAGTTTTGAGTCTCAAATCATTTTAATTCTTCTAGTTCTTCATTTTACTCTTCATATAAAATTAACCTAAAATACCGAAAACTTTTGATACCTTCTCTGTACCTTTCCAAACAACAGGAGCACTTTTGCTATTTTTTCTTACAATTCTAAAATAAAGAACTTTCTTGTATAGAGTCACCTCCTAAACTTCTCAGGGAATGGATTGCATGCTGATATTTTTAAATAGGGAAAAGTAGTCTATCCTTTTACCTGTTTTAAGTGTTTTGACTTCAAAAACACCATAACGGACTCAGGAAATGGAGGCTCTATCTTGTTTCTATGACGCTCTGATTCTTACTCAGCTGTTTATACTTGAAAATATATTTTGGCTGCCAAAAATATTCTCCCATAAACAATGTTCAAAAACAGTTTAATAATTAAAGCACTAAATATTAAATAAATAGATGAATATGTATGAAAGATATAAATATATAAACATGACTTAATAATTAATTCCTAGTATTTTCAGTTGGCTTTTCCCTAGTGCAACTCAATCAGAGGGAAGCGATATATCTGAGTCAAAGCTCATATAACAAACTAAAGGACTCCTTTCATGCATAGCCTAGAAATTACCCTAGATCTGTCTATGTCCCCACTCTTTTGCCTCTGTTCCTGTTGTAGTAGTAAACTGTGACAAAAGATGAGTTGGTAATGTTTGTTGTGTGATCAAGCCTCAGAAAACTACAGATGTTATGGCTTTCACACGCTAAAGTTGTTCAGTTAGAAGATGGAAGAGAAAGGAGGCAAACCCAGGTTCCTGTAATTATAAAGCCGTAGTTCTCAGATGCTTTATACTGTCTTTCCATGTAACCTGCCTTCTTTTGTTTCTGGCTGTATAAGGGAGAGTCAAACCTGTATAGAACACATAATAATTGTAACCTGCCATGAGATATGAAGATAAACATACAAGTTAATGTTTTGGTTTCTGCCTTTTCTGGAACTGGGTCATTGAGACACAGCAAAACAGACTGACAAATGGTTTTTCACATTTGACAAGGCTGCATGTGGTATCTGATGGTTTAAAAGTATGTAGCACTTCCCCCTTCACTCACGTTCTCTCCTGCTCCACCATGGTAAGATGTGCTTGCTTCCCCTTCGCTTTCAGCCATGATTGTAAATTTCCTGAGGTCTCCCCGTCACGCTTCTTGTTAAGCCTGAGAAACTGTGAGTCAATTAAATCTCTTTTCTTCATAAATTATCCAGTCTCAGGTGCTCTTTATAGCAGTGTGAGAACAGACTAACACACCCATCATTAAGGGATACATGACTGTATTGTATTCATTTTCTACAAAAAAATCATGTTGTAGAATTCTATTAATTGTCAGAGGAAACAAAAGACTGTGCTGACTGTGTGATAATTTTCAGTTATAAAAATAGTATTAAAATCTGAAGATCCTGATGATTTTTATTCCAAAATTCTATAAAAATAAGGTCAAAGTTTTTGTAGGGCTACAGTGAGGGTATATTTATACATTTATATTTATCTATTTTCCCCAAGAGGAAAATGATTCTAGAAATAATAGACATCTAAGCTTACCTTCTTTTCTTATATAAAACAAGTTTGGAAAAATTGCCCCAAATCTATATGCAGGCCATTTGAATGGAAAAAGAAATTAAGTAATAGGCTTGTGAAAACCAAATCCTATCAGAATAAATTTATCTCTTTCTGCAGTAGACCAGATAGACTGAAGAAGGAACTTTTTTGAGGCTGTCAACTCTATCCTGCTGACACAACCATCAATGAAATAGAAAAGTGTGATATGAACCACATAGCTATTAAACCTGACCACAGTTAGCTGGAACATTATATTTAGAAAGTGGCATCTTGGCAGGCATGGTGGCTCATGCCTGTAATTCCAGAACTTTGGGAGGCTGAGGCAGGGGGATTGCTTGAGCCCAG
Organism: Homo sapiens; assembly: GCF_000001405.40. NCBI lineage: Eukaryota > Metazoa > Chordata > Mammalia > Primates > Hominidae > Homo > Homo sapiens. The sequence continues at coordinate 98,418,688 of NC_000023.11, read as the reverse complement.
GAGTTAGAGACCAACCTGGGTAACACAGGGAATTTCTGCCTCCAAAAAAAAAAAAAAAAAATTAGCCGGGCTTGGTGGCACACGCCTGTGGTCCCAGCTATTTGGGAGACTGAGGTGGTAGGATCGCTTGATCCCAGGAAGTCAAGACTGCAGTGAGCTATGATCACACCACTGCATTCCAGCCTGGGCAAAAGAGCAAGACACTACCTTAAAGACAAAAAAAAAAAAAAAAAAGAAAGGAAGGAAGGAACGAAGGAGAAAAAAAGTGGTATCAATCTAGGTAATACAATAATTAGGGATCCAAAGGGCCCATTCCCAGAATTTTAGAAAACAAGACTTCTGAGATTTTTAACAACATTTCTATCAGTTGAGCTAAAAATTAAACTATTATTATCCCTGCACTTCTTTTTTTTTTAAATGAATTATGTATATTATACAATGGTATATATTGTTTAGCGAGTAAAAGGGATAAGATACACGTGTTTCAACAAGGAAAAAAGGCTGCAAATATTCTATGCAAAAAAGTTGTGTGCAAGGCCGTATATATGATACAATCCCATTTATGCAAAATATACAGCTACATATTAATATTTGCATTCAAAAGACCAGAAAGATATCCAGCAGACTGCCCGCAGTTATTAACTCTGAAGAGTGGAATGGGGCTGGGGTTGGGGAAGAACTGCCTTTCACTCTTCTTTTTTTTTTTTAATTTTATTTTATTATTATTATACTTTAAGTTTTAGGGTACATGTGCACAATGTGCAGGTTTGTTACATATGTAGACATGTGCCATGCTGGTGTGCTGCACCCATTAACTTGTCATTTAGCATTAGGTATATCTCCCAATGCTATCCCTCCCCCCTCCCCCCACCCCACAACAGTCCCCGGTGTGTGATGTTCCCCTTCTTGTGTCCATGTGTTCTCATTGTTCAATTCCCACCTATGAGTGAGAACATGCAGTGTTTGGTTTTTCGTCCTTGCAATAGTTTGCTGAGAATGATGGTTTCCAGCTTCATCCATGTCCCTACAAAGGACATGAACTCATCAATTTTTATGGCTGTATAGTATTCCATGGTGTATATGTGCCACATTTTCTTAATCCAGTCTATTATTGATTGACATTTGGGTTGGTTCCAAGTCTTTGCTATTGTGAATAGTGCCACAATAAACATACGTGTGCATGTGTCTTTATAGCAGCATGATTTATAATCCTTTGGGTATATACCCAGTAATGGGATGGCTGGGTCAAATGGTATTTCTAGTTCTAGATCCCTGAGGAATCACCACACCGACTTCCACAATGGTTGAACTAGTTTACAGTCCCACCAACAGTGTAAAAGTGTTCCTATTTCTCCACATCCTGTCCAGCACCTGTTGTTTCCTGACTTTTTAATGATCGCCATTCTAACTGGTATGTATCTCATTGTGGTTTTGATTTGCATTTCATTTCTCTGATGGCCAGTGATGATGAGCATTTTTTCATGTGTCTTTTGGCTGCATAAATGTCTTCTTTTGAGAAGTGTCTGTTCATATCCTTCGCCCACTTTTTGATGGGGTTGTTTGTTTTTTTCTTGTAAATTTGTTTGAGTTCATTGTAGATTCTGGATATTAGCCCTTTGTCAGATGAGTAGGTTGCAAAAATTTTCTCTCATTCTGTAGGTTGCCTGTTCACTGTGATGGTAGTTTCTTTTGCTGTGCAGAAGCTCTTTAGTTTAATTAGATTCCATTTGTCAATTTTGGCTTTTGTTGCCATTGCTTTTGGTGTTTTAGACATGAAGTCCTTGCCCATGCCTATGTCCTCAATGGTATTGCCTAGGTTTTCTTCTAGGGTTTTTATGGTTTTAGGTCTAACATTTAAGTCTTTAATTAAGAATGTTGAATATTGGCCCCCACTCTCTTCTGGCTTGTAGAGTTTCTGCCAAGAGATCAGCTTCCCTTTGTGGGTAACCCGACCTTTCTCTCTGGCTGCCCTTAACATTTTTCCCTTCATTTCAACTTCGGTGAATCTGACAATTATGTGTCTTGGAGTTGCTCTTCTCGAGGAGTATCTTTGTGGCATTCTCTGTATTTCCTGAATCTGAATTTGGCCTGCCTTGCTAGATTGGGGAAGTTCTCCTGGATAATATCCTGCAGAGTGTTTTCCAACTTGGTTCCATTCTCCCCGTCACTTTCAGGTACACCAATCAGACGTAGATTTGGTCTTTTCACATAGTCCCATATTTCTTGGAGGCTTTGTTCGTTTCTTTTTATTCTTTTTTCTCTGAACTTTTCTTCATGCTTTATTTCGTTCATTTCATCTTCCATTGCTGATACCTTTTCTTCCAGTTGATCGCATCGGCTACTGAGGCTTCTGCATTCATCATCTGGTTCTCATGCCATGGTTTTCAGCTCCATCAGGTCCTTCAAGGACTTCTCTGCATTGGTTATTCTAGTTATCCATTCGTCTAATTTTTTTTCAAAGTTTTTAACTTCTTTGGCATTGGTTCGAACTTCCTCCTTTAGCTCGGAGTAGTTTGATCTTCTGAAGCCTTCTTCTCTCAACTCGTCAAAGTCATTCTCCATCCAGCTTTGTTCCATTGCTGGTGAGGAGCTGTGTTCCTTTGGAGGAGGAGAGGTGCTCTGATTTTTAGAGTTTCCAGTTTTTCTGCTCTGATTTTTCCCCATCTTTTTGGTTTTATCTACCTTTGGTCTTTGATGATGGTGACGTACAGATGGGTTTTTGGTGTGGATGTCCTTTCTGTTTGTTAGTTTTCCTTCTAACAGTCAGGACCCTCAGCTGCAGGTCTGTTGGAGTTTGCTGGAGGTCCATTCCAGACCCTGTTTGCCTGGGTATCAGCAGCGGTGGCTGCAGAAGAGTGGATATTGGTGAACCGCAAATGCTGCTGCCTGATCGTTCCTCTGGAAGTTTTGTCTCAGAGGAGTACCCGGCCATGTGAGGTGTCAGTCCGCCCCTACTGGGGGGTGCCTCCCAGTTAGGCTACTCGGGGGTCAGGGACCCACTTGAGGAGGCAGTCTGCCCATTCTCAGATCTCAAACTGCATGCTGGGAGAACCACTGCTCTCTTCGAAGCTGTCAGACAGGGTCATTTAAGTCTGCAGAGGTTATTGCTGTCTTTTGTTTGTCTGTGCCCTGCCCCCGGAGGTGGAGCCTACAGAGGCAGGCAGGCCTCCTTGATCTGTGGTGGGCTCCACCCAGTTCGAGCTTCCTGGCTGCTTTGTTTACCTAAGCAAGCCTGGGCAATGGCAGGTGCCCCTCCCCCAGCCTTGCTGCTGCCTTGCAGCTTGATCTCAGACTGCTGTGCTAGCAATGAGCGAGGCTGCATGGGCGTAGGACCCTCCGAGCCACGTGTGGGATATAATCTCCTGGTGTGCCGTTTGTTAAGCCTGTTGGAAAAGTGCAGTATTAGGGTGGAAGTGACCCGATTTTCCAGGTGCCCTCTGTCACCCCTTTCTTTGACTAGGAAAGGGAATTCCCTGACCCCTTCTGCTTCCCGGGTGAGGTGATGCCTCGCCCTGGTTTGGCTCACACACGGTGCGCTGCACCCACTGTCCTGCATCCACTGTCCGGCACTCCCCAGTGAGATGAACCTGGTACCTCAGTTGGAAATGCAGAAATCACCTGTCTTCTGTGCCGCTCATGCTGGGAGCTGTAGACTGGAGCTGTTCCTATTCGGCCCTCTTGGCTCCACACCCCATCCCTGCACTTCTTAATAGGTCAGAACTTTGACATGGATAAACAAAATACTCAAACAATAATAGAGAGAAATGGATAAGCAAAACAAATGAACTTTCAGATTTGTGCTTTGTGCTTAGCAGGAATTCAGTAAACATTTGCTGATAGATTTAATTCGTGTGTTTTGATGTCATAGCTGCTAAACATTCGTTCATTCCAGATATATTTGGGGAGGGTTTACTACATACCAAGCATTATTCTAGGTGCTGCAAATCCAGAGATATCTATTAGTAGTAGAATTTGCCTTCGTTTGTTATTCTCTTTGTCTGTGGTGTTAGATGTTGTAGTACTCTGCTAATATCTGTATGCATCATTACTTCTAGTTTATTACTTAAGCACTAAAAACTCAGAACACAAACAAAAATAATTATTTTTATTTTCCACCTCTAAGATAGCAACCAGGATTTTTAATTGACATCAATATCTCTGAAAATGTTGAAAAATTATTTTGAACTGAATAGTTGTCAGTACTTTTAACCAAGCAAGTACTTCAGCCCTGTGATAAACCCATATTGAATAAGGTTCATACAAAGATGGCAAGGATTCCTTACAACTCCATTGCCATTTTTACATGATATAATCATTTCCCAAATGTACTAAATCATGTGGCCCCCAAATCATGGCCTTTTCTTGCTCCTTTTCATTTATCTCTCAGGCCAGTCAGAGGTTGAGAGAGAAGGAAGGATCATTAAGACCTCAAAGAATGATAGTATGTTATATGGAGTATGGCCTGGTCTTCAACATATGGCCTGGTCTTCAACATATCTGGGCGTCTGTAGGCTCATTGAGATGTGTTCCTGCTCAGAAACAAAATAATGTCATCAGACCTAGAGTGGCTGACAGTGCCAGAATGCCCAGGACTGTCCCAGTTTTAGCAGTGAAAGTGCTACCATCTGGGAAACCTTCCAACCCCAGGCTAAAAAGATCACTCAGTCACACTAGACTTCACTTTTATTTTGCCAAAAACTTCCATCAGGATATGAGATAGGGTTCCACAGGTTAGGACCACTTCGTCTTACGATTGAGTTTGCTAGATTTACTGGGATGGCAGGAGGCAGAGATGTCATCTAACTCTGACAATTTATTTTCTTAACAGCTCTATTCACCTTTATCAATTTGTTTAGCTGTCTTCTATTATATATATATATTATATATATATAATATATATAATATATATTATATATATAATATATATTATATATTATATATATATAATATATATTATATATATAATATATAATATATATTATATATATAATATAATATATAATATATATTACATATAATTATATAATATATTACATATTATATAATTATATATAATATATATATATATATCGTGTCAACTTCCTTACATTTACATGGGGTAAAACAAAATGTAGAAAGTTGTCCACTAGATACAGTGGAAGACATAGTCAAAATCGGAAATTTGGTACATATCTGGACTACACTAAGGCATTTCCAGATCAAATGTGCCTGCTTCTAAGTGAACAAATCCTTAGGCTTTGTCCCAGCATTGATTAACGAAAGGAGCTAGAAACAGAATGGATTTTTGTCTACAATGTAACTATAACAGCAAAAAGTTTTTGAGTGTTTTTGTGGCAGAATGCCATGCTTGAAAACTAGGGTGTCCTAAAGGCTCTATTAACTGATAATTGATTTTTCAAAGTTATGAACCACTCTGAATGTCCTTCAATCTGCCATTTCCCAGCAACTGGTAGAGTCAGAGATACACTAGGCACAGAAACTTCCTGTGTTGAATATTACAGCATAGTTGCAGAGCCAGATTAACTCTGCTGGTACTTATAACCTTGACCTTCGCAGTGATAACAGGACATCAAGGAAAACTAGGCTTTAGTTTAGAAAAATGTCTTAATACTTTGTCATGTTTTCAGTTTGCTCTAACTCTCAGGACACAGCAAAGGAGAAAAGATAACCAATAGTCAAGACTCGAAATATACTTTCCTAATCCCCAGAAAAAAAGCTTGGTAAAAGCATAAGGTAGGGAACAGCAGAGAATTCATTTTGTCCCAATTAGAAATTCTTTCTATTCATTTTAGATGATTTTCATAATCCTAGAATTAAAAGTCGACATCAGTATTAAAGAATACTGAAAAAAAATTGATTCAAATTTTGAAGCAGTTTGGGAACCAAGAGAACTGAAGTTAAGTTTATTTCACTCCAGGAACTTTAAAGATAAAAGGTGATTCATTGATTTGAGATGCATTCAGACAATTCCATTGTTCCCTTGAATTATAAATGAAGAGAAATGCTGAGGGCTGGGGTGGGGGTGATAAAGAAATTATACCATGGATCTACTATAAATCTTATTAAGCTTGGTACAAAAGTAATTGAGGTTTTTGCCATTGAAAGTAAACGTTTAAACTGCAATTCATTTTGCACCAACCTAATAGTAATCTCAACATGCATTACTGAACTGCTTGAAATTAATAGAAAATTCTTCTACGTCTTGTCCAAAATTTAAGTGGAAGCCACACTGATTGCTTAAGTGTGCTTAGAAAACTGCTAATTTAAATAGCATCTACTCCCGAGTTTTATACAGATGACCCAGGGCACTTTATCAGCACATTTGCCAATCACCATAAATTAACCAGAATACCAGGTACCAGAACAAATTAAAAGAGACAACTTTAATAACTTAATGATCCATTAGTATGTCTAATTTTGATGACACATCATTATACAAGAAGTAAAAATGAGCTGCTTTGTTTCAGATTACATTTGTACCTCTGAAATCTGTAAGCACTAGCTCCAGTTTCCACACTGAAATCATTTTAAAAGTTCTAAAAATCAGTGAGACTATTTGATTTGTGTAACAACCTACTCTGTAGTGGAAGAAAGGAAATAATATTCAGTAATCTCAAAATTCTTTAAATCCATTGATGTAAAAGCAAACTATATCTTAGCCACCTGTGGTTGGGTCTTCAGGAATTTTTATCAGATGGAAAAACTTGCATTTGCACTTCCATTGTTTCCAATTTTTGCTTTAATACTGGGTCATCTCAAAGCTTTCTAATCTTCCATAAAAATCCATTATGGACTTATCCTCCACAACTTTTTAAAATGCTTCTTGAACCTATTTATGTTTTGGGGTTGGTCATTTATCACTCTAATTACTTTCATAGATTGACTACCTGCTTCATGAAAAGATCTTAATTTGCTCTTAAATTAACCATCTTCAACTGCAATATTGTCCCTTGGCTCTAGTTTTTCTGTGATTTGTTTAAATAAGCCCAAATTAACCAACCTGTATGTTTCATAATGTTAAAAATTGCAATCATGTTCCTATATCGTCCCTACAAAATGAACACTAATTTCATTTTGTATAAGCAGAGCCTAAATGTAGTATAATTTTAAGATCCTGTTTGATGTTTGAGGCCCAGAGTAATAATTCATTTATTTGTATTTAGCAATATCTCCTCACATCTGGGATGGTGAAATAGGTTTGGAGAAGGGAAATAGCGTTGTGGGCATGGACACCAAACCAGTTTTGCTGCCAAGAATAGGATCTGAGCTTAGATGTTCAATCTAATACAGAGAGGTTTCAAGCATAATTTCTTCCTGGCTGTGTCAAAATCATTAGCGATTGGGGTTCTTTCTGGCTGTGTCAAAATCATTAGCGATTGGGGGTGCTGGAGAAAATACAGATTCTGACTCAATAAGTCTGAGGTTAAAGCCCAGAAATTCTTGTTTTTAATGAGCTCCTACATTAATTCTGATTAGCATCCAAGTTTGGGAAACCATGTGTATAATATATCATTGGTATCAACTAAAACACAATGAGGAGGGATAGTGCTGTGCTATTTTACGACTCAGCCCCAACTATGTTGTCTCCAGTATCTCAAACTCATAGCATGTAGTACCAATATCTGAGAGACCAAGAAATCATTGAATAGCATTATTGTGTTTTTCTTAATCCTTCACATAGTTATTTTAAGATATATAATGTACAGCATGAGTTAAATGTAGCCTTTTGAAGAGTGGATCCTCTTTTTTAACGAAGATTAATCTTTTGCGTTGGAACCTGCTTCGTAATACTAATCCCAGTGTTTTATTTTCAGGAAATGTCCGTGTCGATTGAAGACATGTAAATCAGCACATACAGTGCTCTAGCACAGCTGAATTATAAACCCATTAAAGGCTGAAATTATGAAAATGATGACCTAGTCTTCCGTGTGTGTCCACCATTCCATACCTCCAGCTGTTATATATCCAAGCTACAACAGGAATATTTAAGCACAATCCTGGGAGAGCTTCAACAAGCTTAAGAAAGCTCTGACCCAAATAATTTAGTTTGGTTTTAACTAATTGTGTAGGGTGTGTGTGCATGTGTATTGAGGTGGGGGGGTAGAAAAAGAGAGCAAGGAGCGACTGAGAATGGAGCACTGTAAAATTTTCTTCAAACCAACATCCTGAATAAGGATGAATGAAGAACAGCATAATTGACTGATGAAACGGTTTTATTTAATTCAGCTAGACACACATAACCCATGCTTTTGAATTTTTGTTTTAAAAAGCTTGTGATTCTCAATTCATTGATTTTTAATTTACAATATCAGAAAGAAAGAATCATGTTATAGAATTGAATTGAAGATCTCGTTGGGAAAATCCTGTCTTGGCAACCTAAGCTAAGAAAGAGGGTGTGATGCTGGGGCAGTGCATTTTGTTGTTGCTGTTGTTACAAAAGAGAAAATTGTTCTTCCAGCTATAGCAATAGTGCCTAACAGCAACTGCTTCCTGTGAAATTGTTCCAAGCACATTTCCATAAAGAAGGGTTCTATTCTACTCGAACCCTGCTTATATTCCAACCCTATCTACATTCCACTCCAGGCTTTCATGTGTTTCTCCCCCCAACAATTTGGCTATTTAATGCTCACACAGGCCTATAATTGTGCTGATGTCATCTACCCAATCAATCATAGAACTATTCATTAGGATATCTGCAATCAGGGCAGTGTCAAAGTGAACTACATTCATTTTGCTACTAAATATCAGATGACGGTAAATTAAACTCTTATTGTAATGATGATATTAAAGTGAATGGTGTGCAATTATAATTTTTCTCACCATTGTGCTATTTTTACTAGAGAATAGTAAACATGAATTTTACTGGCTTTAAGACTGGAGCACAGCTCAAAGAAAGAGGGCAGGGGAATTATATTTCCACATGAAAAATCCCTTATATTGAGTTGATGGAAAACAAGGCACTAAACACTATATTTTAGCAAAATAAGAGTGTATGAGCATGTTTTCCATATATAGTTCAGTCTATGACCATGTGCCAGTGCTAAAAATAGATGAATGTAGGTGCACTGAATACTTCACCAGCCACACAAATCCCACAGAAACAAATTGCTAGTTATAACCAAAGAAAAATAATTCACATGCTTACATATTTCCCTTCTGCAAAAATGTGCTCTTTTCAAAGTTAAGGTTAATATAATATTTTATCATTGAAAAACTATACCATATCCTTTCATAAATTTACCTTTTATAAAAGGTCATTAGTAAAAAGTGGAAAATTGAATAGCAATGGTAAGAATAAGTATTTGGTATTTTCTCCTGTTTTTCAAGCATGTTTAAGAGTCAAATGTTAATTAAAATAGTTTAATAAATAAAAAGAAAATTTTAAAGTAAGTTAAATGTATCCTTTGCAGCTATCCTTTCCTTGAATTGCTTCAAGATATATTAGAAGCTCTCATATTAAAATCATTAAGGATGGTTTAAAACAGATTTTCACAGCAGGAGGTATTTACATTTTAGTAAAATTTTAATAGGAGACTTTCACATGGGGCAAAAGGGAAAGCAAGGAATATTTTTAAATGAAACTATTAATTAACCAACAATTTTCTGTTGTTCTGATGTTTCTTTCTTAGCAACATTCCCTTTCTTCTAGATTCTACAATAAGGTCAAAATAACCCTCCACTTATCTCATTATAGTCACTTTCTTTCAGTGTCTCAGTTTCTGGACGTGATTTCACTATAGAATGGAATAGAGGAAGATCAGTTGTACCATGGAGAATATTTTCTTTATTGAAATACAACTGGACAAAAGCCAAATTCACAAGCACCACTATGAAAATCTTGGCATAAAAAAATAATTTTCTCTTAAATACATTCTGAAACATCTTCTGGTACATCACACTATGGCAGTGTGTCTCTAGTTCTAAAAATAATTTTATACAATATATACATTTTAAGAATGCAGTTAAGAATATCACAAACTTATTTATTGGGCACGTATTTAGCCAGTAATCAATCAAATCCAAATTTTCTCAAACATGAGAAAAAAAACTTTATAATTTAATAAAGAAAAATATCTTTTTAAACAATGTCTTTTTCAATCAGGTTTACTAAAAAGCAAAATACATTATTGATTCTAAAATATCATTCATTAAGTTGAACAAAACTGTGCTATCTCTACAAAAGTTATCAACCAAAAGTTCTTTTCCTTGCTTTATGTAGTTCTAAAACCATGATGTCTCAGTAATGGCCATTGTTCCCCTTTTTACAACATAAAATTATTCTTTTTCAATATTCGAACAAATAAATTTAATGATAACAAATACCCCATAATTTTAATGATTAACAATTTGCCTGTTTAATGCTTAGGAAGGTAGGATAAAATTTGTTAAAATATGCAAATGCATACAGCAGCAAGGAGAATGACATAGATTGAGGCTACAGTCCTCTTTTCTGTATCTAGTCATAAGGCCACAGTTGGTATTAATGACTTTCTTCCTCTGCTTCCCATTTCACTTTTTCTTTTCTCTCAGCCAGCATCTTTACTTGCTAGGGTTCTTTACCTGTGAGTGACCAAATGTTTATTCCTGAAGGATCTAAGCTCTCAGTGGTTCTGCCTTGTAGGGGAGAAAAAAACAAATATTGTCCTAATTTATTATAAGATTAATGGCTGAGGTCCCAATAAGAAAAGACAGAAGAACAAGAGGAAAGCATACAAATTTATTTAATGTAAATTTCACCTGACAAGAGAGCCTTCAGAAATGAAGACCCAAAGAAACAGAGAGATGTGTATATTTTTATGGACAGTCTTGCAGAAGTATGATTGAAGGACAAAAGGGTATGACGTCATGGTAATAAACTAATGGGTGGGGGGTACTGTGCAAGGTCTGTTCAGATTTTTCTTGGTGTCTTTGTCTGACATTCCTTCCCTCTGAGTATAGGGCAGGACACCTATCACATGAGAGTCTTCCGGAAAGAAGGGAGGCAGAAGGTCAGAGGATGACCTTCGTAGCTTTTACGGCCTGCTCCAGGGAATAAGCAGTGAGAGGAATTCTAGTTTCTATGGCCTGTTTCAGAAGAAAGGGGGCAGGAGAAGGTCAGGAAGATTTTCCTGCTTCTGCTCTTTTTTTTCATTCCCAAGGTATCATATTTTGGGGTAGTGTTTTCTACTTGATTAGAGTTTTAATATTATTTCCTTTTATCACTGACCATTGGGTGTAGCTATACTAAGAGCACCCTCATGTATGCTACTTCTCTCTACTTAAATTGTGTAACAGCAATCTTATCCAAGTTACTAATGTAATTCCATGTTTTGCTTGTTTAACACATGTAAATAAGGCACCTGAAGTGAATGGTTGATATTTCAGTTTTCAGTTCAGTGTAACCATTATTATTGTTTCTGCAGGTGGAAATATTACCCCTTTGAGTACTAAGATCTTTCAATCAACAAACCCTAGAATTGAAGAAATGGGAAGTGAAAATCATGAGTGTTTTATTAGGTGTAATAATGAGAAAGAGGTGCCATTCCCACTTTCTCCCATTGGTTCTCAGACCTATGGGACCTATAATTATGGAAGAAGCTGGACCATACATTGATCACTGGTTTAGATTAAATACTGCATCCCATAGAAGGGTATCCCAACCTCACATATCTGTCTCCTAACTGACATAATCATTATGTCTTTAGTAGGGTGTATCATTCCAAAAACCAATTTGCTTCTAGGTGGCAGTTTTTCATAAGACCAGTGAATCACATGGAAATCAGCCAACTCATTGCCTTACTTCTTTTCTTTTGCTAAAAGATAAATTCTTTTGTTAAAGGTAATATTGTGTGGGATAGTATGACTGTGTTTATGGCATTCAGTAAATTAACAGAAGCAAGAAAGAAAATCAAAATATTTTATCCCAGCAAAAATAATAAAATAATAATAATAATAATAATAATAATAATAATAATAATAATAATGCAGCCACTTTGGGAGGCCAAGGCAGGTGGATCACCTGAGGTCAGGAGTTCGAGATCAGCCTGGCCAACATGGTGAAACCCTGTCTCTACTAAAAATACAAAAATTAGCAGGGTGCACATTTGTAGTCCCAGCTACTTGGGAGGCTGAGGCAGGAGAATTGCTTGAACCCCAGAGGCAGAGGTTGCAGTGAGCAGAGATTGTGCCAATGCACTCCAACCTGGGTGACAGAGTGAGACTCTGTCTCAAAAATAAATAAATAAATAAAATAAAATAATAATAATAATGCAGCCCTCTTCATGACAAAGTTCACTGTTGTCACCTGTTACTAGGTGGTTGACTGGTCCCCGGGTATATAAGGCTCAGAATCAGGTGTTACTGTAGGCAAATTGAGCATTTAGTAAGGCCAACCTTGGTGAGAGAGATTTCCTATTATTGATGCCGGGCAGAAAGTCCATTCCTGCCATCATGGCCATATTTTTCATTAACCCACTGAGTGAGCACTGGAAGACTGAGGAAAGGACTCCAACTGTTATTATAAGAAAATGACATTTTTTATATGATTATTGAAAGCCTGTTCTGCCAAGGATGACTTTGGGTGAATGTTTACATGAGATACAAACATTCTCCCACTTGGTGCCAATTCTAAGTGATCCATGCAGAAGCCTTTTACTTAAACTTTCTTATCACCAATCCTCCAATTTTATTCTTTCAAACTTTCTGATCACCCAGCCAAACCATTAGCCACTACCCATGAATAACTAATGATCCACACCTGAGGCCATATATCCTTCCAGACAAAGTGAACAATGAGATATACAGCTTGAATTTTAGCCAATTGGAAGGATTTTTCTTCATCAGTGTCTTTCAGGGTAACCTCTAAGTGAGCCTGTAATACTGCAGTAGTCCACTTTTTACTAGTGTCAGCACATTATTCAGAACCATCTATAAACCAGGCTAAATTTTTTTCTCCTTTGTTAGCTGGTCATCAAAAAATCTCCAGGAAGTCAAAGGTGTCATTTGCAAGAAGAATGCCAGTGCAGCTGAAATAGGCATATTGGGAGTATGAGTCATCTACCCATACAAATTACTTAGGCCTTCAGGATCTCTTCAAATCTAATCTTGTGTATACCACTTGCTCTGAATTATGAAATGCTGTTGTATGTCCAAGTTTATGTCTTAGTGAATCAAATTACACCTGTCTCATGATGATTAGCTCAGGTCATATTAGTACTTGATGTGGAGCCAAGATCAGCAAGTTAGGAGCTGTTTCTCAAAGAGAAAACGATGACTTGCCAAAGTAAACAAACTGTGTTCCAAAACCCTTTGGGTCTGCATTGAGTTTCTTCTTGCTACAGGAGGTTTATTCCAGGATCCATCCTGCATCCCAACATGCCATGGGCACATTTCATATTTATGAGTCTACTGGGTCATAAGATCCAAGTGTCAGAGCAACTTGTTTGCAGCTTTCATTTGCTCCAGGCCCCGTTATAAAATTTTTTGTTCCTAGCCTTACAACATGGGCTCCACTAGTATAGAGATCTTTAACCCAATGAAGGAATAATTCTACATGGAACTCAACCATGGATCCTACCTCTTAATACTATTTAGATTTTTCACTACCTTCAGTAGCAACTCAACCAGAAACCAATTCCAGATCTCCCATAGGTCCTAGAAGATATGCTGCTGCAGCCAATCCTTATTGGAGTAATACTAATGTCTATATCACTTAGTATTCTTAGATGCCAGCAACAGAAAACAACTTTGGCTAGTTAAGCATAAAAGAAGTTTATTCAAGGATATCAAGGATATTAAAAAGCACTCAGAATCTCTAAAAGTATAAGATAATCTGGCATAAAAAATATTAATTAAAAAAATAAAGAAATACCAAAATTGCACCACAGAATTGATCCAGTGATAAATTCATTACCATTTTCAATGCCATTGTTTCTTCCACTTGAAGCAAACAACAATTTACATACTGCTGTTGTCTGAATATGTCTTTCCTATATGTTGAAACCTGATTGGCAATGTGATAGTATTAAGATGTGGGGTCTTTGGGGAGGTGACTAGATCATAAGCATGGAGCCCTCATAAATGGAATTAGTGCCCTTATAAAAGGGTCCCCAGAGGGCTGCCTTGTCCCTTCTGCCATGTGAGGACCCAATAAGAAGGCACAGTCCATGAGGAATGGACTATTAACAGACACTGAATCCATTGCTGCCTTAATCTTAAACTTTCTAGCCTCCAGAATTGTGAGAAACTAATTTCTGTTGTTTATAATATACCTGGTGTATCATGTTTTTGTTATAGCAGCCTGAATGGACTAAGACACAGACCCTGAGCCCTGGATTATATCACAAGACTCACTGGCACTGTTACCTCTAGAAATTGAATTTCTTTATGCCATTAATATGTAATAAGTTCCTACCACATGCCAGGCACTGTTCTCAGTGCTAGAGACATATCAGTGAAAACAAAAAGAGAAAAAAAATACTTGCTCTCATGGAACTTACAGTTCAGTGAAGGAAGAGAGACAAAAAGCAGATTTATTAGATGCTTATAATTACTAGGAAGAGAAAGAAGGCAGCAGAACAGGGACAGGGAAAATTACATTGGAATTGCAATTTTAAGTAAGATGACCAGAAAGAGACCTCCTGAGAAACTGACATATGAGTAAAAACCCAAAGGTAAACCAGCAACAATTCATCCAACTATCTGGATAAGAGCATTTCAAGGAAAGATAGCAGCAAGTCCAGAGGCTCTAAATTTGGAGCATACCTGAGATATTCCAGGAACAGCAAGGAGGCCAGTATGGTTAAAGAGACTAAGCAAGGGATATGAGATCAGATCATGTAAGGTTCTGTAGACCAAAGTTATGGCTTTAGCTTTTACTCTGATTAAGATAGAAAATCACTGGAAAATTTTGAGCAGAAGAGTGACCTGATCTCGCATATTCTGATAGGGTAACTCTGTCTGCTGTGTAGGCAGCCTGAAAGAATGACGAATGCATGCATTCATTCATTCAACAAATATTTATTGAATACCTACTATTCCAGACATATTTTTAGGGGCTAGAATGAATAGCAAATAAGACAAAAATTCTTGAGCTCTTGAAGCTTATAATACAGTAGGAGAAAACAGAATATAAATAACCAAATAAATATATAATATACATGGTAGTGGTGATAAATGCTCTGAAGAAATACAAGGAAGGATTAAGGAAGTATAGCACAGCATGAATGGGAAATACATTTTTAGCTTAGGTGACCAAGCAATTTCCCTCTGACACAGAGACATTAGACCAGAGATATGAATGAGGTAAAGGGGTAAGCCATGCAGGTGCCTGGGAAAAGAATGTTCTGAGCAAATTATACAGTGAGTCCAAAGACCCTGATATGTGAGCATGGTTGGTGTATTCTAAGAACAGCTAGGAGGCCTGTGTGGGTAGGACAGAGTAAGAGAAGAGACAACAGTGGTTTTATTTATTTATTTGTTTATTTGTTTATTTATTTATTTATTTTTGAGATGAAGTTGTCCAGGCTGGAGTGCAGTGGCACCATCTTGGCTCACTGCAACCTCTGTCTCCAGGATTCAATCGATTCTTCTGCCTCAGCCTCCTGAGTAGCTGGGATTACAGGCATGTGCCTCCATGTCTGGCTAATTTTTGTATTTTTAGTGGAACTGGGGTTTCGCCATATTGGTCAGGCTGGTCTCAAACTCCTGACCTCAAGTGATCCACCCGCCTCAGCCACCCAAAGTGCTGGGATTACAGGCATGAGCCACTGCACCTGGCCAACAGTGGCTTTAAATGAAGGCAAAGATATATGAAAGTACTTTATCATATGAGGCCTTGTAGGCCATTGCAATCATTTTGGGTTTTATTTTGAGTGACATAAGAAGCCATTGAAGGGTCTTGACCAGAAAAGTGACATAATTTGACATGTTTTTTTGTCTTAGTCAGCTCAGGCTGTTATAACAAAATACCATAAACAGATGGCTTATAAGTAACAGAAACTTATTTCTCACAGTTCTGGAGGCTAGTAAGTCTTAGATTGAGGTGCTGGCTTATTCAGTGTCTGGTGAGGGCTCCCTTCATAGATAGTCATTTTAACTTTATATGGCAGAATCAGGGAGGGTTGTTCTCTTTTGAGTCTCTTTTATAAGAACACTAATCCCATTTATAAGGGTAGAGCCTAATCACCTCTCAAAGGTCTCACCTTCAAATACCATCACCTTGAGCTTTGAATTTTTTTTTTTTTTTTTTTTTTTGAGACGGAGTCTCGCTCTGTCACCCAGGCTGGAGTGCAGTGGCGTGATCTCGGCTCACTGCAAGCTCCGCCTCCTGGGTTCACGCCATTCTCCTGCCTCAGCCTCCCAAGTAGCTGGGACTACAGGTGCCCACCACCACGCCTGGCTAATTTTTTTTTTATTTTTAGTAGAGATGGGGTTTCACCATGTTAGCCAGGATGGTCTCGATCTTGAGGTTAGGATTTCAATATACAAATATGGAGGTGATAAACATATTCAGACCATAGCACCGTTAAATCATCTTTTAGCAGCTATGTGGAGAACAAACTCATGGAGATTGTGGTCAGGTGTTCTATCTCTACCACAGGCCCATTCCTCACCTGAGGGCATGTTTTGAAAGTTGTAAATGCATCCAAAACTGCTCATCAGGATCTGGGTTCTCTCACATCAAACAAGTCTTAATGTCAGGCAGAATCAAGATCAGTCCATCATTAGTTGGAGGCAGTACATCCAGGATCAAGCACTAGCAGGGTCAAAAGTCAATTGTAAATTGCAAGAGCAAGTGGTCTTTACCCCCAAATCATCTGCTATGTTACACTAGTTTCTCTTCTAAGTTCACCCCTATAGTCAGATGGAGACAGTCCCTTATGATCGGCTAATGGAAAAAGAAAAACGCTAAGCTTAGTTCATGACTGGATCAGCTTAATATATGGGTGGAAGCTGAAAATGAACTCTGGCTGCTCGAGAGCCCTACTCAGGGGTGGCTTTAAAGGATAGTCATGAAGAAAAATCCTTCCAGTGGCCAGAATTCCTTGTGATGCAACAGATTATCCAATTTGTGAGAAAAAAATTGGCCAGAAGTTAGAATGTATGTGAACTTACAGGCAGCAGAAAATGGCTTGGCTGTTTGGTCAGGAACCTAGAAGAAAAAAGATTGAAAAATCAAGGATAAAGAGGTCAGTGTAAGAAACATAGTGGATTGACTTATGGGAATTGGCGTGCAATGTGAAGATACTGTTTTGCATTTTAACACTTACCAGAGAGCATGAAAGAGGCACTAAATAACAAGAGAAAACATAATTAGGCCAATTAGGCTACTCCAGTCTGGTACAATGGGCATATGCATGAAAAAACCCTCATCACAAGTATGGAGGCTAAGCATGGGCTAAACATCATTGAGTCTCACTAACCAAGACTGATCTAGCTACCACTGCCGCCAAACGTAGAACCCCAGCTATAAACAGAGACTATATCTGAGTCACTATCATGGCACTTTCCCTCAAGGAGACCAATCAGCCACTTGGTGGCAAGGAAATTACATCAGATGCCTTCCATCCTGGATTGTGGAGGCAATTCTCTTTATTATTGGAATTGGCATATATCCTAGCTATGAGCTTTCCTTTCTTCCCTTGGCCAGCATGACTACCTGGGAACTTACAGAGCGCTTGCTGCCTCAATAGGATACCACACAATTTTGTTGGAGATCAAGGGACCAGCTTTACAAAAAAGGGATTTTAGTAGTGGGCTTATATCCATGAGATTCTCTGATCCTATGACATACTGCATAATTTAGATGCTGCTCACCTATAAATTGATGTAATAATAAAGAATCAATTGAGAAGCCAGCTTGAGACCATATCTTAAAAGGATGGGGTACAACCCACAAGGATATGGTATGTAACCTAATTAAATGACCTTTATATAATGCCATCTCCCCAGTATGTATCATACATGTCTCTGAGAGCCCAGAGGTAAAAGTAGGAATGGCCCTGCTTATAATCACCCTCATTGACCCACTTGGCAATGTGTGCTTCTTATCTCTGCAACTTCAGGCTCTGTGGATGCATTCATTTCCTATTGCTGCTGTAACAAATTTCCACAAACTTAGCAGCTAAAAATGACACAAATGTTAACCCATAGTTCTGTAGCTAAGATGTTATGGTTGGCTCTTTCTGTCAAGGGTCTCATAAAGCTGATATCAAGGTATCGACTGATGTGGCATCTTATCTCAAGGTTCTGGAGTAGAATCTACTACCAAGATTTTGAGGTTGTTGGATGAATTTAGTTCTTTATGGATGTAGGCCTGGGGTCCTCATTTCATTGCTGGCTCTCAGCTGGAAACCTGTTTCCACTCATTAAGGTCACCTGCATTCCTCATCATGTTGCCTCCTCCATCTTAAAACCAGCAACAGCGTATCAGGTCCTTCTCATGCTTTAAATCTCTGACTTTTTCTTCTAATGCATCTCTTCTTTTTTTTTTTTTTTTTTTTTTTTTTGAGATGGAGTCTTGCTCTGTTGCCCAGGCTGGAGTGCAGTGGCATGATCTCGGCTCACTGCAAGCTCCACCTCCCGGGTTCATGCCATTCTCCTGCCTCAGCCTCCCAAGAACACTTTCCTGCTTTTAAGAATCCATGTGATTAGTTTGGGCCTACCTGGCTACCAGAATAATTTCTCTCTCTTAAGGTCGGCTGATTAGTAACCTTAATTACATCTGTAAAGTTCCATTTGCCATGTAATGTAACATAGTCACAGTGACTAGGGATTAGGACATAGAAATTTTCAGGGGTCTAGAAATCCTGGTTCCAAGGGAGAATGTGCTTAAACCAGGGATATAGTAAAAATCCTTATTAACTTTAAGTTACAGCTGCCCTCTGGTAACTTTAGGCTCTGAGAACCAAGAGACCAACAAGCAAAAAAATTAGTCACCATATTGGCAGGGGTATTTGACTTTGATAACCTGGAGGAGATAGGATAGCTATTACATAATGGGAACAGGGAAGAATACATTTGGGATTCTATTTATCCATTGTCTATTTGTACTCTCCTGCCCAGTATTGTAGTAAATGGACAAGGGCAGAAGCCATGACCTGAGAAAGGCATAGTGACTGCTATGGCTTAAATGTGTCTCCTCCAAAATTCACATTGAAATTTAATCCCCATTGTCATGGTATTGAGATGGGGCCTTTGGAGAAGTGATTAAGTCATGAGAGCTGAGAGCTTTGCCCTCACAAATGGATAATAAAAGGGTTGGAGGGAACTAGCTTAGGCCCATTTTGGTTCTTCTGCTATTCTAATATGTGAGGACACAGCATTCGTCCCCTTTTTTGCCCTTCCACCTCCCACCATGGGAGGATCAGCAAGAAGGCCCTCAGCAGACACTGTATGCCACCACCTTGATCTTTGGACTTCCTGGCCTCCAAAACTGTAAAAAAATTAATTTCTGTTTATTATAAATTACCCAGTCTCTTGTATTTTGTTATACTAGCACAAATGGACTAAGACAGTGACATGGGACTCAGAACCCTTGGGGATGAGAGTGTTTTGGTCTTCTTGAGCTGTATTAACAAAATATCACAGTCTAGATGGCTTAAACAACAAAAATTTATTTCCTCATAATTCTCGAGGCTAGAACTCCCAGATCAAGGTCTGGAAAAGTTTAGTTTCTGATAAGGCCTTCCTTTCTGGCTTGCAGACAGCCTCTTTGTTCTCACATATCTTTCCGTTGGTGTAAGTGCATGAAAAGTGAAAGAAATCTCCTCTCTTCCTCTTCTTATAGGGCCAGCAATCTTATCAGATTAGGGCCCTGTATTAGTCTGTTCTCACATTGCTATAAGGAACTACCCAAGACTGGGTAATTTATGAAGAAAAGAGGTTTGACTCACAGTTTCACAGGCTTAGCAGGAAGTATGACCAGGAGGCCTCTGAAACTTACAATCATGGCAGAAGGCAAAAAGGAAGTGAACACATCTTCACATGTCCAAGCAGCAGACAGAGTGTGAAGGGGGAAGTGCTACACACTTTCAATCAAACAGATCTCGTGAGAACTCTATCACAAGAATAGCAAGGAGGAAGTCTGCCCCATGATTCAATCACCTCCCACCAGACCCCTCCCCTGACATGTGGGTATTACAATTAGACATGAGATTTGGGTGGGGACACATAGCCAAACCATATCAGGCCCTATGCTTATGACCTCATTTCATTTTAATTACCTCCTGAAGGCCCTATGTTCAAATACAGTCACACAAGTGACTGGGGTTAGGAATTCAACTTACGAATTTTGGAGGAACACATTCAGTCCATTGAAGAGAGTATGGTCATCTCACCAGGTAAGCCCCCTGGATCAATAGGGGTACTAACTGATGGTAAAGGGAATCTAGCAAATATGAAAAAAGAGGGATTAAGAGTATCTGTTTTGGCCTCAAGACAGCTATAGCAACAAGAACTGATACCACTAACCTTTTTTTTATGTCTTCCAAGAAAAAAGGACAAGATCTTGGTGGTGTTTTCTCCGACACCACTTCTGAAACCAAATGTGTACATGTTTTATTCTGACACCAATAACCAATTCTCTGACACCAACTGGGTGTCCAATAATTCAGGTTAATTCTGAAGCTAACTCCCAGAGTTAGCACATAAACAACAGGTTAAGGGCTTAGTCCCACAAGACTTCCCCAACTTCAGATACCAGTTACAAGTCCTAAGAACCACCTATACTTCTGACCAACTAGCTATAAATTCAGGAGTTTCCACAACTCCAAATACCTCCTCAGGTTTGATAATTGAGTAGAACAACCCACAGAACTCAAGATAATAGTTTAGTTAGGTGTACTGGTTTATTATGAAGGCTACAAAATGGAAATAGCTAACTGGAAGAAATACATGGGGCAAGTTATGGGAGAGGGGATATGGAGCTTCCATTCCCATTATGAATGCACCATTCTCCTAGCATTTCAATGTGTTCAGCAACTCCAAAGCTCTCTGAATCCTATTGTCCAAGAGTTTTTATAGAACTCAAACTCAGCCTCCATTCCCTCCCCAGTTGTTAGGAGATGGGACTGAAAATTCTAACCCTCTAATCATGAGTTTTTGTCTTTCTAGTGACTAACCCCCTACCTAAAGCTATTTGGGACCCCATGCTTAGTCATTTCATTAGCATAAACGCAGATGATGTTAAAAGGGATTCATTATGAATAACAAAAGGCACTACTATCACTCAGGAAGTGCCAATGATCTGTGCCAAGAACTGAGTACAAAGATCAAATATATTAAATGATGTATTATACAAAAATATATATTGTATGATATATATTTACATAAATTCATATCTATATATTTAAAATATATTTTCATAAATAAATATATATTTATATAAAATTAATATGTATATTTATTTATATAAAACTTATTTGTTTATTTATTTATTTTAACAATGCAAAGAGATTCTTTAATGAGTTTCAATGGCCTTTTCTTGGCATTTTATAACCTTGACATCCAGCTCCATCCAGCTTCAAGCCTGGTAGAATCTGAGACCCTGACTGCTCATCATTGAAAAACTTCAGCACCTTGGAATAGCCCAGACTAAAATGGAGGCTACAAAAATGATTGGTGAATGAACAGAAGAATGTTATGTAAAAAAAAAAAAAAATACACCCTTTGGCCAAAGTGACATTTTTCTAATTTTAATTTTAACTCCCTTCTGTTTTTTGTCCAACTGGTTAACAACTTCATTATCAAAAATTTGAAAGCCATAATGTAGAAGTCCCTTATGCATCTCTTCTCTATGCTAATCCATACCCGATTCCTTTAACTTGTACTTTTCTTTGAATCAGTTTATAAATATATATATATATATATATATATATATTTATATTTATACTTTAAGTTCTGGGATACATGTGCAGAACATGCAGGTTTGTTACATAGTTATACATGTACCATGGTGGTTTGTTGCACCCATCAACCCGTCATCTACCTTAGGTATTTCTCCTAATGCTCTCCCTCCTCTTGTCCCCTACCCCTTGACAGGCCCTGGTGTGTGATATTCCCCTCCCTGTGCCCATGTGTTCTCATTGTTCAACTCCCACTTATGAGTGAGAACATGAGGTGTTTGGTTTTCTGTTCCTGTGTTATTTTGCTGAGAATGATGGTTTCCAGCTTCATCCATGTCCCCGCAAAGGACATGAACTCATTCTTTTTTATGGCTGCATAGTATTCCATGGTGTATTTGTATCACATTTTCTTTATCCAGTCTATTATTGATGGGCATTTGGGTTGGTTCCAAGTCTTTGCTATTGTGAATAGTGCTGCAATAAACATATGTGTGCATGTGTCTTTATAGTAGAATGATTTCTAATCCTTTGGGTATATACCCAGTAATGGGATTGTTGGGTCAAATGGTATTTCTGGTTCTAGATCCCTGAGGAATTGCTACACTGTCTTCCACAATGGTTGAACTAATTTACACTCCCACCAACCGTGTAAAAGCATTAATATTTCTCCACATCTTCTCCAGTATCTGTTGTTTCCTGACTTTTTAATGATTGTCATTCTAACTGGCGTGAGATGGTATCTCATTGTGATTTCGATTTGCATTTCTCTAATGACCAGTGATGATGAGCTTTTTTTCATGTGTTTGTTGGCCACATAAATATCTTCTTTTGAGAAGTGGCTGTTCATATCCTTTGCCCACTTTTTGATGGGGTTGTTTTTTTCTTGTAAATTTGTTTAAGTTCCTTGTAGATTCTGGATATTAGACCTTTGTCAGATGGATAGATTGCAAACATTTTCTCCCATTCTGTAGGTTGCCTGTTCACTCTGATGATAGTTTCTTTTGCTGTGCAGAAGCTCTTTAGTTTAATTAGATCCCATTTGTCTATTTTGGCTTTTGTTGCCATTGCTTTTGGTGTTTTAGTCATGAAGTCTTTGCCCATGCCTATGTCCTGAATGGTATTGTCTAGGTTTTCTTCTAGGGTTAATATGGTTTTAGGTCTTACGTTTAATTATTTAATCTATCTTCAGTTAATTTTTGTATAAGGTGTAAGGAAGGGGTACAGTTTCAGTTTTCTGCTTGTGGCTAGCCAGTTTTCCCAACACAATTTATTAAATAGGGAATCCTTTCCCCATTGCTTGTTTTTGTCAGGTTTGTCAAAGATCAGATGGTCGTAGATGTGTGGTGTTATTTCTGAGGCCTCTGTTCTGTACCATTGGTCTATATATCTGTTTTGGTACCAGTACCATGCTGTTTTGGTTACTGTAGCCTTGTAGTATAGTTTGAAGTCAGGTAGTGTGATGTCTCCAGCTTTGTTCTTTTGGCTTAGGATTGTCTTGGCTATACGGGCTCTTTTCTGTTTCCATATGAATTTTAAAGTAGTTTTTTTCTAATTCTGTGAAGAAAGTCAATAGTAGCTTGATGGGAATAGCATTGAATTTATGAATTACTTTGGGCAGTATGGCCATTTTCACGATATTGATTCTTTCTATCTATGTGCATGGAACGTTTTTCCATTTGTTTGTGTCCTCTCTGATTTCCTTGAGCAGTGGTTTCTAGTTCTTTTTGAAGAGGCCCTTCACATCCCTTGTAAGTTGTATTCCTAGGTGTTTTATTATCTTTGTAGCAATTGTGAATGGGAGTTCACTCATGATTTGGCTCTCTGTCTATTATTGGTGTATAGGAATGCTTGTGATTTTTGCACATTGATTTTGTATCCTGAGACTTTGCTGAAGTTGCTTATCAGCTTAAGGAGTTTTGGGGCTGAGATGATGGGGTTTTCTAAATATACAATCATGTCATCTGCAAACAGAGACAATTTGACTTCCTCTCTTCCTATTTGAATACCTTTATTTTTTTCTCTTGCCTGATTGTGCTGGACAGAACATCCAATAATATGTTGAATAGGAGTGGAGAGAGAGGGCATGGAGAGAAAGGGCATTCTTGTCTTGTGCCAGTTTTCAAAGGGAATGCTTCCAGCTTTTGCCCATTCAGTATGATATTGGCTGTAGGTTTGTTATAAATAGCTCTTACTATTTTGAGATATGTTCCATCAATACCTAGTTTATTGAGTGTTTTTAGCATGAAGAGGCATTGAAGCATGTCTAAGGCCTTTTCTGCATCTATTGAAATAATCTTGTGGTTTTTGTCATTGGTTCTGTTTATGTGATCAATTCATTTATTGATTTGCGTCTATTAAACCAGCTTTGCATCCCAAGGATGAAGCTGACTTGATTGTAGTGGATAAGCTTTTTAATGTGCTGCTGGATTCAGTTTGCCAGTCTTTTATTGAGGATTTTCCCACTGATGTTCACTAGGGATACTGGCCTGAAATTTTCTATTTTTGTTGTGTCTCTGCCAGGTTTTAGTATCAGGATAAGGCTGGCCTCATAAAATGAGTTAGGGAGGAGTCTCTCTTCTTCTATTGTTTGGAATAATTTCAGAAGGAATGGTACCAGCTCTTCTTTGTACCTCTGGTACAATTCGGCTGTGAATCTATCTGGTCCTGGGCTTTCTTTGGTTTGTAGGCTGTTAATTACTGCCTCAATTTCAGAGCTTGTTATTGGTCTATTCAGGGATTTGACTTCTTCCTGGTTTAGTCTTGGGAGGGTCTATGTGTCCAGGAATTTATCCACTTCTTCCAGATTTTCGAATTTATTTGCATAGAGGTATTTCTAGTATTCTCTGATGGTAGTTTCTATTTCTGTGGGATCAGTGGTGATATCCCCTTTTTAATTTTTATTGTGTCTATTTGATTCTTCTCTCTTTTCTTTATTATTAGTCTGGCTAGCGATCTATTTTGTTAATCTTTATGAATATAATATAAAATTAATATGTATATTTTTCTAAAACTTCTATATATTTATAGAAAATTAATGCTTATTATATAAAATATATCTATATTTATATAAAATAAATACATGTATAGAAAATAAATTTATATAAACTAAATATATATTTATATAAACTAAATATATTTGAAATAAATATATTTTTGAAAT
Source organism: Homo sapiens (assembly GCF_000001405.40). Lineage (NCBI taxonomy): Eukaryota > Metazoa > Chordata > Mammalia > Primates > Hominidae > Homo > Homo sapiens. Next base: position 98,393,704 of record NC_000023.11, on the reverse strand, counting down.
ATATTTATTTCAAAAATATATTTTATAATATAAATATATATTTAGATAACATAAATATATATTCATATTTACATATAAATATTTATATACAAATTTATTTGTATATAAATATATTATATATTTATATTAGCTAAATATATTATATAAATATATAAAATCTATTTCTATATTAGACAAATATCTATAATATATATATTTTTCTCATTAAAATTTGTTTTATGGGTCTCAAAATTCTGTGACATATTTTTGGTCAAGTTGTTTCCATTGAAAGTACTGATTTTACATAAATAGAACTAAAAACAAAAGCACATAATCATCTCAATAGATGCCATAAAGGCTTTCAATACTAATAAATTCAACATCCCTTCATGTTAGAAACCCTCAACAAACTAGACATCAAAGTGATATATCTCAGAATAAGAGCCATCTATAAAAAACCCACAGCCAACATCATACTGAACGGCAAAAGCTGAAAGCATTTCCCTTGAGAACCAGAACAAGACAAGGATGCCCACTCTCACCACGCCTGTTGAAGATAGTGCTGAAAGTCCTAGCCAGAGCCATCAGGCAAGAGAAAGAAATAAAAGGCAACCAAATAGGAAGAAAGAAAGGAAGTCATATTATCTCTCTTCCCATGTCATATGATTCTATACCTGGAAACCCCATAGTCTCTGCCCAAAGGCACCTCGATCTGATAAACAACTTCAGCAAAGTTTCAGGATACAAAATCAATGCACCAAGCTGAGAGAAAAGTCAAGAAAGTAATCCCATTCACAATAGCCACAAAAAGAATAAAATACCTATGAATACAGCTAACAAGGAAGGTGAAATATTTCTACAGCAAGAATTATAAAACAATGCTGAAATAAATCAGACATGACATAAACAAATGGAAAAACATTCCAGCTCATGGATAGGAACAATCAATATTGTTAAAATGGTCATAGTGCCCAAAGCAATTCACAGATTCAATGCTATTCCTATCAAACTACCAGTGACATTTTTCACAGAATTAGAAAAAAAACCACACACACACTCTAAAATTTATAAGGAATGAAAAAAGAGCCTGACTAGCCAAAGCAATCCTAAGCAGAAGGAACAAAGCTGGAGTCATCACCTGACCAGACTTCAAACTATACTACAATGATACAGTAAACAACATGGCATGGTATTGGCACAAAAATAGACACATAGACCAATGGAACAGGTTAGAGAACCCTGAAATAAAGCCACACATCTACAATCATCTGATCTTCAACAAAGCTGACAAAAACAAGCAATGGGGAAAGGACCATTCAATAAATGGTACTGGGATAACTGGCTAGCCACATGCAGAAGATTGAACCTGGATTCCTTCCTTTCGACATATATAAAAATCAACTCGAGATGGATTAAACACTTAAATGTGATACCTAAAACCAGGAAAAACCTAGAAGAAAATCTAGGAAGTATCATTTGGACATAGGCCCTGGCAAAGATTTCATGATTCAGACAACAAAAGCAACATAAAAAAAATTGACAAGTGGGACCTAATTAAACTAAAGAACTTCTGAACAACAAAAGAAATTATCAACAGAATAAACATACAAACTGCAGAATGGGATAAAATATTTGCAAACTATGCATCTGACAAAGGTCTAATATTCGGAATCTATAAGGAACTTAAATTAACAAGCAAAAAACAACCCCATTAAAAAATGGGCAAAGGACATGAACAGATACTTCTCAAAAGACAAAACAGATGCAGCCAACAAGCATATGAAAACATGCTCAACATCGCTAATCATTAGAGCAATGCAAATCAAAACCACAATGTGATACCATTTCATACCAGTCAGAATGGCTGTTATTAAAAACTCTAAAAATAACAGGTGCTGGCAAGGTTGCAGAGAAAAGGGAACATTTACACACCACTGGTGGGAATGTAAATTAGTTTAGCCACTGTGGAAAGCAGTTGGAAATTTCTCAAAGAATTTAATACAGAAATACCATTTGATCCAGCAATTCTATTGCTGGGTATAAACCCAAAGAAATATTAAATTGTTCTACCATAAAGACACATGCATGTGTATGTTCATCCCAGCACTATTCACAATAGCAAAGACATGAAAGCAACCTATATAACCATCAGTGGTGGACTGGATAAAGAAAATGTGGTACATGTACACCACAGAACTCTGCATTGCCATAAAGAAGAACAATATCATGTCCTTTGCATTGACATCAATAGAGCTGGAGGCCATTATTCCGAATGAACTAACAAAAGAACAGAAAACCAAATACTGCCTGTTCTGACTTACAAGTGGAAGCTAAACATTGAGCACATATGGACACAAAGAAGGGGAAAATAGACAAAAGACACTTGGGCCTACTTAAGGTGGAGGGTGGGAGGAGGATGAGGATCAAAAACTACCTATCTGGTACTATGCTCGTTACCTGGGGGACAAAATAATCTGTACATCAAATCCCCATGACACACACTTCACCCATGTAACAAATCCACACATATACTTTCTGAACTTAAAAAATAGAAGTCAGAAAAAAGAAAATAAAAAATACTGATTTTAAAAACTAATAACTTAAAACTGCCACATGCAAAAAAATAAAAATAAAAATAAGGAAACCATTTTGGGGTTCTCCTTTTATTTTGAAGGTTTTGTGATGCATCCTTATCATTAACCAGACTTTTACTATTAAATGGTCAACTGAAACAAACAGTTCTGGGACCATTCTTCTACCACTGATTAAGACTGGGGTGGCAGGTATTAGAGATAATATGCATTTAGGCTTCTGAGCTTTCTGGGAATATTTGGTGACCTTGTCAGCTCCAACAGCAATCTGGTCCACTGCTTTGATGACATCCACAGCAACTGTCTGTCTCATATCACCAAGAGCAAAACAATCCAGAGGAGGATAGTCAGAGAAGCTCTCAACACACATGGGCTAGCCAGGAATCGTATCCATGATGGCAGCATCGCCAGACTTCTAGAATATAGGGCCATCTTCCAGGTTCTTATCAGAACAGCAATCAATCATTTTCTTCAGCTTGGCAAACCTGCAAGCAATGTGAGCTGTGTGACAATCTAGTACAGGGTCATAGCCAGCACTGACTTAACCTGGATGGTTCAGGATAATCACCTGAGCAGTGAAGCCAATTGGTTGATTATGTTTGCTGTCACCAGCAATGTTGCCATGATGAACATCTTAACAGACAAATTCTAGACATTGAAGCCCAAATTGTCACCAGAAAGAGCTTCACTCAAAGCTTCATGGTGCATTTCAACAGACTTCACTTCAGTTGTAACATTGACTGGAGCAAAGGTGACCACCATGCCAGGTTTGAGAATACTAGCCTCCATTTGGCCACCAGGGACAGTAACAATACAACCAATTTTGTAGACATTCTGGAGAGGCTGATGAAAGGGCTTGTCAGTTGGACAAGTTGGTGATAGGATGCAGTCCAGAGCTTCAAGCAGCATGATTCTATTAGCATTGCCATCTTTACAGGTGACTTTTCATTCCTAGATCCAAGGCATGCTAAGCACTTGGTTCCAGCATATTGTCACCATTCCATCCAGAACTTGGCACACATGCTTCTGTGCTGGGGTTCTAGCCAATTTTGTTTTCTTTTTTCTTTTTTGTACCTATGCCACTTCTTCCAAGAATGCAGCCAATTTTCTTAATGTAAGTGCAGAATTCCTTAATAATTTCTTCATATTTCTTCTGACTGTAGGGTGGCTCAGTGGAATCCATTTTGTTAAGACAAATAATTAATTGTTTCACCCCCAGTATATAAGCCAGAAGGGCATGCTTACAGGTTTGCCTATTCTTGGAGATACTAGCTTCACATTCACCAACACCAGCAGCAAGCATCAGGACAGCATAGTCAGCCTAAGATGTGCCTGTAATCATGTTTTTGATAAAGTTTCTGTGTCTTGGGGCATCAGTAAGTCATGTAGTACTTGCTCATTTCAAATTTCCATGGGGAGATATCAATGGTGACACCACATTCACACTCAGCTTTCAGTTTATGTAAGACCCAGGCATACTTGAAAAAGCCCTTTCCCATCTCAGCAGCGTCCTTCTCAAAGTTTTCAATGGTTCTTTTGTCTACCAGATGGCCATTAGTGGTGGGCTTGCCCGAATCTTGATGTCCAATGACGGTGATGCTGATATGAGCCTTTTCCTTTCCCATTTTGGCTTTTAGGTGTGCTTTTCATGACACCTGTGTTCTGGTGGCAAACCCATTGCTAAAAAGCCAAATACATTTTTTATAATACCACAGAGAGCAACCAGAATCCTGAAAGGAGCCTTTCCCAGATGAGCAAACTTACCATATGAAACAATTAAATTCAAGCATCACAGGGATCAAATGTAGTGAATTTTGGCGATCCATTAGCATCCCTTCTTGCTCATTTTCCCAGTTGTCAGGAGTATTGCTGCTGATGGCTCACTGCTGAGTCCTTCTCTGAACATTGCCCTTAGCCAATAAGAGCTATCTTGTCTAGGTTATAGCCCCTTCCCAGGGACAAGTTGCATACAATGACTGGTCTATGCAAGATACAAGCCCCTGACCCTTTTGCCTTAACTCTGAAGGACATCCTAGTTATAAAGCTCCCCACAGAGTCAGCTAATACCAATGGTTCTTTTGCATTGTAGTTCGGCTTCTCCCTGTGACCAATCCTGCTTCTCTCACAACTTTACTAATGTCATTCCTGAGATCACTCCTCAATAAACCTCTTGCACACACATCTCTGTCTCAGAATCTGTTTAATATCCAAGTTTAAATGCCCAAGTTTAAACAAGAGGTGACCCCAGGAAGCACCAATTGGAAAATAGAGAAGTGAGACAGAAAAGGGAAGAAAGCCAATACAGCATGCATTAATAAACAAAAAGTTTACTTCTGTGTGCAACTGAAGCTCGATCCAGCTGAAGGAGAATTCCAAGAAACTATAGAACATGTCCTAATGTCATCTCTCTGAAGCAGTAAAGAAGTCGGGATATTTATCCACTAATTTCTGTCAATTATTGATTAAGGGCTGATCTAACAGTACTAAATTTCAGTGGCAGCCCACCCGAGTTACAGGTAGAGCACACTCCTGTGGCCAGAGAAAGTCCTCAAGCAGAAAGTCACATGCCTTGCAATAAGAAAATATAAGGAAAAAATTCTAGAACTAAGCCACCGGGGGTTCCAACACTCAAGATATCTGGATGATAAGGATGATCAAGCAAAGTATGCCAAGAAAAAGCAGCCAAAAGGGAAGGAGACAGAAGCCAAGGAGTAAATGATCAAATTATGTCAAATGCAGCTTATAGGAAAATAATATGAGGACTGAGAATTGAGTGTGGGATTTAGGAACATGGAAATCATTGGTAACCTTGTCAAGAGTTACTTCAATGGAGTGACCGCGATAAAAACCTGACTAGTGTGAGATCAAGAGATAACAGAAGGTGATGAACTAAAGACAGTGAGTATTGAGGGGTTTAAGGCAGTTTTGCTAAATGGGGAGCAAAGGAAGTTAAAAATATCTCAAAAAGATGTAACATCGAAGGAGAGTTGTGTCAAAGTGGGATATTGCCACATGTGTGCATACTGATGGAAATGATCTAGTAATGATGGAAAAAAATAGATTAAAGAAAAGGAGAAAAATGACACCTTAATTGTCCATGAGCTGGTAAGAGGCAATGCAATTGAGTGTGCAGGTGTAAAGGCTGCCCTCTACGTATATTCAAAGCATTCACATCTTTTTCATGAAATACCAGATAATGAATTCCAACAAATTAAAGGCACCCTTTGCTTGACTTAACTCTGAATTCTTGAAGTTTGTTCCCTGGCTCTGAATGTCACTGACCTTGTCTCACTTTTTTTGTCCTTAATCACACCACAACTGCACTGATTAACCTCAGTCTACAGTGGAGGACCAATCCTGTCCTTCATCCTGTCCTTAATCAGGAGGTAATGAAGTCTTTCTAGCCCATCTCTCAGCTGTGAGTGACCTTTCTGCTAGTCCAGTGTAAACCAGATGCCTCTATTCTGAAAATAGGCTTCTGCTATTTCCTTGAGTCTTGTTAATACACCTTGAAGAGTAGCAGAATATACCACCCCAAAACGTGGCACCTTGACATAAGGATTTTCTTGAGGCAAAAGCAATTGGGAAGAAGCAGATCCCAAGATACAAAAGCTCTCTGCCCTGCCCCTATTTGCCTAAAAGCAGGACATAAATTTGTAAAGGTGTCTCCCCTCACCACTCAACCAAGAAAAATTGAAATTAATCATCACAGGCAACTCTAGACCCTCAGCAGCCTAGGGACCCCCCAAGATGAGTCTTCATAACAAATGTTACTAACTAGCCCTTATCTTCCATTAGTTTCCCCCATGTATTTACCTTCCCCAAATTTACTTTCCTAGAAACTCAAAGTCCTTTTCCTTTGTTTTGCCACTTCTCTAAATATTTATTTTTATTTTGTTAAGATGTTATATAAGCACACATTTTAACTATCCCTTTGAGTTTCACATCATTTAGTGTCTGTTGCTCGATGTGTATATATGGGGCACATGTTAATCAAATTGTTTGCTTTTCTCTTGCTATTTTATCTTTTGTCAGTCTAATTCACAGGTCCCAGCCAATGAACCTAAAATGGGTAGGGGGAAAAAGGTTTTTCCTCTTCTATAGCCCATTACTTAGATCTCTATAGGACCAGGGACTTCTTTGTCTTACCAGTAATGTCCATCCCTGGGATTTGCCTACAGCCCATGAACCCTCTTATGTTATGGTAGACTTCCTGGAATGCTGCACACCTCCTAGCTTTGATCATTCAATATCACTTGAATCAATGTGCTTGACCATCTTCAGGGATATCCCATTATTCTCTCTCTCTGTTACTGATTCCTTCTCTGGGCATACAATAATGTATTCTGTAGCTATATCTCTGCCTGGTGGTCTGGCAGAACCTGAAGCCGTCTCAGTCACCAGAGGGTCTATGCATTTTGCAATCTGTCCTAAGCCACTATAGATACTTGAGCCATGCTTGGCTATGTCATGAAAAATTATACTGGAATCATTGTAATGTACTAACAAAATACATTAATTGGCATATTTTTGTAGGAAAACTAAATCTCAAACTGCCACTCCATTCTTGCTGTCATTTTCTTTGTTTCCTGCCAAATCAAATAAACCTAGCCAAAACTATTTCTCATGAGCCTGTTGGCTTTATTTTGGCATATAGAATATTTTCAATAATCTACATCATCTTGCTCACATAGAGATACAGTGGTTGACTAACTGGATTAGAAGTTAGGTAAACATTGCCAGCTGTGATTATAAACACAGTGTAGAGCTTCTTGTGACACTCCCCTCCTCCTGCCCTTGTATGGTGCTGTATTTATATTTGCCATGTCAACTAGAAATTGGTTTTAAAAAGTGAACACTGCTTCTTGAGCTTGACCTTCATATTGAATAATTCTAGTTGCTATCCTTTGTAAAGCTTAAATCACAAAGCAGCTTCATTCCATTTGATTATAAATCTTTTACATTATTTCAGTTTTGGCTACTTTCAAAATAGAGGTGTCTTTCCTTTTCTTCAAATTGAGATATGTCGTTTCTGTTCAGCAATGCTGCTTTCATTTAACAATTAAAGTGTAAAAGAACTAAGACTATGAACAATTGAGCAAAGTTGCTGCTATGCTCAAGATATTTTCAAAGTTTATAGACAGCAATAAAAGTCTTCACGATGAAAAAAGTATGCAAATGTGATTAGCACTCTTAAAAAGAGAGCTGAAAGACAGCATATCAACACACAAAGATCTTGCCTGTAGCAACTAATCTACATTGTTAATTATCAATCTCACTCTGGAAACTGAGCCATGATATCAATGAGATCAATGATCTTAGTGGGCTGCTAAATACTCAGCAAATAGCTCTTTACCTTAAATATAATCATTGGGATTAATTTGAACAGTTTACCAAAGTGCACAGTTAAGTGTGCAGTCTATTCCAGTGGGAAAAAATAGAAAATAAAACATAAATTTTACCTTTTTGGCTTACTTTTAAAATACAGGAACAAATGAAAAATATCTTCAGGTTGATTAAAAGAAATAACAACAAAGTAGATCTCAAAACAAAAATCCTCAAATTCTTTCTGTTATAAATGGCCAAGGATCTTGAAGAAGATCAGAATATGCCACTTTAAAATAAGCCACTTTGGCATGGAGATTATTTTGAGCTGAAGGAAACTGAGAAACAGTAGATGCAGGAAGAGCTTTCTGTCCTCCCCTATCTGCCTAAAAGCAAGGAATGAATTTTCCATTAAAAAGGTGCCCTCCCTGAACCAGGAAGGGGAGAGCAACACTTATCATCACATAAGAGTTAATACTAAGTCTGCATAAACCAATCTTACCAAGACAAGCTTTATCTTCCGTTAGTTACTCTATGTATTTCCTAGTCACTTTCCCACAATTTATCACTCCTAGAAAACCAAACTCACTTTTCTTTGTCTAGTCAGTTGTCTACAATGTATTTCCTTTTGTTAAAATGGTATAAGCCCCCAAGTCTAATTGCTTCTTTGAGTTTTTACTTGTTTTCTGTGAGGCCTTCACCCACATAAAAATATTAGCTTTAATAAAAACTGTGAAAGGAAAATAAATTTTGGAGCCCCCAAATCACTAAGCTAAAGGAAAAAAGTCAAGCTGGGAACTGCTCAGGGCAAACCTGCCTCCCATTCTATTCAAAGTCACCCCGCTGCTCACTGAGATAAATGCATATCTGATTGCCTCCTTTGGAAAGGCTAATCAGAAACTCAAAGGAATGCAACTATTTGTCTCTTATCTACCTGTGACCTGGAAGCCCCCTCCCCGATTCCAGTTGTCCTGCCTTTCCAGACCTAACCAATGTTCATCTTACATACATTGATTGAGGTCTCAAATCTCTCTAAAATGTACAAAACCAAACTGTGCTCTGACCACCTTGGGCACATGTCATCAGGACCACCTGAGGCTGTGTCACAGGCATGTGTCCTCAACCTTGGCAAAACAAACTTTCTAAATTAACCTGAGACCTATCTCAGACACTCGGGCTTCACAACTGTATGCCTTTTCTTTTGCTCCTATGGCTTTTGTCAGCTTAATTTACAGGCCCCAGTGCCTGAACTTAAAAGGATAGCAGACAAGTTTTTCCTCTTCTACAATTTATAATGGGAAGGTTCATATTTCTACAAGAAAGAAAAGAAAGGTAATATTGTCAGTCTCTGTTCTTCTTCAGTGACTGAAGGAGATAAACTTTAGCAAAGGAAATTCCTAGCACCATTATTTTCCCTCTTCCCCTTAAAAACTTTCATATTCGATAATGTGGTCAATATACAGAGGAGAATGACATAACTCTGTATATAGTATTATAATTAGAAATACATTCTCAATACAGAATCCTTCCATAAATGCTTCAGTCAATAAATATTTATTGAGTGCCTATTTGATACTACATGCTGCACTAAACACTGGGTAACAGACACGGTCCTTGTTCTTACAGAGTTTACAGTAAGACAGACATGAAACAAGTAGTTACAATACAATATGATAATTATAGAGTGCTACGATGTCAAATAAAAAAACCCAGGCTTAGGTAAGAAGAGAGTTTATTCCAAAGGATTTTTGCAAGATGGTGGACAAGAACTATGACAGAAGAAGTGGATGACTATTACAATGGGGAATATGCTGACCTCTGCAAACATCTCAAAAGCCAGGCAGAAAAGGGCTTTACTTTTGTAGGGAGAAGTGAACAAGTCTAGAAAAAAAACAGTACTGGGGAGTGGGATGAGTGTGTGGATGTGGTATGATCTGACAGTACATCATAACAAAGACTATCTTCTTGACCAAAATTTACTCACGCTACTCTGACCATTCTTAACTGGGCCTCAACCTTGTTCTATGAAAGCTGTATACTCTCAGCACAAATGATTTTATCTATCTCTCCCCCTCCATACCAAGAGACTTGAACAAACACTAGCATAGTGTCTAACAGCTCAAGGCCATGTCTTTAGGATGATGACCCTAGTACCCTTAATTTCCCTCAAGAGAAAGCTTAATGCTGCCAAAAAAATTTCCTGAATGTTCCAACCCAAAACTAACTACAGGCCCCTGACCTCCCTTTTCTTAGAAGGATTTACTTTAAAAATAACTTACAATTGCAAACCCTTTTTCTGTCCCTTTGAGACGTATATGTATCTTCTACAACCCAGGAGTGTCTTTCTCAATGATTTGAGAGCCATTCCTTTGAAATATAATCATCAGGAAGGAGAGAGCCCCTGTCTCCTAGTGTCTGTGGGAAGATAGGCCTAACTTAGGTACATATCAATCAGCAAACACAGATGGCCTAACTGCATTGACATTGACCAACACCCTTACCTGCTTTTTTTCACGTCTCTAACTTTGTTCAAGCCCCTTCAACCCCATCCCTATCCCATCCCCTGCCCTAGTCATTTCCCCTTACTACTCCCTTATTCTCCCTTTGAAATGCCCTCAACTTTGGTCCACCCTCAACCAGAGCCAGCACACAACCCCCTCTTAATGGCCCTTCCTAAGATAGACTGACCTCAGGGTAAAACAGTCTCTGATAGTTAAAGAAAAATGAAGCTGGATACTAATTAAAGGTGGTAAAGATAGAATTTACTTAATAGTACTGTTACTGGTGGCAGGTCCATCTGGGTCTGCAGCAACCTCAAATCTTGCCTTCTTAGAAGAATTTGACTGAGGGGCATAAGGCTGAAGGAAAGACTGAGGCAAGAAGTTTTAGAGCAGGAGTGAAAGTTTATTAAAAAGCTTTAGAGCAACAACAAAAGGAAGAGGCCCAAGCAGGCAACTTGAAGGACAAGTGCGTGGTTTGACCTTTTGACTTAGGGTTTTATATGCTGGCCTGCTTCCAGTGTCTTGCATCCCTTTTCCCTTTATTCTTCCCCTGGGGTGGGCTGCCTGCATGTGCAATGTGTTTACTGGAGTTGTAGGCATGCTGACTTGAGGCGTTCTTCCCTTTACCTGTGGAATGTCCTTGGAAAGCCATACTCTGCCATTTTGCCTCATAATGTGCATGCTTGAGTTCATTCACCCAACTCCTGAGATCTTATCAGGAAGCTGCTGATCCCCAGTTTTAAGTGTTTCCTATCAATATAGGGAGACTGCCTGTCCCTGGTCCTGGCTGTGACAAATTATTATTTTAGAGAAACAGTTAACAACTGCCTGACCATCCTCTGACAGTCACCTGACTTTCCTGGTGGCGTGTGTGGGGGAGCCCTCTCCTGCCCTGCATATGCCTGACTAGCTACCTACTGTAACCAGTACTACTCCAGTATAAGATGAGCTCAAAGTTGAGGGCCCTGGGGAAAGGAGAGAAGCTCAACTAAAGTTTTCTCAAGTCAGATTGATGGGCATTTTGTTCCTATTGACCAATGCGGACAAACAGTTCCACTATTCATGGAACAAAGAATGGGAATCTGGAGGCTATGATAGTTAATTTTAGATGTCAACTTGACTGGGTTAAGGGATGTCCAGGTAGCTGGTAAAGCATTATTTCTGGATATGTTCATGAGAGTGTATTAGGAAGAGACTGGCATTTGAATCAATAATCTATGTACTGAGGCACAAGTAAAAAATATTTTTTAAAAACAGGCTGAGTAAGGAAGATCTACCCTCAACAATGTGGGCAGGCATCAGCCAATCCATTGAGAGCCCAGATAGAACAACAGGCAGAGGGAAGGCAAATTCTCTCTCTCTCTTGAAGGTGCAACATTCATCTTTTCCTGCCTTCTGACATTAGGATTCCAGGTTCTCAGGTCTTTGGACTCTGGGACTTACACTAGCAGCCCTCTTAGTTTCCCAGGCCTTTTGGAATCAGACTGTATTATGCCACAGGCTTCCCTGGTTCTCTAGCCTGTGGATGGCATATTTTAGGACTTCTCAGTCTCCATAATCATGTCAGACAACTCACATAATAAATGTCCTCGTGTTTCTATCTATCCATCTATCTCTCTATCTATCTATCTACCTACCTACCATTGGTTCTGTTTCTCTGGAGAACCCTGATTAACAGATGGCTTTTGTCTTGCCATAAGAAAACAATGGGAGCATCTATGAGTCATTTCTAATTTCTGATGGGAAGGGTGGTTCCTTGCAATAAGCAAATTCCAGGAACATAAATGTGAGGGAGGATTTCCTAATTTTTACTATTTTCCAGGAGCACAGGGCTCAGGTAAAAAGCAACATTGTCAATGGAAATACACGGCAAATCACCTATCTTTGTTCGGGATTTGGAAACACCACCCAGTTCAGTGATATAAATTGCTTGCGGAATGATGGGTTGGAACAAGCAGGATAAATAGTAGTTGGGTAGAAAACATTAGCTTGTGGCAATACAGATTAACACCTGTGTGAGGAATTTCAAGTTCAGTCTTCTTGCAACAAAAAACTGAGAGAACCAAGTAATGTAGTGACAATGGTAAATTTTTCTTGTTCTCCTGGAAAACAAGGGTTAAAGTATTCCTCCACCCTCTGTGTTCCAAGAAAGTGCTTACTACAAAGAACCATTCTTCTCCTTATAACTTAGTTAAGACTCACTAATGCCCCCTTGTTTATCTATGACAAGGCCAGACACAGACACTTCAAAAAATTCCTGTTTTTTGCCCCATAATTGGTTAGCTATTTTGTTCCTACTGATCAATGGGAGCAAAATGCCTGTTAACCCAGTTTGGTTAAGATTCTATCCCTTCCCCAGGTCCCTGAACTTTGGCCTGACCTCAGCCTGTGTGAGTGATAGAGACAGAAGGCAGCCAAGGGTCACAGGAGAAACCCCACCGTCAAGCCTAAAACAGCTTGAAGGCTGAAAAACCAGACTGCCGGTCCCAGATAAAGCCCACCTTTTCCCGACTGATTCTTTCTGAATAATGCCCACCTGCGCACTGGCGGGGACAGGCTGGAGCCTCTTGAAGTTTGCGCCCTTTGCAGTGGGGAGGAGCCTGGCCTCTCTAGTTCCTGTGTGGTAACCCGGGATTCAATCTGTGAGGCGGGAAACCTGCCAGCAGGACTCTCGCTTTTCTGTGGGTTCCTGTTTCCCTTTTTTATTTTTTTCCTTTTCACCCAATAAATTCCATTCCCCCTCACTCGTCAAAGTGTCTGTGTGCCTAACTTTTACTGGTTGTACGACAAGAACCCAGTTTTTTTCTACAACATTTTTGGCGTCCGGATGTGGGGCTTGAAGAAGGGTGAGTAATATGCGAACCAATTTTTTTTCCTTTGGTTTCTATGTCATTTTCTCCTGGGACCTCTTCCGAGGGTAGAAGAAACTGCACACCACCCCACCCCAATGGCTGCAGGCACGCGCGGGATGGATTGGGGAATGGCGGCTCCCCAGCTCCCCTCCCGGCCAGAGCTGGAATGTATGGCCCCAGGGTGCCCAGCAGCAGGCTGGCCTGTGCTCCCTGCCACACGTCCACAGAGCCTTCCCCTCCCCTCGCCAAGAGGAACTATTTGCATAAGAATAAGAGGGTCTTCCCCAGGTATCTTTTCTTTTCTCTAGCTTGTCAGTAGTTGACTTTTAAGAGAGGCTTTTCTTTTTCCTTTTGGAAGACGTTTTGCTGGGCCGGGAATGATGGGGATTACTGTTTATATTTTCTGTAGAGTTTTAATTGTAAGAAAGGATTTGTGAGGTTGGCCTTAAACTATAGCCAATCTGGTGTGTTTTGCCTGACTTTCTATATGGTCCCTAGCAAACTTTGCCGCAGGCCTCCATCTTGTTTTAAGTCCTTGAAACCAAGACCTACAACCACCTGGCAATATTTTGTTCTAGCCTCTGCCATTTTACAATGGCGGCCCTGGGTTCAATCCCAGCTTAGGGAATGAGTGCTTTCTGGTTTGATATCTGTGCGACCTTTGCTATCTGTTAATTCTCTTCCCCTCCACGAACCACTTTGGATTTTCCCTTCTGTGAGCCTTTAATAAAGTTTGAAAGCCATAAATATTGGCCACTTGGCACTGCTAGAGTCAGATAGTAAGGGAGTTAAAAGGATTTTTTTAAGGCATGCTCAGCTTAATTAAAAATGGATATCCAAATTATAGGTATATTTAAAAGGACTTTACGTTTTTCTTTTCTTGGACATTGTTTTGCTGGAAAAAGTTTGTTTTTCAGTTGACTAAATTATTTTTCTCCATTTTGACTTTCCACTTTTAATGCACACATGAGGGGAGAGACCTCTGTTTTCCTCATGGAACTGCAGGAATTGAAAGTGGATTGATCCCTCTCAAAATCTGTTTTTGCCCCACCTGTGCCCGTTTATTAGGCCTTAGGAGCTGTGTATTTTCCTAGCTCTGTCTCTTAAAGGGCTCCACCTGGAGGCCAATAATCCAATTAGGAGATTGGCAAATGAGAGATCTTACGGAGACTGGGTTTTCTTCTGCCTGTCTGTGTCGTTATATATGTGTTCTGAGTGTGATGTCTATAAAAAGAGCTCATTAATTGGCATAAAAGAAGATAAGTGTATGGATCAAATATTTTTTAAAGGGAAGATAAAAGCTGTGGTACCTTTCAGTTCACATGACGTTAATCTTTGAGAAATAGCCGTAAATATTATTGGTGAAAAGCAGATGTTGTCAAAATATAAATAGGTGGACTAAATTGGGCAGGTCAGGTGCTAGGTTTGCTAAATGTTTTAAGGTTGTAAACCACTTTTTGGGTTTTGAGAACTATTTGACTTGCCTGCTTCACAACTGGAAAGGCCTGGGGACATTTAGAACTAACCGTGCCCTTAATTATGCTGGAAGGCATCAAACCTTGGTTGCACCTAGCACATAATAAAAAAAAAACTTACCAGGTTTTACACTAAAGTTAAAAATTGCTAGTAGTTACCATTATAGCATGTAATTGAAACTACTGGGAATAAATTTACATGTGAGATGTGTAGCAACAATAAAATGTGTTTTTAATAAAAGATTATAAGAAGGCATGAAATGTAAATTCTTGCCTAGGGTTAAAGATTGTTTTGAATTAGATAAAATAAAGCTAACAGTTCAAACAAGTGGTGGAAGGATTGTAAAAATCTTGCAAAAGTTCCTTGTGTGAACATATTGACTACATTCGAAAAGTTATATGTTTTTTCTGTAAATTAAACATTGAAATAAAAGCACAACAAGGTACTCTTAAGGCATGAATCTGCTCTTCAGCAAAAATTTGTAAAGGATTATAAAAGGTTTTTGCTTTTTTAAAATTTCTGAGTCATTTTGGCAAAATAAATAATTTATGGTAATCTGGAACTCTATTTTATAACATCAAGTGTTTTAAACCTCTAACAAATTTAACAGACTTTTCAAAATCAAACTTAAGCTTCAAAATTTTCTTTCCTGACACCTGGCTTTTGGAGGCTTCAGAGGGTCCATGGAGTATCCAAAAGAGAGGTAAACAGGATTATTTGATACATTTAGGTACATGGGATTGCTAACATAGTGTTCAATCGTCTTAAGGCTATATTTTTGTGAATAATATTAATATATGTTCCAAAACTGTATGGCATTTCTAAAATTCTAATGTCTGAGTATATGCTATCAATCATAACTAAGGTTGGTATGTTAAGTTATTGTAAACCATGGAGATAACCAAACTTCTTTGTTAATTGGGTTTCTAACTGTAACTACCCTGGATATTTTGTTATTCACAGACAATTGTCTTGTTTTAACCCTTCTCAAAAGATGGTTTATAATAAGCTATGGGACTCTGACAGGTACTCTCAAATACAAGTTTCTGATAACTTTGGAGATTGTGACATTGGAGTAAGGGAAAAACATACAGGACTCCTAAAGACCTAAAATATTCATGAATATCAAAACCAGAGTTAACTAAATGGACTGAACTCAGAAAACTGAAGCAATGTTTTTGACTTTTGCTTGGAATGTTGCTGATACTTGTTTGGTTTTTTAGAATCAATGAAACTTATTTTTAACTATTTACAGCCTTTAATAATTGAGTAAGGTATACTTCTGTGAACAAAATTTGCAGCATGTTTGTTTCTCTCTGCCTGTTTCCTCTAGAATTTGGAAACTGTGAGTATTCTTAACTTATGGCAATATAGTTATTTGCATCTGTGCAA
Source organism: Homo sapiens (assembly GCF_000001405.40). Taxonomy (NCBI): domain Eukaryota; kingdom Metazoa; phylum Chordata; class Mammalia; order Primates; family Hominidae; genus Homo; species Homo sapiens. The sequence continues at coordinate 98,377,588 of NC_000023.11, read as the reverse complement.
TAAGAATCCATTTTCTTTTGCAACAGAATGCAATTGGAGAAACTGGTTGTTTTATCAAGGCTTTGAATGGAAGGGTATGCTTTTCTTTAAGGAGTCAAGCTCAACTTGCAGAACTGATAAAACCCCGTGGGGAGACTGTCCTCATACCCTTCCCAATGCTGTCCCTATACAGGGTTTTGGACCTGTGGTCAGTAAAGAATGTCACTTTCTAACAGACCCAGGAGCTCCAAGTTTCTCTTGAGACCTTAAGAGGAAAGGATCACCCAACTTACAGGTATTTGAGGATACAAACCAATGGCTGGGCTCAGCTTTAAACGATCTTATCTGAGATTCCTTGTGGAACAGAGTTCTATCAAAGCCAATCTAAAAGGCCTATGTAGAAATAGTTATTCTTGCTGCACTTTATGCAAATAATCAGGCCAACTATAAGGTCTATTTTGCAAACAACTCAGTCCCATCATGACTGTTTATTTTAACCAAAAATGAGGACTGGAGAGAAATTATGCTTCAAAACTTATACATTTCTCATTAAATTCTAAGCTCCTTAATTGTTTTTAAGCTTTTGCCTACATTTTAGACTTACCCTGCTTGCTCCTGTGAACCAACCAGCAATCTCCGGCTGCAGCTCAGAAAGAACAAAAGGGATGGGTAATGTAAAAATCTGGATCAACATCCTAGTTCTGAGCAATTATCCTGCAAATCTTGCCAGGTAATGGGAATAAATAGGATGCCCATCACCCAGAGAGTTCCTTTTTGGGAAAGTAAGACCAAGGGAGCTAACTAAAGCCAAGCATCATGCACCCAAACCCTAGCAAGCATAACCATAGCTACCAGCTATCTGGGCATGTCATAAGACATCCTTTTCTCTCCCTTGTTAGAGGAGGACTCAATTCCACAGCTTCACCTTAGTATCTGGCTTATGATAAGGAATCCATGCACCTCCCACTGCAAGACACATTTTTGTCCCAAACTCAATTCTAAGCTTTGGGTCAAAGCCCTAGGAAAGAAAACTGGATCTGAGAGATTCAAAGGCAGATGATAACACAAGTTAAAAGGCACAGCACAGGTGAGCATGACTGATTTCTGCTGATTAAACCAAACTTCCCGTTTCATGGATAAAGGTTACGCTAATGTCCATGGCATAAATGAGGTCTAGGGAATTCAAAGACTACTGACAACAGGGGAGATAGGGTGTACATGGGAAAGAGTGGATACTTCTACCCCCTAGACGCCCCTGTTAACATGAGTGAAAGCCATTTTAACACCCATGGGTGGCACCCTGTCGTGGTTGCCAGGACTCAGGGATACAAAGACAGAAGAAAGAAAGAGCAATGCTTTGCTTTCTCTCTCTCATGTACCACAGGTATTTGCTAGGAAGGGAAGGGAACCTGGGATGCCTTGCTTCCCTCTTTCTAGATGAGTAGCCATTAATCTTCAGTCTGTACCCCTTTGGAGTGCATCCTGAACCCCCAAGACTCCTTTGGAAAATAAACCTCCTTTTTTCCTTTTTCCTCCTCTGTCCTCTCTTCACTGATAGGTAATTGTGTTTCCGTACTACAGGACACTCCCCTCAGATGCATCCTCCAAACTGGGAAAAGTTAATTTTTCAAATCTTAAACTTGTTGGCTTAGGATTGGGCTCAGGGGAAAGGAACCAAGAAGCCTGACATGCCAGCCAAAGGGTAAAAGGTTGGGCTTTTGGCCTCCCTCTCCCTGTGCAAACCAGTAAAAGGGCTCAGGATTTTTTAGCTGTCCTTACCCCTGCTTGTTTCACTTTGATACATGTTTTCCAATAACCTGGTTTGTCTCTTCTTCAGGCCATCAAACTCCAGTCATGCAGCTGGAGTCTTGGATTATGGCCCCTTTTGCCGGGAACCCTTAGATAGGCCTCTGAGGGAGATCTCACTACTGTTTTCCCAAAACAGCACCCCCTGTCAGCAGGAAGCACTTAAGATCAGTCTCCATCCTTATCCTTATCCTAATAGCAGTTAGATGTACTACTACTTCTTTTTTTTTTTTTTTTTTTTTTTTTTTGGGATGGAGTTTTGCTCTTGTTGTCCAGGCTGGAGTGCAATGGCGAGATCTTGGCTCAATGCAACCTCTGCCTCCCAGGTTCAAGTGACTCTCCTGCCTCAGCCTCTTGAGTAGCTGGGATTACAGGCATGTGCCACCATGCCTGGCTAATTTTGTATTTTTAGTAGAGGCGGGGTTTCTCCATGTTGATCAGGCTGGTCTCAAACTCCTGACCTCAGGTTATCCGCCTGCCTTGGCCTCACAAAGTGCTGGGATTACAGGTGTGAACCACCACGACCGGCTGGCAGTTAGATGTACTTCTTTAGAGGGGCAAATGATAGAGACAGGAGGCAGCCCCAAGCCCCCACCCCCCACCCAAAACCCTGCCTTCAAGCCTAAAACAGCCTGAAGGCTGAAAAACCATACTGCCGGTCCCAGATGAAGCCTGCTCTTTTTCTGACTATTTCTGAATAATGCCCACCTGTGCACTGGGTGGATGGGATGGGGCCTTGGGAAGTTTGCTCCCTTTGCAGGGGGGAGGAGCCTGGCCTCTCCTGTTCCGGTGTGGTAACCTGGGATACAATCTATGAGGCAGGAAACCTAACAGGACTCTCGCTTGCTTTGCTGAGGTTTCCTGTTTACCTTTTTTTTTTTTTCCCTTTTTGCCCAATAAATCCATTCTCCTTCACCCTTCAAAGTGTCACATGCCTAACTCTTCCTGGTAGTGTGACAAGAACCCTTTTTTTTTTCCTACAACACCAGCAGATAGCCATTCCTGAGAATAGGCTGGCCTCAGAATAACATTCTCTTATTTACTATCCCATTATGCCACCCTGCACTTTCATTCCACTTCCTCATACCTGCTTCTGTATAGTCCTTTTTACTTTGTATTAAAGAAAACTGTTTTTTACCTAATTCTTGAAATTTGTAGATTTTTGGTCACAGATTCACCCTCTTCCAATACTACCTCTCTCCCTTTGCAATAATCCTTCTGAATAAAATCTCTCTTTACTATGTTCAGATTTGTTTTTCTATTTGCCAGTGGCTAGAGAGATAGGCAGGGGACAAATCACAGAAAGCCCTGGATTCTATCCCAAGGCAATGGCAAACCACTGAAGGTTTTCTAAAACAGAGTGACAAGATCAGATTTGCTTTATGAAAAATCAGGCCTAAGGGAGGAGAAGAGATTTCTGCCTTGGCCTTCGTGATGTTGATGGGGCTCCTCACAGGAGAGAGAGAGAGTGGGGAGGGAGGAGGTGATGTTACATTCATTCTGAACACGCTGAATTTGAGGTGACAGGGAGGCATTCAGCTCGAGCTATATATGTGATTTTGAGGCTTGGGGGGAAAGACATGTATTGGAAAATCAACAGCATAAACATGATATTTAAAGCCCTGGAGTGAATATGCTCTTCAGTTTCAAACTGTGACATGTTGGTTTTCTTCTCTTTTAGTCCCAGCCTTCCCTATATCATTTCACTCCGATTTTAACCTTCTCTATTTTGTTCCTCTTTGTTTGTTCTTACCTCTTTAAAATTCATGAAGACTAATGTATAAGCTATGAAAGCAAGCTTTGCATCAATGAAAATCTAGACGAATATTTGTTATTTCTCTCAGGCCACATAGCTTCATTTAACACATTTAAGTAGCTGCTAATTGCGCTCCCCATAATGAAATTAAGTATAAATTTTTTTCTGAACTTACTTACCATACAGTAGTATCTAAAATAGAGATTGGCAATATCTTTAGTTCCAAATGTACAGGATGGGTAGAGAAACTACAAATTCCTGAGGGCTTTACTAGATACTACATTGGAAGTCTTGTGGCATAGAAAGACAAGGGGAAATGAAGAAAAATATAAGAATTTAGGAGAAAAAGGAAAAATAAAGAAGGAGCAAAAAGTAGAAATCATTAAAGCACTCATTATGGGGAGTTTCAAAATACAGGTGGTTGGAAATAACAATATTTACTTTGAGGAAGTCCCAGTGCCTTTATGTTTAATTTGAAAACAATTCAGTAAATGTTGTGACTTTGCTATGATAGACCACCTTGAGAATAGTGTCAGTACCTGTTCTAGATCTTCTTTCTAGAAATAGAAAAGGGTCTAAAATAAGGTCAAGTTTACTTTTAAGAACTGAGTTATAGAGCTCCAACCAGGTTGCTGAAATATAGCTGTTCTCAAAAACTTCCCCAGTTATTTTAGGAGGTTCCATGTTTGCCTATAAATGAACCTATCAGCTCTAATCCCTCCTGTTCTCTCACATCCACTATGAAAACACTGTTCCCATTAATCCCTTGATATAGCTCAACTGCAGCAACTATGCATCACAGGCAAGCCTATGTACATACCACAGCAGCTGATTCCAGAGCCTCCCAACACTTGCCATAAGCCAAAGCCAACTGCAGAGGCTGTGAGCACTTTCTCCTTCTCTTCTCTGCCAGTTTTCACCATAAATTACTCCTTTTGTGTCAGAATGTTACATTGTCTCTTTTAAACAGGTCTGTTTCTAGCCCTCTCTCCTCTAACCATCCAGTTATTCACTCAATATACTACGTGCCCAGCACTGTGCTAGTTGCTAGGGTTACAACGGTGAAAAAAACAGTCCTTGGTTTTGTGGAGTTTTTAGTTTAGTGATGAAGATAGTTCAAATAATGCTATGTACTTTGTAGACATGTTTTTCTTACCAATACTCTGCTGGGTAAGGACTATTATTTTATAGTACTAGACACATTACTTGCCTGAGTTCATATTGCTAGCTGGAACAGAATCAAAATTATAAACTCTGGCCTGTCTAATAGCCTCCCACAAAACTAGTCCACAAGGCTGGACAGTTTACGGAGGTCAGACCTACCAACTTCCTCACCCACCTCACTCTTCCATTGACCCCTTTGCACCAATTCAATGTCCTTTTCTGAGGCCTGTTCCCCACCCCTCGCTAGTAGTTTATGTATAAAAATAGGTATAAAAATAAGGTAGAGAAATTAGGCAGAGAGGAGGTATTCTATGTACTAACAGCATCTATGAAAAACTCAGTAGGCCAAAAATGCTATTATACCAGTCAGAAAAAGGAACTTATCAAGGATAATCACATAGTGAAATACCTTTGAGGTTGGTGCCTGCAAAGTTGCTATATCTTTTAACAAAATAATGATAATCAACTTGGCCCGAAGAGGACTCCTCTTGCCCAAAGGAAATCTCTTCTGTTATAAATAAGTTGTAAAATTAAGGGTTAGAGCGCTAAGGCAGCAGAATTAGGGACTTTATCTGAGTATGGGATGTTCCTGGCAACAGGGATTCTCAGCAAGTCACCACACAAGTGCTTGCTGGCAAGTGAGCTGTCTCTACATTCAAAGGAGCCACTGGGCTCCACTCCCTCTGTTGTGGCTTTTGAATTGTTTCTCTGATTGTGAGGATTGGTATGTGCTGAGCAACCCCTGCTTTTTCACCTGGGCTCCCTAGGGCTAAGGAGTACACTTCTGAGAGATGGACAACGGGCAAAATACTCTAGCTGTCTCTGTAACAAGCACTGGAGAAATGACCACTGCCATACTGAGTGAATTCTAAACCTGTTTTGCCCAAATCAGAGAATTATAACCAGTGCTGCATTTTAAATTTTAATTTACTTCCTAGCACGTGGGGTTAATATTTTTAAAAAAGGCTTAAATGTTCTAATGCCCTTAGATTACTGTTTCCTCCTTAAAATATCAATCTGTTTGGAACCAGGGTCAAGGGCTGCCGCTTTTGTTGTTGTTCTACAAATTTTACTTAGTATAAACAGACTGCTCATACGGTGTTAATGAAAGATCTGTCTGCACAGCATAAAACCAGTGAGGTAAAGCAAGAAAAACCTGCCAATCAACTGATTGTTTAGACTCTACTTGACAGTAAAGAATTAATTGATACTTTACAGAATTGACTGAGCTGCACACCTGCTAAATTTGCCACATAGTCATAGTCAGTACTATCCCAAACTGTAGCCATTAGCCACATGTGATTATTTTAAAGTTAAATAATTTCCAAAAATTCAGCCCCTCTGTCACACTAGCCCAATTTCAAATGTCAAGTAGCTACGTGTAGCTAATGACTACTGTATATTGGAAAGTGCAGATATAGAATATTTCCATCATCACAGAAAGATCTATTGGACTGCACTAGTATGGATGATGAAGTTATGTTGCTATATTGAGATAATTCTATTCAGTACACATTTACCAAACATCCACTCTGGGCAAGTGATGATTCCTACTCTCGAGGAGCTAACATTTTCCTGAGACAGATATGTGTACAACCACAAACTGTAACACGGGGCAAAAGTGGTAAGCGTTCTAATTATGAGACCAAAGAAAGTAATTCTGACTCGGGGGATTTGGGAAAGGCTTATTGTTGCAGGTGGTATACAAGCTGGTTTTGCAAGAAGGGTAATGAGAAAATAGAAATTGACAGGGAGGGAGAGAGAAGGGGAGAGGAATAGAAGAAGCATTTCAGTAGAACGTGAGCAAAAGGTATTGAGGTGGCAAGTTGTGGACCAATATGTGACACTATGAGTGTAGTATTTTGGGGGCTATTTTTTGTTTTGGGGGCTTTAGAGACAAGATCTCATTCTTTTGCCCAGGCTGGATGGAGTGTAGTGGCAGGATCCCAGCTCACTGAGCCACAGCCTCTCAAGTGGCTGAGACTATGGGTACAAACCACCATGCCTGGCTAATTTTTTATTCTATTTTTTTGTAGAGATGGGGTCTTGCTATGTTTCTCACGCTAGTCTCTATCTGCTGGCCTGAAGTGATCCTCCCACCTCAGCCTCTCAAAGTGCTGAGGTTACAGGCATGAGCCACCGCACCTGGGCTTTTTTTTTTTTAAATTGTGTATATTTAAGGTGTACAACATCACGATTTGAAATACATCTCCATAGTGAAATGATTACTACAGTCAATTAACATACCCATCTTTTTTGTGTATGTGGTAAGAGGACCTAAAACCTACAGTGTTCTTGGGAAATTTTCAGTCTATAATACAATATTATTAGCCATAGTCCTTCTGCTGTATATTAGATCTCTAATTCATCCTATATAAATGCAACTTTGTATCCTTTGGCCTATGTCTCCCTGTTTCTTTAAGTGCAACTTTGTATCCTTTGGCCTATGTCTTCCTGTTTCTTTCCCCTCCCTGCTCTGAAAACCACCATTCTACTCTGTTTCTGTGTATTTGACTTTTTTAGATTCCACATATAAGTGAGATCATGCAGTATTTTTCTTTCTGTGTCTGGCTTATTTCACTTAGCATAATGTGTATTTGTATTTGTTGCTGGCATGTGCTTACAGAGCTCACATTTCAAAGTCTAACTTTTAAAATTCTTTTATAAGATTTTTCAGTTCAGGTTATTTTAATATTCATGATGAAAATATCTTTGTTCCTTTCCTTGTGATTTAAAGATTATTTAAAGATAAGTTTGCAATCCAACTATTGCTGCCAGGTTAATATTTCTTTTTACATATATAAACCAGAGATTCAATTTATTAATTTATAATAAGACACATTGCTGTCAACTGTCCAGGTGCTTGTGTCCACTGAGCAGTACTCTCTCTCTCTCTATAGGCAAATTTGTAAGGGAAGCCAAATTAGAAATACAGGATCACTTTGGAGAGCCTGGAATCTAAGCAAGAGGAATTAGAGGATATTCCTAATAGCTAGTGTCATCCAGACATCACAGCCTGATGCATCCATCTGAGTTTACCTGAATGATTATTCCTTAAGTACAATGTATATCATGCCATTTCTGTACTCAGAATCTGCAATAGTTTCTTCTTGCCTAAGTTAGTAAGTCCAAACTCTTCTACCTGACATTTAATATTCTCCTTAATCAAGTGACATTTACTTAGTTGAATTTATCTCCCATTAAGGTACATAACATGAAACAATTTGATGCGGCCAGTTTGAGGTAATCATTTTAACACAGTCATTTTGATGTTAAGATCTTTTGATGATGTTGCTTGGGCAAGATCATTTTAACACACTTAATATCTCATTTGACAGATTCTAAAACACAAACCATTATCTGTCAGCTTTTTTTTTAATGACCAAATATGACATGTAACATCTGTGATCCCTAACCTATTTCCACTTCCCTCCCATATCCACCCAAGCACATTCTACTCTATTTCCTTCATGCCTTACTCAGTAGGCATCTAGTAAGTATTTGTTAATGAACTAATAGAATGTAAGCTAGTCTCTACCTTGTTTTGTACATTTGCTATAGCTTTCTCATCATTTCAAAGTGAAGTCACTTTTCTTTAACTTGGGTCTTATTATAAGTAGCTTCTTAAGGTATTTTTCTCTACTTCCCTGTTTACTTGTCTTGTGATCATTTTTAATCCCTACGTACGCAATCTAATAATTTATCTAACAGTCCGATTTCCAGCAGAACGGCTTTTTGTTGTTTATTGAGATTTTTTGTTTTGTTTTTGTCAACTGCTCTAGTAACCACTGGTGGTATTCAAGGTTTTTGCTGTTAGTATTAATGTTTAAAACATGGCAATGTTTGTATTGTTCCCAGCGTAAATTAAGACCCATGACATTTATTAAAATGATATCACCACAGTGGTATTTCACTTGAAAGTAACCCTCCTCTTTTTATTCATGCTGATGAGGTTTTATTATAAATGGGAGCAAGTGGTCCTCATTGAGATAATCAATGACTTGCTACTTGCTAATTCCACTGCAATCTTTGCAGTGTGTATGCTTCTTTGCTTTCATATAGTATTTGAAACTCTCTTGTATCTTTCTTCCCTTGTGTTTCATGTCACCAAGTTCTACTCATTTTCCTCCATCCTCTTTGATTTTTCCTTCTTTGTCATCTTTACTGCCTTCTATTTTTCAACCCACTCTTTTCTTATAGCAATCCCATGGTTTTGCTCCTTTATGTCTCAAAGGCGCCTCAAACTCCTCTTGTTGAAAATTAAACTCATAATCTCCATCCTACTTCCATAAACATAATCTCCATACAATATTCTCCAACTCAAAAAATGTTATCACTGCTTATCTAGCTTTGCAAGCTAGAAAATTGGAAGTCATTCTTGATTCGTTTATCTTCTTCACTTTTACATGCACTCCACCATCAAATCCTGCTAATTATATTCCCTAAATGTCCATTTATCTCTGTTTTCACCATTACCATCCAAGTTCAGTCCACCATAATTTCTCCCCATAGTCACTTCCTAACTGGTTTCCCTGTACCTAGTCTTGCCCTTTTACAATCCATTTTTATATAATTGTCAAATGGTTATTTTTCAAGTAAAATTGGATCACCTTCTCCACTTAAGACTCCTTTTAAATGAGTGGTTTCTCACTTGCTGATGTAAGCCAAACTTTTAAAAATAGCTAGAAAAGCTTTCTATGATCTGGGCTTTGTCTCACTCTCTTGTTTCTTTTATTTATTTATTTTCAGTAGAGTTTACTCCTTTTGAATCTCTGGTTTCATCTCAAACCCTTATTTCCTTTGCTTTCATTGTATTTCTTGAATATGAGGATTTATGTCTTCCATCACTTGCGTAAAAGTTTTTAACATTATTGCTTTGAATATTCCTCTTCCCATACCCATTACTCTTTCCTGCTAGAATTATTATTAAACATACATTGAGTGTTCTCAATCTATCCTGAACCTTTTCTATTATTGATCTCTGCTTTTTAAAGTAGTGTTATGAATTATTTCTTTAGGTCTGCTGTTTATTACTATTATTTCTGTCAACTTTTGCTCATGGCAGTTTGTGTATTGGTATGCTTTGTAATTTTTGATTATGAGTTTGTGTTTGGTGGGGTTTTTATTGTGGCAATCTTGGGATAAGGGTATATCCTTCTGGAGACATTTGGTATTTGTGTTTGCTTCTGACTGGTTCTTTAGAAATGTCACCAGAATAAGATCATTTATTATGTCAATTTATTGACTTTGGTGTTCCTAGAATATGAAAGTAGTATAAAATTCATGTGAGGGAAGATCTGTAGTAATGAATTTTCAGGGGAAAAACATTTTTGTAATCTAGAGCCCAGGACAATATAAACAGACCATCCTTGCTGGTAGCTTTATTTTTTCTAGTCTGTCTTTATTCTTTGGGTATAGACCATAAAGTATTTTGGCTTTTTAAAAGAGTCTCAGTTTTAAATTCCTACTTCTCACAGGCCCAAGCCCTAGCCCCCTGTTCCTATGTGGCCATTAAGCTTTAAGTTCCATTTATGAAAAACAGCAAATATGCTCAGATAAACTAAAATATAAATTTATTCATTTATTCAGCAAATATTTATTAAATGTCTACTATGCCAACCACTATTAGAGGCACTAGATATAGAGCAGAAAATAAAACAAAGTACTTGTTATCATGGAATTTATGTTTATGACTCCTGCTTTGAGGTTCATATTTGTTTGGGGCCTGTCAAGAAAAAAATATATCAAAGACTTAAAAATTAGGTGATAGGACTATAAAACCCCTATTCCTCTCATTCTTTGACCAAGCTCTACCATTCTGCTCATTCTCTTATTAATGAATTAAATAAATCTTTAACACATCCTAACTTCACATTTATATGAGAATCATGTTTATAATTTTTAACAAATCATAGATTGATAAGCTCCCAAGAATTTACTGCAAGTCCTGATATGCTTATAAAAGGATGTTTGCTATATTTTATTCAGAATTATTAGATATTTTGTAGGATGAGGTTTTCCCTTTATTGAATTCATCATATTTCGGAAAATAAACATGCTCCTCTGTGTGCTGTAAGCACACTGGCCTGCTTTCAGTTCTGCTAAGTTCTACATTGCTTCTGCTTTCTGGGACTTTGCAGAAACTTTTTTTCTGCCTAGAATTCTCCCTCTAATGCCTATTTGCTTTTGCTTGCTTAACTTCTATTCATCCTCCAAATCGCAAAACGTATTTCTTCAGGAATCTTTTCTTGATCCCTGAAAATTATTTTGGGTCCTTCTGCTATAAGATATTTTTTTAGCACCATGTACACTTCCTTCACAGGCAATTACCAAATATGTAATTCACTTATTAGGTACTTTGTTTTTTGACAATTATGTCCTCACATGATTGTAATAAAGCTTCACATTAATAAAAAAGAAATTGTCTCTTTTTTATAATATTCTCAGTTCCTATCACAATCCTTAGAGCGTAGTACCTCTTTGTTAGAAATATGTGTAATGAATTAACAAATATTCATTATCTTCTTTCTCCCCAGGTAACCCAGTTATGCTCATGACTTCAACTAATATTTATGTTGATAATTCTCACATCTACATATGTAGGTTTTGCCTCATTTCTGAGTTCCAGGCCCATATTTCCAGTTATCTTTTAAAGACCAGTAGTTGAAGATAGTATACATACTTTAAATACAACTAGTTCAAAATTTAACTCACTATCTCTTTCTACATATCTGTATCTACTTTTTTATTTCCTGTAGCCCCACCATCTACACAGTTCTCAACATTGGAACCCCAGGATCAATTTTATTTCACTAACTATATACAATTAGTCAGATATCTTGTCAATTTTATGTCTAAGAAGTCTTGATCACATTTAGCCCTTCACCATCCCAATGCTATACTCCCTTACTTTTGTTCTTCATTTTCTCTTAACTATTTTAATAGTTCTCATCTTTCCATTATCTACACAGTAACCAGTTATTTTTCTTAAAATAGAGATTCAATAAATAATGCAACTATCCAGCTGAAAAACCTTCATTTTAAAAAATAAACTTCAGTGCTCTCATTACCTTTTGAATAAAACTTGAACTTCTTAGCACAATGCAAAAAACTTCACAATCTGACTAGGTACATTTTTCTATTTTCATCACATTGGTGAACTCTGTACTCCAGGAATAAGTCTATCTGCTTATTCTTGAGCATATTTATTTTTATACTTCCATGATTTTGTTCATGTATCTTATACCTACAGTGCTTTGCCTGATTTCATCATTTGCCAAAATCACACATATCCTTGAAGGTCTACTTCAAGGTCAGAGCTTTTACATAAAAACTTTCCTATTGCTTGACTTTCCAGCTCTCCCAATTACTCCCAGGAAAAATTAGTTCCTCTGTCCTTTCTGCTTTCTTACAGCACTTTTTCTATTGTATTTTGTACATACCCTTACATAAAATGTAATCCAGATTGTGGTTGGTGTATAGCCAGAAACAGCTAGCAGTTCAAATATGTTTGGACATGTTCTGACAAACTGATAAAGGCTCAACTGAAGTCTATTTGCTGAGGAATCATCTGAAAAATAAGTCCTGCTGCATCCACTGCTGCAGTTCAAAAATATTTGGGCATGTCAAGCAAGCCTAAGCATGGACCAAACAGAAGTCTATTTAGAAAAAAGAATGAAAGGCTGGGCACAGTGGCTCACGCCTGTAATCCCAGCACTTTGGGAGGCCAAGGAGGGCGGATCACCTGAGGTCGAGAGTTTGAGACTAGCCTGACCAACATGGAGAAACCCTGTCTCTAAAAATACAGAATTAGCCGGGCGTGGTGGCGCATGCCTGTAATCCCAGCTACTCAGGAGGTTGAGGCAGGAGAATCGCGTGAACCCGGGAGGCGGAGGTTGCAGTGAGCCGAGATCACGCCATTGCACTCCAGCCTGGGCAACAAGAGTGAAACTCTGTCTCAAAAAGAATAAAAAGAAATTTCATAAGAGAATTGACCTTTAATAAAGAAATAGAAGCCATGTGTTGTGGCATGCACCTAGAGTCTCAGCTACTCAGGAGGCTGAGGAAGGAGTATTGCTTAGCCCCATGAGTTCAAGGTTTTTAGTGTGTTATGATCATGCTTGTGAATAGTGTAACCGCTCAATGGGTTAACCTTGCCTGCTGCCTGGACAGAGCCAATTTATCAAGACAAGGGAAATGCAATAGAGAAACAGTAATTCACACACAGCCCACTGTGCAGGAGACTGGAGTTTTATTATTATTGAAGTAAGTCTCCCCGAACATTCAGGGATCAGAGTTTTTAAGGACAATTTGGTGGTTAGGGAGCCAGTGAGTCAGTAGTTCTGATTGGTTGGGTCGGTGATGCAATCGTAGAAAGTTGAAGATGTCCTCTTGTGCTAAGTCAGTTCCTCGGTGGGGGCCACAAGACCAGATGAGCCAGTTTATCCATCTGGGTGGCGCCAGCTGACCCATCGAGTGCAGGGTCTGCAAAATACCTTAAGCACTAATCTTAGGTTTTACAATAATGATGTTATCAGGAGCAATTTGGGGAGATTTAGACTCTTGCAGCCTCCAGCTGCAAACCATAATTTCTAATCTTGTGGCTAATTTGTTAGTCTTGCAAAGGAAGTCTAATCCCCAGGCAGGAAGGGGTTTTGTTTTGGTAATGGGTTGTTATTTTTGTTTCAAACTAGAAACTATAAACTAAGTTCCTCCCAAAGTTAGTTAAGCCTATGCCCAGGAATGAACAAGGACAGCTTGGATGTTGGAAGCAAGATGGAGTTTGTTAGGTCAGATCTCTTTTGCTGTCTCGGTTATAATTTTGCAATGGTGGTTTCAATAGCCACTGCACTTCAGCCCGGGGAACATAGTGAGACTCCATCTCCCAAAAAAAAAAAAAAAAAAAAAAAAAAAGAACAATAAATATATAACTTACTAATATACAAATAATTTCCAAAGGGAAACAAGGTTTTTGAATACAGCACAGCCTGTGCTATTCACATCTGTAGGGGGCTACATAAGGGGCTAACATCAGAAAATAAAAGTAGCGAGCTAATAAAATGTATGCACTAATGTTATCTTGATCTAATTTGCTCTCACCAGGTGATAAATCCTGAGAAATGTCCATTTCGAAAAATATTAGTAACTATTTTTGACAGTTATTTTCATTCATTGTCTCTCTTCTGTAATAGCAATCATATGTTGAGATGTATTATCCTCACTTGGCTTCAGGAATACCATTCTTTATTCTTTATCAACTTTTCTGGCTGTTCTTGCTTAATCACCTTGGTTGGATCTTTGTCATCTCCCAGACTTCTACACATTGTAGTTATCCAAGTCTAAATCCCAAGACCTCTATCTTTTCTTCTACTTACGTTCGTGTCTTGAGTGAACTCATTCAGGCTGATGGCTTTAAAATACCATCTCTACATAGACAAGTCTTAAAACTCCAGCCTTAACCTTTACTATGAACTCCAGACTCAATCTAATAGCCTGCTCAAGATCTTCACTTAGATATGTAGCAGACACCTCAAACTAAACATCCTCAACTGAACTATTGACTCTTAACACCCCGTAACCAACTTGCCCCACAGATTTCTTCATCTCAGTTAATGGCAACTCCATCCTTTTTGTTGCTTAGGATGAAATGTTGGGTGTTAATCTGATTTTCAATTACAACTCCAGTCTTATATATCAGCAAATCCTGTTGGCTTTATTTTCAAAATACAGATTATCCAGAATCCAGCCATTTCTTACCACCGCCGCTACTACTACCCCAACCTGAAGTCATCGTCCAAGCAATATATTTTCAACTAGTCTCCTAGCTTCCACCCTTGCTCCCTCCTCTAGAGCAATTCTATACAACAGTTCTCTACACAACAGAGTGAACCTTTTAACATGTAAATTAGATCATGTCACTCTCCTCCTCCAAACACTTCAGTGGTTTCTCATGTCACTCAGAATAAAACCCAGTTTCTTGGCATGGTATACAAGGGACTCAAGAGCTAGTCCCTGGCTTCCTTTCTTATCTCATATCTAATATTCTCTTCCTCTCTCACTCAGTGTCAGACTCATTGGCCTCCTGCTGTCCCTCAAACTGGTCAGGCAAGTTCTTGCTTCAGGGACTTTGTAGAAAATCTTTTTCCTAGATTGTTCTTCCTTCAGACACCCCCATTTCATTCAGATTTTGCTCCAATGTTACCTTCTCACAAATAATTTTCCTGACCATCCTACTTAAATAAGCCACCTTCTCATCTCCCATCACTATCTATTCACTTATCCTGCTTTATTTTTCTCTTCATGTATTTTTTTTATTCTAGTTTGTTATTGTCTGTCTCTCCCACTAGAGTGTAAACTCCAGAGTAGCAGAAACTCTGTGTTTATGTTCGCTGATAATTTCCCAGCATCCAGAATAGTGCCTGGTATTTAGCAAAAGCAAAAAGAATGTCTGTTGAATTAATCAATGAACGAATGATGTTTAACATGAGTAACAGGACTAACAAATACACTGTTAAGGGTCAAAACCTTAAAGTTAGAAGTGCTACAGAGATTTATGTACAGCAGTCATTAAGTAATTGAGTCTATGTTGCCTTTTCTGTTTTTTAAATCAAAAATTAAAAAATATTTGCTGGGTATGGTGGCTCACTCCTAAAATCCCAGTGCTTTGGGAGGCTGAGGTGGGAAGATTGCTTGAGGACAGGAGTTCAAGATCAGCTGGGCGATAAAGTGAGACCCTATCTCTACAAAAAAGTTTTTTTTAAAAGAAATTATTTAATTATTCTTCATAAAATGGTATAATTTAAGAACATCTGATGGCATATTGTGTTCATAAATGTAAGAGTTGGTAGATATCTGATGAGCATGAGTATGATTCAGTCACTGAGTTTAGACAATGCTTTGGCGATTTTGACTACTTTACTAATTTATATTGCTTATACTCTCAGCTATGTATCATTTAATTTTTACTCATGATAAAAATTCCATAAGACAAGGAGCTTATCTACTTTGTTCGCCTGCCTCATGGAATTTTTAGTTTCAACTCATGCTTCTTTCAACTGTTTGTATCATGATACATATAAAGTATATCAGTGTATAAGCCATCTAATAGGTGCTCAGTATATATTTGTTGAATAAATGAATGAGTCAATAAAAGGTATAAATATAATTCTATATATTTGCCTCAATATGATCTCAGCTCCATAGAGAAGTTGCTAAAATTAAAGTTTACATTCTATAGAGACAAAAACAAGACTAGTGGCTATTTGGGGCTGGGGATGGGAGTGAGGAGTGACTGCAAATGGACATGAGAAAACTTTTTGGGATGATAAAAGTGCTCCAAAATGGAATTGTGATGAGATCGCACAATTATATACGTTGCACAATTAAAAATAATTGAATTTAACAATTACAGCAGTTAAATTTTATGGTATGCAAATTATATCTTAATAAAACTTTTTAAGAATTTTATGTAGCTGCTGAGGGTATCACAAGTACTTCAAAAAACAATGTATAAAATTTAGGGACAAATATATCCACTTTCTCTTATTTATTTTGAATAAATATCATATAGAGTAACAATATATCTTTTAGAGAATAGTGCTTACAAATGGAAACCATTGAATATTATAATGTTTGGGGAATAATTATAAAAAAGCAAACTTTGATTTCTATAAACAAAACACATAAAAACTGAATGTGATTTTATGAAAACTTTTTTATCTGTTTTGATTCTATAACACATAGTTACATTTCAATTTACATTTTAATATATATTTATTCCTCAAATTCAAATATTATATGTTCCATTTTATTTATCGGAAAATCATACTTTTTCTCATATGATTAAAATTAAATAGCATTTCAAGTGGTAAAAATAAAGGCCTATATTTTATGAATAACTAAGGTACACAATAGAATGTATTTAAAATAAACTTTATAATGCAATATTTAACATAGCTATCTAAAATAATTTTTGCTTAAAATTATTATTATATTATATAACTATATCAGTCAGCATTCTCCAGAGAAATAGAACCAGTAGGAGAATACAGACACACGCGTGCATGCATGCGCGCACACACACACACACACACAGAAAAAGAGAAACATTTTACATTTTTTTAAGGAACTGGCTAACACCATTGTGGGACTGGCAAGTCTGAAATCCATAAGGCAGGTGGGCAGGCTGGAGACTCAGGCAAGAGTTGATGGGCTAGTCTTCAGGCAAAATATCTTTTTCTCCAGGGAACCTCAGTTTTTGCTCTGAAGACCTACAATGGATTGGATTAGACCAACTCATATTATTGAGGTCATCTCTTTTACTTAAAGTCAACTGGTTGTAGATATTTATCACATCTACAAAATACCTTCACAGAAACACCTACGTTAGTGTTTCATTAAAAAACTGGGTACTTGGAAAATCTAAAGAGCCCGAATAGCCAAGACAATCCTAAGCAAAAAGAACAAAGCTGGAGGCACCATGCTACCTGACTTTAAATTATACTACAAGGCTACAGTAACCAAAACAACATGTACTGGTACGGGAACAGACACACAGACAAATGGAACAGAATTGAAAACTCAGGAATAAGGCCGCACACCTACAACCATGAGATCTTTGACAAACCTAACAAAAGCAATGGGGAAAGGATTCCCTATATAATAAGTGGTGCTGGGAGAACTGGGTAGCCATATGCAGAAAATCAAAATTGGACCCCTTCCTTATACCTTATACAAAAATTACCTCAACATGAATGAAAAACTTAAATGTAAAACCCAAAACTATAAAATCCCCAGAAGAAAATCTAGTTAATACCATATTCAGGACATAGACATGGACAAAGATTTCATAACGAAAACACCAAAAGCAGTCACAACAAAAGCAAAAATTGACAAATGGGATCTCATTAAACTAAAGAACCTCTGCACAGCAAAAGAAATTATCGTCAGAGTGAACAAACAACATACAGAATGGGAGAAAATGTTTGCAGTCTGTTTGTCTGACAAAGGTCTAATATCCAGAGTTCCTTAAACAAATTTACAAGAAAAAAAAAACCCCATTAAAAAGTGGGCAGAAGCTCTTTAGTTTAATTAGATCCCATTTGTCAATTTTGGCTTTTGTTGCCATTGCTTTTGGTGTTTTAGACATGAAGTCCTTGCCCATGCCTATGTCCTGAATGGTATTGCCTAGGTTTTCTTCTAGGGTTTTTACGGTTTTAGGTCTAACATTTAAGTCTTTAATCCATCTTGAATTAATTTTTGTATAAGGTGTAAGGAAGGGATCCAGTTTCAGCTTTCTACATATGGCTAGCCAGTTTTCCCAGCACCATTTATTAAATAGGGAATCCTTTCCCCATTGCTTGTTTTTGTCAGGTTTGTCAAAGATCAGATAGTTGTAGATGTGTGGCATTATTTCTGAGGGCTCTGTTCTGTTCCATTGATCTATATCTCTGTTTTGGTACCAGCACCATGCTGTTTTGGTTACTGTAGCCTTGTAGTATAGTTTGAAGTCAGGTAGCATGATGCCTCCAGCTTTGTTCTTTTGGCTTAGGATTGACTTGGCGATGCGGGCTCTTTTTTGGTTCCATATGAACTTTAAAGTAGTTTTTTCCAATTCTGTGAAGAAAGTCATTGGTAGCTTGATGGGGATGGCATTGAATCTATAAATTACCTTGGGCAGTATGGCCATTTTCACGATATTGATTCTTTCTACCCATGAGCATGGAATGTTCTTCCATTTGTTTGTATCCTCTTTTATTTCCTTGAGCAGTGGTTTGTAGTTCTCCTTGAAGAGGTCCTTCACGTCCCTTGTAAGTTGGATTCCTAGGTATTTTATTCTCTTTGAAGCAATTGTGAATGGGAGTTCACTCATGATTTGGCTCTCTGTTTGTCTGTTGTTGGTGTATAAGAATGATTGTGATTTTTGCACATTGTTTTTGTGTCCTGAGACTTTGCTGAAGTTGCTTGTCAGCTTAAGGAGATTTTGGGCTGAGGTGATGGGGTTTTCTAGCTATACAATCATGTCATCTGCAAACAGGGACAATTTGACTTCCTCTTTTCCTAATTGAATACCCTTTATTTCCTTCTCCTGCCTGATTGCCCTGGCCAGAACTTGCAACACTATGTTGAATAGGAGTGGTGAGAGAGGGCATCCCTGTCTTGTGCCAGTTTTCAAAGGGAATGCTTCCAGTTTTTGCCCATTCAGTATGATATTGGCTATGGGTTTGCCATAGATAGCTCTTATTATTTTGAGATACGTCCCATCAATACCTAATTTATTGAAAGTTTTTAGCATGAAGGGTTGTTGAATTTTGTCAAAGGCCTTTTCTGCATCTATTGAGACAATCATGTGGTTTTTGTCTTTGGTTCTGTTTATATGCTGGATTACATTTATTGATTTGCGTATGTTGAACCAGCCTTGCATCCCAGGGATGAAGCCCACTTGATCATGGTGGATAAGCTTTTTGATGTGCTGCTGCATTCGGTTTGCCAGTATTTTATCGAGACTCTAATATCTAAAAGAGATAAAAAAATACAGCTTTTATAGCGATATGGAGCCTCCCAGAGCAATTGCTGAAGATCAGGATTTTAATGTAAGATTTCTTGATTAATTTGTCGTTAATTTTAAGAGAATTTTAATACTTCATAGAACAAACAAAACATATTTCAGGCCATATTTAACTACTTGTGTGCAGTGTCTAGTTTTTAGCATTAATGCTAAGTCATTTTTAGACTGGTCAACCGTAGATAATTTTATTTCTGATATTTTCCATTGCCAATTCATTCTTAAAATATATAACATTTAGATTTTTAAAATTATAAGACAAAGGCCTAAAATAAATGCTTCTATTACTGGCCACATATTTGCATTTGGGTCGTTGAAAACCTTTACTTATATTAAAAGCTATCTAATTTACCAAATTAAATCTTACCACGTGCTTTTTTAATACCAAAAACAAATTATATAATACTTAAGCCCCAAATTTCACAGTTCTAATTAGCAACTTGATTTAAGATTTTGAATTTTTTTGATAATTAAATGGGGTATAATTTTTAAGAAATGACTTAGAGGCTAATATTATTCCCCCTTACTTCCCTCATATGCATATGCAGGCAAACACACACACCCGGTAGCAGTAGTACTCCATCAAATAATTCTAGTTTTCTCTATTTAAAAACTGTCTTTCCTTTCAGGAATATACACTTTCAAATTCAACTGGAGAATAACATTATATTTTGATAATTTATAGAGAATACAATAAACTTGCTTGTTTATAAGCAAGATATGAAAAATTATTGAACATTTATAAAGATTGTTCATACTTTAACAGTTTTTTTCCTAGTATGGTGGTTGTTAGTTTCCTTTCTTTACTCTAACAAGGCATATTCAATTTTCTCTCCTGCTCAAAAGAAAATACACATCATTGTGATTACTTGAAACATAATAGAGTAATTAGATAGAAAAGGTGCACAGAATTTTTATAGAGTTCTCACTTGGTCATGTGAATATGTTCAAGGTTGCTTTGCATTGGCCAAATGCCAACCACTGCAGCAGCATCTGTTACTAACCAGGTTTATCTATTCTTTGAATTCAAATTGCATAACAGAGAACAATTATGTAGAATTTTTGGCAAATAGTTTTTTTTTTTTTCTACTGGACAGGAAATAGTACTAAACATGTCAAAATAACAATTTAGGTAACAAAGATATAATTTAAAACAGAATGCAAAGCTTTTGATCTATATTCTTTGCATTTTTGAATTAAGTTAAAAGGATGGAAATGATGAAATTGTGCACAGTTCTCAGCATGTCATAGCTAGCATGGCATGTTTGAAATGTGATCTTTGTTTCAGCTTGGCCACCAGAGGAGTAGACATGAAAAAGAGATGTCTTTATATAGTGTATGCTTTTTAACAGACACCTCCAGACAAAGGCTTTTGCACACAAATCCATGAAAGGGTTTGTATTCCAACGGTTTAGCTTTGCTTTGCATTTGCGTTTGGAGTCACAAAATAGGGTAAGGTACCTAGGTCCTGTCAGAAGCTTGAGAGAATTGAAGGAATTGGTTTGCTCAGATATAAAACCTATAGTCTTTTATTCCCATTTATACCATTTTGCATTCCTACCAGCAATGAATAAGAATATATTCAAAAATATAACAAGCAAAATTATTTGTTTTAAAAAAGAAAACAATAATTTTGATTTGCAGTTGTGATGGCAACCTCCAAATCTGCAAATTAGTAACAGATTTTTCACCCCCACTTAGAACTCTATATTCCTTTCTGCAATTTCTTGTGTGTACATTTCTTCAATATTCTTGGAAGCAGAGTTAACATACCTCAGAAAATGCAGCTTGTCTTTTTGCAGTAAGGGGAAAAGAAAACTAGATGTATGGACTGTTATTCTGAGCCTTCACTGTGTTATCTTTGCTAAAGTAATGACACATGCTTAGGTCCTAAAACATGTTCAATTTTATGGGAACCATCCCCAAACCAAATTATTAAGATAAAATGTGAATTTGTCAAAATACTCATAATTGTTGATAGACTGCAGCAAGAAACCCTCTATGACCTGAGCCAATCTTAATACAAAAAAAGAAATACGCTAGTTTTGCATGAAATTCAAGATTGTCTAAATCACATCTTTGGTTTAATGCCCTGTTATGCAAATCCACTGGGATGCTGTTAAAAGTACACATTTCCAAGCTTTATCCCAGACCTACTAAACCAGAATATCCAAGGAAGGGATCTGAACTTTTAAATTTTTAAGCAAGATGTTTCAGAAACACTGTTACAGCACAAATGAGATTGTGCCATGAAAAGACTGCGTGATATTGGAGGGGGAGAAGTATGCAACTCATTGTCCCAGCCAGGACACAGAGAGAAAAGGGGCACTATTAAAAATTTTGCCAGAGAAACAGGTATAAATGGGGTTGTTCTGGGCAAAATGGGATCATTTTTCAATCTAATATTACCTTCACAGTTGTGTATTACTTTTTTAAAAATAAACTTTATTTTTTAGCGCAGTTTTAGGTTTAAAACAAAATTGACTGGAAAGTGCGAAGAATTCCTATAGAACCCTGTCCCCACGCATGTTCAACCTTCCTATCAGCAGTTCTCATTAGAGTAGTACATTTGTTACAACTGATGAACCTACACTGACTTATCTGTATCACCCAAAGTCCATAGTTTACATTAGGTTTCACTCTTGGTGTTATATGTTCTATGGGTTTGGACATAATGACAATGTCCACCATTATAGTATATAAAAAATCCTCTGTGTGCCACTCATTCATTTCTCCCTTTTCCCTAACCCTTGAAATCACTAATCTTTTTACTGTTTTTGTAGTTTTGCCTTTTCCAGAATGTCATATAATTGAAACCATAAGCTATGTAGTCTTTTCAGAATGTCTCCTTTCACTTAGCAATATGCATTTAAGTTTGTTCTGTGTGTTTTTATGGCTTGATCATTCACGTCTTTTAGCACTGAGTAATATTCTATTGTCTAGATGTACCACAGTTTATTTATCAATTTACCGGCTGAAGGGCATTTTAGTTGCTTCCAAATTCTAGAAATTACGAAGAAAGCTGCTATAAACATCCATGTATAGGTTTTTTTGTGGACATAAGTTATCATTTCACGTGGGTAAATTGCAAGAAGCATGATTGCTGGATTGTATGGTAAGGGGACGTTTAGTTTTGTAAGAAACTGCCAAACTGTCTTCCAAAGTGACTGCACCATTGTGTATTTCTACCAGCAATGAATAAGAATTCCTGCTGCTTCACATCCTCTTCAGTATTTGGTGTTGTCAGTGTTCTGGATTTTGGCCATTCTAATAAGT
The DNA here is from genome assembly GCF_000001405.40 of Homo sapiens. Lineage (NCBI taxonomy): Eukaryota > Metazoa > Chordata > Mammalia > Primates > Hominidae > Homo > Homo sapiens. The sequence goes on along the minus strand of NC_000023.11, from coordinate 98,355,044 downwards.
GTGTAGTGGTGTCTCATTGTTTGAATTTGTATTTCCCTAATGACATATAATATTGAACATCTTTACATATACTTACTTACCATTTGTATATTTTCTTTAATGAGATGTCTGTTCAAACCTTTTGCCTATTTTTTAATCAGGTTGTTTAACAATTTCATTTATTGTTGAGTTTTAAGGATTCTTTGCATATTTTGGATAACAATCCTTTGTCAGATTTTTTTTACAAATATTTTCTCACAGTCTGTGGCTTGTCTTCTCATTCTTTTGATACTGTCTTTCATAGAGCAGAAGTTTTTAATTTAAATTTTTCTAGTTTTCTAAAGTGGAAGCCTAGGTTATTAATTTTAATTATTCTCCTTTTCTAATAAAGGCATGCAATGCTATCAATTTCCCTCTAAGTACTGCTTTTGCCATACCTCACAAATGTTGGTAAGTTTTATTTTTAGTTTTCATTTAGTTCAGACTACTTTTAAATATATCTTGAGATTTCTCCTTTGAACAATGTCTTTTTTATAAGTATGTTGTCTAATCTCCAAATATTTTTGGATTTTCTTGCTTTTTTTTTTTTGTAATTGATTTTTAGGTAAATTCCATTGTGTAGGAGTTCCCGATGACTGGTTCCTTCTGGAGTTTTTAATTCTCAGACTTGTCCACAGTGAATCTCAAACAATTCATCAATTACAGTTCAGGTTTTCCTACCCAGGCATTGGCTCCTGAGGAGATTTCTGCTCACGGATTTTCCTCTGTTAAATTATTATTGTCTATATCTGTTTGTCCGTCTTTCCAATTTTGGGGGCACCAGGTTTACTCTGTGACCTCACTTCTCTGACGGATCTAAGAAGAGTTGTTGATTTATTAGTTTGTTCATTCTTTTTACTCGTTGTTAGAATGGCATGGCTACTGGAATGGCGACTTCTAAGTTCCTTACATGCCAGACCAGAAACCGGAAGTCTGGATGTTACTTTTTGTTTTCATTTTCAAAGAACTTCCAAATAGAATCTTTTGTTTGATCCATTTGGCAATGATACTGAATTGAGCTAAATATTGTAGATAGCACTTAGCATCCAAGGAAAGAAAACTCACCAGAAGGCATAGATTATGTGCTTACACAGTGAAGGTTAGCTCCTGAAAGTATAGAATAGGGTGCTTTCAGCTTCAGCATGATAGCTTTTATGGCAAAAACCTCTTGCAGTCTCCAGAGGTATTGCAAATGATCCACAGGTGTAGATGGTTTGAGGCAACAGATGGGTTCTTGAACATTTGTGTGCAAATTGAATTTTTTTAATTGAATCTGATTTAGAATTCATTTTAGGAGAGCTATATATTTAAAGTAGCCCTTTGGTGAATTCTTTTGTGAAATGAATAATTACTTCCTAATTTATCTTTTTTGAAAATGCAAAGTTTTATATGTGGTACTTTCTTAAAGTTAAGTACCAATTCTAGGCCTGTGTAGGAAGCATAGTATACTCATGGCTCTTGGTAACAATATAGCTCATTTTTCTATAATATGACAATATGCTGAGTATAAATAACTGAATATATCTTATATGCAGTGTTATGTTTGGAAACAGAAGTGGCCTAGAATTATGGGCTTGAAGAATAATAGCAATTTGAAGAAGTCTAAATAAACTGAATGTTCAGTCAGCATTGACTAACTTAATGTTAATAATGCAGATTGAAATGACACTGCACTAATTATTCTGATTCTACGGGTCATTAGATCTATATATATAGGGCCCAGGGATGTGAATTTTTGGCAAACGTTCTGCACTGTCTAATATAGTAGTAGTCATTAACTACTTGTGGCTATTTAAATTTAAGTTAATTAAAATTAAATTATATTTCTCTGTGGCATTAGTCACATTTCAAGTGCTCAATAGCCACATGTGGCTAGTGGGTACTATACTAGATAGCACAGATTATAATGTGTTTCCATCATCTTGGAATGTTCTATTCAACAGCAATGTAGTGATTTTAATAACAGGCAATATTGGGAAACAACAGTTTAATTACAAAAGGACTCTTCTCAGAGAGAGGATCTTGAAGCCCTGGTTGTAGGCCCCACCAGAGGTAACTTTCTGTAATATTAGTTTATTTGTTGCTATAGGCGCCATAGAGAGCCACTGTGCTGAGAAGTAAAAAGTCTTATCTCTCTCAATGTTAACCTTTATCATATAAATAATAACTTCATGCTTCTGCCTTATAGGTATGACTTTAAATGAAAAGAGGGGTTTTCATTGACCACAAATGAAAATCAGTTTTATTACTTTAGAAGCACACCTCAAAGACTGCATAAGCAACTGTGTACTTTCTGTAGAGGGTGCAAATAGAATTGATAAATTCCAAGTCAAGTAATAAATTTCAGCTGGTGATATTTTCCTAGGATAAATTTAGTAGAAGGCAGGAAATGTGTTATTGAATTCATATGTTATATTAAAAGATATTATAGAACCTCAGAAAGTGCTCAGCATTTATAGCTCAGAAGAACTTTGGTACAAAGAACTGGTATCCTTTCCTTCTTTCTGTAATAAATTAGTAAATGAAACAAAAGCCTCTAATGTAACAGTTCTGTGCCTCAATTTCTCTCCCTATAAAATAGGAACAATAATGGTTACCACTTTATTGGAGTGTTGTGTGGATGAAATAAGATATGATAAAATCACTTGGAACAGTACTACCTACACAAAGGCTTAATAAATTTTAGCCATCGGTTTGTTAATATTATCATCAACAACATCACAGAGTTATTCATGCACCTGGGAATAGAACTGGACTTGCTAACATTTTAGTCCATCTGTTTGTATTGTGTTGTTTCAAATTATACTCTACCATGTTCCATAATATTTAATAGACTCACTTAGAGTGCCTGGGATCTGGGATGTCTCTGGCATAGCAGGAACTGCCTGAAAAACCCATTTTTGTCCTGTGCTTTTTATTCTCCAGTTCAGTCAACCTAAATCTTCAAAGAACTTGAGAAAACTGAAGACCTAGAAATGGATCAGGCCTTGAGACTCTGAAGGAATTCGCAAGTATTCAAAAAAGTAAAACTATCTCTATTTCTAGTTGTCTATTTTGGAAAAAAAATTTAACAGACTGCTCTATTTACAGTAAATATCTAAATATGAAATGACAAAAATAATAATATTTTTTTCTTTTTTAAATTCAGTCCACTGATGACCCCTGACAGGTAGGACTTTGGACTAAATGTCACTTTCTTGGTTTGAGTATCTACCAGAAATTTCAGTGTTTCTGACAAGGATTACATTTTCAGTATGGTTATTCTTTGACTTGTTGTTTATCAAGCCTCTAGCTAGTAGTTCATCTTGCACTTGTGTGTTATAGTCATCGTTTCTTGTTGAGGTCAGTGATTCTGACAGGATGTGTATTTTTCACTCTCTAATATATAAATTTACATAGTAGCATATCTGACTGGGAAGAAGGATCATGTATTGTTATGGTTTTGATGGGTAAACCTTTGTAAAGAGTCAAGTTCTTTGAGCCTAGATTGAATAAGTCCACTGGGCTTCCAGTAAAACAGATCAAAAACCAAAGGAAAATAACCATATTATAGAGTAGATTGTAATTTAGTCATTTAAAAATAATTAAACCCTCACAATCAAAATACATTTAAAGATCAGGTAATTCAAAGTAGTGTGTTCTGAATAGCCTCCCAAGGAACCATTTTGTGAGATACATAAAAGACTGCTTTGTTTCAAACATTTCTCATCTCCTGTTGAGCCATGACTAAAGATCTTGATTTTGCATGTTCTCTAGGAGTCACCTCCCACTCATCACTTGGCTGATCTTATGGTCCCCTTTTCCACCCACCTCAGTCTTTGCATGGGCTTTCCCTACTACTTTTTAATGCCTCCCTTCTGTTCCATCACAAAGCCCACATTTTATTGCTTTCTCTGCTAAAGCCTTTAACACCTCCTTTGTCCCAGCCAATTACTGAAGAAGCAAGTTAATTGGGAATGTAAAATACTGGGAACACAAGGATTTTTTCTTAAGCCTTTCTCTAACCCCCTCCCTACCCAACCCCTGACTAGTTTTACCAGTAATAGCCTCATTGGAAATCCCTGCTCTCTCTTCCTTCTTTATGGACAAGTTAGAATAGTATGTGTTTGCCTTTCTAGCACTGTCTTGTTGCAGGCTGAAACAACGGAAAGCATTTTAAAGAGGTCCATTTAGAGGGCAGTCATCAAAGAAAGATCCATTTGAATTCACTCTTTCACCTGCACTATTCCCAAACTGGGCTTGGGTTGGGATGAGAATCATTCAGAAGCATATTAATAACCCCAGAATCAGAATCTGTAGAGTGGTGCCTTAGGTATCTGATTCTTTTCAAAGTGTTCCAGGTAGACTTGATTGTCCATGGGCAGACATTTAGGAACTCACTGGTGCCTGCCTCCTACATTCCCTCTTAAATATTGTTGTGGTAGAAGAGAAAGTTCTGGGCTGATTAGTAATGCTTTTGTGTGCTGATACTCCCTCAAGTCAGCACAGATAATTGAGGAGTTCATTTATTAACTTTTGTAAATTATCATAATAGAACACAAAAGGCCCCAAGCAAAAAAGGAAGATGGGATTCTTGTCTAACAGAAGATTTGTTTGTATCTTATTCAGTTTAGCAATGAAGAAAAGAAAATGAGAAAAACACTGTCAGTGCAAAAGCAGAAAGGTCACAACAACCAGACTGCTGATGAAAACAGGCTGCTATTGTACTTAGCCAAATTCAGATTGCTTTTACCATAGAACTACTTATATAATTTTAATCTTTTTTTCTGACTTCTGTTTGTGTTCAGTTATCTTCCTTTTAAGTTATCAGGCAGCACACTTGGGGAAGTTTGCCTGTGTGTTATATCTGCATTAAAAACATTACTCTCATCCAGTACACTTGCCTACTGTTAAAAGATAATTTTCAAAAATAAAAATTATGACTCTTTCACAGATATAAAGTGACATGTGTTAGTGATTTCAAGTCATTATTAATGAGAGAATCTGGCAACTTTTACAGTGGGTACAAAGACACATGTATAGATCTAGAATATTGAAATGAACTTGCAAATGGGGGTAAACTTTTTTTTTTTTTTTTTTTTTTTTTTGGCAGAGGTGGCCTCCCTCTTCTGGATAGAATTCACTTCCACATCCATAGACAAGAATCATTTGCATTATTGCCATCAGTTCCTTAAAATTTAGAGTTGTACAATGGCTCAAGGGCAATCAAAGGTTAGAACCTGATAATCTAAAAGGGTGTGCTCTAAACAATGCCTCGTTTTCACTAAAGCACAAAATTTTCCCTATACTAATGAAGAGTATGTAATAACTCCCTATTGCTATTAAATTCGAACTTCTGTGCTTGACTTTCAAGCCTGTCCTGAACTTGTTTACTTTATGCTATTCCCTTGATTTATCATGTTCTCTTTTCTGACTTCCAATTTTTAAAATCCTATTTTTAGATAACTTTAATTTGATTATAAAATCAATAATTTCACACATTCGGGAATTTAGTAAAATACAGAAAAAAATTTAAAGACATTGAAAATGACTGATAATTCTACCACATCTGGAGGAAGAGATACGCCAAAACGATTGTTAAATAAAATTTATAGGAGACCATAGATTTGGACTGAGCTCTTAACACTAGTCTCCAATAGACCAGACCAAAATGAAGTCACTCATGCTAAAATTCCAGGTCACCAAACCGAAACTAAGTTGTTTATCTGTTTACATTCCAAGAAATCTGGAGAGATAATGGCCAAATCCCGAACAGATCTGTTTTAGCCAGCATGAAAAGGAAGTCCTCTCTGCTTTAACCCTTACAAGAAAAGTAACCTGGAGTAATCTCATGTTAACCAATCCCCTTTTTGTATTATGCTGTTTCCTTGCTCCTGCTCAAGCTACCTTATGAAAACTGACTGTTATTTCATGCCCAGCATTGTGCCTCTCTACTTTTAGATGAGATGCTAGCCAATTCATGAATTGCAAATAAAAACAAATTAGCTCATTTAACTAAATTTGTTGAAATTTTATATTTTGACACTATTAATTGTCAAAGAAGTTTGGAGGCATTTTCACCTAATATTCCAAAGCTCTCAACATCGAATTTGCCAATGGTTCTACCCACCTATCAAATGAAGATTCCACCCTTGACTTTGGCCTTGATTTCAGAAAGTTAACACCTGCCAACTCACTGTGCTCTTTTTTAACTTTAAGCAATATTTCTACAATGCAAACTTAGTCTTTATGTTCTATCCTAACAAAGAAGAATACTCCTTGTTCTTCTATAGCCACACATCAGTGGCATTCCCACATGCTTCTTTATGAAACTGCAGCTGAGCTTCTACATAAAGGGCATCAAAGGCATTCAGGAAATTGGGAACACTGAACCAGTTTTTCTCCATTTTCTTTGGTTTGGTAACAGCAGGTAAATGGAGGATGAGATATTCCAGGGGTTTTACACAAAGTTGTTGCTGATGCTCAAAGTCCTGCACTATGCCTAGTGTGTCTTTCTTTCCTTAGGGTGCAGACTGCTAGTCAATGCCATGTTCTTTAATCTTAGATCCAGAATCTTAAAGATAACATGGGTCAGTAGCCTTCCTACACCCACATCTTCAAGACTTTCAGTGGACAACCCAACAGTCACAAAGCTGGAGAGACCACTAACCTCAAATACAGGAGCCAATGACACATTGCCAACAGATGAACACATACATAAGATGCATGCTTGGCCCTCATTGGTGGTTCAATGTTTAACGAGTGACTCTATTAAAACAAAAATTCATAAATGATTGATTTGATTTGTAGCATCTGCCAATTTTCATGATATAAACTCACCATGGTTGATTTTAAGCTACTACCATGGTATTACTGAACATGGAGTTGGGAAGAGATTTGTGCTGAATAGCTTATTGCAAGGAAGTAGGAGCCAGCTTTCGCACATCACTGCCTCCTGCCCACCACCACCACCCACACAGAGGCCTATGCATGGAGGACACCTGGCCAGAGCTAGCTTCAGAAAGAGCCACACTAACAGTAGCTGGCTTCGGATGATCTCCCCAAGTAACCCACAAGCCTTTTGTGGCTAGTGGGCCTTAAATGATCATATTCTCTCTCCTTCCTCGTGCCCTTTGAGTTGGACCTAGGTCACCTTGTACAAGTATTCTAGCCCAACTATACAATGATGCCAATAGGCCAGAGCCAATTTCCTTCCACACCATCATAAAATATATCCTGGGAAAACTCCACTCCAATGGGACCCTTGTATTCTGAGGCTCTCTGGAGCTAAGAGGGTTCCACTAGACATAAAAACCTATTATCAGGGTTCAAATTTTCTTTGTGGAAGGCCAAGTGGTCATATAGACATGGACTTATGCAGACTCAGGGAGAGGTCTTAATAAGCTATTTTTATTTTTTCATAGCTTTATAAAAGTATAATTTACCTACTGAATAATTTGCTCATTTTAAGTGTATAATTCAATAATTTTTAGAAAATGTACAGAGTTGTACAGCCATTACTATGATCTAATTTTAGAACATTCCATCACCTCAAATAGAAACCCCATACCCTTAAGCAGTTATTCACATTCCTGATACCACCCACCAAAACCACCATCCCATCCCCACCTCTAAGTAATCATTTTCTGTCTCTATAGATTAGCCTATTATGGACATATCATATAAATGGATTTATCCAATAAAACCTGTTGCATGTGGCTTCTTTCACTTACCATAATGTTTTACAGATTCATGCATGCCATAGCATGTATCATTGCTTCTTTTTATTGCTGAGTAATATTCCATTTTATGGATATATTGCATTTTAAAAATTCATTCAGAAGTTGAATATCTGTGATTTTTTTTTTGACTTTTTGGCTTCTATGAATAAAGCCACTATGAACAGTAGCGTGCAAGCTTTTATGCAGACACATCTTTTTGTTTCTGTTGGGTAGGTACCCAGGATTTCAGTTGTTGGGCCGGAGGCTGCTTTTATGCCTATCTGACCAGGACCAAGAATACCTTCAGAATGATCTCAGAAAATGATTCAAATAATACATTGATGCTGTCTCATCCATATCAGGTTCTCAGTTGCCTCCCCCTCCACCTGTCTGTATCCCTTCTACAGCTTCTCTTTTTTCCTACTTTGTTTCCCCTGGCCATCCAAGCAAGAGTTGTTCTCCAGAATCTCACCTTGCACTTATTTTAGAGTCAGTTGTATTTTCACCTATTTGATATTTTTCCTGCCTTAACTCAACATTATCTATCCTAGATTAGCTGAGCTTGCCATTTCATGTAGTGGGTGGTGATAAGACTCTTAAGGTATCTTCTACAGGCTCTCTTTGATATAAGGAGTCCTCAGGAGAGGATGGAGGAACTTGGATAGCCAGCAGCTACTGTATGTGCTTTCTTGGAAATAAGACAACCTCTGCTGTAACTTTTCTGGTCTCTGAGGCAAGTGTCTGTATTACTCTTTTTCTACTAGAAATATAATACATTTTATTGACTTTTAAAGAGTCTTTGTTGAAATGATCTTTATAAATACAGTATAAAGTTGTGTATTATCCTTTTTATTGACAACAATATAAGTATTTTTCAATCATGAGTAGTTCTTCAAAAACTTCATTTCAATAGCTGCATACTATTCCCATGTATTCCTCTACTATAATTTATTTGATCATTTCTCTATTTGAGACGCATTCAGGATTTTTCACTGTTACAAGGTGTGCTAAGATGTATTTGGCTGCATTTTTAATTTCTTTGGTTGGATTCTTATTGGATTCACTGAGACCAAGGATGTGAATATTTTTGAAGCTTGTATTCCTGATTTCAAGGCCAAATTTAATTCGACCTCTACCATAAAGGCTTCTCTGGCCACTCTAGCCCAGTGATCCACCTTTTTCTCTGAACCAATTGTGCTTATAGCTATTAGCACATGTGAATTTCATTTAATTTTTCCCTAATTATTCATTTTCTTTTGTTTTTGCATTAATGGTTATACTGCAAACTCCACAAGAATGCAGACCATGCTCTGTATTTTATTTGAATTATTCACAGAATTTTCTTCCAGTTGCATGAAAAGAGAAATAGTATTCTCAGTCCCTCAGAAAACAAGCATTTCAAAGGACAAGTGACACTCTTCTAAACACAGAAAATATGAATTTGTTGACATTATAGCTCATTTGAGTCTGCTCTCTTAACCTTCTAAGTTTGATAACCCTATTTCTTCAATTATTGGATTTGCATATTGTAGTAACACTAGACAAGCTTAGATTTTATGTTATAACCACTTCTTCTCTAGCCTATGACCTTTTGTACTTGAATTAGTAGAATAGATCTACCTAATCCTTTCTGTAACTAAAATGTACACCCTTCCAAACATCCTGAGTTGTTTTCATTAACCCTAAGAAAGAGTCAAAACAGTATATAATAGCATAAACCTCATGTTGACTGCTGTCCTTGATTTACTAAACAGTCAAATGTGAGATTTTTTTTTTTTAGTCAAGCATACTAGAAAGATCAGAGATCTAGAAAGTAAGAAACATGGGAAGGGGGTGCCTCAAGGTAGCTGGCTAGAAGCATCTGGTACTCACCTACTTCACAAAGAAGAACCAAAACAGTGAGTAGACAATCGCAGTCCAAATAGATCATCTAAGAGAACTCCAGAACTCAACAGAGAAGTGACAGGAAATACCTAAAACGAAAAAGCCGAGGGAAGTAAGACAGTCTGCTCAGCTGAGATTAGCTGGGAGCCCAAAGTAGCTTCCCAATGCGGAGAAAGAGTAAGCAAGAGACCCCAGAAGATTCACATTCACACTGTGGACTCCTGGAATTCTAACCATAGGAGAGCCACTCAACCCTTGCAGGCTCTGAGAGTAACATAGAAAGCTGCCTGGAGACTGCATGAAGGCATTGCTCCAGAGAAGGAGCTCACACTGGGTCCCACACACCCCGAGTCTTAAGCAACTACAGCACAGCACCATTTTGAAAGCCCAGCCCCAACCAGACTGCATTCAGCCATGGGGCTCAACAGCTCTGTATCTCCACATCCCTAGAGCCCCATTGACATCCCCTGCCTGCAGCCACTGACACTGTTGGCTGCAGCTGCCAGGGCCAAAGCACAACACATTCACAATGACCCCACAGTCCCTGGCAGCAAGGCCACCACACATTTTCATGTGCCCTGAGGACAAACTCCCCCTACCTGCAGACTGCTGCCACTGAGTACCAAAGCATGCTCCACTGGCAGTGACCCTGCTCCCCCTTTGCCAGCACAGGGGCTGCTGTGCATTTACAAGTGCTCCAAAGTTGGGCTTCACTGCTCGCAGTCACAACAGGGGCTAAAGCATGTATCCCCAGCTGTCTGTCTATGGCTACTGACACTGAAAGCAATTCTGCCTTCCCCAGGATCAAGGCTATAGTATAGCCACTACCACCCATACCCAATCACTCCACCAGGAGCTTGGGGATCACCCCATCCCTTCCCACCTTAGTCAGCACCCAAAAGCTGGCTGGCTTGAGGACAGGTCCATCATACCTGACTTTGAGTCCCCACCTTCTACCCAGTGTCTGAGCATGTTGTCCGGGAGCCTGGGGACTGTTTTGTCCAGTCTATCACTGTTGGCACCTCAGCACTCCTCTTGGGGCCTTGAAGACAGGCCCACCCAACCTGAAACTACCACCACAGCTGGCACCCAACTACATGCACCACTTGCAAGCCCAGGGCCTGGCCCTGCAAGCTCATCACAGCCACTGCCAACACCAATGCAGATTGTTTAGGAGCCAGAAGGTTGTCCTGCCACTACCATGATACCATGATAGTCATGATACCATGACTGCCATCACTATTGCCATGCCTGCTGCCTAGGGGCCCAAGGACCTGCCCACATACCTGAATGATTGCTGGCACCTGGGCAATCCCACTGCTGGTGCAAGAATCAACTTGCATGGATCTGCTAACAACAATGCCTGCATACTACCCTAGGGCCCCAAAACAGTCATACTCAGCACACTGCTGTGATCACTGGGGCTTGAGGACTGGCCCACCTAGTGTTCCTGCCCCCAGCAAAACTTCACGACAGCCTCCACTAACAACCACACATTAAGACATGAAGGAAATAGCAGATGCCACTGATGATATTTAGCCAAATAAAGTATGTGGAGCCTACACTATTGCACACAGCCAAGATCAATGCCTACCCAACAACATAGATGTAGCCAAAAAAAATTCAAAATAAAGATATTAAAGGAACTCAGATACAAAGATAAATACAAATAAATCACAGATAAATAATACAAATAAATCAGAAAAAAAATGCAGGATATAAATGAAAAAGTTACCAAAGAGATACGTATCATAAAAAAAGAACCAAACAGAAATCCTGGAACAGATGAATTCATTGAATGAAATGAAAAATACATTCAAGAGCTTCAACAATCAACTAGATCAAGCAAAAGAAAGAACTTTAGAACTTGAAAACAGGTTTTTTGAAATAATTTAGTAAGACACAAAAGAAAATAGAAAAGAATAAAGCCTACATGACATATAGGATGCCATAAAGTGACCAAGTATTTGAATTTTTGGCATTCCAGAAGGCTAAGATAAAACCAAAGAGATAAAAAACCTATTTCATGAAATAATAGCTGAAACTTCCCAAGTCTAGCAAGATATTTAGACACTCTGATAGAGGAAACACAGAGATCCCTAAATACATGCAGTTCAAAAAGGTCGTCTTCAGATCACATTAGAGTAAAACTGTCAAAAGTCAAAGACAAAGAGGCTTCTACAAATAGCAGAAGGAAAGCATTTAGTGACTTAAAGGAGAACCTCAATCAGATAATAGCATATTTCTCTGCAGAAACCTTACAAGCCAAGAGAATGGAATGACATATCCAAATTGCTGAAAGGAAAGGACTACCAGCCAAAGATGCTTTACCCAGCAAAGTTAGCCTTCTTAAATAAAGGTGATATAAAGTCCTTCACAGAAAATCAAAAGCTGAGGGAATTCATCAGCACTAGACCAGTCCTACATTTGGAAGTGAAAAAACAATATTTACCTTCATGAAAATATAAAAAGTATAAAACCCACTGGTAGAACAAACATACAAATAAGAAAAAGAAAAAATTTAAATGTTACCATTTTAAAAGAAAAGCACCAAACCCCAATTATAAGAGGAAAAAGGAACAAAGGGTATTAAACCCCAAGAAATCAATTCATAAAATGACAGAAATAAGACCTCATATATCAATAGTAACCTTGAAAGTAAATAGATTAATCTTTCCACTTAAAAGATATAGACTGGCTGGATAGATTTAAAAAAATTCAAATATATCCTGCCTACAAGAACCTCACCTTACCTATAAAGCACATATAGACTGAAAGTAAGGGTGTGGAAAAAGATATTGCCTGCAAGTGGAAACCAATAGTAACCAGGAGTAGTTACACTTATATTAGATAAAACACACTTTAAAACAGTAAAAAGAGATAAGGTCCTTATATAATAATAAATGGAACAATTTAGCAGGAGGATATAATTCTAAACATACATGCACGCAACACCAGAGCACCCAAATACATAAAGCAAATATTATTAGATTTAAAGGGAGAAATAGACTGTGATACAATAATAATTGGGGACTTCAACACCCCACTCTCAGCATTAGATCATCTAGACAGAAAATTAAATAAAATAGTGGATTTAAATTGCACATTTGATCAAATATACATAACAGACATTTATAGAACATTCCTTCCAACAGCTACAAAATACACATTCATGTCAGCACATGGAATATTCTTCAGGATAGACTATGTGTTAGGCCACAAAACATGTCTCAACAAATTTTTTAAAAGCAAAATTATATCAAGTATCTCCACAGATCACAATGGAATAAGACTAGAAATCAGGATCAAGAGGAACTTTGGAAACTCTACAAATGCATAGAAATGAAACAATATGCTTTTGAATGACCATCATGTCAAGGAAGAAATTGAGAAAATAAAACAATTTCTTGAAACAAAATTGAAACAAAGCTTCCCAAAACCTATGGAATACTGCAACAGCAGTACTAAGAGGGAAGTTCATAGCAATAATTGTGCAAAAAAGTAGAAAGATTTCAAGTGAACAATCTAATGATGCACTCCAAGAAACTAGAAAAGCAAGAATAAACCAAATTCAAAATTAGTAGAAGGAAAGGAATAGTAAATATCAGAGCAGAACTAAAAATAGAGACAACAAAATACAAAGAATGAAAAAAATGTTTTTCCAGAAAGAAAAATCTCAAGCCACTAGCTAAACCCACCAAGAAATAGAGAAGATGCAAAAAAACCAAAATCAGAAACAAAAAAGGAAATGGAACAATTGATAGCACGGAAATACACAAGATCATCAGTGACTATCATAAACACCTATATGCTAACAAACTGGAAAAACCTAAAGAAAATGGATAAATTCCTGGACACATACAACCTACCAACATTGAATCAGGAAGAAATAGAAAACCTGAACAGAACAACAGCACATCCAAAAAATGATACACCATGATCGAGTGAAATTTATCCCAGTGATGCAAGGATGGTTCAACATATGGAAATCACTAGACATGTTATATCACATCAACAGAATAAATAACAAAACCATGCAATCATCTCAATAGATGCAGAAAGATCATTTGATAAAACTCAACATCTCTTCATGATAAAAAATCACTCAACAAAATAGGCATAGAAGGAGTGTATCTTGACATAATAAAGGCTGTATATGGTAACACAGCTAACATTATACTGAATGGGAAAACCTAAAGCCTTTCTTCTAAGAATTGGAACTAGACAAGGATTCTCACTTTTACCGCTCCTATTCAATATAGTCCTGGAAGTCCTAGACAGAGCAATTAGGCAAGAGATAGAAATAAAAGGCTTCCTAATTGGAAAAGAGGAATTTAAATTGTACTTCTTTAAAGATGATATCTTATAGCTAGGAAAACCTAAAGACTTCACCAGAAGGGTTCTAGATCTGATAAATTCAGTAAAGTTGCAGGATTCAAAAATCAACATTAAAAAATCAGTATTGTTTCTATACACCAATAATGAACTGAGAAATCAAGATGGCAATCCCATTTACAACAGCTACAAAAAATAAAATAACTTGGAATAAATTTAACAAAGAATGTGAAATACTTCTATAAGGAAAAATACAAAACACTGATGAAAGAAGAAATTGAAGAGGACACAAACAAATGAAAAGACATTCCATGTTAATGGATTGGAAAAATCGGCATGGTTAAAATGAAGATACTGCCCAAAGTAATCAACAGATTTAGTGCAGTCCCTACGAAAATACCAATGTCTTTCTTCACAGAATTAGAAAAATCAATCCTAAATATTATATGAAACCTAAGAAGAGCACAGCAATCCTGAGCAAAAGGAACAAAGTTGGAGGCATCACACTACCTGACTTCAAAATATATTACAAGGCTATAGAAACAAAAACAGCATGAAACTGTTATAAAAACACAGACCAATATAGAGAGAATAGAGAACCCGGAAATAAATCGATATATTTATAGCCAACTGATTTTTGACAGAGATGGCAAGAATATATATTGGGGAAAGGACATGTTCTTCAATAAATGGTGCTGGAAAAATTGGATATCTATATGCAGAAGAATGAAACTGGATTCCTGTCTCCCACTGTATACAAAAATCAACACACAATGGATGAAAGACTTAAACCTATGACCTGAAACTATTAATCTACTAGAAGAAAACATAGAGAAAACACTTCAGGACATTGGTCTGGGCAAAGACCTCAAAAGCACAGACAACAAAAATAAAAATAAATTGAACTATATGAAACTAAAAACTTCTGCACAGCAAAGCAAACAACAGAGTGAAGAGACAACCTGTTGTATGGAAGAAAGTATTTGCAATCTATTCTTCTGACAAGTGACCAATATCCAGAATATACAGGGAACTAAAACACTTCAACAGTAAAATAATAATAATCATCATCCTTTCATTAAAATGTGGGAAAAGGCATCAGTCAACATTTCTCAAAAAAAAAAAAAGACATACAAATGGCCAACAGATATATGAAGAAATGCTCAAATCATTCATCATCAAGGAAATGCAAATCAAAATCACAGTGAGATACCATCTTACTCTATTTGGAATGGCTATCATCAAAAAGACAAAAAATAAATGCTGGTGAGGATGCACAGAAAAGGGAACTCCTATACACTTTTGGTGGAAATGTAAATTAGTGCAGCCACTATGGAAAACAGTATGAAGCTTTCTAAAAAATAAACTAAAAACAGATCTACCATTTGATCCAGCAATCCTACTACTAAGAATGTATCCAATAGAAAAGAAAACAGTGTATCAGAGGGATACCTGCACCCCCATATTTATTGCAGCACTATTCACAATAGCAAAGATATAGAATCAACCTGTGTCCATCAACACATCAAAAGATCATGAAAATGTGGTATATATACACAACGGAATATTATTTGACCATTAAGAATGAATGAAATACTGTCATTTGCAGCAACATGATAGAACTGGAGGTCATTAGTGAAGTGAAATAAGCTAGACACAGAAATACAAATATTGCATGTTCTCACTCATATGTGGGAGCTAAAATTGTTCCTCTCGTGGAGGTAGAAAGTAGAATAATACATACCAGAGGTTGGAAAGTGTGTGTGGGGTGGGAGAAGGGTAATGAAGAGAGGTTGGTTAATGGGCACAAACATACAGTTAGATCAAAGGAATAAGTTCTAATATTCAATAGCAGAGTATGGTGACTATAATTAACAACAATGTATATGTGTTTCAAAATAGCTGGAAGAGAGAACTTGAAATCTTCCTAACACTTAGATAAACACTTCAGTGATGGATACCCTATATACCCTACCTGATTATTACACATTCTATGCATGTAACAAAATAGCACATGTACCTCATAGATATGTACAAATAAGTATCAATAAAAAAATTGTATAAAGAAACATGGGCTTTAGTCCCAACTATGCACTGAGTGTGAAGATTAGAATGTCACTTAACTTCCCTGGGCCTCAGTTTCTTCACCTGTTATGTGTGGCAGAATAACAGTCCCCCGAAGATGACTACCAAATTTGCTGAGCCTGTGATGACATTAGGTTGCATGGAAAAGGAAGCTTTGCAGATGTGATTAAGTTAAGGATCTTGAGATGGGAGGATTATCCTGATGGTTCTAATATGATCACAAGGGTTCTTAAAAGTGGAAGAGAGAGATAAAAGTCAGAGGAAGGTGTGACTCATGAAAAAGATGATGATGCAGGAACAAGTCAGGAGCCAAGGAATGCAGACAGCGTCTAAAAGCTGGAAAAGGAAAGGCAATAGATTTTCCCCTAGATCCAGAGAAAAACACAATGCTGTCAACTCCATGATTTTTCCCAGTGAAACCCATTTCAAATGTCTGACCTACAGAACTTACAGTAAGATAATAACTGTGTGTTGTTGGAAGCCACTAAGTTTCTGGTAATTTGTAACAGCAGCAATAGAAAACTGATATACTTTTAGGGGGATGGGATAGATGATATACCTTGTCCCAGGCCTGTCAGATGTGAATGATATAATTTCACATTTCTAACAGTAGTACTTTTTGATATCTGTTAGAAGGAATGAGGCAATCATTTTAGAAATGCTGGAATTGCTGTATTCCCCAAACATATGAAGGTGTATTTAATATCCAGGAGTATTAAAATGGAATAAAACTGCTTATCTTTGTTGGACAATTACTTGGTAATATTACTTATGCTCCCTATTTCACAGATGAGGAAATCAAGGCCTAGAGAAGTTAAGTGACTTGCCCAAGGTGACAAAGGTGAAGATGGCATCCAAACCTAAGCAGTGAGTCTCCAAAACCCAACAGTGAGCACTTCACTAGGTTACCTCTGAAGACTAGTGTAACTGTGATGATGGGGAAGCTTTCTGTGAGAAATGAAGCTTGGAATACTTTCAGGACCCCTGGCACCTATTTACTTGGAACATTTTTCAGGTCTCCAAAGTCACAATCCCACCCATCTTACAGATTTTGAACCATCTGAGAAATCCTCACAGGAGTCAGGTAGGGATCAAAGTATTTCCTGTGATGTTGGTAAATCTGACTGCCTTTAACTTGCAGTCACAATTGGGATTTCTAACACCAGCTTCGTGAATTGAACTGGCTTTTTCATGAAGCAGCAGAACCAAGAAGCCAGAGAATTCTCCAAATTTCATCAGTCAGATGAGGCATTCCTTGCTCCACAAGGAGGAGGAGGAAGAGTGGGAACGTCCACTCCTATAAGAAACGTATATTTCCGGAACCCACCCAACTTGTCCTAGCAAAGTGTTGTAATTCTCCAAGTCATCTCTTTTGTTTTAACATCTGGATTTTTCTGAGCGTGGCATTTTTTTGGTCCCAAATCTGTTTTAGAGATAGATGTTCTAATTATCTGTTCAAGAGCATAAACTTATCTATCACTGTAACATTACATTCCTTGTCTCTCCTCTTCCCTTGGGAAATATAGATCGAAAAGTGAGATGTTACCTTCTTTCCTGAATACTGAAGCAAATAATTCTTTTCAAAACTCAGCAGTTTCAGTTACTACTATAATTTTACAGCCAACACTAACACTTGTTATTTTGTATATTAAGATAAGGATAATCAAACTTGTGCCTCAAGTCATAAACTGATTGGCACGAGTCAGGATTTTTCTTTAGTATCCTGTGCATAGCATGCCTATGTTTAGGCATGTAATTATTTTTGGTTTTGGCTCCTATAGAATTGTGAAAGTTAGAGAGCCATTATTAATGAACAGATTATACCTGCTGCAGGAAACATGTGGAACTGCTCACAAATCTACATCCCTAGGAATTGGGTTGGCCAAACCTATTCTCTGCTTCCAGACTGTAGAATAATTTTTCAGGATTTTGAAAGTCATCAGTGCAAGGCAGGTACTGGTTATTTACTTTAAACAAAGCACCAGGACCTAGCCATTCTCTGAAGCTAGAAGAGGTATTTAACTTATCAGTTTTCTTACATTTCAGAAAACCTGCTACTTCCTATTACCACCCCTTTAAGAATTTCCTCCAAATTATTTACTTGTAATACTTTCACAGTTGCTTGTTGTTAAAAGTTAAATAATAAGATTCTTTATGAAATGATGGTCTGTGGGTAGGAACAGATTTAACTTTCTTAATTATGTGTTTCAGTTCTGAATGCCAGCCCTTTTCTGTTTTCAATTCCAGGTTAACCTTATAGCTAAGGCTAATTTTAAGCAATTTTTTTTTTCTTAAGGTTATAAGGATAACATAAACTCCCTACTGGTTCTCTATATAAAACCTTAGAATATTATTCAACAGAGAAGTGTACTGGAAGTCAAGAAAACAGATTCTTGTTTCTATTAAGAGTAGTACCATGACTGATTTTAGCTGTAATATATAGAGAAACAATCTTCCAAGTAATATACCCCAGATGGCTTGGCTCTCCTCCATTAAAAAGCATTGCAGTATGTAAGTACAAAGCATTTATGAATGCAAAGTAACTCTTACCATTACCAGATTATCTGAATAATTATTCTGAATAAATTATCAGATGCTATATTTATTAAATGTAAATGTATTTATCAATATAAATATACAGATGATAAAAAATGCAAAATTTAATTATTTAGCAGGTATCCATACTGAGAGTAGTACACTGTTCATATTTAGTTTTATTCCAACTTAATCCTTCTATGATAAGCAAAATAAATACATTATATTGGTTATCATACTGTGTTTTTGGACAGGCTTGTTGGATTTGTTTTTCTTATTTTGGTACTACACACACCTTGAATCTGAATATTTTGTGTGTTCCAATCTGTGAATATTTTATTTGTATGTTCTGTTGCCTTCCCTTTATACCATGTTTAATTTTTAAAAAGAATAATTATTTTTCAAAATGAGAAAAATACACTTCAGACAGTGAACAGAATCCAATAGGTGCAGTTCGAAGGTATATAAAACCTTTGAACTTGTTTATTTTGTATGATTTTTAATTCCTCCATCAGTTTCTGAATTCAATATTCTCCAAAGAGTGCCTGAAGCTTACAAGCTACTAGTCAGGCAAAGTTGGACACTGAGATTTCTAATTTAGTTTCTTTGACAGGTGAAATCACATGTATCCAGAAATTGCTGGTACTTACTCAGCTGTAACTACAGATGAGACCAGGGAGATTTTCTTGCCAGCACTGGCATTCATTTGCTTTGAGGATTTCTTTCTCACTTCTCTTTCTCTCAGCTTACAATAGATGGTCTAGTTGTTTTAGATGGATTACACCTGTTTCTGAACAAATCAAATACACTTAGAGCCTTCCCAACATACATGTGGAATTTGTGAGCTGCCAAGAAATGTACTGTTTTCCAGAAAGTATAAATCTCTAAGGCATAGTTGAACAGTCCCTGCCTTCTTAGTCTTGGCCATGCTTGGGGTTCCTGTCTTAGGCTTGCTTTGTTTTGTCTGAGACTTGATGAATTGATCTCTTCATTAGGCCCAACCACTTGAAGGCTAGGAAACACGGTTCCTTCAGTCTCTGATCCTGTATCTTAGCTCATAGTCAGTGAGCTTCAGAAGAGGTTTGTCCTTTCTCTCTCCATTCACTTCAGATTTCATAATTCTTTTCATTCTCATTAATGCAGTGTTTCCCCTGCTCACACTCATGCACACCTCAGTTCTTTTCAATAAATATAAGAAACCAAAGAATCAGCAAAGTAGTTTGGTATCTATAATCATTTGCCTGTCCCTCTAATTTTTCTTCCTTTAAAACATTGCACATTTATTTTAATCCTAGTTTCCTTTTTTAGTCACAGTTGCTACAGTATTCTTTCTCATTAATTTCATATGCATCTGTATGTGCCCTTCTCAAATTTTCTAACTGTAAAAATTATCTTTGTTTTTCTTAAACTAGATTTGTCCAAAGCTGCCCACTTAATACTAGATGTGTCCAAAGCTGCATCTGACCTTTCTAATCATCACTTTCTAAATCCTTCTGCTCAATATCCTTAAAACAAACAAACAAACAAACAAACAAAAAACAAGCGTTATCATCCTTTCCTATTCACCACTAGAAGCGCTGTGACTAAAACACAACATATTTCAATGTTTGTAGGTATTCAGCCATATGTTACTTAGCCTCATGCTCATCATAGTGGATGACATACAGATTGAGTCAAAAGGTAATCATGTTCTGAAGCCATAAAAATCTTTCAGTCTTGTCTCTTCCACTTAATGCTGCCAGTCTATCCCTGGGTAGTTAAAATCTCTTATTACTACTTCCACTCTGGCCTCTTTCCAAGTCTTTTTTATGTGCTCAAGTCATTTCACAATCTACTTGTTCCTTTATGTTTGGTGGCCTACAACATACAGTATTCCGATAGCTAGTTTACTAAAACACGTCCCAATATGTCCAACTTTAAGTCCTAACAGCTCTTCACTATTAGTAGGCTCTTTTTGATCCTTTAATATTATACAATTCCTACTCTACATTGCTTCATACCTCTTGGAGACAGGGTTCTGGTGAGTATGATTAGAGTGATGAACTTCTAAATCCTGTTCCCCATTCATGTTAGTCAAGAACATATAAACCAAGTACCTCACCTGGTATCAACCAAAAGAGGTTTATAGTAAATGATACATGTACATGTAAAACTATTCTATAAGAAAAATGTATAGTCCTCCCTAAAATTCTTGAAACAAATTTATTAAGATATATACAGTAATGGCTATGGTAACCGTGAATTCATAGCTTAAAGGTTAATAGCATTCCCACTGATTCCACCCTAGCCACACCACACTTTCATTACTTGATGTCTGTATTGTGGCAGTGGTTATGTAGCCATGATGTCTAGACGTATTTTTTTTTCTCTTAGATAAATACCTAGAATTGGAATTACTGAGTAACAGGAGTGCTATATTTTAGGGTTTTGTTTTGGTTTGGGGGGTTATTTTTTATGATACACTCTGATTTTATTCTATTCTTTGTGACTGTGATTTGTTTTATGGTAAAATATACAGAACACAAAATTCACCATTTTAACCATTTTTAAGTGTACAATTCAGTAGCATTAGGTATAATCACAGTATTGTGCAACCATCATCCCTATCTGTTTCCAGAACCTTTTTTTAATCATTCCAAACAGAAGCACTGCACCTATTTAAATACCCCATTGCCCCACCCCCAACTCCTTGTAACCTCTATTCTATTTTTTGTCTCTATAGATTTGCCTAATCTAGGTACCTCGTGTAAGTAGAATCATATTAATACAATATTTGGCCTTTATGTCTGGCTTATTTCACCTAGCATAAGCTTTTCAAGGTCCATCCATTATGTTTAATTTTATAAGAAACTATCAGACCTTTCACCAAGTATTAGTACCGTTTTATGCTCCCACCAGCAATGAATGAGAGTTCAGTTGTTCTACATTCTTGCCAACATTTGATATTGTCAGTCATCTTTATTTTTAGTCATTTTGGCAACTATTCTATATGAAAAATGACTATATGCTTTTCAGAACTGCTCTTGCTTTGATATTCTGCACCACTTATCTTAGAATTTAATGGTTCTCTGTGCATTTTGTGCATATAAATTCCTTTCACCAGATGGACTTCAAACTGCTTGAGAACAGACACTGTGCCTTACCTATTTTTATTTACTTTGTGGTACCTGGCATTGAATTAGGCTCATAGTAATTGCCAAACATTTTTTAATTGACCATTTGAGAACATACTGAATGCAAACCAAGACAGAGGGGGAATTAGCATAAAATATTAGTTCCTGTTCTATTGACAAATTTTCTTATTGCAGGTTGGGGTGTCAAAATTTTAATTTGTCTTCATTCTTGATCCTTCTCTAACTATGGATTCAAAAAACATAATAGAAAATAAAATATCAATAATATCTAAAATGGTAAGCTGGGAAGCATCTATGATGACTAAAGGATTCTTAATTCAGCCATGGATTTTATTGTGTGTCCTGGTTAAATTCATCCATGAACTTAGATTCAGAAAGACTAATGAAAAAAAAAAAAAAGAGAAAGAACATGAAAGAAACAGAGGCAAAGCCAGCATATTTACTATTCCTTTCTAGGAACAAACCCAATTGAAAACAATTCTAATGGCAAAATTTTTACCAATTAGAGTATAGCTCATTAACAGATATTATATTTTTGTGTTCATGAATAGCTTATTACATATTGGGAAATTAAGATTTTAAATGAAGATTTCTATCTTTTATATCATGTACTACTATTTGTTGAAGACTAAACCTGAATGTGATGATATTTAGAAATGGGGCTTTAGAGAGATAATTAGGTTCTAGGTGAGGTCATGAAGGTGAGACCATCTTAATGGGATTAGTGCCCTTATAAGGCACTTCATGCTTGGGCGCTCAGGCGCTCTCATTCTCTCTCTCTCTCTCTCTCTCTGTCTCTCTCTCTTTCATACACACATGCACACACCACACATACCCACAGACATACACACATGCACATGCACACTCTCTGTATCCCCTTCCTCTGTACCCTCCTCCTCCTCTGCCCCCTATTTTTGCCATGTAAGGAATCAGTGAGAAGGCAGCTGTCTATAAGCCAGGAAGAGAGTCATCACCAGAAACTGACCATGCTAGCACCTTGCTAGCCTCCAGAACTGTGAGAAAATATATTTCTGTTGTTTATGCCACCCAGTCTATGGCATTTTCTTATGGTAGCCAGAGCTAACTGAGACAAACCTACCATTCTTTTTACCAAAATTCCACCCTCCACAAAATAAGGCATTTTTCTCAGAGAAAAAAAGTTATAAATGTTGTAACTTATTTAAAATCTATAAGTAAAAGATTTAGCACTTTTATAAAGTAAAAAGTCCTGACTGGCACATAGTACATTCTGAGTAAATGTATTAGAAATTGAATCTAGCTCAATTCACACCTGTAACATTAGCCTGCAGCAGAGCAAAGCTTATCATATAACCATAGCCAATCAACTTATATGTCTTATGATTTGAGAGGACTCGTGGTACCTCCTTCTTTAAAACAACTATCTATCTTAATAGCCAGCTACCCTTAGATATCAATTCCTTGCTAAAGAAAGCATTAGCCATAGTTTAAATGCAAATGTAGTTTTGAAGGTACATTAAAGCACTGTCAATGGTAAACACCTTAACAAGGATTAGTAAATAGGATCACCAAGCAGGATATGAAGAATGGAAATGTAGAACATGTGGACAGACGACTTTGTATTTTCTGGTGGGTAGAGATGGATGGAGAGTAAAGTAGATGAAAGCAGTCATCTAGAGTAGTGGTGGGAAAGTAGCTAACATTTAAACATTGGGAGAATTCACTTGCAAACTTAGATTTCTAGTTTCTGTTGAAAAATCAGACCTAAAAGCCCTAGGTCAGCATTCTTTCATGAGAGATGCTACTTTTTAAAGTTTTTTAAATTTTATTTTGTAATTTCAATAGGTTTTTGGGGAACAGGTGGTGTTTGGTTACATGAATAAGTTCTTTTGTAGTGATTTCTGAGATTTTGGTGCACCCAGCTCCCGATTAGTGTATCCTGTACACAATGTGTAGTCTTTTACCTCTTGCTCTGCTCCCACCCTTTCCCCCGAGTCCCCAGAGTCCATTGTGTCATTCCTATGCCTTTGTGTCCTCATAGCTTAGCTCCCACTTATGATTGAGAACATATGATGTTTGGTTTTCCATTCCTGAGTTACTGAACTTGAAATAATAGTCTCCAATTCTATACAGGTTGCTGCGAATGCCATTATTTTGTTCCTTTTTATGGCTGAGTAGTAGTCTATGGTGTGTGTGTGTGTGTGTGTGTGTGTGTGTGTGTATACATATATACACACACACACACACACCACATTTTCTTTATCCACTTGTTGATTGATGGGCATTTGGGCTGGTTCCATATATTTGCAATTGCAAATTGTGCTGCTATAAACATGCTTGTGCAAGTATCTTTTTTGTATAATGACTTCTTTCCCCTGAGTAGATACCTAGTAGTGGGATTGCTGGATCAAATAGTAGATCTACTTTTAATTCTTTAAGGAATCTCCACACTATTTTCCTTCGTGGTTGTACTAGTTTACATTCCCACTAGCAATGCTAAAGTGTTCCCTTTTCACCACATCCTTGCCAACATCTATTATTTTATGATTTTTTTTTTATTACGGCCATTCTTGCAGGAGTGAAATGGTATCACATTGTGGTTTGGATTTGCATTTCCCTGATAATTAATGATGTTGAACATTTCCATATGCTTGTTGGCCATTTGCATATCTTCTTTTGAGAATTGTCCATTCATATCCTTAGCCCATGTTTTGATGGGATTGTTTGTTTAGTTCTTCCTGATTTGAGTTTTTTGTAGATTCTGGATATTATTACTTTGTTGGATGTATAGATTGTGAATGTTTTTTCCCGCTCTGTGGGTTGTCTGTTAACTCTGCTGATTATTTCTCTTGCTGTGCAGAAGGAGAGCTGCTACTTTTAAAAGGGTATTTGTTCTCGCTTTTTCTATAGTCCCTACCATATCCCATGTCTCTCATACCAGGTGTAACTTCATTATGGTATCTGCCAAGCCCCTGGAGGCCTTTCAGTTTGCCATGAAGGCCTAAGGCCTAGGAGGGTAAAGCTAAGTGTGACAATGATTGAGAAGAAGGGACCTCTGGGCACTGAAGGGTGAAAGAGATGTTGAACACAAAATAGTGATGACAGGGAGCGAGACTGCTTAGGTAGGTGACATGGCTTGCCTGTGTAAAGTAAATGCAGGTGAGATTACTTTATAATCTAAGCCTTCATTTTCTGATATGCCTCCTATTTTTCATATTTCTCTAAAAAATTAATTAGATGGCCATATGATACAATTATTATCATAAACTATTTCCAATTCACTACATTTCCAATTTATTCTCACAATTTGAAAATAATCTGTAGTTACCATTCTGAATATCTGTATTGTTCAGGATGATAAAAGTGAATGAAATATTTTGGTGTTAATCTCCCACATTTGTAGTATCATTTTGAATAATTCATTGTCTCAGAAGTTCCCACTTTCAAATGGATTTCTTATTTCCAAATTATGTTAACCCGATAAATACAAAGTAATGTAAGTAAGGTTACAAAAACACATTAGTGTTATCAAAATGTGATGATACATACACATGAATTTGTTTCATGGAGTGTCTTTTGTTACCTTGAAACTGGGAAGTGGTTGTTATGTTTTAAAGCCCGACAACCTCCTTGAGGTAAATAAAGAGTATTATTATTAGCTGACATAATAAAGCACTTAGCATAGTATCTGAACAAAATGAATACTTAATAAATGTTATCTATCTTCCCAGACCCACCCACTTCCTTCCTACAACTTTCTATTTTAGAAAGGGAAATTGAATTAGAATGAGCCTAATAACACTCTATATGTGGAGCCCCTTACCACCTCATATAAAACTTTGCCGAGAAGCTAAGAATATTACAAGGGTGGACAAATGAGAAGGCAACTAGTCTTTCATATTTAATAGCAGCTTAATCTCAGAAATAAATATAAGAAATGGGCAATCAAAACCATTTCTTTCATCTTGATTCCTTGTGTGGGGTGTTTAGTCAAGACCTTTGTTCATGGGCAGACACATTGTGGGAAATGCTCTGGTTAATAATGATGGCAGGAATTTTTGTCTTTTTCACCCACTGCTGTGTCTAGCATCTAGCAAAGTGCCCATCAGATAGTATGCACTCAATATTAGCAGAATGAGTGAATGCAGTAATAAGCTAGAAGGCATAGTCCCTGCCCTTGAAGAGTTTGAAGTTGAAACAAACAAGTAACAAAATATAACATGGAACATAACTAACTTACAAAATTGCATGGGTATAAATGAATATATCCCATTTACCTCTCTCTTTTATCCACCCCAATAGTTTCACCCTAAAATGCATGTAAATAGGCAGAATGAAGCAAACAAGAAATGTGTAATTTTTGATGACGTTTATGGCATTTTTGATCTCAACTCACACACTTTTGCTGTGCTAGTGCTGATCCCAAGTTACAAGGTCATAGGTTGCAGAAGTTTTTGCTTTATTATCTAGATTTCCTAATACTGCTTCTTTCCTCAGTCAAATACTTTCATCTAGATTTTTGTTCTTAAAGAATAAGTGTGTGTGTCTGTGTATGTCTGTGTGTGTGTGTTGAGGGGTGGGAATAGGGGTTGAACATGATGTTTAATTAGATCCATGATGTTCCAAAGCATGATGTTTGTGGCAACCCTGTATATATTGTTGCTTCCTTTGAACTCCAGAAAGAGAATTATATTTTTTTAGTATAATCCTTAACATACAGCTCCTCCTAGCAGCCTGGAGCTTCACACTGAGATCTTCCCATTGGCACACTAAGCAGCTGTTCCCATTGGCACACTAAGCCGCTCAAAAAGCAATACCCTAAAATGAAGGCTTCAGAAGCAGCCTCAGAAGCAAAAGTTTTTATCTGTCCTTCTCCTGCCTTCATGTCTCTCAGTCCCATTCTCCCCTAAGGCTAGTCATAGAAACTAGAATCTCTTTTCCCCAAGATGGATCATAGAACCAGAACCCCTTTTCCCCAAAGCCAGCCGTAAAACCTACAAATATTACACTAACTTTCCCTCCATCTTTCTGTGTAAATACTGGCCATAAGTAAATTATCTGATATACCTTATTTGACTGTAGGTAATAAGAACCCCATTCCATAAAGGTTCCTACCCCATACCCAGAGGAAGAATTGCATGCTCAGGGAGGCCAAGAATCTAGACAGACAGGCCTTGCTGGATTTCCCCACTCAGGCTATTAGCAATAGAGCATACCATTTTTGTCCAATCATATTTCCGCATGGCTGTCCATACTTTGTTGAACCAAATCATAAAAATGGACAATTTCCTATGTATCTCTGGGGCTTCAATACAGTTGTATGTCTTTTCTTCAATGAATCTGCCTTTTGTGAGTTGATTTTTTCAGTGAGCCTTCAGGGAGCCCTTTGGCTTCTACACAGAATTTTCACATCACTGTAGTTGCCAGATCCTGTCTGTGTACTGTGAGGGGAAACATGGAGATGGGACTGACCATATCTTCACTAATCTTCATTAATTTTTCAAAAAGGTGGAATATCAGAGAGAAGACAATGAACAAAGAGAGTAAATATGTGAGCAAATACAGTAGTCCTCACCATGTATCCAGTTGCTCAATGGATGCTCTACTATAGAAGCTCTGTGACAGCAGAAACCTTATCTGTCCTGCTTCTGCTCTAACTCCAGCACTTAAAACAGTGACAGACACACAACTGGTGCTCAGCAAACATTTGTTGAATGAATACATTCTATGTAAAGGAGTGATTATAATTAAGGCTCAAAGTGTAGGAAGGCAGGGTAGAGTTACATGACAGTAGTTATGCATAGGAGAAACAGCAAGTCGATTAGCTTGTAAGATGCCAAGTAATTGTGGCTGAGAGATATAAGGTAATGTATCCAGAAGTAATAAGTTATATGTAGGAAAGTCATATCATTTATTACCCACATCTGGAAATTTTTAAGAATGAAAGAGGATACTTAATAATTGTTCCAGGATGACATGTATAAATCAGGACCATCCTGGGCAATCTGAGATATATGGTTACCCTCCTTACATGACAGTAAGTAACCTTAGTATGGGGTTAGGTTGGTGAAAATAAAGTTTGAAAAAGATTGCATTAGTTTCCATAATAGATATACACTTTAATTCTGAAAGAGAGCGAGAAAGAGACTAGAAAACCTGCTAGAATTGTAATCATGATCTGTGCTTGAAGTGACATATAATAGCTTTGATAACAGAGAAGAAGAGGTGGATCTGAAGAAGCAAGCAGATTCAAGCAACCAAGGAATATAAATGTTCAGGCATAATACTGCCTGCCGTGTTATTTCAAAACTATATAAAATGCAAGCTCTGATAAATTCTATAATCAACTAAAGTTGTCTTATAGCTCTTTAATACTGGAAAACTTAACCTCTCTGACCTTCAGTTACCTAAAGTACCTTCAGTTAACTGAAGGTAATTTATTCAGATGAACCTCATATTTTCAAACCATTTTGGAAATCCAAATTGGTCCCTTCAAACTAGTAAATTTTTTTTAATGTTAACCCCAAAATTTCTTTAGTAATTTTCTCAGGTTTCTTGAAAGCGCCTTAAAACAAAGCAAAAACTTAAGCTATAACTATAAAATCAGGATTTTTTAAAGTCCTTCATGATTAAGCAATGACTCAATTTATGCCTAGAGTTTGTTTTCAAAGGATATTCTTTCCAAATGCATCTTGCATCTTTCCTATATTCAGAGAACATTTATAATGAAAATCACAGGAAAAATGATTAGATTTGGAAGATTTTGAGTTCCTCCTGGTAACTTTTGATTTTAAGAAAGAAAAATATGGAGCAAAGCCTTTGAGCCAAAGAAACACCAGTACTACCAGATAACTTTATAGCCCCTTTCCTTCAACTCTGAGAACTCCTTCCCACTTTCCTTATACCAGGCTGTTGCAGGCCTTGGCAATTTCTGACTACCACTCAACTATGTGAATACTGCATTGTCCTAAAGAGTCTAACACCTCTGCTTTTTTATTTTATTTCTCATCTAGAGCTCTGGTTTCAATTGCAATCCAGTTGGCAGCTCAAAACTCTATCTTCTTCCTTCTCTATACAAATAGACATTTTGCCAAAACTTTGGAAAAGGAGAAATTATTTCCCCATCTCTCCCTCTCACTTTTGTGCTTATATACTTGACTTAAGAAAGAATTTGCTACATTATTCTCTTTAGTGAATCTTTCTCTACAATAATTGTAGCTCAACATTACCAAGGGTAGAGAGATCAATAGTGGAAATTCTTGGTAGCACCTAAATGTCATGAGACTCATATTTCCCACTGTAGAAATTGAACCACTTCTGAGTTGTTGAAATTATTGCTAAATATATTTACAGTCTTTTTTACAATAAAAAGCTTTATTACTTTTATTATGGGCTGAAGAAAATGCTTTAAATCTTGAGTTCAGAAGTAATATCTCCTGTCCTAAAAGCAATGAAGCCTTTCAAGAGAGAGGTGGAAAGAAAGTGCATTCTGAAAAGGTCGTTTATAGTTTTGGAATTTTGTTGCAATTTTGGTTCATATATTTTTACTAAGTGTAACCTGTATATGTAAATTAAATGATTATATAAGAAAGAGTAATGTTTTTATAAAGTAAGAAATGATTTTATATCCTAAAAGACAGAGGGATATAAACCAGTAAGGCAGCTCTGCATGTGCTTGATGGCTGTGAAATGACCTGTTTGATTTTCTATTACAGGCCAGCAGACTGTGCTGCCCTGGCCCACCAGACCCAAACTGTGGGGTAGCCAACTTCTCGTTAGGGAGTCCTGTGGTACAGAGTGCATTCATAGCCTATAATAAATAAAGTGCATTTAAAACCTCATGTATATAAAGTCCTCCATCGTGAAAGCAATACCACAAAAAGATGTTTAGCCTTTGAAACACTATTGGAGAGAGGGAAAAAAAATTCTGCCTAAACCCTGACAAATGAGTTTATCGTTTGGCCATATGGAATAGTGTATGCACACATGTCCAGATAGTCAAATTCATTCAGATTAGTCCTGATAGACTAATTCATCAGTTCTTTGGAGGGTAAGCCCTAGCTAAGTTAAACAAAATGCTAAAATAAAAGCAGTTTAATTATCTCAGGAGAGAAGTAAAAAGAACTTGGCCTCAAGTCTTAACAAAATTTTGTAATTAGCTTTAGTGAATAAATAATCATTTGTGATTAGCATGTTTGTTGTACACAAAAGCTTCAGCAAAAGTGGGGATTCTTTTAATATTCTCACTTAGTCTTGTTTATGTGCTGATCAGGCTCTGTGTGTGTGTGTGTGTGTGTGTGTGCACCTGTGTTTGTCTCCATAGTACAGATGTACATTCAGATTGGGTAGGTTGAGATTATTACAGATCCCAAATTAATGGAGTTTGTGTTAATGAGGTTTTACACTATGTACGTGTACATGACGAAGGCAGTGAAGAACAAAGTGTGCCAACTGTACCTCATATTTTAAGTCTTTATTTCTGTTTTTCTCACTGCTAATGCCATAAATTCTACATGTCATATGAGAGTAAATCCCTTTCTTCTCTCTGTTTCTGTTATTGTCCTTTGTGATAAAAATTTTGAAGTCAGAATTTACCTGAGAATTTGTAGATACGTGAAGGGATATATGCCTAGTTGTAACTTTCTCCCTTGAGATGACTATCTTCTGTAATTATTGCTTTTGTTGTTTCAATTTTATTTTAGATACAGGAAGTACATGAGCAGATTTTTTACATGAGTATATTACATGATGCTAAGGTTTGGGGTACGGATCCATCACCCAGGTGCTAAGCATAGTACCCTATAGGTAGTTTTTCACCCCATGTTCCCCTCCCTCCTTCCCACATCAGGTAGTCCCCAGTGTCTACTCTTGTCATCTTTATTTCCATATGTGCTCAATGTTTAGCTCCCACTTGTAAGTGAGAACATGTGGTATTTTCTTTGCTGTTCCTGTGTGAATTCACTTAGGACAGTGGCCTCTACTTGCAACCATGTTGCTACAAAGAACATGAGTTGTCTTTTTTTAATGACTGCATAGTATTCCATGGTGTGTATGTACCACATTTTCTTTATCCAATCCAACATTGATGAGCACCTAGATTGATTTCATGTCTTTGCTATTGTGAATAGTGCTGCAATCAACATATGATTGCATATGTCCTTTTGGTAGAATAATTTATTTTCTTTCGGAAATATACCTAGCAATGTGATTGCTGGGTCAAATGATACTTCTCTTTTATTGAGAAACCTCCAAACCGATTTCTGCAGTGGCTGAACTAATTTACATTCCCACCAACAATGTATAAGTGTTCTCTTTTCCCTGCTTCATTGCCAGCATTGGTTGTTTTTTACTTTTTATAATAGCCATTCTGACTGTTATGAGATGGTATCTCATTGTGGTTTTGATTTCCATTTCTCCGATAATTAGTAATGTTGAGCATTTTTTCAAATGATTGTCAGCTGCTTGTATGTCTTCTTTTGAGAAGTGTCTGTTCATGTCCTTTGCCGACATTTTAATGGAGTTGTTTGTTTTTTGTTTGTTAATTTAATTTCCTTATAGATTCTGGATATTAGACCTTTGTGAGATGCATAGTTTGTGAATATTTTCTCCCATTCTATGGATTGTCTGGTCACTCTGTTGATAGTTACTTTTGCTGTGCAAAAGTTATTTAACTTAATTAATTCCCACATTTTTTATTTTGTTGCAATGGTACTTAGCCAAAATTTTTTTGCCCAGGTTGATGTAGACAGGGTATTTCTTAGGTTTTCTTCTAGGATTTTTAGAGTATGAGGCCTTACATTTAAATTCATAATTCATCTACAGTTAATTTTTGTATATGGTGAAAAGGAGTGGTCCAATTTCTTTCTTCTGCATGTGGCTAGCCAGTTATCACAGCACCATATATGGAACAGGGCGTCCTTTTGCCATTGCTTTTGTCTGCCTTGTCGAAGATCAAATGGCTGTAGATGTGAAGCTTTATTATTGGATTTTCTATCCTGTTCCATTGGTCTATGTATCTGTTTTTGTACTAGTACCATGCTGTTTTGATTACTCTAGTCTTACACTATAGTTTGAAGTTGGGTAGTATGATGCCTCCAGCTTTGTTCTTTTTGCTTAGGATTGCTTTGGCTATTCAGGCTCTTTTTTGGTTCTATATGAATTTTACAGTAGTCGTTTCTAATTATTTGAAGAATGACATTGGTAGTTTAATTGGAATACCATCAATTCTGTAAATAGCTTTTGGCAGTATGGCCATTTTAATGACATTGATTTTTCCAATCAATCAGGATGGAATGTTTTTCTTTTTATCTGTGTGGTCTGTGATTTCTTTCCGCAGTGATTTGCAGTTCTCCTTGTAGAGATTTTCCTGTACCTCTAGTGCTGTATTTCTAGGTATTTCATTTTCTTTGTGGCTATTGTAAATAAGATTATGTTATTGATTTGACTTGACTCTCAGCCTTGATGTTATTGGGGTATAGATATGCTACTGATTTTTGTACATTGATTTTGTATCCTGAAACTTTAGTAAAGTTGTTTATCAGTTCTTGGATCCTTTTGGAAGAGTCGTCTTTAGAGTTTCCTAGGTATAGAATCATATCATCAGGAAAGAGAGATAGTTTGACTTCTTTTTTTCCTATTTGGATGCTTTTTATTTCTTTCTCTTGCCTGATTGCTCTGGCTAAAACTTCCAGTACTATGTTGAATAGGAGTGGTAAGAGAGAAAAACCTTGTCTTGATACAGTTCTCAAGTAAATGGTTCCAGTTTTTACCTATCCGGTGTGATGTTGGCTGTGGGTTTGCCATAGATAGCGCTTATTATTTTGAGGTATGTTATTTTGATGCCTAGTCTACAGAGAGTTTTTATGGTGAAGAGATGTTGGATTTTATTGAAAGCTTTTTCTGCATCTATTGCAATGATCATATGGTTTTTGCTTTTGATACTTTTATGCAGTGAATCACACTTATTGATTTGCATATGTTAGAAAGAGCCTTAGATCTCACAAATAAAGCCTACTTGATCATGATGTATTTACTTTTTGATGTGCTGCTGGATATAGTTTGCCAGTATTTTGCTGAGGATTTTTGTGTCTATGTTCAATAGGGATAGCAGCCTGAAGTTTTCTTTTATTGTTGTGTCTCTGTCAGATTTTTGTTTCAGACTGCTGATGGCTTCATAGAAGGAGTTAGGGAGAAGCCCCTTCTCCTTGATTTTTGGAATAGTTCAATAGGATTGGTACCAGTTCTTCTTTGCATGTCTGATACAATTCAGCTGTGAATTCATGTGGTCCAGGGCTGTTTTTTGTTGGTAGGTTTTCAAATTACTGATTCAATCTCAGAGCAGGATATTGGTCTATTCAAGGTTTTGATCTCTTCTTGATTCAATATTGAGACATTGTGTGATTTCAGGAATTTGCTCATGTCCTCTGGATTTTCTAATTTATGTGAATAGAATTGTTCAAATTATTCTCTGAAGATCTGTTACATTTCTATGGGATAATTTATAATATCATCTTTGTCATTTCTAATTGTGTTTTTTTTATTTTTGTGGGTACAGAGTAGGTGTATATATCTGTGGGGTTCTTTAGATGTTTTGATACAAGCATGTAAAGTGAAATAACATCATGAGAATGGGGTACCCATCCCCTCAAACATTTATTCTGTGAGTTACAAACAATCCAATTACACTCTTAATTATAAATGTACAATTAAGTTATTATTTACTATAGAATGGGCAAAAACTGGAAGCAATCCCCTTGAAAACTAGGACAAGACAAGTATGCCCTCTCTCACCACTCCTATTAAACATAGTATTGGAAATTCTGGCCGGGACAATCAGGCAAGAGAAAGAAATAAAGGATATTCAAATAGGGAGAGAGGAAGTCAAATTATCTTTGTTTGCAGATGAGATGATCCTATATCTAGAAAACCCTATCATCTTAGCCCAAAAGCTTCTTAAGCTTATAAGCAACTTCAGCAAAGTCTCGGAATACAAAACCAATGTGAAAAGATAACAAGTATTCCTATACACCAACAGTAGACAAGCAAAGAGCAAAATCATGAATGAACTGTCATTCACAATTGCTATAAAGAGAATAAGATACCTAGGAATATAGCTAACAACAAGGGAAGTGAAGGGCCTCTTCAAGGAGAACTATAAACCACTGCTCAAGGAAATCAGAGAGGACGCAAACAAATGGAAAAACATTCCATGCTCATGGACAGGAAGAATCAATATCATGAAAATGGCCATACTGCCCAAAGTAATTTATAGATTCAATGCTATCCCCATCAAGCTACCATTGACATTCTTCACAGAATTAGAAAAAAATATTTTAAAATTCATATGAAACCAAATGGGCCTGTATAGTCAAGATGATCCTAAGCAAAAAGAACAAAGCTGGAGGAGTCCTGCTACCAACTCAAAACTATCCTACAAGGCTATAGTAACCAAAACAGCATGGTACTGGTACAAAAACAGACACAGAGACCAATGCAACAGAATAGAGAACTCAGAAATAAGACCACACACCTACAACCATCTGATCTTTGACAAACCTGGCAAAAATAAGCAATGGGGAAAGGATTCCCTATTTAATAAATGGTGCTGGGAGAACTGGCTAGCCATATGCAGAAAATTGAAACTAGACCCCTTCCTTATACCTTATACAAAAATTAACTCAAGGTGGATTAAAGACTTAAATGTAAAAACTCAAACTATGAAAACCCTAGATGAAAATCTAGACAATACCATACAGGACATAGGCATGGGCAAAGATTTCATGATAAAAATGCCAAAAGCAATTGCAACAAAAGCAAAGATTGACAAATGAGATCTAATTAAACTAAAGAGCTTCTGCACAGCAAAAGAAACTATCATCAGAGCAAACAGACAACCTGCAGAGTGGGAGAAAAATTTTGCGCTCTATTCATCTCTCAAAGTTCTAATATCCAGAGTCTACAAGGATCTTAAACAAATTTGTGAGAATAAAACAACCAACCCTGTTAAAAAATGGACAAATGATATGAATAGGCACTTCTCAAAAGAAGACATTCATGTGACCAACGCACATATGAAAAAATGCTCAACATCAGTGATTATTAGAGAAATGCTAATCAAAACCACAATGAGGTACCATCTCACACCAGTCAGAATGGCAATTACTAAAAAGTACAGGAACAATAGATGCTGACGATGCTGTGGAGAAATAGGAATGCTTTTACACTGTTGGTGGAAATGTAAATTAGTTCAACCATTGTGGAAGACAGTGTGGCAATTCCTCAAAGATCTAGAACCAGAAATACCATTTGACCCAGCAATCTCATTACCTGGGTATATACCCAAAGGAATATAAATTTTTTTTATAAAGATACACAAATGCATATGCTCATTGCAGCACTGTTCACAATAGCAGAGACATGGAATCAACCTAAATGCCCATTAATGATAGACTGGGTAAAGAAAATTTGGTACATATACATGATGGGATACTGTTCAGCCATAAAAAGGAATGAGATCATGTCCTTTGCAGGGACATAAATGGAGCTGGAAGCCATTATCCTCAGCCAACTACCGCAGGAACAGAAAACCACACACCGCATGCTTGCGCTTATAAGTGGGAGCTGAACGATGAGAACACATGGACACTGGGAGAGCAACACACACTCGGGCCTGTTGTTGGGGGCTGGAGGGAGGGAGAACATCAGGAAAAATGGCTAATGCATGCTGAGCTTAATACCTAGGCAGCAAACCATCATGGCACACATTTACATATGTAACAAATCTGCACACCCTACACATGTACCCCAGAACTTAAAAGTTGAAGGAGGAAAAAAAGAAATAATATTCATTTAGATACTAAAAAAAAAAAAAGAAAAAAAAAGAAAATGTGATACATATACACCTTGGAATACTGTGCATCCCTAAAAAATCCCGAGATCATGTCTTTTATAGGAACATGGATGGAGCTATTACCCTTAGCAAACTAGTTGAGGCACAGAAAATGAAATACCACTTGTTCACACTTATAAGTGGGTGCTAAATAAGAACTTATGGACACAAAGAATAAAACAATAGACACTGAGATCTACTTGATGGGGGAGCATGGGAGAATGGAGAGGAGCAGAAAAGATAACTATTGGGTACTGGGCTTAATACTTGGGTGATGAAATAATATGTACAACAAACCCCTGTGACACGTGATTACCTATGTAACAAACCTTCACATGAACCCCTAAACCTAAAATAAAAGTTAAAAAATGAAACCCCAGTTGCCAATATAATGGTATTTGGAGATAGAGCCTATATGAGGTAATTAGGTATTGATATTTGAGCTCTCATGACAGATCAGTGGGATTATGAGGATAAGAAGAGACATGAGAGAGCTTGCTTCTTCTCTCTCTCTGCTACAAGAGAAGGCAGTTGTTTACAAGCCAGAAATCAGGCTCTCTCTAGACACCAGATCTTCTGGTGCCTTCTTCTTGGACTTCCTAGTCTTTAGAATTGTGAGAAATAAATGCTTACTGTTAAAAAAAAAAAAATAAGCTTTTCATGAAGGTTTTACTCTAATTTATTTCACTAATTTTAATTACTATCTTATTTATTAATATGTACAACATTAATAGTTGTACAGTTGTGAGAAAATTATTTTTATTTTTTAATTTTTTATTTTTTTTGAGACAAAGTCTAGCACTGTTGCCCAGGCTGGAGTGCAGTGGCGCGATCTTGCCTCACTGCAACCTCTGCCTCCTGGATTCACACCATTCTCCTGCCTCAGCCTCCCGAGTAGCTGGGACTACAGGTGCCCGCCACCACGCCTGGCTAATTTTTTGTATTTTTAGTAGAGACAGGGTTTCACCGTGTTAGCCAGGATGGTCTCGATCTCCTGACCTCGTGATCTAACCACCTCAGACTCCCAAAGTGCTGGGATTACAGGCGTGAGCCACCGCGCCCGGCTATTTTTCTTTTTTGAGATAGGTTCTCACTTTGTTGCTCAGGCTGGAGTGCAGTGGGGTAATCATGCTCACTGCAACCTTGACCTCTGGGCTCCAGCAATCCTTCTACCTCAGTCTGTGGGGTAACTGGGACTACAGACACATGCCACCATGCCTGGCTAATTGTTTTTTGTTTGTTGGTTTGTTTGTTTGTTTGTTTGTTTGTAGAGATAGGGTTTCACCACGTAGCCCAGGCTGGTCTCAAACTCCTGGGCTTACGTGATACGCCCACCTAGGCCTCCCAAAGTGCTGGGATTACAGGCGTGAGCCACTGCACCTGGCTGACAAAGTAATTCTTTAGATCTTTTTAAAATCTTCCCTTTTTAGCCACTTCACTTTGATATTTTATTTGAAAATAATATTTTGTTAATATGTATGCAAAGTATGTTATAACTTAGTCAAATGATTCTTTCAAATATTCAACATGCCTCAAAGTCCTCTCAACCATACCCTACATACCATATCTCCTTTTGTTCTTATCAGCTAGAAACTATAATTGTGATAGAATATGCATAATTCCTTATAATCCAATTAAATCAACAAATCCTTATTAAGCTCCTCCATATAATTCACTTTGGTTACAAGGGTGAATATTATATTGAAATGCTTACAGAATTTCCCTTGTGGTGGTTTTCACTGAAAAAAGTACAATATCAGTATCCCTCTCTTTATTTTAAATCCTTATATTCTAGTTATAAAAACATAAATGTAAAACATAGTTTAAAATACAAATTTTTAATAAAATATGAGCAAAGCCATATTCTTTGAATTTTCTTCTGCCTATGCATATGGATTTCATATGTCAATGTGAATCGTCATATATTAGAGATATATATTATTTTACTTTAATGATTATAGCCGTTTCAACTAAAAGTTTACCTAAATACTATTGAACCTTTAAAAGCAATGTATCACTAACTGGGAAATGGATTTTTATGTATTTACTGTCTACTAATGTAGTATGTTTTGTAAAATCACTGAATTTTAAACTACTGCAATAATTACCTTGCTGCCTTCTTGTTTTTCTGACCTCATAAACATTCTGCATTCCTAAAATGCCACATCGTGCACTTTATTTCAGTGCTCAAAACCATCAGTGACTGCATATTGTCCATAGAATGCAAATGACTACTATTTGCTCTACATTACACTGATTTTCCTGAGAGAACTTTTATACTTGCTGTGCTACACAGTACATTATCTTGTGTTAGTACAAATTTAATATATTTACTTAGCCTCCAGATTCCTTAAAGAAAGAAATATGTCTCTGTGTCTTTTAAATCTGTTCCCCCAGAATACCCTGAATCATAGCTGTGCCCCAAGAGATACTTGATAAGTGCATATTAAATGATTGATCCAGACTATTTGAGCCTTATCTATGTTTTTAGTTTCTTCACTTTCTTTTGTTTGTTTGTTTGTTTTCCGAGATGGGGTCTCACTCTGTC
The DNA here is from genome assembly GCF_000001405.40 of Homo sapiens. Classification (NCBI taxonomy): domain Eukaryota; kingdom Metazoa; phylum Chordata; class Mammalia; order Primates; family Hominidae; genus Homo; species Homo sapiens. The sequence goes on along the minus strand of NC_000023.11, from coordinate 98,316,938 downwards.
GCCAGGCTGAAGTGCAGTGGCACGATCTCGGCTTACTGCAATGGCCGCCTCCTGGGTTCAAGCGATTCTCCTGCCTCAGCCTCCCGAGTAGCTGGGATTACAGGCACCCACCAACACGCCCAGCTGATTTTTGTATTTTTAGTAGAGACAAGGTTTCACCTTGTTGGCCAGGCTGGTCTGGAACACTGACCTCAAGTGATCCACCCGCCTCGGCCTCCCAAAGTGCTGGGATTACAGGCGTGAGCCACTGCGCGCAGCCACTTTCTTCACTTTCTAACTCAAGATTTTTTCACTGTTTACTTGTAGCTAGTGGAAAAAACAGTGATGGGGAGAAGAGGTGCAATAGTCATGCTTGTTGGCCTCTAAAGGCCTGGAATCTCTATATATCCTGACTTGTCCCAACTCTGAATCCCCAAACTGTTCAACCTTTCCAAGATTGAACCCACCTTCCAAATTTTTCCAGACAGCCACTGTCTCCATTCTCTCAAGATAATAGTATAACTGCCTCCATGTTGTGCTTTTTGATAGTAGCGGTTTGCCTTGAAACCGCTGAAATGTAACTTCAAGGCATTTTTAAGGCATTGATCAGTTCTCACATTCTATACATTGTTATCAAGTCTATGTCCAACCATTAATACACACTGATAGACACAGAGCATATTCTCCATCACTCATCTGTATCTTTCCAAATTGGAAAAACTATTTACATATTTGTATTTATGTATACATGTACATATTATTTAACTTTATGTAATCTATCTTCTTATTAATAACTCATAGACTCTTAGAGTTTGAGAGAAAACTTAAAAAAGTCAGTCATTCCCAAGCAGTCACCCTATACTTGAATCCTGTCTTAGTGAGTTTGGCTGCTATAATAAAATACCATAGATGAGGAGGTCTAAACAATAAACTTTTATTTATTTGAGTTGTGGAATTTGGAAGTCCAAGATCAAGGTGCCAGCTGATTCAGTTCTTGATAAGGGCCCCTTCCAGTTTTGTGGATGGCTACCTTCTTGCCACCTTCTTCTTGTATTCTCACAAGGCAGACAGAGATCATCTTTCTCTTGTCTCTTCCTATAAAGGCACTAATTCCATTCATGAGGGCTTTACCTTCATGACCTAATCATCTCCCAAAGGTCTCACTTTCAAATACTATCACATTGGAGATTAGAGCTTTAACATATGAATTTTGGGGGAACACAAACATTCAGTCCATAGCCAATCCCCATGGTCTTTCTCAGTTTTCTTTCCAGATTTTCTCTCTTCATTTGGGATGATCACAACTACATACAGTGATTGAGATATAGTCACGTCATCATTTCATTCAACAAATGCAGCAGATTTGGTCAGAGTTTTCAGGGAAGAGTCGATGATATTCATAGTTCTTTTTTCTGGAACATGTCCATTTAGTGATGATAGCCAAATTTATGGAACCCTAATAAAGATATAACTCACGTGTTTTAGTCCTGAGTGGTGGCATAGCCAAAAGTCACACTTCAAAATCAAAAAATTCATAAACTCAAGCAATGCATCGCATGTCCTATTTCTATCCCCTCAATTTATCATACACCACACTCTTTAGAAACCATATATTTCTCCCACCCCAATCCTCCCTCTCCAGCCCGCAAAGCCTCTAAGTCCTTTTTTTTTTTGAGATGGAGTCTCGCTCTGTCACCCAGGCTGGAGTGCCGTGGCGCGATCTCGGCTCACTGCAAGATCCGCCTCCCGGGTTCACGCCATTCTCCTGCCTCAGGCTCCCAAGTAGCTGGGACTACAGGCGCCCACCATCACGCCTGGCTAATTTTTTTTTTTGTATTTTTAGTAGAGACGGGGTTTCATCATGTTAACCAGGATGGTCTCGATCTCCTGACCTCGTGATCTACCCGCCTCGGCCTCCCAAAATGCTGGGATTACAGGCGTGAGCCACCGTGCCCGGCGACTCTAAGTCCTATCTGCTCTCCCACCTCTTCACAGATTCAGTGAACCTCTTTCACTTAGTTCTTTCCTTCTTCTGCAGATTTTTTTATCCTGTCTCCTTGTCATTCTTTGCCTATTCTTTGATTTATATCATGGAAATATAATAGCTGGTCTGGATGAGACATGCTTTTTGCTGATAGTTGGAAGAGTAGGAGTAGTGGACAGGAGAAATTATGCATGCAAGATAAAGTTCTCTTCTGTGAAAAATGTCTATAAAATCTCTCCTGTTGATAATTGCACTCCATGATGTATAGTTAGGACTATATTTTTATATGCATATTATCTCATAGTCATTTATTTTGTAGTTCATGCCACTTTCTGCTCTTTCACACTGTCACGAAGTCCCCTTACAATTGGCCATTTAGGGATTTCTGGTTTTGTTTCGTTTTTGTGACCCAGCAAAACTTAATGTTAGCAGTAAACTTAAGTCTTTACTGTGTACTATCATTTCTAGAGATATTATTCCTACTTCTACTTGTATGTTCATTTTTATTTAAATGTCTTTCCCACCATTTTTTTTCTTCCTATGGTTGTTAGGTCCTAGAAATCAAGGAACATTTCTATTAACAGAGCAATTAATGTCAAGACACAAACAGTTTCTAATGGTAATCAATGCCAGTATTTGTGAAATGTAGGAGTTTCATATATGCCAATTGTCTAATGGTCAAGAGCAGAAATAGGGCTAATTCAAGGCAATCATAAATGCTTTTCCTGAACCAATCTCATCTCTTTTTTTCTTATTTCCTTCCTCATCTATCGCCCAATTCTAACAGCTCTTCCTATTTGTCAACTTTCTTCTTAAAGCTATGAAGTCTGAGTTCTTGCTTCTACCACTCAAATGGAGAGTATTTTCCCCAAAGTCACCAACATCCTCAAATATTTACAGAGCACATATTACATGTCAGGCATATTACAAATTAGGAGCTGTTTATAGAGTAGTAGAGAGAACAAATATAATTTCTGTTTACATAGACATAGAAACTGTAGAGACATATAGAAACCAAAGGGTCACAAAAATAAGAATATTTGACAAGTGCCATAAAGGAAAATAATGACTCTATTAAGAGAATAACAGTGATCACTTCATTTTTATTGGGGAATAAGGAATGTCTATCTGAAAAACCCATGTTCAGACCAAGGCCTGAAGGATGAGAAGAGTTAGATAGAGAATAGAGTAGAAGAGGAGGTTCTAGACAGTGAAAAAAAATATGTTAAACCCCTGAGGAAGAAAATAATTGCTACATTAAAAACTTTGAGAGACATTCTATACAGCCACAGCAAAAAAAGCAAGGGGAAAAGTTACGAGGAAAAAAAAAGCTGGAAAAGTAAACTTGAGAAGTAGTATGCAGGGTTGCTTAAGGCCACATTAATAATTTTATATTTACTCCTCAAGTGTGATAGGAATCTGTTTCAGGTTAAAAAGGAGTGATGAAATATCATTTACAGTTTTATAATGTGGCTACAGATGGATTGGACGGGTACAATTGTTAAGATACTACATAATTTCAGGCAAGAAGTGATAGTGTATTTGACCAGGGTAAAATCTGAGGCATATTTCAATGTGGAATTGACAGGATTTGGTATTGGATTAATGGATCAGATGTGGAAGGTTAAGGAGAAGATGAAATTCTCGGTTTTCAAGCTTGGACAACTGGGGGAACTAGGTGCTTTTACTGAGATGAGGCAATCAGAAGAGCAATGTTTGTTTTTTGTTTGTTTGTTTTGTGTTTTGTTTTCTGAAGGATATAGGGTTACTCAAGTGTCCATTTTTTGATCTGTTAAGTTTGAGATGCCTATATGAAATATCCAAATGGAAATACCAAATAAGTTAAAAAGGTGACCTAGTCTGAAGACATACATTTGGGAGTTATATGTATATAGATGGTATGTAAACTCATAGGAATAGATGGACAAGGACAAATGAGAGGGAACCAGGGTGACTCTCACTAATCCATACCAAGGGTTCCCCACCCCCTATTAAGTGTTCTCCTTCATCTTTCTGGTGTATTTACAATTATTATTATTATTATTATTATTATTATTATTATTATTACTATTAGAGACAGAGTCTAGCTCTGTTGCCCAGGCTGGAGTGCAGTGGTATGATCTTGGCTCACTGCAACCTCCACCTCCCGGGCTCAAGCGATTCTCCTGCCTCAGACTCCAAGTAGCTGGGACTACAGGTGTATGCCACCACTCCCGGCTAATTGTTGTATTTTTAGTAGAGACAGAGTTTCACCATGTTGGCCAGGCTGGTCTTGAACTCCCGACCTTGTGATCCACCTGCCTCGGCCTCCCAAAGTGCTGGGATTGCAGGCGTGAGCCACCATGCCCGGCCTGCATTTACAATTATTAATCATGATCTTCTTCTTGAAAGTTTGCTACTCATAAATGTTGTAACATTGCACTCTCCTCTCAATCCTTGCAACTCTACCACATACACATTCCTTCTTTCAGGGAAATCATCTTCTGTATTGTTTAGGGTCATACTAGTTGCTATAACATAAAGACTCCAAAATACAGTGGCTCAAACAAGATGCAAGTTTAGTTCTCTCTCATGTAACAGTCCATGTTTAAGATCAGTGAAAGGTTGTCTTGCATAGCATAACTTAGAAGTCCAGTTTCTTTCCATTTTCTTCACGGTATCCTTGGGTATTGTCTTTACTGCATGTTCAAAACATAGTTGCAGTCATGTCTTTGGTTTATTTTACTGGATGGTGAAAGGGACTGTGAAGGAGGAAGCAGGCTCATTATCTTAACGGCTCTGGCCTGAATACCATGCACATTGCTATCTCTGTCATTTTTTTTGGTGAAAAGTTAGTCAAATGGTCATACCTGACTGCAAGAATGGACAAGAAATATAGTATGTCTGTATAGTATATCTGACCAGTTGTATTAGTTTCCTATTGCTGCTGTAACAAATTACCACAAACTTGGTGACTTGAAACAATACAAAGGCATTATCTTACATTTCTGGAGGCCAGAAGTCTGAAATGGGTCTCAGTGGGCTAAAATCAAAGTGTTGGTAGAGCTGTATTCCTTCTGCAGGCACCAGGGAAGAATCCATTTCCTTGACTCTTTCAGCTCTAGAAACTGCCTGCATTTCTTGACTTATGGCCTCTTCCTCTATCTTCAAAGCTGGCAGCATAGCATTTTCAAATGTCTCTGACTGACCTCTTCTGCTGCCCTCTTCCATTTTACAGGACATTCTGATTACACTGGGCTCACCCAGACAATCCAAGATAATTTTCCTGTTTTAAAGTCAACTGATTAACAACCTTAATTCCATTTGCAGCCTTAATCTCCTCTTGCCATGGAGCCTACATATTCACAAATTCTGGAGATTAGGATGGGGGCATCATTGGGGGGCCATTATTCTGTTTACCACACCAGCCATATATATGTCAGGCTACAGGTCTATTTCCATGGAAGGAAAGGTAAATGGAGTCTGGCAGTCTTCACCACATTAACTTTCATGGCTTTTGTATTCAAGAAAATGCTATTTTGACATCTATATCAAAATAGTGGTGGTCTAAATGTCCTGCTTCAATCAGTTCTGTGCTAATGACTCTCCAAAATACTTATAAAATATTGTCCTACTTATGGTTCAATTCCATGTATAAATCAGAACTCATCACATAATTTTATCTCAGTTGTACCATTACTTCTAGTCATAGCTAAAAGCCTTGAGGTCCTCTTTAACTCTTCCTTCTCCTTTGGCTCCTGTATTTAAATTGTCATTAAAAAAACCAATAAAAGATGGTTTGATATTTCTCTTTATTTGCTATGTCTTTTTGTTTGGCCCCTCCTTGTTCATTTTTACTTACCTTGCCTTTGTTCAGTTGCTCATCACTTCACTTATCACTTACTAAAATACCCTTCTTGACTATGACTCCACTCTTTTCTGTGCTCTAATCCAAATTTTGAAACTGTTTCCTTTGTTTTCTCTCTTGTTTATCTTGTTGGTTCAATCCTATCATTTTTCTGGCCTAGGAACTTCTCTGTTTTCTACATCATTATAACCCAGCGCCTTTTCTGGGCTTACTAAACCTTTAATAATCTTACTCAACTCCACTCTGGTAGACATGATCACTTCTGGTATCAGTTTTACCTTTTCTCTCACACACACGGACACATTTCTGTGCCTTTCCTTATGCCAAATCCCTCCTTGGTTACAGTGCTCTCTCATTGTTACCACTCCATATCCTAAACATACCCCAAGACTTTGCTTAACCTTTAGCTTGTCCATTGTCAAGTCTTTTGTTACCACTCTACCGAATTAGTGGATCTCTCATTTCTTGACTATTGGCTTTTACCCTTCAGGTTAATGTCATATATACATAGCATTTAGTTGATCTGCAATTAACTCATAAATGAGAATTTTGATGATCCAAATATGTAGTAAAATTCTTCAGGGTAAGAGTCATGTCTGGCTTTTTTTTTTTTTCTTACTTTGCAGTGCCTAGTATAGTGCTGGGAATATAGAACCTCAATAAATACTTGTTTAGTAACTCAGCCATCCTCGTTCCTTCTCTCTCCTTCTTAATGGTAATGGCCTTAGCTTGTTCTTGAGGGGTAAATACTTGAGAATAGGACAGAGGGCAAATGATTAAATATAAAGGGGTGAGGTGGAGTCCCCAGACAAAAAGCAATGCAGGCCAACCATTGTATTATGCATTTTACGTGTGGTGATTAAATTATTGTTGACATTAACATATGACAACCTGTTGAAATGATTTGTAAGTCTTTTAGGGTTTTACAAACAGCTTTATCTCTCAGTTCTACATGATGAAATGGCAAAGAATTATTTATTGTGTCTTTACACCACTGGCATATGGAATTTTTAAAAGATTTATTTTAACTTTGGGGTTCTCTTGAGATTAGAGAACTGGCAAGAAAAAGAATAAAATCTTTGTCTCCTCAGGCCCACAGCATTATAAGCTCTACCATGCTATTTCGTCAAGGATCTTTCTCTTATCCATGCAAAGGAAGTGCTTTCTTTTTATTGTAATGTAGTTGTAAAACTCAAACAACCATCATAATTTCATTAAATCATGCTGAACTTCATAGAATTGCTGAAAAGGATCCATAATATGCAATATTTGTTCTGCAAACTGACTGAATATTTATAATATTTAGTCTATATCATGCTATTTATTCTAAAAAATGACATATTTGTTTTTGTTTTCTTAGTAGAGCATAAGGCAAATTATATTAATTAGGCTATTTACATGATTTCCTAACTTAGAGCAGTGAAACTTGCCTTTAGCTAGCAAATAATTGGAATTACAATTGCTAGAGATATCACAAGTTTGTTAATTATATCAGGCTTCATCAAGCTCTGATAGGTTGCTAAATGGTCTTTTTTCCCTCCTCCCCGCTTTTTTCCTTTTCTCATCTACCTCAACCCCTGTCCCCTTCATTCCTTATGTAGAATGAAATTACTATAAAGTATATATATAATACCTGATCATCTGAGCTACAATTTCCACTTCAAATTTGAGAGTCCATAATCTTCTACAGATGGACAGATTGTAATTTGTCATTGTTCCCTTTTGAAAAAAATTAGGCTTGAATGTTGAGAAAAACCCAGGTCTTACCCTCTCTGCTTTTCAGAAATAATGGAAATTTTTAAAAGAGACATTAAAGGCAGAAACCAAAACAATGAAATCTAACAAATTTAGTAGTAATGTAGTATCCCTGTGAAACTATTTTAGTTTTTACTATTAAGATGTATTTAGAAGTTTTCCTATGCCTTTTTTTTCCCACAATTTGGGGATAGAAGCCAGTTGGGGAGGTGTGGGGGGCAATAGAAAAAAAAACATGATTGAAAAGAAATCACTAATAACTGAAAGAAATTATAACTACAGCATTATCTGATTATGTTACGGTTGCCTAATGACTTCCAATGCCTCCCCGTTGTTCTTAGAACACTTTCCAGACTGTGTTCTATGGACACTAGTTTTCTAGCACACTACTCCTGAGATATAATCCTCAAAATAAGTGGGAAGTATTCCAACCTCAAATAACTTCAGGAAATCGTGTATGTTATACCTCATTCTGGGAGAGTCACAAACATGTCAACAGATGAAAGGATCTGAGAAATCCTACAGAGGACAACTATTTAATATTGATTAGCCTAGTATTTCCAAAGCATGTTTGAGCATAGGTTTTTCTTTTTCTTTTTACATAACGCCTATTGTCATTTTGTGGACTTACTTTCTGGAGGAAATGGTACCTTAGGCTAAAGGTCAAACTGTTCCATATGTCCTTCAAGGCTGGTCACAGTTCATCCCTCCCTGTCTCTCTAATCTCACCTCTTCATACTTTCCTTCCTGTTCCTACTCTTTCCAGTTCCCTAAAAGGAGCCATCCTCTCTCACTTCCAGACCTTTCTTCACTGGATGAATTTCTTCTCATGCCTCTGGTCTCCAAATAACTGTCTTTTCTTTGAAAATCCTTGCCTGCCGCCATACCTTTAAAACTCAGGGGTTCCAGTTAGGGGCACCTACCTTTTTCTGTTTTCCAAGGCACACTCTATTTGCTTCTGTCTCTGTTGGTCAGTAAGTTGTGTTCACTGTTATACCCTCAGGCAGTGTGGTGTGATAGAGCTAGCTTGCGCTGGAACTGGCTTGTACTGGCTCAAAAGAGCCTACTGTTAAATTTTCAGAAATGTTGTGAGTCCATTGATGTCCCCATGGTAGCTCAAAATCAGCCATGGTGGGAATATTTTCACAACAGAAACTGGCAAACACAACAAAGCAGGCTTGTTTTGAGCTGGTTGTTAAATATTCACCAACACATCACTGACTCCATGCCTAGCATTGTACTTGATACCCAATGCACAGTGGGCATTTAGTTAGTAATTTTTTGAATGAATGAATAAAAAAATTCTGTTTTTCAAAAGTATTTTATGTTGCCTCAATGTGTCTACTTCTTCGGCTCTGGCAACAATCTTCTTCACATTGTGCAAGTTTTCTTTTGTCTTTTTTTAAAAAAATACTATTTTGCTTGAAGGAAAGGACTCTGTCATTTATTTCTACATAAACTACGAGTGCCTTGAAGACAGCAAGCAGTTCATAATTTTTAAGTGACAGTTATATCTCTGAATTGAGCATGTGCTGTCTCACCTCCTTTAGTCAGTCAATCATACCTCCTCTAACTCTTATTCCACTGGTAGTGGCAATCATTGAGCCTAGTGGTTTTTTTTTTTTTTTTTTTTCTAAAATACACTGAGTATAGAGTCACCATGGGCCAGAGATAAGAATTGGTTGTTATTTTTGAAACCCAAATTCCGCTCATCAGATTTTCCAGGTGAGGAGGGGAAGGGATACACACACACACACACACACACACACACACACACACAACACACACACAAATACTGCTCTCTCAAAGCTCAGAGAGTTGTCTAATTAACTTAAATAATTAGATTACCATCTTGGGTCAGGTTCTCCAGGAGCCAACTTGGAGATGAGGGTTTCTGTACAAGTGATTTATTAAGGAAGTGCTCCCAGGAGAAACTGGTAAGAGAGTGAGTAAAGCAGGACAGTGATAGAAAGCCAAGTAGGAGTGTAATCTTGGGCAAAAGTCCTGGGGAACGTAGGCTTCTGCTGGACTCCACGGAGGAATGCTAGACTGTTATATCTCAGAATCCTCCCAACCTGAGGCAAGGATGCTGGAATTTCATACTTCTGTTCCTGAAGACCATGGTGGTTGGAAACAAAAATAGGCATGGGGACAGGCACACAGATATTGTAGGAGAAATGCCAGGAGATCTGGATGGAGCACGTTAAGTCTAAAATGAGATAATAAACAAATTCAGAGTTACGCTGTTTGCCTTTGGATATGCTTTAATTATCTTTAGTCATGAGTATTGTTAATCACCTCTTTGACCTTGGAGAGATAAATTCTGGGTCTCAGTTTCCTCATTTATAAAACAGAGATAAGGAGAGATAGACCAGCTTCATAGGACATGTTAAGCAGTTTGGACTTCAGCCTAAGGCAGCATTTTCTCCAATAAATCCAAAAAATGCTAATAGGCGTTATGTAAAAAGAAAAATGTATCTATGCACAAACATGTTTTGCAAAACCAAGTTAATCAACGTTAAATGACTGTCCTCACTGTAGAATTTATCAGAGCCTTTTATGGGTTGATATGTTGGACTACATATCGCTAATGTCCCTTTTAGGTCTAACATTCTATTGTTTCTTAATAACCATGACAAGTCTGAGATTTTACCCTACTTGCAAGCTAGAAAGTTAACGTCGTAGAAGACAGGAGACTCCTGGATCAGAGGCAAGGGACAATTTATTATTCATAGCAGTAGCAGTACCCACAGTATCAGCATTTGTATAAGTTCCCTGAGCCACAGTTCCCAAGTGAAATATGGAAAGGATCATATGACATCTACATAGGCAGTGGGATGCATTATAGGAAAGAAACTCTGAGCTTAACGAAGCCAAATAGTTTATCATGGGCGGTAAGTATGCCTGATCCTTTTCCTGGAAGAAGATATTATTTTTAATATACTTACAGAAAAAAACCTACCCTCTATTTCAATTCCTCTATCAGAGATGGTGGCTATACACATACTTTTTTATTATTATTATTATACTTTAAGTTTTAGGGTACATGTGCACAATGTGCAAGTTAGTTACATATGTATACATGTGCCATGCTGGTGCGCTGCACCCACTAACTCGTCATCTAGCATTAGGTATATCTCCCAGTGCTATCCCTCCCCACTCCCCCCACCCCACAACAGTCCCCAGAGTGTGATGTTCCCCTTCCTGTGTCCATGTGTTCTCATTGTTCAATTCCCACCTATGAGTGAGAATATGCGGTGTTTGGTTTTTTGTTCTTGCGATAGTTTACTGAGAGTGATGATTTCCAATTTCATCCATGTCCCTACAAAGGACATGAACTCATCACTTTTTATGGCTGCATAGTATTCCATGGTGTATATGTGCCACATTTTCTTAATCCAGTCTATCATTGTTGGACATTTGGGTTGGTTCCAAGTCTTTGCTATTGTGAATAATGCCGCAATAAACATACGTGTGCATGTGTCTTTATAGCAGCATGATTTATAGTCCTTTGGGTATATACCCAGTAATGGGATGGCTGGGTCAAATGGTATTTTTAGTTCTAGATCCCTGAGGAATCGCCACACTGACTTCCACAATGGTTGAACTAGTTTACAGTCCCACCAACAGTGTAAAAGTGTTCCTATTTCTCCACATCCTCTCCAGCACCTGTTGTTTCCTGACTTTTTAATGATTGCCATTCTAACTGGTGTGAGATGGTATCTCACTGTGGTTTTGATTTGCATTTCTCTGATGGCCAGTGATGGTGAGCATTTTTTCATGTGTTTTTTGGCTGCATAAATGTCTTCTTTTGAGAAGTGTCTGTTCATGTCCTTCACCCACTTTTTGATGGGGTTGTTTGTTTTTTTCTTGTAAATTTGTTTGAGTTCATTGTAGATTCTGGATATTAGCCCTTTGTCAGATAGAGTAGGTTGCGAAAATTTTCTCCCATTTTGTAGGTGGTCTGTTCACTCTGATGGTAGTTTCTTTTGCTGTGCAGAGGCTCTTTAGTTTAATTAGGTCCCATTTGTCAATTTTGGCTTTTGTTGCCATTGCTTTTGGTGTTTTAGACATGAAGTCCTTGCCCATGCCTATGTCTTGAATGGTAACGCCTAGGTTTTCTTCTAGGGTTTTTATGGTTTTAGGTCTAACGTTTAAGTCTTTAATCCGTCTTGAATTGATTTTTGTATAAGGTGTAAGGAAGGGATCCAGTTTGAGCTTTCTACATATGGCTAGCCAGTTTTCCCAGCACCATTTATTAAATAGGGAATCCTTTCCCCGATGCTTGTTTTTGTCAGGTTTGTCAAAGATCAGATAGTTGTAGATATGCGGCGTTATTTCTGAGGGCTCTGTTCTGTTCCATTGATCTATATCTCTGTTTCGGTAACAGTACCATGCTGTTTTGGTTACTGTAGCCTTGTAGTATAGTTTGAAGTCAGGTAGTGTGATGCCTCCAGCTTTCTTCTTTTGGCTTAGGATTGCCTTGGCGATGCGGGCTCTTTTTTGGTTCCATATGAACTTTAAAGTAGTTTTTTCCAATTCTGTGAAGAAAGTCATTGGTAGCTTGATGGGAATGGCATTGAATCTGTAAATTACCTTGGGCAGTATGGCCATTTTCACGATATTGATTCTTCCTACGCATGAGTGTGGAATGTTCTTCCATTTGTTTGTATCCTCTTTTATTTCCTTGAGCAGTGGTTTGTAGTTCTCCTTGAAGAGGTCCTTCACGTCCCTTGTAAATTGGATTCCTAGGTATTTTATTCTCTTTGAAGCAATTGTGAATGGGAGTTCACTCATGATTTGGCTCTCTGTTTGTCTGTTGTTGGTGTATAAGAATGCTTGTGATTTTTGTACATTGATTTTGTATCCTGAGACTTTGCTGAAGTTGCTTATCAGCTTAAGGAGATTTTGGTCTGAGACAATGGTTTTCTAGCTATACAATCATGTCGTCTGCAAACAGGGACAATTTGACTTCCTCTTTTCCTAATTGAATACCCTTTATTTCCTTCTCCTCCCTAATTGCCCTGGCCAGAACTTCCAACACTATGTTGAATAGGAGTGGTGAGAGAGGGCATCCCTGTCTTGTGCCAGTTTTCAAAGGGAATGCTTCCAGTTTTTGCCCATTCAGTATGATATTGGCTGTGGGTTTGTCATCGATAGCTCTTATTATTTTGAGATATGTCCCATCAATACCTAATTTATTGAGAGTTTTAAGCATGAAACATTCTTGAATTTTGTCAAAGGCCTTTTCTGCATCTATTGAGATAATCATGTGGTTTCTGTCTTTGGTTCTGTTTCTATGCTGGATTACATTTATTGATTTGTGTATATTGAATCAGCCTTGCATCCCAGGGATGAAGCCCACTTGATCATGGTGGATAAGCTTTTTGATGTGCTGCTGGATTCAGTTTGCCAGTATTTTATTGAGGATTTTTGCTTCAATGTTCATCAAGGATATTGGTCTAAAATTCTCTTTTTTGGTTGTGTCTCTGCCAGGCTTTGGTATCAGAATGATGCTGGCCTCATAAAATGAGTTAGGGAGGATTCCCTCTTTTTCTATTGATTGGAATAGTTTCAGAAGGAATGGTACCAGTTCCTCCTTGTACCTCTGGTGGAATTCGACTGTGAATCCATCTGGTCCTGGACTCTTTTTGGTTGGTAAGCTATTGATTATTGCCACAATTTCAGAGACTCTTATTGGTCTACTCAGAGATTAAACTTCTTCCTGGTTTAGTCTTGGGAGGGTGTATATGTCAAGGAATTTATCCATTTCTTCAAGATTTTCTAGTTTATTTGCGTAGAGGTGTTTGTAGTATTCTCTGATGTTAGTTTGTATTTCTGTGGGATTGGTGGTGATATCCCCTTTATCATTTTTTATTGCGTCTATTTGATTCTTCTCTGTTTTTTTCTTTATTAGTCTTGCTAGCGGTCTATCAATTTTGTTGATCCTTTTAAAAAACCAGCTCCTGGATTCATTAATTTTTTGAAGGGTTTTTGTGTCTCTATTTCCTTCAGTTCTGCTCTGATTTTAGTTATTTCTTGCCTTCTGCTAGCTTTTGAATGTGTTTGCTCTTGCTTTTCTAGTTCTCTTAATTGTGATGTTAGGGTGTCAATTTTGGATCTTTCCTGCTTTCTCTTGTGGGCATTTAGTGCTATAAATTTCCCTCTACACACTGCTTTGAATGTGTCCCAGAGATTCTGGTATGTTGTGTCTTTGTTCTCGTTGGTTTCAAAGAACATCTTTGTTTCTGCCTTCATTTCGTTATGTACCCAGTAGTCATTCAGGAGCAGGTTGTTCAGTTTCCATGTAGTTGAGTGGTTTTGAGTGAGATTCTTAATCCTGAGTTCTAGTTTGATTGCACTGTGGTCTGAGAAATAGTTTGTTATAATTTCTGTTCTTTTACATTTGCTGAGGAGAGCTTTACTTCCAAGTATGTGGTCAATTTGGGAATAGGTGTGTGGTGCTGAAAAAAATGTATATTCTGTTGATTTGGGGTGGAGAGTTCTGTAGATGTCTATTAGGTCCACTTGGTGCAGAGCTGAGTTCAATTCCTGGGTATCCTTGTTGACTTTCTGTCTCGTTGATCTGTCTAATGTTGACAGTGGGGTGTTAAAGTCTCCCATTATTAATGTGTGGGAGTCTAAGTCTCTTTGTAGGTCACTCAGGACTTGCTTTATGAATCTGGGTGCTCCTGTATTGGGTGCATATATATTTAGGTTAGTTAGTTCTTCTTGTTGAATTGATCCCTTTACCATTATGTAATGGCCTTCTTTGTCTCTTTTGATCTTTGTTGGTTTAAAGTCTGTTTTATCAGAGACTAGGATTGCAACCCCTGCCTTTTTTTGTTTTCCATTTGCTTGGTAGATCTTCCTCCATCCCTTTATTTTGAGCCTATTTGTGTCTCTGCACATGAGATGGGTTTCCTGAATACAGCACACTGAGGGGTCTTGACTCTTTATCCAATTTGCCAGTCTGTGTCTTTTAATTGGAACATTTAGTCCATTTACATTTAAAGTTAATATTGTTATGTGTGAATTTGATCCTGTCATTATGATGTTAGCTGGTGATTTTGCTCGTTAGTTGATGCAGTTTCTTCCTAGTCTTGATGGTCTTTACATTTTGGCATGATTTTGCAGTGGCTGGTACCGGTTGTTCCTTTCCATGTTTAGCACTTCCTTCAGGAGCTCTTTTAGGGCAGGCCTGGTGGTGACAAAATCTGTCAGCATTTGCTCGTCTATAAAGTATTTTATTTCTCCTTCACTTATGAAGCTTAGTTTGGCTGGATATGAAATGCTGGGTTGAGAATTCTTTTCTTTAAGAATGTTGAATATTGGCCCCCACTCTCTTCTGGCTTGTAGAGTTTCTGCCGAGAGATCTGCTGTTAGTCTGATGGGCTTCCCTTTGAGGGTAACCCGACCTTTCTCTCTGGCTGCCCTTAACATTTTTTTCTTTCATTTCAACTTTGGTGAATCTGACAATTATGTGTGTTGGAGTTGCTCTTCTCGAGGAGTATCTTTGTGGCGTTCTCTGTATTTCCTGAGTCTGAACGTTGGCCTGCCTTGCTAGATTGGGGAAGTTCTCCTGAATAATATCCTGCAGAGTGTTTTCCAACTTGGTTCCATTCTCCCCGTCACTTTCAGGTACACCAATCAGATGTAGATTTGGTCTTTTCACATAGTCCCATATTTCTTGGAGGCTTTGCTCGTTTCTTTTTATTCTTTTTTCTCTGAACTTCCCTTCTCGCTTCGTTTCATTCATTTCATCTTCCATCGCTGATACCCTTTCTTTCAGTTGATCGCATCGGCTCCTGAGGCTTCTGCATTCTTCACGTAGTTCTCGAGCCTTGGTTTTCAGCTCCATCAGCTCCTTTAAGCACTTCTCTGTATTGGTTATTCTAGTTATACATTCTTCTAAATTTTTTTCAAAGTTTTCAACTTCTTTGCCTTTGGTTTCAATGTCCTCCTGTAGATCGGAGTAATTTGATCGTCTGACACCTTCTTCTCTCAGCTCGTCAAAGTCTCCATCCAGCTTTGTTCCGTTGCTGGTGAGGAACTGCGTTCCTTTGGAGGAGGAAAGGCGCTCTGCTTTTTAGAGTTTCCAGTTTTTCTGCTCTGTTTTTTCCCCATCTTTGTGGTTTTATCTACTTTTGATCTTTGATGATGGTGATGTACAGATGGGTTTTTGGTGTGGATGTCCTTTCTGTTTGTTAGTTTTCTTTCTAACAGACAGGACCCTCAGCTACAGGTCTGTTGGAGTAGCCGGCCGTGTGAGGTGTCAGTCTGCCCCTGCTGGGGGGTGCCTCCCAGTTAGGCTGCTCGGGGGTCAGGAGTCAGGGACCCACTTGAGGAGGCAGTCTGCCCGTTCTCAGATCTCCAGCTGCGTGCTGGGAGAACCACTGCTCTCTTCAAAGCTGTCAGACAGGGACATTTAAGTCTGCAGAGGTTACTGCTGTCTTTTTGTTTGTCTGTGCCTGCCCCCAGAGGTGGAGGCTACAGAGGCAGGCAGGCCTCCTTGAGCTGTGGTGGGCTCCACCCAGTTCGAGCTTCCTGGCTGCTTTGTTTACCTAAGCAAGCCTGGGCAATGGTGGGCGCCCCTCCCCCAGCCTGGCTGCTCCCTTGCAGTTTGATCTCAGACTGCTGTGCTAGCTATCAGCTAGACTCCGTGGGCGTAGGGCCCTCCGAGCTAGGTGCGGGATATAATCTCCTGGTGCGCTGTTTTTTAAGCCCGTCGGAAAAGTGCAGTATTCGGGTGGGAGTGACCCGATTTTCCAGGTGCCGTCTGTCACCCCTTTCTTTGACTAGGAAAGGGAACTCCCTGACCCCTTGCGCTTCCTGAGTGAGGCAATGCCTCGCCCTGCTTCGGCTCGCACACAGTGCACGCACCCACTGACCTGCACCCACTGTCTGGCGCTCCCTAGTGAGATGAACCCGGTACCTCAGATGGAAATGCAGAAATCACCCATCTTCTGCGTCGCTCACGCTGGGGGCTGTAGACCAGAGCTGTTCCTATTCAGCCGTCTTGGCTCCTCCAGCTATCCACATACTTTTAAAAAGATCACCCAGCGCAAAAGTAGTCAGTGCTTCTGCTTGCTCAAAGTGTAGTAAAGCCTAATCACTATGGACAAATGTCCCCTTACGTTGTTCTAGAGTCTATTTCACCAATTATTTCTTTTAAGATAATATCTGAGATGTGTGGACAAGAAATGAGTAAGCATTTTCCTGAAACTTGAGTAAATGTAATCCTTTCTGATCAGATCATCTCTTGGAAAACAGTGAGTGCTGGTGAACTAAATAGGTAGATTCTCAGGCTCAGGATATGTACCCCATAAGCTTGTCTTTCTTTCTTCCTTCTTCCTGTCTCTGTTTATTCAAGTTGCTTAGTAGTTACCAGGATTAGTCACACTATTTCCAATCTGTACTGTGACCTCACTATTTGCTGTAAGAAATACAGCAAACTTTGAGAATAACAATAGATATTATTCACCAACTTCCTAACAAATCCACCCAAGTTATTTCTTCATCTGTGGAAAGTTTCTCACCTTGGACCACCTTCAGAGAGAATATAATCAAGCTAGGCAGATAAGTATACCCTCACAGGCCCAAGGCAAATCACAATTTTAATAAAAATTGGAAATATGACCCATAGTATTGGGACTTTGCCTCTCTAGGCTGTTCAAATGTATCATATTCAAGGCTTGGTATGGAGCAGGCTATAGACATCCTAGAGTGCTAGGAACATGCATTAAGTTTTTCTTAATCTATTTTTCTTACCTGACAAGGTAAGCACCTTGGATATTTTCTGGAAGTGAAAAATGTGTACATTATAAATACATGAAATAAAGTATTTGCAAAATTGATTTCTACTCCAAGTAATAATAAAACCATGCCCAACCAGAGTACTAAAATATGGTCAGGTGAATTGATTAGTGTGATAATCTGTAACAAATATCAGTTTTCTCTGAATTTTAAGCAACATGGCCAATTTCCATATCTTATGACAAGTTAATGTTTATGAAACTTTCAGATTGTCTTAGTATTTCCTCAGCTTGAATCTTCCACATAAGTTACTCTGGCATTTTTTACATGCCTATAGCACAGATTCTTTAGCTTATTTCACTAAAGTCAAATAGAAATATATTAGCTAAAATGTTCAAGTGATTATGTCACATGGTTCAGACCCTGTCTCCATTTTCAAAGCAGAAGAGGTATAAATGTATGAGTTGTCATCCATGAGCATAAGTTAGTGTAAATGATTACTATGTGCAAGCTGTGGAATCAGTCTCATTTCTCTTACCTCACATCTCAGTGATATACACACATACCAGCATAATTAACCTCAGTTCATAAGGACAAAATCAATAGCATTTATGAATTGCACAAATGATAGGTGAAGAAAATCTGTAACAGCGTGCTGGATCCCATACTTCCTCTGGGAATGGGTTGATTACTAAAATTTGAGAATCACACTTGCAATTACAGTGTTTGGCCCCACCTGTGTGTTATGTGCTATAATTATCAGAACAATAGAAAATAATATTTCATTATGGTTTATTTTCTATCCTTCTGAATGAGTCTCCCTAGGAATCAGTTTTATTAATGAGACCAAATTATAAGCAACCCTGCTTGCTTGTCCTTGATATAATGAATTTAAACAAATAGCCAAAAATAGGCCCTGGCAATTATGTTTTATAGGTATGTACTCCATGTCATTTTTCAAGTTGCTATCAGAGTGTTATGTACCCAGTAGGTGCTCAATAAATATTAATTGATGTTGATGTAACAGTTTCCTTCTGGAAGTAGTCAATTTCTCATATTTGTGCATCCTTTGTTTTCTTCTGTGCCTCCTTGATTACAAGGATCTGATCAAAGACTTCCTCACCTCCGCATGCTTAGAAGAGCACATATTTTAAAAATTGTTAAATCCCTTCTTCATAACAAAAGCAACTGCTGTCAAAATGATTTCCTCGCCACATTTAGCATTTCCCTCTGTAAAAATAAAACCCACAGAACATCATATAATATCTTGGACAGTATTTATGATGGAAAAAAGTGCCTTTCATAATGAAATCAACCACAAAACAGAAGTCCTTTCTTAACCAACTCTAGGACTAACAGTTATTGGAGTAGTTGGCAGCTTATTTGAGGCACAAATATATTATCCAACAGTCATGCTTGACATTCCCCACTTCAGAAGGGCCTTAAAGTCTGTTTAAACTGGGTTAAGGGAGTGTGTTACCAAAGAGGGAAAGCACATTAATTTACACATGACCGGGGATTGGTTTTTCTGATTAACCTGTTTCTACTCACCAGCAGGAAAAAAAAAAAAAAAATATATATATATATATATGGCTCATAGGAGATGAGGCACATGCTTTGCTTCTGATGAAGGAAGGAAGCCAGGACGAGGAACACACGAGATCATTGAGTCACAGTGATAGCAAATCTCGGACAGCCAGGGAAACCCAAGGGCAATGCATATCTTGGGCAAGAAGAGTGCTTATGAAAAAGGCCCAGAAAGAGGAATTAAAAGACAAACTCTTAACTCCACAATTTCTGCTTGGATCAACCACATTCCTAAGTTTAAATAAAAAAACAATTTGCCTTGTAGCAGTGGTTCTCAACCCCATCTATACATTAGAATCACCTAGAGAGCTTTTAAAAAATATGTATGCTTGTGGCCCACCACCAGAAATCCCAATTTAATTGGTCAGGGGTAGAACCAGAACATTGGTATTTTTACATCTCCCAGGGTGATTCTAACGTGTTGCCGGTTGGATAATTGACCTACAGTAAAATTGAGGAGTTGAGGCTTGCTTCACATATATGAATGATTTTTAGTCACTGTTTTTCTTAAAGCAGTGGTTTTAAAACTTTAGTGTGCATCAGCATCACCTAGGGATGATTGCATATTTAATTAGCACCTTCAGACAATTCTGATTCCCGTCACCCACTTTGATGAAAGGAGCCTGAGATGAATGAGAAGGATCAACGTCTGATCTATAAGTAAGTTTGGGAATGTACAATATAGACTGTAGCTTTGCTACTTAAGGTGAGGTCCTCAGGCCAGTAGTATAGCACAGTCATCTTTCATTTGAAATGCAGAATCTCAAGCACCTACCTCAGACTTACCTAATCATTGTCTGCATTGTAACAAGATTCTCCAGGTGATACAAATGCATGTTAAAGTTTGAGTAGCACTGGGCTATTGAACCCTCAAACCTCCCTTATAACTTGACCATTCCTTGTTCAAATCACGATATAAGTGGTTTTCAGATTTTGTTTTGTTACATGGTAGACAATCAATCAGTATTTGAATGAATGATTGAATCAGTGCACTGCCCACCTTTAAGTATCAAATACTGAATAGAACATGCCCCAAGTGATTTTTTTTTTCTTTAAAGACTTTGAACATGGACCTTTTATAAATTTGCAGGACAGAAGGTGTTTTCCAAAGATTAACTAGAGGAGAAGAATTTGCCTCTTATTTCTGGCCACACACCCCCCCCTCCACCCATGTAAAGTTCATTAACTCCACACAAGGTAATTCTCTTTTGACATGTGCATTTCAGACGGGTCTATGTGAACCCTGAGGAAATGTTTGCACTTTGTTTTCTCTTTACTTTGGATGTCTGTAGGCATGTGCATGCATGTGTGTGTGTGTGTGTGTGTGTGCATTCTTTCATGCATGTGCTTATGTATGTACATTCACTAACATACATGGTAGTACTCTGGGAACACAATGAATAGAGTTGGTCCCTATATTACTACTATTATTGCTAACCTCATTATCATATCTAGAATGGGATTGAATGATGATGTAACATTTAGTCAGATTTATATATTTTGTTGACATGTTTGTGACGCTGTTGATTCAGATGGCCAGAAAGCTACATCTGCTCAGAATTTAAAGGTACTTAGTAATTTCTTTTTATTGCTATTTGCTGGAAAGTGGCATCAAAATTTTACTTTGCTTGTTTATACCAAACCTTCCAGCTATGAACTGAATATCCTTGAGCATAAGAAATGCTGGCATTGCATTTTTTATAAGCACTGTATGTGATTCTGATAAAGGTGTTCTCTTGATCATAATTTGAGAAAACCTGGTCCAGAGTACCAACCAGGAAGCAGGAAGAACAATAAATATTACTGAACCTTCACCATGGACCAGGCACTGTGCTCTTAGGTGCTTTTCTGTATATTGTTTCACATAATCTACACCACAGCCCTCATTTTCACATACGAGGAGAATGAGGCTCAGGGAAGAAAATAATGTGCTCCAAGTCATACAGTTTCTACGTGATGGATCTCAAAATTGAACCCACAATTAGCTGAGATCACATGTTCTGGAATCAGACTGCTTGGGATAGGCACCTAGGTCAGCTACTTCCCATGTGACCTTGGAAAATTGCTTAACCACTCTGTTACCAGAAAGGGGTCCCAATCCAGACCTCAAAAGAGGGTTCTTGGACTTCGTGCAAGAAAGAACTTGGGGTGAGTTCAAAGAGTAAAGTGAAAGCAAGTTTGTTAATAAAGTAAAGGAATAAAAGAATGACCACTCCATAGGCAGAGCAGTGGCATGGGCTGCTCAAATAAGTAT
The DNA here is from genome assembly GCF_000001405.40 of Homo sapiens. Taxonomy (NCBI): domain Eukaryota; kingdom Metazoa; phylum Chordata; class Mammalia; order Primates; family Hominidae; genus Homo; species Homo sapiens. The sequence continues at coordinate 98,295,776 of NC_000023.11, read as the reverse complement.
ACTTATAGTTACATCTTGATTATATGCTAAACAAGGGGTATTCATGAGTTTTCTGGGAAAGGGTTAGGCAATTCCCTGAACTGAGGTTTCCTCCTCTTTTTAGACCATATAAGGTAACTTCCCCATGTTGCTGTGGCATTTGTAAACTGTCATGGTGCTGATGGGGGTGTCTTTTAGCATGCTAATGCATCATAAGTAGCATATGATAAGCAGTGACAACGACCAGAGGTCACTTTCGTTGCCATCTTGATTTTGGTGAGTTTTGGCCAGCTTCTTTACCACATCCTGTTTTATCAGCAGGGTCTTTGTGACCTGAACCTTGTCCCAGCTTCCTATCTCATCCTGTGATGTAGAGTCCCTAACCTCCTGGGAATGCAGCCCAGTAGATCTCAGCCTTATTTTACCCAGCCCCTATTCAAGATGGAGTCACCCTGTTTCAAACACCTCTGACCATATCTCAGTTTCCACATCTATATAATAGAAAGAATACCTTTCAGGGTTAGTAAATAATTAATTGAGGTAATACACGTACTCAGAAGAGCAGCTGATACAGAGCAGGCACTCAGTAAATGATAGCTGCTGCTGCTATTTTTATTGTTATTATCCTCATTACCATTATTATCAATGTCATCATCATTATCTGACTCCAAAGGACTTGCTGTTTTCCACATCATGTTACTTCCCCATAGTTGTGATTGTAATATCTTCTGCAGAACACAAAATTATTCCCTCAAGAGAACAGAACATGTAATAGCATATTGAACACCTTGAATCAGTTACTCCACCCTCTCTCCTCAGCAATCTCTCAGGGAGACATTGCTCCTTTCCCTCTGCCCTCACAACTTACAGGTCTCTGTGGGCTTCAGTATGGGCATTATTTAAGTTCATCATTGAGTATGGAGATAATACAAGAAGCTGTAACTGCGTTAAAAACACAGGCAGCAGAGGCCTCAGCAAGGTATCGCCACCCTATGAAGCAGATGAACGTTTGTTGCAAAGAACGATCCCCCTGTTGAGTAAACATTTTAGAGCAGCAAAAGGCATCGAGTACATTCTATAGTTTAGATGAGCTATTCTAAGTTTTAAATGTATTAGTGAAGGAAATAAAAATATTTTACCCTGAAGTGTATTTGTTTGACATATTTTGAAATGGCTGCTGCAAGCCCAGCCTGCAAGACCAGACTGAGGTGGCCCTGCAAAGCATTTTTGTGGGGGAAATTTGCATCTGTAGAGAATCTCCATTAATGCAGCTAGGCCTTCCCTTTCTAGGCCTTTCCCTAATCTTGGAGGGATTAACTTCAAGTCTGATACCTTTAAAGGTCTGAAAAGAAACATTTACCATCTATTTTCTCTTAGGGCTGCTACCTGTGAGGTTTCATCTACATAATAAGACTACCTTTGCTAGCCAGGCCTTTTCTTTTCTCCCATAACCTGTCTTACCATTAAAACCTGCTTTACCAACAAACCTGTTTTTGGCCATGCTCTGAGCCCTCATTCTGTCTATAACCTCAAGATGGTATGTAGGTTTCTGTACCTCATTAACGGGGGCAGGGTGGATCTTCATTCTGAAGAAGAAGGTACATGTTAAATTAATTTGTATGCCTTTTCTCCTGTTAATCTATCTCAGGGCATTGATTTTTTAGCGAAATGTTAGGGGGCCGACGGCCGTGGCCCCCATGTTAAAAAAGTCTTGTAAACCAAAAATAAAATTTGAGGGCCACCTGCAACCATCTGAATGGACTTCCTGCTAGACCTGGACACTCTAAAATTTCACCTGAAGAATTGGTTCAAGCCATAACGGGAAGTGGGGGTCGGATATGCCTCATTGTACCCCTCCAGCATTAACATCAACACAGACCTTAAGTCTGGTAAGAAATATTTAGTCTATTCTCTCTAAAGCCTGCTACTTGGAGGCCTCATCTGCATGATAAAACCTAGGCCTCCACAACGTTTTATCTTAACCCAGACATTCCTTTTTGCTGATAATAACTCTGTCAACCAATTGCCAATCAGGATATGTTTAAATCTATTTATGACATGGGACCCTCCCATCTCCTCCCCCAACTCCCTACCCGCTTCAAGTTGTCCCTCCCTTCCAGATCAAACCAATGTAAATCGTACATGTATCGATTGATGTATATCTCCCTAAAGTGTATAAAAACAAGCTGTACCCTGACCACCCCAGACACATGTTGTCAGGACCTCCGAGGCTGTGTCACAGGCGCATCCTTAAACATGGCAAAATAAACTTCCTAAGGTGATTGAGACTTGTGTCAGATACTTTTTGGTTTACAATCTTTAGGCCAGAAATACTATTTTGGAGTTGCAAATAGTATTTAATCCCATCTACTTTGGTCCCATGCTTCTAGTTCTTTTCCAGTCAGGTGGGTAAATACTGTATATGGATCAGGAATATGGATTTTAGGGTTAGAGAATGATAGACCCAGGGCTTAGCACTGACATTTATGAGCTCTGTATCTTTGAAAAAAATCACATGACTTCTCTGAACCTCAGCTGCCTCAGAGCCATAACAAACATAATAAGAATTCTGTCCTTAAAAGATTGTTATGAAGATTAAGTGAAATACTCAGTAAGGTACCTGACATAGTGTCTGGCCCCAAATGTTAAAAAAAAAAAAAATGCTAATATGGTAGCAATTATTCTGCCACTCTATTTGTTTTCTTCTATTCCTAGTAAGCCTTGAAAGCCTCCTCACAGAATCTGGACACCAGTTGTGACACCTTACAACATTATACAGATTATTTATTAAATACCCAAGAGCTCAAACTAGATTTCCACAGGTCCCAGAGAGCTCAAGTTGGTAGGGCCCATGGAGATTGGGTATTGAAATAGAAACTAAAAGTAATTTTTTTAACAATAAATGTTGGTTTACATATATTAGAACATAAAATAGGATTACAGTGGATGTCTTAAGATTTAATAACATATTTTAACGTGTCTTAAATTACTATATGACTTGATATACTTTCCATTGGCAATCAAAGCAAAAAATGGTACATTTGTTCAACGCCCACATGTTTTATTCTCATTAAATAGAGAATGCACTATTCCAAGCATGAATCTCTCCGGAATGAGACATTTTGGAAGCTGTGACCTTTCCTTTTGTTATCATTGGAAGAAAAATCAATGTATTTTCTAACTTAATTCATGCATGCTGGGGAGAAATCCGCCACTTGGATATTCTGGTGTAATTATTTCATCATAAGAAATAAAACCTAAATACAGGGTCTTGCTAGTTTAAATAATTAAAGCCTAGAAAACCCACTATTGAAAATCCCCCAGTGAGCCAAATTTATATGTGATTACTGCAAACTTAATGTTTCTGCTCCTTTAGGAGTTTTATTAAAAACAAATTCCCAAGTTACAACACTTAGCACAGGACACCTTGTTGAGCCCCTCAGCACAGAGAATCCCCAAATTCTGTGTTCTACTTTCTGCGCCCTTTGAGGAGAACCTTTCCGGAGCAAAGAAAAAAATCATAGACAAAAGCTTGAAAAGTGTATTCCAATGGATACGACAGGAGGCAGGGAAATGCTGGCTAGAAGAGAGCGGTTCCCCAGCAAAGGCCCCACCCACAACCCTGGGCCTGCAGCCCTAAATGAGAACTTCACATCCCTGTTTTCCTGCCCAAATGTTGCTTTTTCCAAAACCACTCTGGCCCACCATGCCTCCATCCTGTACCCATAAAAACTCCTAACTCCACTGGCAGAGGAACAGAGCAGCATGGCAGAGAAAGAGAAGGAAGAAGCATCTGAACGTTGAAGAGGCAGCTGGGCGGTTGGAGAGGAGTTTGGCCAAGACGGCCGAACTCCAGGGGAAGATTATCTTCCCACTCCTCTCCCTTTCCAGCTCCGCATCCCACTGAGAGCCACTTTCATCACTCAATGAAACCTCCACATTCACCATCCTTCAAGTCCGTGTGACCTGATTTGTCATGAACAGGGGACAAGGACCCAGGTACCAAGAGGAATGAATAGGCTGTCACCCTGATTCTCCACTGAGTGGTTAACACCTAGCCATCTGCAGATGGCAACTGCTTCAAAAGCATTAATTGTAACACACCCCTAGAAGCTACCACGAGGCCGGAGCCCAAAAGTGCTCGCCCCGGCCCCAGCACCCGCTCGCCTGTATGCTGCCCCTCGCGCAAGAGGTTTGAGCGCTGCAGCCGAGTAAGCAAGCCACACCCCTGTTGCAAGTCCCATGAGGAGGTCCAGGGAACTCTAATCTCACAATGAATATGGCAACTTTTTCCTGAAAAGAATGAACCTTTTCCTAGTTAAAAAAAATATATAGATATAGATATATAGATCTAGATCTATATAGATCTATATCTTACCAAAATGACTCAGAAAACTTGAATGGATCTATAAATGTAAAAAACAAATTTAGTCCTTATTTTAAAATCTAAATACAAACATAAACATATTACAGGTAGTTAGGTATGAGTGGGGTAGGGGAGGACTCTACCCCCACCACTAGAAATGCCAGGTTCAGCAATTATCACATTGCCTGTCTAAAAATGATAATTCAGCAGTGCCAGGGAGAGGCCATTTCCTGATGGTCCACGCCTGTTAACATCAAAATGTTAATTGAATGTAGGCCCCAGGGAGAAGCAACTTCCTAGGCATGCATGTTAAGAGACAAAAATGGTGAAGTGTGAACTTCTGGGGGCACATTCCACCCTAAGGGAAGAAAGCCTCAGATGGGCATGCGGATAACTACCTAAACACACTGCACGTGCTCAATTCCAAAGGGTAAGGAAGGCATTGGACATGCAGAAAGCCCACCCTAAGGGAAGAATCATGGGAAAGAGGTAAGCTTATAAAAGTCCTAGGATCACGGTTAAATGGGGCACTTGACCTTCTCTCTTTAACCTTTACGTGCCCACTTGGGTCTTTTCCAAGCTCATTTTCCTTTCTTTCCTGTTCTAAAGCCTTTTAAAATAAACTTCCATTCCTGTTCTAGAACTTGCCTCGTCCCTTTTTTTGCTTTATGCCTGCAGTCGAATTCTTTCTTCTGAGGAGGCAAGGACCAAAGTTGCTACAGACCCTTAAGGCTAGGCCACCAGTAACTTGGATCTCTTCCACCAGTAACAAACACACACCAGGCTTAAAATGTTGTACAAGCTTCTTTTCCTGGCAACATTCAAGGAGCAGATAGTCTCCATTTTATGTAAAATATTCCAGAGCATAAAAGATGTTTAATCTCAGTGGTGTGTACATGGGTATTTGTTATACGTTTGCTCTTTTGTATATTTGGAATGCTTTCTTATTTAAAGTTTAAAAAATAAAAAAGGGTATAAAAAAGAAATGGCAAAGAGCTTCTCGGGGAAGAGATTAGTTATGCAAGGCCAGAAGAGGAGGCAAGAAAGAGAGTGGGAACGAATGAAGGAGATGGAGGAACAAATGAGCACAGGTGGAGTTTGGAGTCAGAGAACGGAGCTAGAAACTGAGGAGAGATTGTTTTAGTAACTGGAGTGGAGATTGAGAAAATCATTTAGGATGATGTTGCATGGCCCAATTGAAAAAAAATCTACATGTGCTTACATGCCCTTTGACTCAGAGTTACTCTTCTTTTGGATGTGAAAGAAATAATATTTCACCCCAATATAAGGCCCCCTGGTATAGTGGGTATTTTTAATTAAAAACCCTTGGAGAACAACAAGTACTGGAAGAGACTTTTCCCCTATCTACATAAAGATAGAACTGACCCACCAAAGAGAACAGTTGTTCTTCTTCCCCTCCCTGTTATCTCATTACTCATTACAGGGAAAAAAAAAAAAAAAAAAAAGACACCTGAGCAGACCCCATTTCAAGATAATGACTGTCTCCAAGGATCATTTAAATTCCAAAGAAAACTATTCACAAGTTAATCTCTGCTCCTTAATCCAATCATTCTCCCTAGCAATTATTTGTTGTTCCTCAATAGAATTCCTCTTCTACCTTCTCCCATAACCTGTTTTACCAGAATCCAAGGCCCCATTCTTTCTGTAACTTCAAGATGGTATATAAGTTTCTATATCTCATTGGGAAGTTGGGTCTTCATTCTGAAGGCTCCTGTGTATACATGTTAACTAAATTTGTATGCCTTTTCTCCTATTAATCAATCTGCCTTATGTCAGTGATTTTTAACAAACCTTTAGGGGACGAAGAGCCTTGGCCCCCACAGATGTGGTGCCATGTTAAGATTGTCCTAAACACCATCCACAAGGAGGCCAAGTTTTATTTAAGCTGCATATGTATATTTACATTCCTCAGTAGTATCTGACCACCCAGAGAAAAGCACCATCAACATACAAGAGGCCAGATCAAATTGGCCAGATCAAAGCATATAAAAACCAAATGTTCGGCTGGGCGAGGTGGCTCACGCTTGTAATCCCAGCACTTTGGGAGGCTGAGGCAGGTGGATCATGAGGTCAGGAGATCGAGACCGTCCTGGCTAACATGGTAAAACCCCGTCTCTACTAAAAAAAAAAATACAAAAAATTAGCCGGGCATGGTGGCGGGTTTCATGCGCGTCCGTGTGAAGAGACCACCAAACAGGCTTTGTGTGAGCAACATGGCTGTTTATTTCACCTGGGTTCAGGTGGGCTGAGTCTGAAAAGAAAGTCAGCAAAGGGTGGTGGATTATCATTAGTTCTTATAGGTTTTGGTATAGGCAGTGAAGTTAAGAGCAATGTTTTGCGGGCAGGGGTGGATCTCACAAAGTACATTCTCAAGGGTGGGGAGAATTACAAAGAACCTTCTTAAGGGTGGGAGAAATTATAAAGAACCTTCTTAAGGGTGGCAGAGATTACAGAGTACATTGATCAGTGAGGGTGGGGCAGAAACAAATCACAGTGGTGGAATGTCATCAGTTAAGGTTATTTTTACTTCTTTTGTGGATCTTCAGTTACTTCAGATCATCTGGATGTATACGTGCAAGTCACTGGGGATGCGATGGCTTGGCTTGGGCTCAGAGGCCTGACATTCCTGCCTTCTTATATTAATAAGAAAAATAAAACAAAATAGTGTTGAAGTGTTGGGGCAGCGAAAATTTTTGGGGGGTGGTATGGAGAGAGAATGGGCGATGTTTCTCAGGGCTGCTTCAAGCGGGATTAGGGGCGGTGTGGGAACCTAGAGTGGGAGAGATTAAGCTGAAGGAAGATTTGTGGTAAGGGGTGATATTGTGGGGTTGTTAGAAGAAACATTTGTCGTGTAGAATTATTGGTGATGGCCTGGATACGGTTTGGTATGAATTGAAAAACTAAATGGAATAAGAGAAGGAGAAAAACAGATATAAAATGTCTAAGAATTGGGAGGACCTAGGACATCTGAATAGAGAGTGCCTAAGGAGATTCAGCATAGTCCTGCCAGCAAAGATTATTTATTTACTTCAAGAGTTAAGAGTGGCAGTTTGGGGATAGCAGGAGGAGATAGCTGTAATGGCTTGGAGAAACAGCGTAAAACGGCAGTGTAAACAAGAGCAGGGCATGTATGAGTAGTTGAGAACGGAGAATAGGAGTATGACTAGACAGAAAATAGTAGGGATGACAAGTTTTTTTGGGGCACAGTCTAAGTTGGTCCAGTGTCTGGAATGAGACTGGGGCCTAATAAAAAGGAGCTCAAATGGGCTGTACCTTGTAGCATTCCGAGGACAGGCCTGAATACTGAGAAGCGAAAGTGGTAAAAGTATTGTCCAGTCCTTTTTAAGTTGGTGACTGAGCTTGGTGAGGTGTGTTTTTAAAAGACCTTTAGTCCGTTCTACTTTTCCTGAAGACGGAGGACCGTAAGGGATATAAAGGTTTCACTGAATACTAAGAGCCTGAAAAACTGCTTGGCTGATTTGACTAATAAAGGCTCGTCTGTTATCAGACTGTATAGAGGTGGGAAGGCTAAACTGAGGAATTATGTCTGACAGCGGGTGCCTGTAGTCCCAGCTACTCGGGAGGCTGAGGCAGGAGAATGGCGTGAACCTGGGAGGTGGAGATTGCAGTGAGCTGAGATCGTGCCACTGCACTCCAGCCTGGGCGACAGAGCCAGACTCCATCTCAAAAAAAAAAAAAAAAACAAAAACAAAAACTGAATGTTCTGGTTTGCCTTTTGACCACAGTCAAAATCACAGAAGCTTACCAGCTCTTATAAATTGACACAGGAAGACAAAACTTGCAAAAAATGTAAATCACCAAGCTTATGGTTATTCCTCCTCAAGACCTGAAGAAACCGATGAGCCAACTTTTTCAAATGTTAAGATTTAGCTTTCCCTTCTGCAAGCAGCCAGAGCTCTAGCACTCCCAAAAGTCAGCCTTTAAATAGATGAGAGAAGAATGTGCCAAGAGAGAATGTTTTTGTTGGACCTCCTTGAGGGCAGGAATTCTGTAAATGTTTGGTGTCATAAACCCCTAATGAATGAAATAAAATCACTGCAAATCAACATCTCAGCATAGTCACTACTCTTCTGGGAATGGTAGTCAAGGGTATGCCTGAAAGATGACGGGCTGGGTTCATGAAGATACATGATGTTGGTCATGTTATGTCTTGGCATCAAGTGAGACCAGCCTCCAGAAAATAAGATCTTAGAAGCCTATGTTCTATTTTTGCTAAATAAAATAAGCCTGTTACAGAGTATTAGACCTTCATTAGAGAGTAGGAATAAGAGATGGACATTCTGGAAAAATAATAACTACAGAATTTTTAAAAAGCCGCAGATAGTACAACTTAGCAATATTCAAAACCTAAAAAGATTAGCTTAGCTGTTTTCAAATGGCAAGAAAAAATGGCATGCATGCAAAGCATATCTAAAGTGCTGTAACTACAACAAAATGAAATTCTCCGGGCAGCAATTACATAATTTACCTAGACTTGCCTTGAACTGGTGCAGTGAAAATTGCATAAACAAAAAACAGCTACATGAGCATCAGCTATTGTGTTATGGCTTTACCCCACTAATTTATTCTCCCTGGTCCTGACCTGGATGATAGCAGCTAATAATAGCTAAAAAAAAAAAAAAAAAACAAAACCAAAAAAAAAAACCCTTACCATTTTTGGTATTTCTTGTCTTTCAGATTTCATTCCAGTGCCTTCACAAGGAGCTGCACTGGTCATGAACTACTTGAATTTTATTATACCTACAACGATTTTTAAGCAGAAAAAATTGCTCCTGGGAATTCTAATCCTTCCATTATAGAAATAATTAAGCTCTTTTATTTGCAAGAGGAAAATTGTTGGGAAATGTAGAAAAACTATCAAATGACAAAAGACAAGATATAAACAGACTCTGCTTATTAAAATTGCAGTAGTGTTTTGTATTGAAAGATGCAAAGGAACTTCGAAAAACTAACGTGTAGGATATCTCCTCCATCCTTTCTTGTAATTCTTTGGTGTAACTGGTGTATTAGTCCACTTGTGTTGCTATAAATAAATACTACAGGTTGGATAATTTATAAAGAAAAGAGGTTTAAATGGCTCATGGTTGTGCAGGCTGTGCAGGAAACATGGTGCTGGCATCAGCTTCTGGCAAGGCCCCAGGAGGTGTACAATAATGGCAGAAGGCAAGGGGAGCACCATGTCACGTGGCGAGAAAGCCAGAGAGAGAGAGGTGAGGTGCCATACTCTTTTAAACAACCAGATCTCACATGAACTAACTGAGCAAGAATGCGCTCATCACCAAAGGGATGGCATTAAGCCATTCATGAAGGACCCATCCCCATGATCAAATCACCTCCCACCAGGCTCCACCTCCAACATTGGGAATCACATTTCAACATGAGATTTGTGGGGGAGAAACATCCAAACCATACCAACTGGTAATTTAAAAACTCCTAGACACATAGATATGCAACCACAGAACTATATACGTTGTTGTTGTTGTTGTTGTTTTGCTGTAAATACGTATAAGGAAATGTAAAATCCAAACCTGTTTTGTGGCTATCACTTCACCTTCCCAATACTTAAAAAAAGGGGAATGCCTGCCACAATTCCCTTTTTACCACATGGCTATCTGTTTCACCATTGAATACAGTGACTGCATGGGTCATTTTCTGAGATGTCTGGCTAATTAGAGTCCTAGCTATTAATGGAAGTGAAATCTGCTTGTTCCATTGTAGAAACTTGCATTGTCAGCAGGGCCAGACGAAGACCCTAAAAAATTTGTGTTTTGTACTTCAAAATACAGTTTCCTTGTTTGAAATAATATATACATGTGTACTGAAATGATTGTAAAATGCCAAATAAGTTTGTTACAGCTATATGTCTCTTTTTGTTGCCCCTGATATGCTGGTGCCTTAGTCATGCACCTAGCCTACCTATTGGGTAAACCAGAGCTATAAGTCTTCATACTGACAATATGGCTTTCTTTTTTTGTTTGTTTGATTTTCCCCCTACTCCAGTAATGACTGTTTTGGATTTATATCTTAGGGTTTCCCTAAACTCTCCAACTTGACCAACATGGCTGTTATGTTGATTCCAAAATTGACAATCTGACAACAAAAGCTCAGAGTAGAAATTGTCATACATACTTTTGGGTTCTTTCTTTAAAAAAGATGCTTCTCAAAAAAAGAAATATGGGTACCAGGTGAACAGAGCACCCTATTTATTCACCATCCATCAATAAATTTATTCATTTAACAAATTAAGTGCCTGTTATGTGCTATGTATTCTCTCAGGCAATGAAAAAAGCAGAGAAGAAAAAGACACACTTCTATTCTAAAGAAGTTTTCAATCCCCTTTGAAAACATGATGATCTTGTGGGTCATAGCCCTCATTTAATGGCACAGAAAGGAAATTCCATTTGGAAGGAAGAGAGCAGAAAGGCTTTTTCCACCACCTTATCAAATGTGAATTTAAGTGTCCCTACCTGGTAGATATAATCACGTTGTAAGCTTTACATGCCAGAGAATGCTTTTGCCTTCTTTTGAATTTGCCCACGGTGCCTACAAATATAGCACCTGTGCACATATTAGGTATGTAGTATTTATGAGTTAACTACTAATTGTCACAAAGCAGTTATATCTGCATAATTCCTTTGTTCTTTATATATACTTTAACAACATTTAACTTCATTTTATCAAGTGGAATCGCTTTCTATAATTTTGGCTTGTGATATAATCAGTACAATTAATATAAGATTAATATGAGATAAAATTACAATAATTAAAATTAATGTAAGATGAATATATGAATACAATTGTACATTTGTCTAGTTTTTAAATTTAAAGTTCAAGTTTTTGGGAGCCAAAAATCAAGGTAAACTGTTCTGTACTTAAAATCAGTCTTCAAAAAAGAGGGGACATGAATAGCATGATAAAAACAGAGACTTTCAATTGTGAGTTAGTTAAGAACAAAGAATATGTCTTACTCATTTTCTGCACGATAGCTTCCTGCATAGAGCCCAACCAGTACGTGTTCCACAAATGTTTGGAAAAGAAGAAAGAGATTTCTGAAGAACAGCTAAAAAGTAAGCCCTCTGAGGATGTCGTAATCCCCAAGTGAAGGGTCAAAGAGGCATTTGGGGCATTGGATACCATATGCAAAGTTTTGGAAGAGTGAAACAGCAAAGTGCATTTAGCTGTGTGGTGGGAGTTCTGTAGATCTGGAGAATCTATTGTGCAGAGGAAACAGCTAGACATAAGGCTGAGGAGATAGAAAACAGACAAAAAGCATTTGTATTTTATTTGGTACTCAATGGGGAGCCACTACCAAGTTTTAAGCAAGGACAGTAACATAAGATTTATAATTTAAAAGAATCAATTGGTTGTAGTGAGGAAGAGGGATTGGAACTGGTGACAAAGTAAAGTCAGGTGGACTACTTTAGAAAGCTATGGCAATAATTCTGCAATCCCTCACTTACAATTATTTCCTAAACCTGTCATCACTTTCCTTCAATCGCAATCTTTGTGTTTCTCTTGTGTCACAAACTTTGTTTCTTTTCTCTTTCTTTAGTCCTCCTTTTAGTTTGCCATTTACACTCATCCTTACCTGATATCATTATTCATCTGCTTAAGTTTCTTAGATAGCTACTCTTTTTTCACCTGTCTCTCCAAAATCCCCAACTTTGTATCAAAGTAGAAATAAGGAGGAAGTGGTGTGTGTAGAGGAAGGAAAGAAGGATTCAAACCTAGGTCTGTCTGCACTCTTGCTATGCCATATTGCCCCTCTAGCAAGGCATAGTATTGGTTAATAATTTTTTTTAAAAATCCGAAGTCTAGGAAATATTCACATCATTTAATCTACTTTAAAAATTGTGTATTTTTATTATTTTTCTCTAACACATAAATGTTAGAGAAACTCTTGATTTTCCTCAAGGTTACAATTTAATGGGAGGGGTTAAGGGAAGCATGCTATAATTTTCTATTTAATTTAGTGCTTTTCATTTTAACCAGAAGCACTTTTCTTCAGAGAGGAATCCACAAGTCCTAAGTACACACAAGATCCACAGCTCCCTTCTGAAAAAAGGTGGCCCCAAGTTGTTCTTTCTGCAAAAAAATGCCAAAGCTCAGGCCCAGGGCTTCCATTCATACGCTGACTTGTTAGAAAAGACTATTTTCCCCTGAGGTGGCTTTGCATGGAACTCTGCCCAAGAGGAATGTTCCCTATCGGATGACTGCAGATAAATTGGAGAAAAAAACAGAAGCATTCGGAAGAGACTGGTGCCCAAAATATATCCTAAATGATGATAACCTATTTTGCCAACTTTCTGTGAGATCTATGGTATGTTCCAGGCAAGACAGTTTCTGAGATACAGAGTTATTTCATGGTGCAATCAAACAGAGTGATCAGAAAGTTCATTTGTTATATCTCATTTCTCTTCCCCTGCGTATAGCTAGAAAAAGCCCACCACTGAAGGCAATCTGTGTCTGTCTATTCCTTGCTATCCTAATCTTTCTGTATAATTTACATATACTGTCACACCCAGCTGTGAAGATCATATGGATATTAACTCAATTCCATAGATAGGCGAATGGTGACTGAGAGACATTTGTGTCCAATTGCAACTAGTGCTGGGTTGGGAGTCAGAGGTCTCTAAATATAAGTCATGGTCTTAACCTTAGATCACTTAATCTTGCTTTGTCTCAATTTGTCATCTTTGAAATGGGAATATTAATGGTTCTTTGCTCATAAGTTTGTTGCGAGTAATAAATGGGAAAATACATGTCAAGTGCTGGGAACATTGCTGACACGTGATAAGTGCTTAATAAATGCCAGTTATTATTTTGGAAGTTGTAAATACATGAATTACCCACCCTTAAACATCTCATAAGAGATGGAACCAGAATTATTTCTATTATTTCTAGTTTAACTCCCCCCCGCCCCCAACAAACCATAGCATTAATATCATGGTAAGCCTTTGTCATGGGAGTACTGAGGAGCACTCACAGTATTTGTGATAATGTTAAAATAAAGTATAATTCAACTGCCTATATCCTCACAACAATAAAATGAACCTGAGACAGGCTATAGAATAACAATATGACTACATTACAAAAGGGTTAACTAAATTACTGGTTGATAGAAGTTATTTCAGAGAAAGTTGAGATGTTCAATATATGTACCTAATTTCTGAGCATAAAGTCTTAGAAAATAAGCTAATTAATTTCTCTCTCTCTCTCTCTTTCTCTCTCTCTCTCTAATACTTAAAAAAAATACCTAGGTCTGTCTCAGGCTGACATTCCTAAAACAAGTTTATTAGCATAATATATGGTACAATCTTTAGTATTTTAATTTTCTGTGTAAATATCAATCAACAGACTGGTTAAAATTTAAGATATAAATAAATGTGCTATCTCTATATAATGGAATATTATCCAGCCATAAAAAAGAATGAAATATTCATACACTACAACATAAGTAAACCTTGAAAGCATTATGCTAAGTGAAATAAGCCAATCACAAAAGACCACATGTTTTATGACTCCATTTATATGAAAAGCACATAATGGGATAATTTATAGAGATGGAAAATAGAATAGAGGCTGCCTAGAGCTGGGAGTGAGGGTGAGGAGTGATGCTCATGTCTATAAGGTTTTTTTTGGGGTTGATGAAAATGTTCAAACCATGAATTGTGATCGCTGTGAATATACTAAAACCACTGAATTATATACTTTAAAGGGATGAATCGTATGGTATATGAATGACATCTCAATAAAGATGTTTTAAAAATTATAGATAACACTCATTTGATCAGCTATTGACTGATGACATAATGCTGCATTGAAAACCACCCCCAGGCTTCATAATTTACAACATAGGCATTTATTTCTTGCTACTGAGTGGGCAGTTTGGCTGGAATGGCTCTGCGTTAGGCTTTGGGTCAAGTTTACACTGTGTTACACTTATTAGGCTCAATAGTCAGCAGCTATCAGGAGTATGTTTTTCTTTCTACAGAAATTAGAAGGTCCCAGGAGGCTAAATAGGAACATAGAATACTTCTTAAGGCTAGTTCCAGTACCAGCACACTGTCACTTTCAGTTACATTCCATTAGCCAAAGCAAGTTACTGGCCAAGTATGGCATTAATAGGTTAAGGAAATATTCTTCTTTCATGAAGATAAGGAAAAGGAATGAATGTTTTTTGAAAATTAATTGAATCTGCCACATCATTTAACAATATTTTTGTAATGCAACCCAATGTAGTTACTACATTGTGTATTTTCACATGTATTTTTGTATACATATATACTTGACATGTATTTTCCCATTTATTACAACGAACTTATGAGCAATAAATACACACACATACACACACACACACACACACACACACACACCCACAGTGCCTGCCTATCTGGCTGCATAAACAACAAATTAAAATAAAAAATAAATGGAAACTTCACTGAAAACAACAATAACAAAGACAACAATGCTGCTGTCCTTTGCTTTATTAGTAAAGAAGGTACATTGCCAAGAAGCTGTCCAGAAAATGTTCTCTGATCATTGCAATATTATGCAATTGAAGTATGGATCATCATCAACTAAAACAACAAAATGGAGCCAATGCGCCTTGCAGTGTTGCAGGTGGTCCTGGGTGTTGGAACTTTTTAGAGCTCTACACGGTGGTGGGGCCTTAAGGCCTACAAGAGGGGCAGGTGGCATGTGGGGGCTGACCCAATGAGAAGCCAAACAGGATATTGTTCTGATTTACAAAACTAGATCTGTGGCACCACAACTGTATTTGCTTCATGATTTCAAAGCCATTCAGTGGGGTCAGAAGAAGCCAGAGCTTCAAGCCAATCTCTATCTTCCCAAACAAAACAGTTAATCAAAATCCAAACCTTATTTCAACTTCAAAATTTATATTTTGAACTAACTCTGAGAACCTGTATTTCCCGTTAAAAATGCCTGTATTTGTGCCAAAAAGACAATCTAGTACTCAAAATCTCAGAGGTGTAAGTTTTCCAGTTTGGTTTGAACATGACACATCCACGAATGATATTGAGGAAGTTACAATTGCTGAATTCCAAACCTCCCTGAACCGGTGCTGATTCAGCTAATGGCAACTTTATATTGAGGGCAAAGTTGCCTGCTTTCAACTGCACGGACTTTACACAGATGGCCTTAAAGCTAGCAAGTCTGAAAGATGTGAAAAAAAAAAAAAAAAAGTTCTCTCTCCAGCTATGTGACACGAGACAGGTTATAGATTTCTGAACAGTTTGCTGTCCAAATGCTAAGTGGTGATATGTTGTCCAATCCTACACCTGGGTGGCTTACAAAATAAGAAACTGTCCTTTATTTTCTAACACTGTGGTAGAAATCCATCTCTCTTTGCCTCTGCTGAGTCCCAAGAGAACAGTTGTCTGGCTATAATTATATAAATTGGGCACAGTCAGTGGCTTCATTCAGGAGAGACCCAGCTCTGATCTTTGCTGGCTTTTCAATGACTCCTGAACCATGAAGGAGGTGGTCATGCCAGGTCAGGGTATATTATGGAAACAGAGAGTCTGAAGGGACTGACATTGGAGCTGACAGCAAGGCAGTTGACTTGTGGAGGAAGGACTTCATCCATGGAAGCCTGCATGTCTGGAATGCAGAGAACCTACCTGAATGGTTTATTACACTACTCAAAGGGAAAGAGAACAAAAAAAAGAATTCCTTGACTTTGTCAGCGACTTTCCTTTCCTTTAATATTCAGTGTAAGCTGTTCAGAAATTCTATTCTGTACTTTACAGGGATACACTAAGGAAAAGATTGTGAATTCTAATAAAATCAAGGGTAAGATACTTGAGCTTTTACAAAGCAGCATTACTTTACTAGGCTGAATGTTTATGCAATTCACTGTAGACCTAGGTAATGTAGCCTGCTAATATATTGAACTGCCAGATCATGTTCAACCATAAAGATAACTTCTGTGGCACCCCTTACCCCTTGTAAGAAACGTTATTATATGCCAAGACACCAAGATAACATAGCAGGAAACCGTGGAGTTTTTAATACAATTTAAAAGGATAGTCTGTGTATTGTGATAAAGGATGAGCACATAAACTGTTGAAAAATTCATACATTCATGTTATCACCTTTCTACACCCTCCACAAGTTTAAAAATAGTGTTCATGATGGTAAATTAAAATTCTAAACTGCAGTCCTAAGAGGGATGTGCTTTTTAATTTTTTTTAACCAGAAATCAAACACAAAAAACTTCTCCTCTGTGACAGACATATCAAAAGAATAAGAAGACCAGACACAAACTGGGAGAAAATATTTGCAGAAGATATATCTGATAAAGGACTGTTATCCAAAACATACAAAGGACCTTTAAAACTCAATAAGAAAATGAACAAAGCAGTGAAAACAATGGGCAAAAGTCCTTAACAGACATCTCATCAAAGAAGATATAAAGCTGGCAATTAGCATACAAAAAGACGTTCAACAACATATGTCATTAGGGAATTGAAAATTAAAACAACCACTACATACCTATTAGCACACTGACAACACCAATGCTAGTGAGATTGTAGAGCAACAGGAACTCTCATTCATTGCAAAGTGGTACAGTCACTTTGTAACATAATTTAGCAGTTTGTTACAAAACGAAACATGCTCTTACCATAAGATTCAGCAATCACACTCCTTGGTATTTACCCAAATGAATTGAAATCTTATGACCACACGAAAACCTGCACAAGGATGTTTATAGTGGTTTTATTCATAATTGCCAAAACTGGGAAGCAACCACAATGTTCTTCAGTAGGTGAATGGATAAACTGTGGTACATTCAGACAATGGAATATTATTCAGTGCTAAAATGAAGCAAGCTAGCAAGCCATAAAAATACATGGAGGAAACTTAAATACATATTCCTAAATTGAAATGAGTCAATCTGAAAAGGCTACATACTGTATAAGTTCAATTTAGGTGACATTCTAGAAAAGGCAAGAACTATAGACAGTAAAAAGATCAGTGGTTGTCAGGAGTTAGGAGGAGGGGAAGAATGAAAAAGTGGAACACAGAGGAGATATAGAGATCTACTCTGTATGTAATGTATGTATGTATGTAGTGGAGGATGCATGTTATTATACATTTGTTCAAACCCATAGAATATACAACACCAAGAGCGAACCTTAATGTAATCTGTGGACTTTGGGTGAAAATAATGTGTCAATGTAGGTTCATCAGTTGTAACAAATGTACCACTGTGGTGGGAGATTTCCATAACGGGGGAGGTTGTGCTTGTGTGAGGAAAAAGAGTACATGTACTCTGTACTTTTGACTCAATTTTGCTGTGAACCTAAAAGTGGGTTTTTTTTGTTTGTTTTTTGAGATGGAATTTCACTCTTGTTGCCCAGGCTGGAGTGCAATGGTGCTATCTCGGCTCACCGCAACCTCCACCTCCTGAGTTCAAGTGATTCTCCTACCTCAGCCTCCGGAGTTGCTGGGATTACAGGCATGTGCCACCCCACCTGGCCAATTTTTTGTATTTTTAGTAGAGACGGGGTTTCTCCATGTTGGTCAGGCTGGTCTCGAACTCCCGACCTCAGGTGATCCGCCCACCTCGGCCTCCCAAAGTGCTGGGATTACAGGCATGAGCCACCATGCCCGGTAAAAGTGTTCTTAAGAATAACATTTATTAATAAAAAATATGTATACATACAGATGCAAAAACATATATGCAGGCACATGCACACAAAAACACACATATAACAATCCAATCCCTGTTTAGTCACTACCTAGCTTACAAAATTAACATAGATCAAATATTAAAGCTCCATGCTATGTCCCACCCCAACCTCATTTCCCCCAATCCCATCCTTCTCCCTGAAGCAACTATTATACTGACTTTTAACATTTCAATGCATTTTTATCACATATGTTTGTATTCATAATTAATATGTTTAATTTTGTATATTTTTAAATGTAATAGTAATGAAATTATTCTTTAGCTAATCCTCTGAGATTTGTTTTTGTTTGGTTGTGTTGTTTTTATTTGACCTTATAGTAATATGGTCTTTCCATGTTGTTGCCTGTAGCTATGGATCATTCTTTTTACAGCTCTTTACTATTCCATTCTATGGCATGCTACAATGTGTTGTTCTTTTCTCTTCTCCTGTTTTAGTGCATATAATTGCTTCCTGTTTTTTTTTTCTTTCTTCCTTCTCTTACTACTGCAAACATTGCTTTACCTTTCTTCTTGTAAATGGGTATAAGAGATTTCTCTAGGGAGTATTCATAGAACACAGAAGTAGAATTGCCGAGTCATAGGGTGTGTGTGTGTGTGTGTGTGTGTGTGTGTGTGTGTGTGAATGCCAAATTTTTTCTCAAAGTTTTTGTACCACTTTTTAAAAATAATTTCAACTTTTATTTTAAATTCAGGTGATACATGCCCATGTTTGTTACATGGGTATATTGAATGATGCTAAGGTTTGGGGTATGATGGATTCCATCATCCAGGTACTGAGCATAGCACCTAATAATTTTTCAACTCTTGCCCCCTCCTTCCTCCCCCCATCCAGTAGTTCCCAATGTCTATTGTTGTCATCTTTATGTTCATGAGTACCTATTGATTAGCTCCCACTTGTAAGTGAAAACGTGTGATATTTGCTTTTCCGTTCCAACATTAATTTGCTTAGGATAATGGCCTCCAGTTGCATTCATGTTGCTGCAAAGGACATGATTTCATTCATTTTTATGGCTCCATAGTATTCCATGGTGTGTATGTACCACATTTTCTTTATCCAATTCATGGTTGATGGGCACCTAGGTTGATTCCATGTCTTTGCTACTGTGAATAGTGCTGCAATCAACATACATGTGTCTTTTTGGTTGAATGATTTATTTTCTTTTGGATAATAATAGTAATGGGATTTCTGGGTCAAATGGTAGCTCTGTTTTAAGTTCTTTGAGAAACCTCCAAACTGCTTTTCAGAGTGGCTGAACTAATTTACATTCCCACCAACAATGTATAAGTGTTCCCTTTTCTCCACAGCCTCACCAGTATCTGTGTTTATTGACTTTTTAATCATAGCCATTCTGACAGGTGTGAGATGGTATCTCACTGTGGCTTTGATTTGCATTTCTCTGATGATTGATGATGTGGAGCATATTTTCCTATGTTGGCCTCTTGGATGTATTATTTTGAGAAGTGACTGTTCATGTTTTTGTCCACTTTTTAGTGGGGTTATTTGTTTTTTGCTTGTTGAACTCTTTAAGTTCCTTATAGATTCTGGATATTAGACCCTTCTCAGATGCAGAGTTTGTGAATGTTTTCTCCCATTCTACAGGTTGTCTGTTTACTCTGTTGATAGTTTCTTCTGCTGTGCAGAAGCTCTTTAATTAGGTCTCACTTGTCAATTTTTGGTTTTGTTGTGGTTGTTTTTGAAAATGTAGTCATAAATTCTATCTCAAGGACAGTGTCCAGGATGGTGTTTCCTAGATGTTCTAGAATTTTTAGAGTTTAAAGTATTACATTTAAATGTTTAATCCATCTTGAGTAAATTTTTATATGGTGAAAGGTAGGCATCCAGCTTCATTTTTCTGCATATGGCTAGCTGGTTATCACAGCACCACTGATTGAATAAGGAGTCCTTTCCACATTCCTTATTTTGGATGACTTTGTCAAAGGTCAACCAAAGGAGGCTGTAGGTGTGTACCTTTATTTCTGGGTTCTCTCAGTCTGGTCCATTGGTCTATGTGTCTGTTTTTGTACCAGTACCATGCTATTTTGGTTACTGTAGTCTTACAGTATAGCTTGAAGTTGGGTAATGTGATGCCTCCAGTTTTGTCCTTTTTGCTTAGAATTGCTTTTGCTATTCAGGCTCTTTTTTAGTTTTATATGAATTTTAGAATAGTTTTTTCTAATTCTGTGAAAAATGATGCTGGTAGGTTGATACAAATAGCATTGAATCTATAGATTGCTTTGTAGAGTATGGCCATTTTAATGAGATTGATTCTTCCAACCCATGAGGATGCAATGTTTTTCCATTTGTTTGTGTCATCTATGATGTCTTTAAGCAGTGTTTTATAGTTCTCCTAGAAGAGGTATTTAACCCTTTTGGTTAGATATATTTCTATGCATTTTATTTTGTGTGTTTGTGGCTGTTGTAAATGGGATTGCATTCTTGATTGGCTCTCAGCTCGAAAATTATCGGTGTATAGAAATGCTACTGAATTTTGTACATTTATTTTGTATCCTGAAACTTTAGTGAAGTTGTTTATTAGTTCCAAAACCCTTTTGGTGGAGTCTAGGATTTTCTAGATATAGAATTATATTGTCATTGAGGAGAGATAGTTTGACAACTTTTACTGTTTAGATGCCTTGTATTTCTTTCTCTTGCCTGATTCGTCTGGCAAGCACTTCCAGTTCTATGTTGAATAGGAGTGGTGAGAGTGGGCACCCTTGTCTTGTTCCAGTTCTCAAGGGGAATGCGTCCAGCTTTTGTCCATTCAGTATGATGTTGGTTGTAGGTTTGTCATAGATGGCTCTTATTATTTGAGTTATGTTCCATCAATGCCTAATCTGTTGAGGGTTTTTATCATGAAGGGATGTTAGATTTTATCAAAAGCTTTTCCCACATCGATTGAGATTATCATAAGGTTTTTGTTTTTAATTCTTTTTATGTGACAAGTCACATTTATTGATTTGTGTATGTTGAACTAACCTTCCATCCCAGGAATGAAGCCTACTTGATCATGGCAAATTAACTTTTTGATGTGCTGCTGAATTTGTTTTGCTAGTGTTTTGTTGAGGATTTTTGTATCTAATGTTCATCAGGGATATTGGCCTTTGCCTGTTTTTTTTTTTTTCCCCCATTGTCTTTGCCAGGTTTTACATGGTGATGCAGGCTTCATAAAATGAGTTAGGGACAAGTCTCTTCTCCATTTTTTAAAACAGTTTCAGTACAATTGTGTACCGCTTTTTGCTCCTAAATATGAAAGTGTATGAAAGCTCTGACTGCTCCACATCCTTGTCAGTATTCAATAATGTCAGATATTTTCTTTTTTTATGAATCTGATAGATTTGAAGTGATATCACATTTAGTTTGTATTTCCCAGTTACTACTAGGTTGCGGTTGCATTTTTCATGCATGTTTTGGTCTTCTGTGCTCTTTTTCAATTAAATACTTTTTAAATTTATTTGCTCATTTTAAAAATTAAATTATCCAATTCTTATTGTATCTTCTATAAATTATGACTCCTAATTTCACTTTAGTTATTGTGTCTTAATTTTTATATAGTCATATTTATAAATTCTATATTGTCAGTTGCATTGGCACGGTGGCTCACGCCTGTAATCCCAGCACTTTGGGAGGCCGAGGTGGGTGGATCACGAGGTCAGCAGATCGAGACCGTCCTGGCTAACACAGTGAAACTCCGTCTCTACTAAAAATACAAAAAATTAGCCGGGCGTGGTGGTGAGCGCCTGTAGTCCCAGCTACTCCGGAGGCTGAGGCAGGAGAATGGCGTGAACCCGGGAGGCGGAGCTTGCAGTGAGCCGAAATCGCGCCACTGCACTCCAGTCTGGGCTATAGAGTGAGACTCGGTCTCAAAACAACAACAACAACAACAACAAATCCTTTCATTTACCAAGGTCATAAATATATCCTTTTAAGTTGTCTTATAAAAGTTTTCTAGTTTTTCTTTTCATATTTGCCTTTAATCAATATAAAACTGATTTTGTATATAATATAGTTTATGTTTTTCTGTATAGATAATCAATTGTCCAAGAATAATTTGTTGGATATTTCATACTTTACCCATTGACTTCCAATACTAGGTCTATAAGAAATCATTTAGATATATAAGATGGTCCATTTATGAAAGTTTTACTACTTTGTGGGACTCTTAGTCTATCTCTAAACAAATGCTGTACTATCTTATGGTTTCTTGCCTTATTATGACCTTTATATCTGTTAATGCAAGACCTCTTCAACCCCTTGTTCTTTGTCATTAGTGTTTTGGTTATGGCTAGCTTTTGTTCTTCTATGTGAATCTTAGAATCAAATGCTTAAATTACACCTGCACGTGCGCACACACACACACACACCCCTTTTGAATTCTGATTTTTGTTGTATTAAATCTAAAATTCAATTTAGAAAGAATTGGCATATATATTAGGCCTTTCTACCCATATCCACTTATTTAGGCTTTTAATGCCTTCTAATTTCTAACTTAATTGAATTCTGAAGAAATAATATGATCTACATAATACCTGTTCTGTGAAATTTAGGATCTGCTTTATGGTTTAGTACATGGTCAATTTCTGTAAGTTTTTGTGTGTAGTTGAAAATAACATATATTTTACAATTGCTGAGTCCATTAGATCAAAATTTTTAATTATACTGTTCAAATACTTACATATTTATTGATTATATTTTTGCCAGCTTAGATATACTAGCTTTCATTTGATTAGTATTTGCATAATGTATCTTTTCTCATTTATTAATTTTGGCCTTCCTATGCCATTTTGTTTCTCATATGTCTTTTTAAGTATCATATAGGTACATTTTATTTTGTTTCACATCTGACAATCATTGTATTTTAATTCATTTAAATTTATGGTGATCACAGGTATAATAAGGATTTATTTCTACCACCTTAGGTATTGTTTTTCATTTATTTTGCTTTTTATATTGGTGTATTTTTTCTTTATTGCCTTACTTTGGATTGATCAGGGCTTTCTGGGTCTCATTTCATATTTCCCCAAAGTGTTAACATGCATACTCAACATAGTCTAAAGTTAATCAACATCTTCACACTCCTTCAAATTATGCAAGGACTTTGAACACTTAACTCCTATCCTCTGCAAAATGATATGCAATATTTCCAGATTTTAGATCAACTTTTACTTGGTTATTCCCACATGTTTAGTACATGGTCATTTTAGTATAACTTGGTTATTCCCACATGTTTAGTACATGGTCATTTTAGTATAACTTGGTTATTCCCACATGTTTAGTACATGGCATTTTTATTAATTTTTATGCAGTCAATATTTGTTTAGATATATGCACAAATTTACCAATTTCTTGACTCAACATTTCTTTTGACATCTCAGCATCTCCTTCTGGAATGATTCCTTTTTGAGCCTGAACTATATACTTTAAAATCTCCTTTAGTGGGTGTCTGTGGCTGGTAAAGTGTCTCATTTTGGTTTTTCTGAAAACATCTGTTTCTTAACTGATACATAATGTTTTACAAATTTATAGGCTACGTGTGAGTATTTCTTACATTCATAGAAGGTGTAATGATCAAGTCAGAGTATTTTAGGGATCCATCACCTTAAGAACTTATCAATTCTTTGTGTGGGAAACATTGCAAGTCCTTTCTTCTAGCTACTTTGAAGTATACAACACATTGTTGCTGTAGTCACCATACTCTGCTATCAAACATTAGAAGTTATACCTCCTACCTAATTTTATATTTGTGCCCATTAACCAACCTCTCTTTATCCCCGACACACTACCACACACATCATTATCAGACTCTGGTGTCTTTCGTTGTATTTTCTACCTCCATGAGATTAATTTTTTTATCTCCTGCATGTGAGTGAGAACACATGATATTTGTCTTTCTGTGTCTGGCTTATTTCACTTAAGATAATGAGTTTCAGTTCCATCCATGTTGCTGCAGATGGCATGACTTTATTCTTTTCTATGGTCAAATAATATTATTGTGTATATATACCACATTTTCTTTATCCTTCAGTCCACTGATGAACACTAGGGTTGATTCCATATCTTGGCTATTGTGAATAGTGCTGCAATAAACATGGGGGTACAGGTATCCCTCTGATACACTCATTTCTTTTGGATATATTTTTAGTTGTGAGATTGCTGGCTCAAATGGTATCTCTATTTTTAGGTTTATTAGAACTCTCCTTACTGTTTTCCATGGTTGCTGTGCTAATTTGCATTTCTACCAACAGTATATAAGAGTTTCCTTTTCTCCACATACTCACCAGCATCTGTTATTATTTTTTTATCTTTTCGTAATAGCCATTCTAACTGGGTTAAAATGATACTTCATTGTGGTTTTGGTTTGCATATGTCTGATGATAAGTGAAGTAGAGTATTTTTTCATATACCTCTTGGTCATCCGTATGTCTTCTTTAGAGAAATGTCTGTTCAAGTACTTTGCTTAGTTTTTATTGGGATTTTTTTTTTATACTGTTGAGTTCCCTGTCTATTCTGGATATTAGCCCCTTGTTGAATGTACAGTTTGCAAATGTTTTCTCCCATTCAATAGGTTGTCTCTTTACTCTGTTTCTTGTTGCCTTTGTTGTGCAGAAGCTTTTTAGTTTAATATAGTCCCATTTGTCTATTGTTATTGTCTGTGCTTTTGAGGTCTTAGCCATCAAATCTTTGCCTAGATCAATGTCCTGAAGTATTTTCCCTGTTTTGTTCCAGTAGTTTTATAATTTGGGGTCTTACCTTTAAGTCTTTAATCTATTGTGTGTTGTTTTTTATACGATGAGAGATAGGTGTGAAGTTTCATTATTCTGCATGTGGACAACCAATTGTCCCAGTACAATTTATTGAAGAGGGTGACATTTTTCTATGGTATGTTTTTGCCACCTTTGTTAAATATCCGTTGACTCTAAATACATAGATTTATTCCTGGGTTCTCTATTCTGTTCCGTTGGTCTATGTATCTATTTTTATTTACCCATACCATGCTGTTTTGTTTACTATAGCCTTGTAATATATTTTGAAGTCAACTAATGTGATGTTTCCAGCTTTGCAATGTTTGTTCAAGATTGCTTTGGCTATTTGAGCTCTTTCTCTGTTCCTTACAAATTTAAGGATTTTTTTTTTTATTTTGTGAGAAATGACATTGATATTTTGATAGAGATTGCATTGAATCTGTAGATTGCTTTGGGCAGTATGACCATTTTAATAATAATATATTTCCCAGTCCATGAGCATGGAATGTCATTCCATTTGGTTGTGTACTCTTCTATTTCTTTCCTCAGTATTTTGTAGCCTTCCTTGTAGAGATCTTCCATCTCCTTGGCTCAATTTATTCCCATATATTTTTTTGTAGCTATTGTAAATGAGATTGCTTTCTTGATTTCTTTCTCAGCAAGTTTATTATTGGTGTATAAAAATGCTACTGATTTTTATATGTTGATTTTATATCCTGAAACTTTACTGAATTGCTCTATTAGACCTAAGAGTATTGGGAGAACCTGCCCCCAGTAGTCACATAGGTTCTTTTCTATTTTCCCTAAGTGTCGGCTGGTCTGAGAAATAAAGGGACAGAGTACAAAAGAGAGAAATTTTAAAGCTGGGTGTCTGGGGGAGACATCACATGTCACCAGGTTCTGTGATGACCCCTGAGCCATAAAACCAGCAAGTTTTTATTAGCGATTTTCAAAAGGGGAGGGAGTGTATGAATAGGGTGTGGATTACAGAGATCACATGCTTCACAAGGTAATAAGATATTACAAGGTGAATGGAGGCAGGGCGAGATCACAGGACCACAGGACCACAGGACCGGGGCAAAATTAAAATTGCTAAGTAGTTTTGGGCACGCATTGTCATTGATAACGTCTTATCAGGAAACAGGGTTTGAGAGCAGACAACCAGTCTGACCAAAATTTATTAGGCGGGAATTTCCTCATCCTAATAAGCCTGGGAGCACTACGGGAGACTGGGGCTTATTTCATCCCTACAGCTGCAACCATAAAAGACAGCTGCCCCTGAAGCAGCCATTTCAGAGGCCTACCCTTAGGGACACATTCTCTTTCTCAGGGATGTTCCTTGCTGAGAAAAAGAATTCAGCGATATTTCTCCCATTTGCTTTTGAAAGAAGAGAAATATGGCTCTGTTCCGCCCAGCTCACTGGTGGTCAGAGTTTAAGGTTATCTCTCTTATTCCCTGAACATTGCTGTTATCCTTTTCTTTTTTCAAGGTGCCCAAATTTCATATTGTTCAAACACACATGCTCTGCAAACAATTTGTGCAGTTAATGCAATCATCACAGGGTCCAGAGGCGACATACATCCTCCTCAGTTTACGAAGATGATGGGATTAAGAGATTAAAGTAAAGACAGGCATAGGAAATCACAAGGGTATTGATTGGGGAAGTGATAAGTGTCCATGAAATCTTCACAATTTATGTTCAGAGATTGCAGTAAAGACAGGCGTAAGAAATTATAAAAGTATTAATTTTGGGAACTGATTAATGTCCATGAAATCTTCACAATCTATGTTCCTCTGCCATGACCACAGCTGGTCCCTCCATTTGGGGTCCCTGACTTCCCGCAACATAAGAGTTTCTCAGTGCAGTCTTTAGGGTTTTCTAGATATAAGATTATATCGTCAGCAAAGAGGAACAATTTGACTTCCTCTTTTCCAATCTGGATGCCTTTTATTTCTTGCCTGTTTACTTTGATTAGGACTTCCACCACTAAGTTGAATAGGAATGGTGAAGTGGCCATCCATCTCTTGTTCTAGTTCTTGGAGCAAATGATTTCAGTTTTCCCCATTCAGTATGATGTTGGCTGTCAGTTTGTCAGATATGGCCTTCATTATATTGAGGTATATTCCTTTTACAGCTAGTTTGTTAAGGGTTTTTATCATGAAGAGATGTCGAATTTTATCAGATGCTTTTTTCTTTTGAGATGATCATATTGTTTTTGTCATTTATTTCATTCATGTGATATATCATGTGTGTTAATTTGTATATGTTGAACCAACCGTGCATCCCTGGGATAAATCTCATTTGATCATGCTATATTATTTTTTTTTGATGTGCTGTTGGATATAGTTTGCTATTAATTTTTTGAGGGCTTTTACATTTATTTTCATTGGTAATATTGGCCTGTAGTTTTCTTTTTTCATTGTGTCCTTATCTGCTTTGGGTGTCAAGGTAAGGCTGGCATTTTAGAATTAGTTAGAGAAAGTTTCCTTCTCTTCAATTTGTTGAAATAGTTTGAGGAAAATTGGTGTTAGTTCTTCTTTGAAAGTTTGTTAGAATTTGACAATGAAGCCATCTGACTCTGGACAAACTTTTGTTGGGAAACTTTTATTACTTCTCTTTTTTGGGGGGTGTGGGGGATGGAGTTTCGCTCTTGTTGCCTAGGCTGGAGTGCAATGGCGTGATCTCGGCTCACCACAACCTCTGCCTCCCAGGTTCAAGAGATTCTCCTGCCTCAGCCTCCTGAGTAGCTGGGATTACAGGCATGTGCTACCATGCCTGGCTAATTTTGTATTTTTAGTAGAGATGGGGTTTCTCCATGTTGGTCAGGCTGGTCTCGAACTCCCGACCTCAGGTGATCCGCCTGCCTCGGCCTCCCAAAGTGCTGGGATTATAGGCATGAGCCACCGTGCCTGGCCTGGGAAACTTTGTATTACTTTTTTGATCACATTACTTGTTATTTTTCTGTTCAGGCTTTCTATTTCTTCCTGATTCAATCTGGGAATGTGGCAGATGTCCAGGAGTTTAGTCATTTTGTCTAGGTTTTCCAGTTCTTTAGTGTATAGTTGTTCATAATAGTCTCTGATAATCTGTTGTATTTATTTTGTACCACTTGTTTTGTGATATCTGTTGTAATGTCTCCTTCATTTCTAATTTGGGTCTCTTCTATTTTTTTTTTCTGGGTTTGTCTAGCAAGTGGTTTATTTTGTTCTTCTTTGCAAAAAACAACTTCCGGTTTCATTGATAATTTTTATTTTTTTATTTTTTTGAGAGGGAGTCTTGCTCTGTCACCAGGCTGGAGTGCAGTGGTATGATCTTGTCTCGCTGCAACCCCTGCCTCCTGGGTTCAAGCAATTCCCCTGCCTCAGCCTCCCGAGTAGCTGGGCCTACAGGTGTGCACCACCACACCCGGCTAATTTTTTGTATTTTAGTAGAGATGGGGTTTCATCATGTTGGCCAGGATGGTCTTGATCTCCTGACCTGGTGATCCACCCACCTTGGCCTCCCAAAGTGCTGGGATTACAGGTGAGAGCCACCATGCCCAGCCTCATTGATCCTTTGTATTTTTTTAGTCTATTTCATTTAGTCCTGCTCTGATCTTTATTATTTCTTTCCTTCTACTAAATTTGGGTTTGGTTCATTCTTGCTTTTCCAGTTCCTGGAGGTGCATTTATAGATTGTTTATTTTAAATCTACTTTTTTAATGTAGATGTTCATTGCTATAAATGTCCCTCTTAGCACTGCTATTGCTGTATTCCACAGGTTTGGGGATACTGTGTTTTGATTTTCATGTTTCAAAAAATATTTTTATTTTCTATTTACTTTTTTTGGACACAATAGTCATTCAGGAGCATTTTGTTTAATTTCCATGTATTTGTACAGTTTCCGAAGTTTCTCTTGGTATTGATATCTGGTTTTATTCCATTGTGATCTGAGAAGATACTTGGTTTGATTTTGATATTTAAAAAATTGTTGAGACTGTTTTGTGGCCTAACATATAGTCTGTCTTGAATAATGAGGAAAACTGTGCATTTTGTGAATGTTGGATGCCATATTCTGTAAATGTCTGTTAGGTCCATTTGGTCTAATGTGCAATTTAAAGCCAATGTTCCTTTGTTAATTTTCTTTCTAGATTATCTGTCTAATGCTGAGAGTGGGGTGTTGAAGTCCACAACTGTTATTCCACTGGAATACATCTCTCCATTTAAATCTAATAATATTTGCTTTATATATGTGGGTGCTCTGATGTTGGATGCACATATGTTTAGAATTGTTATATTCTTTTGCTGAATTGATTCCTTCATTGTTATATGATGACTTTCTTCATCTCTTTTTACTTTTTTTGACTTAAAGTCTGTTTTATCTGATATAAGTGTAGTTACTCCTCACTTTTGGTTTCTGTTTGCATGAAATACCTTTTTCCACTCCTTTACTTTCAGTCTACATTTGTCTTTACATGTGTTTCTTGTAGGCAGAATATAATTGGGTGATGTTTATTTGTTCATTCAGCCAGTGTGTATCTTTTAAGTGGGATGTTTAATTCATTTACTTAAGATTATTATTGATATGTGGAGGTTTGTTATTTTATTATTTCTCCTTGTTTTATACATACTCTATTCTTTTATTTTCTATGTTTTTAATCATTGTGATTTGGTAGTTTTCTGTAGTGCTAACATTTGAGTCTTTTCCTTGTTGGTGTTTGCTCTACCAGTGGGTTTTGTGTTTTTTTGTTTGTTTGTTTTCATGGTAGTAGATATAATTCTTTCACTTCTGGGTGTAGGATTCCCTTAAGCATTTCCGGCAGGGTTAGCCTAGTGATGAATTCCCTTAGCTTTTGCTTGATTGCGGAAGACTTTATTTTTCCTTCATTTGTGAAGAATAACTGTGCTGGGTGGAGTACCCTTTGGTGACAGTTGTTTTATTTCAGCACTTTGAATATATTATTCCATTCTCTTTTGGCCTGTAAGTCTTATCCTGAGAAATCCACTGTTAATCTGATGTGAGTTCCTTTATAAATAACTAGATGCTTTTCTCTTGTTGTTTATAAAATTGTATTTTCATCTTTGACTTTTGAGCTTGAGTATAATATGTTGTGAGAAGACTTTTTTTGCATTATATCTACTTGGGATCTCTGAGCTTCCTACATCTTGATGTCTAAATCTCATGCTAGACTTGGGAAGTTTTCATCTATTATTTTGTTAAATGTAACCCTGCCATTTACTCTTTGCCTTCCAGGACTCTGAAAAGTTGAATATTTTATCTTTTTATTGTCCCATATGTCATGTAGGCTTTGCTCATTCTTTTTTTTTTTTTTTTTAATTGAGACAGGTTCTGACTCTATTACCCAGGCTGGAGTGAAGTGGCATGATCTTGGCTCACTGGAATTTTTGTTTCCCAGGCTCAAGCCGTCCTTCCACCTCAGCCTCCTGAGTAGCTGAGACTACAGGCATGCAACATCACCCCCAGCTAGTTTTTGTATTTTTTAGGGGTTTCACCATGTTGCCCAGCCTGGTCTGGAACTCCTGGGCTTAAATCAATCCACCTGACTTGGCTTCCCAAAGTGCTGGAATTACAGGCATGAGCTACCACACCCAGCTGCTTATTATTTTTTATTCTCTCTTCTTCATTTTTGTCTTACTGAATTGTTTCAAAAGACCTGTATTCAAGTTATGGGATTCCTCTGCTTGATCTAGTCTATTGTTGAAATTTTCACATATATTTTGCATTTTGTTCAATGAATTCTTAATTCCAGAATTTCTATTTGTTTCCTTTCTAAGATATTTATCTGTTTGGTAAATTTATCATTCACATCCTGAATTGTTTTTCTGACTTCTTTGTATTGTTTTCCAGCATTTTTTGTATCTCATGGAACTTCTCTAAACTCTGTATTTTGAATTATTTTTCAGAGTTTTGTAAATTTCTTTGCCATTGAAAACTGTTGAGGGGAAATTATTATGTTCTTTTGGTGGTCTCATATTTCCTGTTTTTTTAAATGTCTCTTGTGTCTATGTTGATATCCTTTTTCCTAAAGATGTATCTATCTTGTTTGTTGTGTACAGCACTTTGGCTTTGATTCTTGGGGCATGCAGTAGTGTAATCTTTATATGATTTATTTGACCATAAACAGCATCAGTGGTTTCTGTGATTTCCTTGATGATTTAGGATGTGGTTATTAGTGGAGGCTATGGTAAAGTTTTGCTAGTTATGGGGACACCAGGTGGGCGAGTCTTCTCGTCCCAGTGGTGACATTGGTGGGCTGAGTGTGCTTGTCCCTGGACCCCGGATGTTGTACTCTGGTGCCAGTGTTAGTAGGACCACGTTGGCTGATTCTTGGTCCTCTAAGTGGATTGCTCAGATGCTAATAGTGACAGCAGTAGGCCTGATGGGTGTGCAGGTTCTTAGGCCCCTGGGCAGCAGGTATGGCAAGGGCTATGACAGTACCAGTGGCAGGAAAACTCTCTGGGTCCCGAGAAGTTCATGCAGGTATTGCAGTGGTTACAATGTGCTGAGTGGACCAGTCTCAAAGCTTGTAGGTGGCATGTGCAGGTAGGTACCAGCTATTGTGGTAGCAGCAGGGTGAGTGGGCCCACCCATTCTGCAGGAAGGTGGGGAATGCATGCTTCATTTT
This sequence comes from Homo sapiens, assembly GCF_000001405.40. Lineage (NCBI taxonomy): Eukaryota > Metazoa > Chordata > Mammalia > Primates > Hominidae > Homo > Homo sapiens. Next base: position 98,264,301 of record NC_000023.11, on the reverse strand, counting down.
CTTCTCAGCCCTTGTAATGGGAGCTTGCACTTTACTCATGCTGCAGCCCCCATGGTGCAGCAACTGCAGCTGCAGGGCAGGAAATCTGTCTGGGTGCATGAAAATGCATGGTGGTTTTGTTGCTGGAGGATGTGGGGTTGCAGCCAGTGGTCCCTGTTTTGTCCCCAGCAATAGCAGCCAGCCATGGTGGTTGCTCGGGGTAGGCAATGCCAGTGGGGCTCCAGGGATGTGGAGACGCTCATGCTCTTGAGTCCTAGGGCAGGGTGCAATGTGTTGGGGTGTGGGCTCTCAAAATGGCAGATTACAATAGCTGCTTAGGACTCCAAACTTGCCCGAGGTCCATGTTTTATTTAAAAATTCTAAGGAAGGACTTTTTTTTTTTTTTTTTTTTCTACTCAACCCTGTGCTGAGACTAAGATAGGCATTTCCTTTCTGCCCTTTTCAGTGGGGTGGAATTTTTTAGCTTATCCTTATAATGAATGTCTTAAACCCTTACAGTAACATCTAAGTTTTCTGCCACAGTCTCCTACGGATTTTCCCTCCTTTGATAGGTATTAGGCTTCATATCCAAGGTCTGTGAGACAAATGGTCATAAACATTGATGCTCAAGGTCACCAGGGATTATAGATGATTCCAGAGTGAAAGCTAGCTTTTGTACTTACTTTTCTAGATTTTTGCTTTACCTTCATTTTTGACCTTTAAGGATTTTTCTTTCTTTCTTGCCAGTAAAGCTTTGCAAATAGAAATACTTAATTACATATATTTTAGCCAACATTTTCAGTTGTTTTTCCACAAAATAATCATTCAAATTTTCTAGCCTGTTCCAGTGCCCAAAAGAGATGTCTAGGTGGAGTCTTTATAGAAAGAATTGTATCCAAAATGAATAGCTAATATTTATGGAATGCTTACTATATACATGCTAATATTATGCTAAGTATTTCCCATGAAGTGCTTCATTTAATCCTCACAAAAAAACCACATGAGCTAAGTATTCAGTTTTCACATGCAGAAATTTAGTCCTAGAACAGACTGTACACTTTCCCTAGGTCACATAGCTGAAAAGTGGTGGTGACAGAATTCAAGTACATCTCTGTTTCATGCCAAAGTTAGTGTTCCAAAACATTATCATACCCTACTAATCAAACTAAAATGTTTTTGAAATGACTGTTTATTATGTGTATGGATTTAATAACACCATGATGGCAGATACGGTTACTGTTTTATTCACTATCGTACTTCCAGTGCCTGGAACATAATGGGAGTTCAATAAATGGATTGAGCAAATAAGCAATAAAGGCATATAGACTCTTACTGTTATATGCGTAAATGTTGAGTCAGATTTCCTGCTGGTGGTAGGCTGAAAACGTGGTAATAGCAAGTCTTTGGGCATATGCTAGTGCTCAGTGTTTCTAATGCTGTTATTTCAAATGCTCTGATCTTCAATAATTATATTTATTTCAGCTGTGAAATCCATAACACACCTGTAGTCCTGAACACGTATTGTTTGTTTCCAGTCCATGTGTTCAGGGCTTGAGAACCAGTGACTTTTCACCTATTTCTTTTTCTTTTACACTATTTAGATAGACTCTCAATCATTATTAGAATGTTGAATTTCTACTACTAGTAGTGATTATTGAATGCCTACTACTGTTTTATACTTGATATGGTTTGGATCTGGGATTCCACTCAAATCTCATGTTGAATTGTAATCACCATTGTTGGAGGTGGGGCCTGGTGGGAGGTGATTGGATCATGGTTGTGTGGATCATGTGCTGTCCTCATGATAGTAAGTTCTTGCAAGATCTGGTTGTTTAAAGGTGTCTGGCACCTCACCCCCCACCCCAACCTCTTGTTTCTGCTCTGATGGGATGTGCCACTTCACCTTCTGCCATGAGTAAAAGCTTCCTGAGGCCTCTGCAGAAGCCGAGCAAAGGCTGGCACCATGCTTGCTCTACAGCCTGCAGAACTGTGAGCCAACTAAACCTCTTTTCCTTATAAATTATCCAGTCTCAGGTATTCCTTTATAGCAATGCAAGAATGGCCTACACAATACTTATTCCTCAAAACAATTCTGCAAGTTCTTTTTGTCTCCATTTAACAAAGAATAAACTAGGGAATCACACAGTTAATTAGCAGAAGAGCAAGTCATGAAGCCATCTGTGTCTGCGAAATTCCTTGTGCTTCACCTGTCCAGATTATTCCTCATGCTCCCCAAACCCACTCTGCACTTTTAGACATAGATGCCTTTTCTGATACTGTCCCTTCTTCCTGAAGATCCTTCCTCTTTTAAAGGACTAGTGAACCTCTACACATCCTTTAAGGCACAACACAAATATATCCTCCTCAATGAAACCATTCACAAATCCCTCCTGATCTTCCTGCCTATTTGCTTCCTAGCATTTTGCGTATTAGTAGTCACATTGTTCTATAATGAATCGTGTGTCTGTCTCCCCATGTATAGTTGTGATCCAGGGTGATAATATCATTTTCTTCACTGCATCTTTAGCAGCTAGTGTGGTACATGGCACAAATGGCATGAATGAATTAGTTACCAGATTTAATGGAAGTAGATAGAAGTCATCTGGGAAAACTTTATGCTAATAATTCTTTACATAGTCTTAACCCCTTATCTAAAAAACACACCCTTCCTTCTTTTTCTAAACGCTCTCTTTATTCTGAGGCAGTTTTCAGAAAATCGTCTTAGGTATCATCAAAATAATATGACAAGACTTCAGACTTGCGTAGAAATTTACAGTTTTCAAAACACTTTCCATTACATTTTGTTTTCTCTTCAGCCCTCTGAGATGGCTTGGGCAGGTGGTTTTCTCCTGTCTTACAGATGAGGAGGCTGAAAGCCCGATCATATGCTCATGAAGTGTTAGAAGCAGGAGTTGGTCTCTTGTCTTCCAGCATGTAGCCCCGGGCTTTCTACTCTTCTCATCTGTCCCTCTTGTGGTTAAAAGAGTGTCTTTGGAAGAGGGAAGTCTCAGTAATTTGAATCATGTTAAGTTTAAATAAATGATCATTGGGTGATGTGGTTCTCCAACTTGAGTGTAATCACTAGGAAAGTATGTTTAATTTGTGGATTGCCAGGCCCTATCCTCAGAGATTCTGATTTACTAGGTCTAGCGTGGAGCCTAAGAATTAATGAATACACCAGGTAATTCTGCTGCAGATATTTCTTAGGCCACAATTTGTAGAACACTGGAAAAGAAAAGCTGGGCTAAAATTTGTTGTTTTATGGTATGTTCAGAGCAATATGTTTTCTCATGAGTACAATCTGTATTTGTTAAGAGCAAGGGTAAGTACTGCACAGTGGAGGAAGTGGTGAAAGTAGGAAAGGGACAATAGCAAGCCAACTGGCTAAGAGATAAAAAAGAAAAGCCAAGGTGCACACGATGCTTGAACTGCCTGTTAGTCTTTTTATAAGATATAGAAAGTAAATCTGAGAACATATTCTGTCAAGTTTGTATTATTTGCTGTAAGTTTCCAAGGCATTTTATATTGGAAAAAGAACTATATTGATGCAATTCCATTTCTAGCATTGCCATTTGTTCTTTTACTTCCACAGAAGGTGTTACTTTCTATTTTTTCCCTCTCTGCTCTCTAAACTAGGTAACCATTTGGTTGTTTTTAATTGTCACATTTGTTCTCATACCAACATGTTAAATGTAACTTGCTCAAGAGCCAAATCTGCAAATTTCTTTTGCTTCTTTCTGAAAATCCGCACAAAACTAAAGTGAAAAATCTTTGTTTCTTTTTTAGTTTGGGTTCCTCATTACATTTCTAAAGTTATAGGCTTATTACTGCCCAGGAGTAGGAGAGAATTCAGATTCACTTTCAGCCACTCATCATATTCTGAATATTCTGAGATAAACAATGCAGATAGAGACTGAAAATGTCATATTTTAAACATTAAAATTTACCTGTGAAGCAATATTTTTCCTGCATATCCAATTTTTTTATTGGCTTCAATATAACATTGACAATGTCTTCTTCAAAATAAGATTTTGCTTTCAAGCTCTGATAAAATCATGAGAAAGAATGTAACATACCCTTTAAAATATAAATTTAAAGAAGAACAAATACTTGACAGGTTAATAGCAGTCAAAATAAGTCACAAAATATGAATGCAATGCAACAGAGTTTTTTTTTATATATATACAACAAAGTTAAAGCTCTAAAGGGAAAGACATAATTAAGAGTTTAAGGGAACATAACACACTGAACCAGAGTGTCCAAGAGTTTATATCAACTCTCTACTTTTACATTCAGCTCCCTCACTCATACTCTATAACAGAAGAATGTTTTCTGGGAGTGCTGAGAGGGCAGGTGAACAACTATTTCAAGCCTACTATGTAATAGGCACTAGGCTCGGAATATTTTACTTCAATCCAATAAAATCCTGTAACATCCCAATTTACAAATCAGGAAATGAGTCTCAGAGGCTAAGCAACTCCTCTAGAGTTACATAGCCTGTGAATGGCAGATTAAACCCAGGTGTATCTGATTCCAGTCTTTATGCTTTTCAACTAGATTATCATGTTCCCAGGCTTTTTAGGTATGACAACTTATTTTCCCCAGAAATGATAATTATTTTATTACAGAAAAAGAACAAAGGGGATCTAGAATGATAGCTCATTATATCTTCCTATTTTTCAGTCTAATTCTGAAACATTATACCTTGTAAAAGGTGTACATACAGTTTCAAAGGTGAAAAGAGTATTGTTTAATTTTTATTTAATGTATTTAATGGACACATTGTAACTGTACATATTTATGGGGTACAATTTAATGCTTCAACACATATCTATGTGTATAGTAATCGAATTATGGTAGTGTATTACCTCATGCATTTATCATTTCTTTGTGGTGAGAACATTCAAAAGCTTCCTTTCTAGTTACTTTGTGATATGTAATATTTTACTGTTAGCCAGTCACTCTACTGTGCAATAGAACAGCAGAATTTATTCCTCTTATCTAATTGTAACTTTGTACCCATTGATCAACCTCCCCCTTTACACCTCTTCCTCTTTCCCTCCCCAGTCTCTGGTAACCACTGTTGTACTCTCTGCTTCTATGATATCAACATTATTAAAGTTTCCATATGTGAGTGAGATCATGGAGTATTTGTCTTTCTACGCCTGGCTTATTTTACTTAACACGACAACCCCTGGATCTGTCCATCTTGCCACAAATGACAGGATTTCTTTTTTTATCGCAAAATAGTATTACATTGTGTATATATACCACATTTTCTTTTTTTCTTTTGCTCTCTTTCTTTCTCTCCCTTTCTCTTTTCTTTCTTTCTCTCTCTTACTTTTTTCCTTTTCCCTTTCCCTTTCCTTTTTCTCTCTTTCTTGAGACCTGTCTCCCAGGCTGGAGTGCAGTGGGATGAACATAGCTCACTATAACCTTGAATAGGAATTCAAGGTTAGGCTCAAGTGATTCTCCCACCTTGGCCTCCCAAAATGCTGGGATTACAGGTGTGAGCCACAACGCCCGGTCTGTTTGCCACATTTTCTTTATCTGTTCATCCATTTATTGAAACTGAGGTTGACTCCATATCTTGGCTATTGAAAATAGTGCTGCAGTAACCATGGGAGTGCCACGATCTCTCTGACATACAGATTTCATTTCTATTGAATATATACCCAGTGGTGGGATTGTGGGATCATATAGTAGTTCTATTTTTAGTTTGTTAAGGAACCACCATACTGTTTTCCACAATGGCTGTGATAGTAAACAATTCCACCAATAGTGTCTAAGTTTCTTTTTCTGCACATCCTCATCAACACTTGTTTTCTTTTGTCTTTTTGATAATAGTCAACTAAGGTGGTATCTCATTGTGGTTTTGATTGGCATTTCCCTGATGATTGGTGATATTGAGCATTTTTTCACATATCTGTTGACTATTTGTATGTCTTCTTTTGAGAAATGTCTATTAAGGTCTTTTGTCCATTTTTAAATTAGGTTATTTGTTTTCTTGCTGTTGAATTGTATAAGTTCCTTATATATTCTGAATAGTAATCTTTTGTCAGATGTATAGTTTGGAAATATTTTCTTCCATTGTGTAGGTTGTCTTTTCACCTTGTTAATAGTTTCTTTCACTGTGCAAAAGCTTTTTAGTTCGATATAACAGCATTTGTTTGTTTTTGCTTTTTTTGCCTGTGCTTTTGAGGTCTTATTTAAAAAATCCTTGCCCAGCCCAATATCATGAAGTATTTATCCTATTTTTCTTCTAGTAGTTTCATAGTTTCAGGTTTTACATTTAAGTCTTTAATCTATGTTGAGTTGATTTTTGTATATACTGAGAGGTAGGTGTCTAGTCTCATTCTTCTGTGTGTGGATATTTAATTTTCCCAGAACCACTTATTAAATAGACTTTTTCCACAAAAATCAGTTGGCTGTATATGTGTGAATTTATTTCTGGGCTCTCTATTCTGTTCCCTTAGTCTTTGTGTCTTTTTTTATGCCCACACCATGCTCTTTTGGTCAGTATAGTTTTGTATTATATATTCTTATATTTATGTATACATAATAATTGCAAATATTTATGGAGTACACGTGATAATTTGTAGTGTATTTTGAAGTCAGATAGTGTGATACCCCCAGCTTTATTTGTGTATTTTGTGGTTCAATATCAACTTTAGGATTGCTTTTTCTATATCTACAAGAAGTGACACTGGAATTTTCATAGGGATTGCACTAAAACTGTAGCTCTCTTTGGTAATATGGCCATTTTAACAATATAAGTTTTTTAAAATTCATAAAAATGGGATATCTTTCCATTTATTTGTATTCTCTTCCATTTCTTTCATCAAAGTTTTATAGTTTTCAGTGTTGAGATCTTTTACCTCCTTGGTTAAGTTTATTCCTAGGTATCTTATTTTTAGTAGCTATTATAAATGGAACTGGTTTTTAAATTTCTTTTTCGGATAGTTCACTATAGCATATATAAATGCTGCAGATTTTTGTATGTTGATTTTGTATCCTGCAACTTTACTTAATTCATTTATTAGTTCTAAAAGGTTTTTTTTCTTTTTTTGCTGATGTATTTACAGTTTTCTATATATAAGATCACATTGTCTACAAACAGGAACAATTTGATATTCTCCTTTCCAATTTGGATGCCTTTTATTTCTTACTTTTGCCTAATTGCTCTGGCTAGGACTTCAGTACTGAGTTGAATAGAAATGGTGAAAGTGGGTATCCTTGACTTGTTTCTGATCTTACAGAAAAAGATTTCAGCTTTTCACCATTGAGTATGATGTTAGCTATAGGTTTGTTATATATGGCCTTTGTTGTGTTGAGGTAGATACCTTCTATATCTAATTTTTAGAGATTTATTTTTAATCATGAATGGTTGTTGAATTCTGTCAATGCTTTTTCTTCATCTTTTGAAATGATCATATGCTTTTTGTCGTTTTGTTAATACGGTGGATCAAATTTTTTTATTTGCGTATGTTAAATCATCCCTGAATATCTGGCATGAATCCCACTTGATTATGGTGAATGATCTTTTTAATGCACTGTTGGATTTGGTTTGCTAGTATCTCACTGAGAATGTTTGCATCTATGTTCATCAGGGATATTGACCTGTAATTTTGTTATTTTTGTTGTGTTCTTATTTGTTTTTGGAATTAGACTAATACTGATCTCATAAAATGGGTTTGGAAGTATTCCCTCCTTCTCAATTTTCTGGAGTATTTAAAAAAGAATTGGTATTCATTCTTCTTTAAATGTTTGGTAGAATTCAGCATGGAAGCCATCAATCAGGTCCTGGGCTTTTCTTTGATGGAAGACTTTTTATTACTGATTCAATTTCCTCACTTGTTGTTGGTCTGTTCAGATTTTCTATATTTTCATAATTTAATCTCGGTACACTGTATGTTCAGGAATTTATCCACTTCTTCTATGTTATTAAATTTGTTGGTATATAGCTATTCATAATAGTCTCTTATGATCTTTGTCTTTTGTGGTATCAGTTGTAATGTCTCCTTTTTCATCTCTGGTTGTATTTATTTCAGCCTTCTTACTTTTTTCTTAGTCTAGCTAAAGGTTTGTCCATTTTATTTATCTTTTCAATAAGCCAACTCTATTTTGTTGATTTTTTGAATTGGTTTTTAGTCTCCATTTTGTTTATTTCTGCTTTGAGCTTTATTATTTCCTTCCTTCTACTAATTTTAGGTTAGTTTGCTCTTGTTTTCCTTGTTTCTTGTGCAATATTGTTAGGTTATTATATATCTTTATTTTTTGGTGTAGACATTTGTTGCTATAAACTTTAGATCCTAGATCACATAGGTTTGATATGTTTCCATTCTCATTTCTCTCAAGGAAATTTTTAATTTCCCTTTCAATTTCATCATTGACTCTTGGTTGTTTAGAAACATGTTTAATGTTCACATACTTGTAAAGTTTCCAAAGTTTTTCTAATTGTTGACTTCTAGATTCATACCATTGTGGTCAGAAAAGATACTTGATATGATCTCTATATTCTTAAATTTGTTAAAAATTGTTTTGTGGTCTAACATGTGATCTACCTGGAAAATGTTTCACATGTAGTTGAGAAGAAAGTGTATTCTGCAGCTGTTAGATGGAGTGTTTTGTAAATGTTTGTTAGGGCCATTTGGTCTGTGGTGCAGTTTAAGTCTGCTGTTTGTGTTAATTTTTTTATCTAGATGATCAGCCCATTGTTGAAAGAGGGGTGTTGAAGTGCCCTACTTTTATTGTTTTGCATCTGTCTCTCCCTTTATGTCTAATAATATTATTTGCTTTATATATTTGGGTGCTTCATTGTTGGGCACATATGTATTTACAATTGTTATATCCTCTTGTTGAATTGATCCTTTCAGGCATTTTATATATGTCCTTTCCTTTGGGGTCTGTCACTAGAGACTAATTGTATTCATTTCGGGGTGTCATGTTTTCTTGCTTCATGTCTTTATGTCCCTACATTGATCTCTGCACATCTAGTGGAATAGTAGCTTTTTCTAATTTTATAGAGTAACTTTTATAGAGAGAGACTTTTGCCTGTAGATGACTCCCTAGGGTGTTGTTTGGGTATGGGACGTTGGCTTTTTTTTCTGAGTAGATTCATTAGTGTGATCCCTGTGCTTTTTCAGTTGTAATCCGAATTAGTGATGTCTGTTATTGCCTCAGTAGCCTAGGCTGTAGGAGTTTGTCATGATGGTGGTGCAGGATGCCTAGCAGTGGGTCCAATTTCAAGATTGCCCCAAACCATAGGTGCTTAGTCTTAGGGTTGGAAGATGCTCAAGGTGGGTTTCTACTCTAAGTCAGTGTAGCTATATGTACTTCCAGCTGCTCTCCAAACTGGATTTGGGGCCTGTGAGGACCAAGGAACTTTTAGATAGCAAGGATGGCTGGTGTATGTGGCAGCAGTGGGGACTGATGGGGATCTCTGTCTTGCTTTTTCTCTATAAGAAAATGTCTCCCCTGACTCTGAGCTCATTCAGGAAGGGGAGACTTTGTGGCAGAGTCAGGATGCCTCGCTCCCCTCTCTGTGGTGTTATCAAGGGCTTCCATGCTTCACAAGGATTTCCCTGCTCCCCTGGGGCTCTCCAGTGTACTTCCTCAGTCACTCTAGTCAAAATACAGTTGTTTATTCATTGTTTTAATTCATCTTTGTGGGAGTGACGGGTACCAGGTAACTCCAGTCAGCCATCTTGCTGACGTCACTGGAAAGAGTATTTGAAATAACTGACATCGAACACAGCTTTCAGATAATACGGTTTGAGTTACTGTGCCCTGGAAAATGAAAATGGAACTTGTAAAATCATATTCATTATGTATTAGTATAATGTGGAAAGGCAAAACTCAATTTAAAAAGAGAGATAAAATATTTATTTCTGGTAAAAGCCTATACACATAGGTAAGCTTTTGGAAAGAATTGTACTTTGGGCATCCCAAATTGGACATCCATGATAAGCAGGCAGGAATATAGATGTATCTGGAGATCAAAGCTGGGGAGTCAGGGCTGGAGATTTAAATTTGAGAAATCAATATGTAGATAGCATGTAAAGCCATGAGACAAGATGAGTCACCCAATAAAAAAGTGTTGATAGAGAAGTGGACAGAAGACAGAAGCTTTAAGTGCAAATACATGATAACTCATTTTCAGTGCCCAAATATTCTCAGACTGCTTCCCTAACATACATACATACACACATGCCCACACAAACACACAAAGATAATAGTTGTACTTCTAGTTATCTAGTTGAATTTAGACACCACATACACTTGTGATATGTAGCATCACTGCTAAAGATGAGACTATTAATAGACATAGACTTCGGAAGGGTTGTTTGGAGACATTTAGGGTCATACAGAACCAACGCGCCACTCAGTTTGAAGAGCTCTGTGGCATAGTCGTTAGCTTTGGCTGTGGCATCAAATTATTTGGTTTTGAATTCCAAATCTACTATTCCTATCAAGTGCCCTTGGACAAAGTATTGAATTTTGTTGTTGCCACTCAGTTTCCTTGTTTATGTAATACTAGTATCTACTTCATAAGATTCTTGTGAGGATGAAATGAGCTAAAATAGGTAAAACATATGGTAGCTCACCAAATGTTCACAATTCTTATCCAAGAATTATGTAACGGAATTTGAAGGGATCCTAGCAGCTTTCTTTTCCAAGCATCCCGCCCTCCAGGAATTCTCTCAGGGAGCTCACTACATCATGAGGCCGTTGTTTCTATACCGACGAGCTCTTGGCGTTGCACAGCCACTTTGTATGTGGAAACCAAACCTACCTCTTCTCAGTGCTACACTTGGATTGTATTTTTGCATTCCAGAGAGCTACAGAATAAGTTGTCTCTTTCACTGAATCTTCAAACCCTGGAGGCAGCTCTCATGTGCTCTGTTGTCTTTTTTCACCCTGCTCCTTTAACTATTCTGTACACAAAATGAATTCCAGATTTCTCATACTCCTGGGCTTCAACCCATCTACAGATATTGCCATTTGTCAAAGTTCCTTTAAAATTTGCCTATGAAATTTGTACATCAAGACATACAAATGCTTGTTATAGAGCAAATGTTAAGCCACATCTGATTTGAGCTAAGATGGATGAAGAAAAGCAATGAACCCATTTAGTGTTTGTGATGCTTTTAGGCTTGGCAACTTTAAGAGAAATAAAGTAAAACTAGTTTAATTATTTTGCTAAGTGCAAACCTAAAGTAACTTCCTAAAGTGTGTTTCTAAATTGAGAAGAACTCACCTGGCTTTTTGGTGATAGGCATACCTGTTTATCAATGAGTGGTTTCAACATGTGGGTGATAACATATATATGAGAAAGATTCTTTCAATTTTAGAGTGGCTTTTCATTAAAAATATCCTAGCTGGACACCTGTGAAGATTCATAATCCATTATTTATCTTGTACATTTCTATAGTGCCTGTTGCCATAGTAACCTACTCAAACTGAGATATAAGACAATAAACAAATAAGCTTGAAAGACCACTATAGTCACAGATTAACTTGAATCATGAATATTATACTATGATGAATAGGACAGTTGATGATATTCTACTGAAAAAATGATAAATCAAGATTGTAAAGGCTCCTGGAACAACAAACCATAAAGAAAGATTTCTGACAATACTATTGTAAGTGCTATCGGTCCACACAGAAGGTAAAGGTTAAAAAAATGACTGTTTTCACAAAGGAATACTACTCAGCCTTTATTTTTTATTTATTTAAATATGTAAGTTATTTCATTAGGTTCTTCTTAAGGAATTTAGAACACTAATTAGTGAGGATAAATTCCATTCATCAGGGCAAACACAGATCACAGGTAGCCCTGGAGCTGAGGAATAGCTTTGAGTTTGGTAAAATTTTTGAGTCCACAGTTTTCCGATCAACTTTGCACTGCTCTGTAATCTCGTATTTCTCTCTTTCTGTGTTGAAGATCTCACCTTCCTGGTGTCTGGGCTTCTGTAGCTTCTTCTTCTTGAAGTAAATGTCAGTAAGATGTTTTTGGATTTTCACATTGCTGACATCAATTTTGGTTGAGGTGGCAATGACAAATTTCCAACGTGCTCTTTGTAGAGGAACTCGATCGAGGACCAGAGGTCCAGTCATAAGTAACAGGTCACTAGCCAGCTACTTCAAGAAAACCACCCTGTTGCCTCTGTGGCACCTAGTGAGGATGATCAGAATGGTCCCACGGGTGATGCTGGCTCACAGTTTTCTCACGTGCTGACTGAAGGGATTTTTGACATGGCTCAAAATCTTTCGAGTCATATCTTTAGTAGGATAATATCTAGGCCCTTTGAGAAGTTTAACCAACCTGGTACTGCTATTCTTGTTATCATCAATTGGTTTTGCAACAGTTGCAAGAACCTTCTCCTTTTTCTTTTCAACCTTGGATTTAGCGGCAGAGTACTTCCTCTTGTACATGGCCTTTCTGGAATACATAGCAGATTGGGAATATCTGGCAATTCCTTTGACAAGGACAGAGTTTCAGCTGCAATGGGGCTTTCTCCTCTTGGGCTTTTTAGCCTTGAGGGTACCCTTTTTCACCTTGCTACCAGCGTCAGACTTCTTAGCTTTGGGTTTCTTCTCCTTAGTATCTGGCTTGTCAACTTTTTCACCTGCCATCATGCAAGATGGGAAAGAGCTATTCAGCCATTATAACGAAGGAAATTCTGTCATTAGTGACAACATGAGTGAATCTAGAGGACATCATGCTAAGTGAAATAAGCCAGGCACAGAAAGACAAGTACCACATGATCTCACTTAAATGTGGAACCTAAAGAAGTAGAATTAACAGAAGCAGAGTAGAATAGTGGGAGAAAATTTTGCAATGTATCCGTCTGACAAAGGGCTAATACCCAGAATCTACAAGGAACTTAAATAAATTTACAAGAAAAAAACAACCCCATCAAAAAGTGGGCAAAGGATATGAACAGACATTTCTCAAAAGAAGACATTTATGTGGCCATCAAACATATGAAAAAAAGTTCATCATCACTAGTCATTAGAGAAATGCAAATCACAACCACAATGAGATACCATCTCACACCAGTTAGAATGGTGATCATTAAAAAGTCAGGAAACAATGGATGCTGGAGAGGATGTGGAGAAATAGTAATGCTTTTACACTGTTGGTGGGAGTGTAAATTAGTTCAGCCATTGTGGAAGACAGTGTGGAGATTCCTCAAGGATCTCGAACCAGAAATACCGTTTGACCAAGCAATCCCATTACTGGGTATATACCCAAAGGATTATAAGTCATTCTACTATAAAGACACATGCACACATATGTTTATTGCAGCACTGTTCACAATAGCAAAGACTTGGAACCAACCCAAATGCCTATCAGTGTTACACTGGATGAAGAAAATGTGGCACATATACACCAGGAAATACTATGCAGCCATAAAAGAGGATGAGTTCATGTCCTTTCAGGGACATGGATGAAGCTGGAAACCCATCATTCTCAGCAAACTAACACAGGAACAGAAAACCAATCACTGCATGTTCTCACTCATAAGTGGGAGTTGAACAATGAAAACACATGGGCACAGGGAGGGGAACATCACACACCGGGGCCTGTCAGAGGGTGCCAGGCAAGGGGAGGGATAGCATTAGGAGAAATACCTAAAGTAGATGATGGGTTGATGGGTGCAGCAAACCAGCATGGCACATGTATACCTATGTAACAAACCTGCATGCTCTGCACATGTATCCCAGAACTTAAAGTAAAAAAAAAAAAAAAAAAAAAAAGAATAGTTGTTAGTTACCTGGGGCTGAAAGCAGGGGGAGGGTTGGAGAGATGGTCAAAGGATATGAAATTTCAGTTAGGAAGAGTAAATTCAAGAGATCTATTATACAATATGGTGATTATAATTAATAACAATATATTGTGTTCTTGAAAATTGCTAAGAGAGTAGATTTTAAGTGTTCTCACCACAAAAAATAAATGACAGTATGTGAGGTAATGCATATGGTAAGTAGCTTGATTTTGTCCTTCCACAATGTATAGATCAAAATATGTTGTAAACCATAAATGTATGCAATTTTATCTTGTCAATTAACTATATATAAATATATATGTGCATGTATATGTATGTGTGTGTATATTGTGTGTGTGTATATCTACCTATCTATCTCTCTCTCTCTCTATCTATATATATATATGGATAGAGAGAGAGAGAGAGAGAGAGAGAGAGAGAGAGAGAGCTAAAAAAAAGTTTGTTTTCTTTGGACACTCTTCCAAAGAACATCAGGACCATTTGGAACTGAAAACGGTAGTCAGAAAATAAGTTCAATAAAAATATAACACACCACTTATTAAAACGGGGAAATTATATTACATCGACAAAAATATGAACATTTAAGATTTGGTAGGGGCCCTTCTGAAGAAATTAGGGAATAACAGAGAGGTATTTATCAAAAGAATTTAAGGTTTTCTAAGTTATAGCATATTTTCATGTCTATAGTAGCCTTCAGTTTGACTAAATTGTAAGGAAAGATTTGTGTTGTTTTTTTCTCTTTCCAATTTGATTTCATTTTATCTAATTTTTTAGCTAATTCTTTTGTTCAAAATGTGCAATAAAAATATTGTGGTACATGTTAGCAATTCCTAGATGTATGTGCCTTGGGTGCATATGGGCATTTAAAGATAAATTACAAAGTTAAAAAGGTAGAAATGATTTTAGAATGTTGCTTAGCATGATGGATATGAAACTTTCTCAGATCTATAGAAAATTGCTTTTAGGTAGCAGTCACACTATTATAAGCTAAAATTAATATAAACCCCAAAACTCAGGTGAGGAAGGAGTGTTGCTCATTGGTCTGAACCCAGAATTGGGTCATTTCTCCTGGGCTTTAATCCCGGCACTGTGACTATGAGTAAGTCATTTGCATTTTAACCCCATGATGCCTCAGTTTCCAAATTTGTTATACAGAAAAAACACTGACCTAACTCATAAAGCCATGGAGATTTAAAAATGAAATATTACTGCTCTTGGAAAATATGAACTGCAATAATGCTAATTATTATTACAAAAATAAATGCATGTTCATCATGTGGTAATTTAGGCAGAATGAGGTTGGGGAAAGGAGACTCTCAGAGCTCTTTTGTGTCAGTTAAATGAATCCTCTCCATTTAGTTGGCTCTGTAATAGCATTCAGATGACTGGAGGATTTGCAAGTAGTACAGTGATGATGGGGTTAGAGGAATGGAAGAAGATTAAAAACAATTCTCAGTTATATGACTCATATAGATTACAGGACAGCAGTCTAGCTCACTGCAGCACCTTAGTTCCAAGGACCCATAACATCTGAATCCAGAACTCATAAGCAGTTGAGACAACCTGTAGAGAATCAGTTTAACCAATTGCATCAGTCCCACAGCCAATTAGTCACATTGACATGGCCTCTATAAGCATCCCACCAAATCTAACATACATAGGAGGCCAATGAGCTTGTTATCACAACTTTAAAATTAATTTCTTCTTGCACGACGTCTTGCTAATTAGAACTATTATGCCAATCTTTTAATTACACTTTCAACACTTTATGCAGGACAGTGACTCAAGATAGACAGAGACAGCATATCAAAGTGGCAATTGAGACATTCATGGGTTCTGCCTCACTTATCTCCGCTTCAGCCAAATATTTATATTATCATTGTTATTATATTGCACGGTAGATGTACATGGGGTTTTGTAGATGCTAGGATAGAGATTCCATTGCTTCCTGGAAGGAGCATAGAACAAGCTGGTCATGAAACAGTAGAGAATTTAAGTGGATATCAGTTTTAAAAAGCATAGACTGATGCTGTCAGAACAATTTGGGTGCATGAAGAGATGACTTCAAAAACAGACACCTAAGAATTTCCTCCAAATTAATGGGTGACCAAAAAAATAATTAGGGCAGGGTTGTATTAAAGAAGCATGGGGAAACTTATGAGAAAATATTTGTTGCATATATACAATATGCCATAACATAGTGAGAAAACATTTAATTCATCTGTTTCAAGGGCTATTTTAAAGTTATCTTTAAAAATTTTCTGATTGAAAGGGTTTTTTTTCTTTCTTTAAATCAGTGGCTGAAATCACATGAGATTGGTTTTGCCTCTAACTTTTCTCTTTCCTTGTCATCCTTCACTGCGTTGGCAGAATGACCTAGGTCTGAAAATACAAATATATCAAAGGATATTATAGTACCTGACAGCTTCTCTTTGTCAATTTGTGAAAGTTTGGTAACCATTTTGAAAGGATATTTCATGAGAATGAGAACCCAACCATCTGGTCATCTTTCCTTGGTCTGCATCTTATCCCCTGGCCATGCCTCATATTGCCCCACTTTCATGCCATTGCTTATACTGCTTCCACCATCATCTTCATACCAGCCTTGCAGCTCTTCCAAAGACAACATCCTCTTCAGAGTCTAGACTAAGTTCATTCCCCTGGCTTAACAGAATTTATTAATGGTAGCCCAATTTTAGCCAATTTAAATCTTTTAGGGAGCAGGCAGGGTAAAATTTATGACTGAAATCATGTGTCTTAGTCGGCAAGGGCTGCCAGAACAAAATACCATAGACTGGGTGAATTAAACAAGTAAAGTTTATTTTCTCAGTTTTGGAAGCTGGGAAGTTTGAGATCAGGGTGCCAGTGTATTC
The DNA here is from genome assembly GCF_000001405.40 of Homo sapiens. NCBI lineage: Eukaryota > Metazoa > Chordata > Mammalia > Primates > Hominidae > Homo > Homo sapiens. The sequence continues at coordinate 98,247,650 of NC_000023.11, read as the reverse complement.
TGGCTTATGGACAGCCATCTTTGCACTGTGTGCTCACAGGGACTTTCCTCAGCCTGTGCAGATAAAGAAAGATCTCTCTGTCCTCCTCTTCTTATGAGACCACCAATCTAATCAAATTAGGACTCCATCTTTATGACTTAGTTTAACCTTAATGACATTCTAAAAGCTGTATCCTCAAATATAGTCACATTGGGGGTTAGGGCTTCAATGCAGGAATTGACAGGGCTTGGGGGGTGCAATTCAGTTCATAGCAGCATGTCTCTGGTTTGGAAAGTAAACATCTACTGTTTAGTAACATCTTTTTTTATTGGGCACATCTTTTTCTTTTTAAATTAAAAATAACTCATTATTTTTCCTATTAGAAGAAAACTCATGTTATTCAAGGTACATAAAATGAAAGTAAGCCAAAAGAAGGAAACAACGATGGTCATCCCACTGTCCAAATCAACTACTAAGACTTTGCTTTTTGCATTTCCAGACATTTTTCAGTGTATACCGTCATACTTTTAAAAACTGGAATCATATTATGTATGCTATGTATACTTTTTAAATAACCTGACTTTTCATCATTAAATATTCATGTACAACATTTTAAAGGCTGCAGAGTATTTCATTGCATGAATAAACTGTAACTTATAGAGCAATTTTCCTTTTTATATTAATTTATAATTATTACAAACATGAATATCTTACTACATCCATTCTTGTCCACTTATTCAATAATATCCTTAAGATAAATTCCTAGGAATTAAATTACTAAGAAAAAGAATGATATGGTTTGAATGTATCCTCCAAAAACTCATGCTGAAACTTAATCTTCAACGTGGTAGTATTGAGACTTGGACCTTTAACAGGTGAGTGAGTCATGAAGACAGATTAATGGATTAATATATTCATGGATTAATGGGTTAATGGATTAATGTGTTGTCATGGGAGGGGAACTAGTGTCTTTATAAGGAGGGAAAGAGAGATCTGAGTTGGCATGCTAGCACACTTAGCCACCTCACTTTGTGATACCCAGCACGACTTCAGAAAACTCTGTAGAGTCCCTACCAGCAAGAAGGCTCTCACTTTCGACATCTCAATCTTCAGAATTGTAAGAAATACATTCATTTTCTTTATAAATTATCAAGTTTCAGATATTCTGTTATAAGTAATAGAAAATGGACTGAGATGAAAAGGATGCATTTTTTCCAAGATTTTTTTTTTTATAAAGATTTCCAAATTGACCTACTGGAAGAAATTACAAATGTCTATAACCAACAGTAGTACAGAAGGTATATATCCCACCAACACTAAAGTTAGTACTTTTACTACTTCACAATTTAGTAGGCTGAAAATATCTAATTTTAATTTTTATAGTATTAATCCTAGTACAATTAAACTTGTTTTATATTCTATTAGGAGTTCACATTTCTTGTTTCGAATTTCCTTGTTTGTATTCTTTGCCCACTGTTTTTTTTAACTTGGCATTTTTGTCTTTTTTCTTTTGTTTTGTTACATATTGAGTAATTTTTTGAATTGTTGCTGATATTTTACCAAAAATTTTAAGGAAACCAAAGTCTTCTTTTCTGACTAAATGATGAAGTCACTAATGAAATGTTTGGACTTCTCCTATGACCTAAAAGATTATGTCATGTTATGCTTTTTATCCAATATCTAGTTCATTTACAGATATTCTAGTTTTTCAAAAAGGTGAATATTGAGAATCTCACAGCAATATATCCTTGATTTTAAAAACTACACATTTTGTAACAAAGCCAAATGATCTAATTAGAAATCCCACTTTCCATTATAAAAAATATTTTCCAATGAATTTTTTAGCATTATTTAGAAACTAATTTATGATACAATCTCACTGGAAGCCTGTAAGCATTCTGAGTAAAGAAAAATGCAAATTCTTATAAATGACACATCTTAATATTACCTGATTTGTGAAGTAAGTAAATGTGAGTTAAGCAAAATTTATTTTATATATAAACTATTAGACAGTTTTATTAAAGTATAATTGCAAGTTGGAGGTAAAATAAAAAGTAACTTAGTGGTCTTTAGTCACCCAATTTATAAAACAGCTCAACAATATTTGTATGTGTTTCAAATATTTTCATTCCATTCTTAAGACTTACAAATGCATCAGTAAATTTACTATGCGTATCCTGGTAATAGCAGTTGGTTGATCCATGTAATATATCCTTTAATAAAGTGCTCCTAACAATCTCAGGATACTCTTTCCACATTAATCACAAGCATAAGAAATTCCATGAACAGCAAATACTTAGGAACTGTTGTCTGTTTACAAATACAGTGGTATATATCAAGGTTTTTGATTGGTGAGAACTCTCAGTCTAGTATGAATAGATTTAGGCGTTCTAGTATTCCATAAATGTATTAGTTAGGTGACTAGCCATGTATAAAATTAATTGAGTTTGTTTAGATGATCTCTACAGTAGTTAGTGTTATGTGTCAACTTCTCCAGGCTATAGTACCCCTTTATTTAATCAAACACTACTTAGGAGTTGCTGTGAAAGTATTTTACAGATGTTGACTAACATCTATAATTAGTTGACTTTAAAGGAGTTGACCCTTGAAAATGTGCGTGGGCCTTATACAATCAGTCGAAGGCCTTAAGAACAGAAATTGAAGTTTTCCAAAGAAGAAGAAATTCTACCTCAAGGCTGCAACATTAATTCCTCCTTGAATTTCCGGCCTGGGGCCTGCACTACAGATTCAGGACTAGCCAGCCCTTGCAATCCTATGAACTTATTTCTTTAAAAAAATTCCTTAAAGTGGGCCAGGTGTGGTGGCTCACACTTGTAATCCCAGCACTTTGGGAGACCAAGGTGGGCACATCACTTGAGGTCAGGGGTTCGAGACCATCCTGGCCAACATGGCAAAACTCCCGTCTCTACTAAAACTACAAAAATTAGCTGGGCGTAGTGGTGCACGCCTGTAATCCAGCTGCTTGGGAGGCTGAGGCAGGAGAAACACTTGAACTCGGGAAGCAGGAGGTTGCAGTGAGCTGAGATCACGCCACTGCACTCCAGCCTGTATGAGAGAGCAAGACTTCATCTCAAAAAAAAGAGAAAAAATCCTTAAAGTGAAGAGACTATATATGTATATATAGCAGACCATTGAACAATGTGAGAGTTAGAGGGACCAACCTCTCCATACAGTTGAAAAGCTATGTGTAACTCTTGACTTCCTCAAAACTTAATTACTAATAGCCTACTGTTAACTGGAAGCAGCCTTATGGATAACATAAATAGGCAATTAATACATATTTTTGTAGGTTACATGTATTATACTGTATTCTTACAATAAAGTAAGCCAGAGAAAATAACATGTTGTTAAGAAAATCATCAGAAAGAGAAAATATATTTGCTATTCATTAGGTGGATGTAAGTCATATTTAGCCTTGTCATCTTCACGCTTCACTTTGAATAGGCTGGTGTGTGCACGTGTGTGTATGTGTGCGTGTGTCCTATTATGTTCTGTTTTTCTGGAGAACCCTGGCTGTTACAATCACTAATATCACTTATAGTTCCAGCATTCCAATATTCTATCAAAATGAATTAAGAAGGCCATGGCTGCTTGCTTATGGGAGACAAATAATTAAAAGGCAACTTCTCACTAGTGTATTCAGTTAGCAAAAATATACTAAAAGGGGTTACTTTTCTAAGGAAAAAAAAAGTGTGTGTGTGTGTAGAGACAGAGTGTTTATGTGTATGGACAGACAAATAGAGACAAAGATCTAATATATAAAGTTTGAAAAATTATTTCATGCATCTTTATTACTGAAAGTAAATTTAGCTCTGAGGAAAGATGTCGAAGTGACAGGGCTAGACACTGAAGTTCTCTATCGGTGACTGTCTAGTGAGGTAAGGCAAAGAGAGTGCACATTTCTCATGCAAAGCACTGCAGAGTTATAGATCTCTAAATACTTAAATGACTTCTGAAAAATGATGGATTAGTCATTGTTGAGTACACAGAGTCTGACTCAATATTAATAGACTCATAATATTATTGAATGTGGTCAAACTCACATTTCCATAAAAAGCATATACCTATGCTAATTTGGATCATGTATACAAACATATAATCACCAACATAGCATCAATGAAATCAGTACCATAGAATAGTGTTAGTAGTAGTCAATATAGGAGTATGGAATGCACTTGAATTTTATATATATGTGTATATATATATTTCTCTGTATACCCTCTATACATGATAGGGAAGAATGATTGGAAGATCACTTTGTGTTAGAGGGCTTCTTCCTTTGTGTTAACAAAGGTGTTAAAGACAGCCAACCAAACACTACCAGGAGCACAGCTGTAGTCAGGTTTATTAGCTTGCTGCTTCCAGCAAGGGAGAATGCATACCAGGGGAACTGAGGTGCCTCAAAGGAGTTTGGAAGGGGGTGCTTAGGGAATTTTGGAGGCTGAAGTTATTAACAGGATGGTATTGGCAGAAACTGGACCAAATCTGAAAAGAAAGGAGTAGTTAGATAGTCAGTGAACTTATTTTTATAATATAGGATCTCTGCAGAGTTCCTGTTGTTAGTGTTAGATCAGCTTGTCTGTGCTTTTCTCAAGAAACTATGGGTCTGAAGGAGCTGGTGTTCAAGACTTTGAGCTTTAATAGTCTGCAATTATGGTTTGGTTTCTTACAGTTTGTTCTGGAGCCCTTATTGTCTTGCAGGTGTGGTTTCTCACTTTTCATTCCCCCTCACAGCAGAGCTGCCAGCATGACCATTTTTCATTTTAATGCTCCCTCCCCCATTCTGGTCATTCTTCAAACTAAGATGAAGGATGCACCATTTTATTCTGGGGACTTGATCAATCCAGATATCTAGCACTATTTGATGGGTCATGATCATGTAACGTGTTTTTGATAGTAGTTGTTTTGATCTCTACAGGCGTCAGGCCTTCTTATTCTTTGTGTTGGATGATCAATTGTTGTATCATCAGGCATGACAGCAGGAGCACAACAGCATTTAAAACTCTGGAGTTCACACATTTGGCCACTGCAACACAGACAAACACTAAGACAAGGATTATTATTAAAGTTTGAAGTGTACTTCAAAGCTACAATCCTAGACCTCCAAATCCAGCCCATGAAAATATGCCCAGAATCTGTCTGAATTTTCATTAGATAAACAAATTGCTTTTTTCCCCCTTTGATCTGGATATGTATTGCTCAACTTTTCCAGTTCAAATCTCCAAAATACTATACCTGAACAAAATCTGTGATGCTGAATTAGGAAATGTCATATTTGAAAAGAGAATGAACTATGGAACTTAAACTAAAAAGTTTCTGGCTGAATATGTTGCAGTGCCCAAAAATCTCAATTTTAAAATTTTGTTATTGTTGCTTTGCTTTCTGTGTAATCCAGTGTCACTGAATGCATATTTACTAGAGCGTCAAGCAATATTGGAACAATTTTGATGTTGTAAAATGTTTTCAGAAGAAAACAGTTCAGTGCAGACTCTGGGATCACCTAGGTTTGGCTTACTAGTTATGTGAACTTGGATAAGTTTTTCTTTTTTTTCTTCTTTTATAAAATCTATTGAATATGTTTTAGGTGTGCAACATCATGTTACAGGATACATGTAAATAGCAAAATGGTTAGTCTACTGGAGCAAATTAACATATCTATAATCTCACATACTTATGTGTGTGTGTGTGCGTGTGTGGTGAGAGCTGCTAAACTCTATTCATTCAGCAAAAATTTCAAATGCAATATAATATTATTAGCTATAGTCTTCATGTTGTACATTAGATCTCTAGAATTTTTCATCCTACACATTTGCTACTTTGTATCCTTTGACCTACGCTTCTTCATCTCCCCTCCTCCCCTGCCAGCCCTCATCCCTTGTCACCACTGTTTTATCCTCTGTCCCTGTGTATTTTACTTTTCTTAAGTTTTTTAAAAAAATCTCTATGTCTCATTCTTCTCATCTGTAAAATAGAAAGATAAAGAGTATCTACCTCATAGGGTTGTTGTAGATATTAACTGAGTTTGTAAAGTACTTTGATCAGTGATTGGTACAAAGTTAGCACATTAAGAATGCTTGGCAAAAATTTTTTATTTTTTTATTATTTTTTTTATTTTTTTGAGATGGAGTCTCGCTCTGTCGCCCAGGCTGGAGTGCAGTGGCGAGATCTCAGCTCACTGCAAGCTCCGCCTCCCGGGTTCATGCCATTCTCCTGCCTCAGCCTCCCAAGTAGCTGGGACTACAGATGCCCGCCACCATGCCCAGCTAATTTTTTTGTATTTTTAGTAGAGACGGGGTTTCATCGTGTTAGCCAGGGTGGAAAAATTTTTAAAAATACAAGATATGGGTGGCTGGCAAGATGGCCAAATAGGAACAGCTCCAGTCTGCAGCTCCCAGCGAGATCAACGCAGTAGGCGGGTGATTTCTGCATTTCCAACTGAGGTACCGGGCTCATCTCATTGGGACTGGTTAGACAGTGGGTGTAGCCCATGCAGGGCAAGCCGAAGCAGGGTGGGGTGTCCCCTCACCTGGGAAGCACAAGGGGTCAGGGAACTCCCTCCCCTAGCCAAGGGAAGCCATGAGGGACTGTGCCATGAGGAACAGTGCACTCTGGCCAGAATAGTACACTTTTCCCATGGTCTTTGCAACCCGCAGACCAGGAGATTCCCTCTGGTGCTTACGCCACCAGGGCTCTGAGGTTTAAGCACAAACCTGGGTGGCTGTTTGGGCAAACACCAAGCTAGCTGCAGGAGTTTTTTTTTTTTCATACCCCAGTGGTGCGTGGAATGCCAGCGAGACAGAACCATTCACTCCCCTCGAAAGGGGGCTGAAGCTAGGGAGCCAAGTGGTCTAGCTCAGTGGATCCCACCCCCACGGAGCCCAGCAAGCTAAGATCCACTGGCTTGAAATTCTCGCTGCCAGCACAGCAGTCTGAAGTTGACCTGGGATGCTCCAGCTTGGTGGGGACAGGGGCGTCTGCAATAACTGAGGCTTGAGTAGGTGGTTTCCCCCTCACAGTGTAAACAAAGCCGCCAGAAAGTTCGAACTGGGCAGAGTCCACCACAGCCAGGCAAAGCCTCTGTAGCCAGACTGCCTCTCTAGATTCTTCCTTTCTGGGGAGGGCATCTCTTAAAGAAAGGCAGCAGCCCTAGTGAGGGGCTTATAGATAAGATTCCCATCTCCCTGGGACAGAGCACCTGGGGGAAGGGGTGGCTGTGGGTGCAGCTTCAGCAGACTTAAACGTTGCTGCCTGATGGCTCTGAAGAGAGCAGTGGATCTCCCAGCACAGTGCTCGAACCCGGCTAAGAGACAGATTGCCTCCTCAAGTGGGTCTCTGACCCCCGTGCCTCCTGACTGGGAGACAACTCCCAGCAGGGGTCAACAGACATCTCACACAGGAGTGCTCCAGCTGGCATCTGGTGGGTACCCCTCTGGGACGAAGCTTCCAGAGGAAGGAACAGGCAGCAATCTTTGCTTTTCTGCAGCCTACGCTGGTGATACCCAGGCAAACAGGGTCTGGAGTGGACCTCCAGCAAACTCCAGCAGACCTGCAGCAGAGGGGCCTGACTGTTAGAAGGACAACTAACAAACAGAAAGGAATAGCATCAACATCAACAAAAAGGATGTCCACACAGAAACTCCATCCGAAGGTCACCAACGTCAATGACCAAAGGTAGAAAAATCCATGAAGACGAGGAAAAACCAGTGCAAAAAGGCTGAAAATTCTGAAAACCAGAATGCCTCTTCTCCTCCAAAGGATCACGACTCCTCGCCAGCAAGGGAACAAAACTGGATGGAGAATGAGTTTGACAAATTGACAGAAATAGGCTTCAGAAGGTGGTTAATAACAAACTCCTCCGAGCTAAAGGAGCATGTTCTAACCCAATGCAAGGAAGCGAAGAACCTCGAAAAAAGATTAGAAGAATTGCTAACTAGAATAACCAGTTTAGAGAAAAACATAAATGACCTGATGGAGCTGAAAAACACAGCACAAGAACATCGTGAAGCATACACAAGTATCAATAGGCAAATCGATCAAGCCGAATAAAGGATATCAGAGATTGAAGATCAACTTAATTAAATAAAGTTTGAAGACGAGATTACAGAAAAAAAAATGAAAAGAAACGAACAAAGCCTCCAGAAAATATGGGACTATGTGAAAAGACCAAACCTATGTTTAATTGGTATACCTGAAAGTGAAGGGAAGAATGGAACCAAGTTGGAAAACACTCTTCAGGATATTATAGAGGAGAATTTCCCCAACCTAGCAAGACAGGCCAACATTCAAATTCAGGAAATACAGAGAACACCACAAAGATACTCCTCGAGAAGAGCAACTCCAAGACACATAATTGTCAGATTCACCAAAGTTGAAATGAAGGAAAAAATGTTAAGGGCAGCCAGAGAGAAAGGTCGGGTTACCCACAAAGGGAAGCCCATCAGACTAACAGTGGATCTCTCTGCAGAAACCCTACAAACCAGAAGAGAGTGGGGGCCAATATTCAACATTCTTAAAGAAAAGAATTTTCAACCTAGAATTTCATATCCAGCCAAACTAAGCTTCATAAGCGAAGGAGAAATAAAATCCTTTACAGACAAGCAAATGCTGAGGGATTTTGTCACCACCAGGCCTGCCTTATAAGAGCTCCTGAAGGAAGCACTAAATATGGAAAGGAAAAACTGGTACCAACCACTGCAAAAGCATACCAAGTTGTAAAGACTATCGACACTGTGAAGAAACTGCATCAACTAATGGGCAAAATAACCAGCTAGCATCAAAATGACAGGATCAAATTCACACATAGCAACATTAACATTAAATGTCAACAGGCTAAATGCCCCAATTAAAAGACACAGACTGGCAAATTGGGTAAAAAGTCAAGACCCATCAGTGTGCTGTATTCAGGAGACCCACCTCACATGCAAAGACACACATAGGCTCAAAATAAAGGGATGGAGGAATATTTACCAAGCAAATGGAAATTAAAAAAAGCAAGGGTTGCAATCCTAGTCTCTGATAAAACAGACTTTAAACCAACAAAGATCAAAAGAGACAAAGAAGGCCATTACATAATGGTAAAGGGATCAGTTCAACAAGAAGAGCTAACTATCCTAAATATATATCCACCCAATACAGGAGCACCCAGATTTATAAAGCAAGTGCTTAGAGACCTACAAAGAGACTTAGACTCCCACACAATAATAATAGGAGACTTTAACACCCCACTGTCAATATTAGATCAAAAAGACAGAAAATTAACAAGGATATTTGGGACTTGAACTCAGCTCTGTACCAAGTGGATCTAATACAGAACTACAGAACTCTCCACCCCAAATCAACAGAATATACATTCTTCTCAGCACCTCATTGCACTTATTCTAAAATTGACCACATAATTGGAAGTAAAACACTCCTCAGCTAATGCAAAAGAATGGAAATCATAACAAACAGTCTCTCAGACTATGGTGCAAGCAAATTAGAACTCAGGATTAAGAAACTCACTCAAAACCACACAACTACATGGAAAGTGAACAACCTGCTCCTGAATGACTTGGGTAAATAACTAAATTAAGGCAGAAATAAATAATTTCTTTGAAACCAATGAGAACAAAGACACAATGTACCAGAATGTCTGGGACACAACTAAAGCAGTGTATAGAGGGAAAGTTATAGCACTAAATGCCCACATGAGAAAGCAGGAAAGATCTAAAATTGAAACCCTAATGTCACAATTAAAAGAAATAGGGAAGCAAGAGCAAACAATTCAAAAGCTAGCAGAAGACAAGAAATAACCAAGATCTGAGCAGAACTGAAGGAGATAGAGACACGAAAAATCCTTCAAAAAATTAATGAATCCAGGAGCTGGTTTTTTGAAAAGATTAACAAAATAGACCAATAGCCAGACTAATAAAAAAAGAGAAAAGAATCAGATAGACACAATAAAAAATGATAAATGGGAAATCACCACTGATCCCACAGAAATACAGACTACCATCAGAGAATACTATAAACAAGTCTATGCAAATCAACTAGAAAATTTAGAAGAAATGGATAAATTCCTGGACACATATACCTTCCCAAGACTAAACCAGGAAGAAGGTGAATCTCTGAGTAGACCAATAACAGGCTCTGAAATTGAGGCAGTAATTAATAGCCTACCAACCAAAAAAAGTCCAGGACCAGATGGATTCATAGCTGAATTCTACCAGAGGTACAAAAAGGAGCTGGTACCATTCCTTCTGCAACTATTCCAAACAACAGAAAAAGAAGGACTCCTCCCTAACTTATTTTATGAGGTCAGCATCATCCTATACCAAAACCTGCCAGAAACACAACAAAAAAAAGAAAATTTCAGGCCAATATCCCTGATGAACATCGATGTGAAAATCTTCAGTAAAATACTGGCAAACCGAATCCAGCAGCACATCAAAAAGCTTATCTACCATGATCAAGTCGGCTTCATCCCTGGGATACAAGGCTGGTTCAACATACTCAAATCAATAAACGTAATCCATCATATAAACAGAGCCAATGACGAAAACCACATGATTATCTCATTAGATACAGAAAAGGCCTTCAATAAAATTCAACACCCCTTCATGCCAAAAACTCTCAATAAACTAGGTATTGATGGAACATATCTCAAAATAATAAGAGCTATTTATGACAGACCCACAGCCAATATCATACTGAATGGGCAAAAGTTGGAAGCATTCCCTTTGAAAACTGGCACAAGACAAGGATGCCCTCTCTCACCACTCCTATTCAACATAGTTTTGGAAGTTCTGGCCAGGGCAATTGGGCAAGAGAAAGAAATACAGAGTATTCAAATAGGAAGAGAGGAAGCCAAATTGTCTCTGTTTGCAGATGACATGATTGTACATTTAGAGAATCCCATCATCTCAGCCCAAAATCTTCTTAAGCTGATAAGCAACTTCAGCAAAGTCTCAGGATGCAAAATCAATGTGCAAAAATCACAAGCATTCCTAAACACCAACAAAAGAGAACCAAACCATGAGTGAACTTCTATTCACAATTGCTACAAGGAGAATAAAATACCTAGGAATACAAGTTACAAGGGATGTGAAGGACGTCTTCAGGGAGAACTACAAACCACTGCTCAAGGAAATAAGAGAGGACACAAACAAATGGAAAAACGTTCCATGCTCATGGATAGGAAGAATCAATAACATGAAAATGGCCATACTGCCCAAAGTAATTTATAGATTCAATGCCATCCCCATCAAGCTACCATTGAGTTTCTTCACAGAATTAGAAAAAACTACTTTACATTTCATATGGAACCAAAAACGAGCCCATATAGACAAAACAACCCTAAGCAAAAAGGACAAAGCTGGAGACATCACACTGCCTGACTTCCAACTATACTACAAGTCTACGGTAACCAAACCAGCATGGTACTGGTACCAAAACAGAGATATAGACCAATGGAACAGAACAGAGGCCTCAAAAATAATGCCACACATCTACAACCATCTGATCTTTGACAAACCTGACAAAAACAAGCAATGGGGAAAGGATTCCCTATTTAATAAATGGTTTTGGGAAAACTGGCTAGCCATATGAAGAAAACCAAAACTGGACCCCTTCATTACACCTTATACAAACATTAACTCAAGATGGATTAAAGACTTAGGTCTTATGTTTAAAACCATAAAAATCCTAGAAGAAAACCTAGGCAATACCATTCAGGACATAGGCATGGGCAAAGACTTCATGACTAAAACACAAAAAGCAATGGCAACAAAAGCCACAATACACAAATGGGATCTAATGAAACTAAAGAGCTTCTGTACAGCAAAAGAAACTATCAGGGTGAACAGACAACCTACAGATTGGGAGAAAAATTTTGCAATCTATCCATCTGACAGAAGGCTTATATCCAGAATCTATGAGAAACTTAAACAAATTTACAAGAAAAAAAACAACCCCATCAAAAAGTGGGCAAAGGATGTGAACAGACAGTTATCAAAAGATGGCATTTATGTGGCCAACAAACATATGAAAAAAAGCTCATCACTGGTCATTAGAGAAATGCAAATCAAAACCACAATGAGATACCATCTCACACCAGTTAGAATGGAAATCATTAAAAAGTCAGGAAACAACAGATGCTGGAGAGGATGTGGAGAAATAGTAATGCTTTTACACTGTTTGTGGGAGTGTAAATTATTTCAACCTTTGTGGAAGACAGTGTGGTGATTCCTCCAGGATCTAGAACCAGACATACCATTTGACCCAGGAATCCCACTACTGAGTATATACCCAAAGGATTATAAATCATTCTATAAATACACATGCACACCTATGTTTATTGCAGCACTGTTCACAATAGCAAAGACTTGGAACCAACCCAAATGCCCATCAATGTTAGACTGGATGAAGAAAATGTGGCACATATACACCACGGAATACTATGCAGCCATAAAAAAGGATGAGTTCATGTCCTTTGCAGGGACATAGATGAAGCTGGAAACCATCATTCTCAGCAAACTAACACAGGAACAGAAAATCAATCACTGTGTATTCTCACTCATAAGTGAGAATCGAACAATGAGAACACATTGACACAGTGAAGGGAACATCACACACTGGGGCCTGTTGGGGGATGGGGGACTAGGGGAGGGAGAGCATTAGGAGAAACACCTAATGTAGATTTTGGGTTTATGGGTGCAACAAACCACCGTGGCACATGTATACCTATGTAACAAACCTGCACATTCTGAACATGTATCCCAGAACTTTAATAAAAAAAAAAAGAAAAAATAGATATGTTTTGTTTTACCATATGTCTTTATTATGAGATCCGTAAGAAAAAAAAGGGTTGAAAACCAATGGTCTTGCAATTTTAATTGACATTAAAATTACCTGAGACAATTTTTAAGTATTTCTAAACACCAACCGAGATCTAGTAAACCAGAATTTCTGGGCATGTAGCCTAGCAATCTTCATTTCAAACAAGTATCTCAGGCGGTCTCTGTACCATCATTGATAAGCATTGTAGTAAAACCTTGTCTGGCAAAGGAATCTATATTAAGATGATCACAAATATGTAGATTTCTTAATATCGTATTTTCTCTTAACCACAGTAAAGAGTAACTGAAAAAATAGATAATATACAATAATGACAAAAATACAGGCACAAAGTCCTTTATAAAACTAAAAAAATTAGTGTGCCATTAAGAGAAATGGTACATCTCACCATTCCTATTCAATGTATATTGGAAGTCCTGGCCAGGGGAATCAGGCAAGAAAAAGAAATAAAAGGCATTGAAATAGGAAAACAAGTCAAACTATCTCTGTTAGCAGGTGATATGATGTTATACCTAGAAAACCCTGTAGTGTCTCCCAGAAATTCCTAGATCTGATAAACAACTTCAGCAAAGTTTCAGGCTACAATATTAATGTACAAAAAGAAGTAGCATTTCTATATACCAGTAATGTTCAAGCTGTGAGCCAAATAAAGAATGCTATTCCATTTACGATAGCCACAAAAAGAATAAAATATCTAAGAATGCAGCTTATCACACTGCTTTCCACAATGGCAGAACTAACTTACATTCCCACCAACACTGTATGAACATTCTCTTTTCTCTGCAACCTGGCCAGCATCTGTTATTTTTTGACTTTTTAATGATAGCCATTCTGACTGGTGTGACATGGTATCTCATTGTGGTTTTGATTTGCATTTCTCTAATGATCAATGATGTCAAGCTTTTCTTCATATGATTGTTGGCTGCATATGTGTCTTCTTTTGAAAAGTGCCTGCTCATGTTCTTTGCCCACTTTTTAATGGGGTTGTTTTATATTTATTATAGATTTGGGTTATTAGACCTTTGTCAGATACATAGTTTGTGAATATTTTCTACCATTCTATAGGTTGTCTGATTAGTCTGTTGTAAGTTTCTTTTGTTGTGAGAAAAGTATTTAGTTTAATTAGATCCTATATGTTGATTTTTGTTTTTGTTGTAATTGCTTTTGGTGTCTTCATCATGAAGTCTTTGCCAGGGCTGATGTTAAAGTGGCATTTCATAAGTTTTCTTCTAGGGTTTTTATAGTTTTTATAGTTTCAGGTATTGAATTTAAGTCTTTAATCCATCTTGAGTTCATTTTTGTATGTGGTGAAAGGTAAGAGTCCAGTTTCGATCTTCTGCATATGACTTGCCAGTTATACTAGCATCATTTTTATTGTTAACTTTGTTGAAGATCAAATGGTTGTAGGTGTGTGGCTTTATTTCTGTGTTCTCTATTCTGTTTCATTGGTCTATGGGTCTGTTTTGTACCAATACCATGCTGTTTTAATTACTGTAACCTTGTAGTAAAGTTTTAAGTCAGCTAGTGTGAGGCCTCCATATTTGTTCTTTTCACTTAGGATTGCTTTGGCTCTTTGGGTTCTTTTTTGGTTCCAAGTGAATTTTAGAATTTTTTTTCTAGTTCTGTGAAAAATGTTGCAGGTAGTTTGATAGGAATACCATTGAATCTATAAATTGCTTTGGGCAGTATGGCCATTTTAGCAATATTGATTCTTCTTATCCATGAGCATGGAATGTTTTTCCAATTGTTTGTCATCTCTGATTTCTCTGAGCAATGTTTTATACTTCTCATTGTAGAGACCTTTCACCTCCCTGGTAAGCTGTATTTCTAGATATTTTATTCCTTTTGTGGCTAATGTGAATGGAATTATATGATTGATTTGGATCACAGCTTGAATGTTATTGGTATATTGAAATGCTACTGCTATTTGTACATTGGCTTTGTATCCTGAAACTTTGCCAAAGTTGTTTATCAGAACTAGGAAATTTTGGGCAGACATTATGGGATTTTCTAAGTACAGCGCTATATGATCTGCAAACAGAGATAGTTTGACTTCTTCTTTTTCTATTTGGATGCCTTTTATTTCTTTCTCTTGCCTGACTGTTCTGGCCAGGACTTTCAGTATATGTTGAATAGGAGTAGTGAGAATGGGCATCCTTATCTTGTTCTGGTTCTCAAGGAGAATGCTTCCAGCTTTTGTTCATTCAATATGCTGTTGGCTGTGCGTTTGTTATAGATGGCTCTTATTATTTGAGTTATGTTCCCTCAACACCTGGGTTTTTGAGGGCTTTAACATGGAGAGATATTGACTTTTATCAAAAGCCTTTTCTGCATCTATTGAGACAATCATGTATTTTTTGTTTTTAGTGCTGTTTATGTGATGAATCACAATTATTGATTTGCATATGTTAAACCAAACTTGCATCCCAGGGATAAGGCCTACTTGAGCATTGTGGATTTTGTATTTCTGTTGGGTTGGCGGTAATGTCCCTTTTGTCATTCCTGATTGTGTTTATTTGGATCTTCTCTGGTTTTTTTATTAGTCTAGCTAGTGGTGTGTCAATTTTATTTATTCTTTCAGAGTACTAATTCCTGGATTCATTGATCTTTTCTTTGTTTTTTTGTGTCTCAGTTTCCTTCAGCTCAGCTCTGATTTTGTTTTTTTCTTGTCTTCTATGAGTTTTGGGATTGGTTTGCTCTTCTTTCTCTAATTCCTATAGATGTGATGTTAGATGGTTTTTTGAGATCTTTCTAACTCTTTGATATGGTCATTTAGTGCTATAAGCTTCCCTTTTAACATTGCTTTAAGCGGTGTCCCAGAGATTCTGGTATGCTGTCATTAGTTTCAAAGAATTTCTTGATTTCTGCATTAATTTCATTGTTTACCCAAAAGTTACTCAGGAGCAGGTTGTTTAATTTCCTTATAATTGTATGTTTTTGAGAGATCTTCTTAGTATGATTTCTGTTTTTATTGCACTGTGGTCAACAGTGTGGTTGGTATGATTTCTATTTTTTTGAATTTGCTGAGGATTGTTTTATGGCCAATTGTGTGGTTGATCATAGAGTATGTGCCATGTGCAGATGAGAAGAATGTATAGTCTGTTGATTTGGGGCAGCGAGTTCTGTTGAAATATGTTAGGCCTATTTGGTCAAATGTCAAGTTCAGGTCTTGAATTTCTTTGTGTTTTCTGCCTCATTGATCTAATGTTGTCAGTGGGATGTTGTCAGTGGGGTGTGGAAGTCTCTCACTATTATTGCCAGCCTAGTTATCTGATCAAATTCCTCATTTTTCACCATCAACCAAGTGGTGTCTGATCATCCTGGCCTGATTTCAACAAGAATCCTGTTAGATCAGTTTAGCAACAATTCCCCTACCTTCTAAGTAATTTTCCATTCACAGACTCATTTCTCTGCTACTTGATTATAAGTTCTCACTTTTCCTTGTTGTATCAGAATTAAGCACAGTTCTATACTGAAGTCTATTTCCCTCTACCATGATAGTTCTTTAATAAAGTCTGTTTTTACCTCTTTAACTACTGTCCAGGTCTGCTCTTCCTTGACATAAGCACCATGCTAATCCCAGTGAATTCAGTGCAGGTTAAGACAGGACAGCTCCAGCCCTTACAGCACTACTTACTCATAGTGATGGCTATGAATAATGATGCTTCCCACCATATCACAGATATCTCATAAATGAAGATGATGAAATGTACTACATGAAAGCCATTTCAACTTTTGTTTAAGTTACATCTTTCACTCAGTGAGCATATTTTGCATTTGCTGGAACACTCCCTGAAACCTTTTCATAATCTTTCTATCCTTGATTCCAGCCTCTCCTGATTTTCACCCCCTCAAAATTACATGCTATAAAAGGTATATGGTTAAAACAAAAAACCCTGCTTCTTCCTTATTTGTTCTCTTCTCTGTTCCTTTCATGTGTCCTTCCAAAGCTATTCTAGACATATAACTGCATATATTTTTTCTGTATGTATAATCTCTTTCCTACAATAGTAATATACTATACATACATACTGTTCTGTACCTCTTTTATCCCTTTAACACTGTATCTTGGGAATTCTCCCATTCAGTCCTGACAGATCTGCTTTATTGTTTTATTGATAATGTCATAGTACCACATTATAGGAATGCACAAAAATTTATTACACAATGTTCTAATAAACTTTGTTTCAAATTTTTTTGCTATTGCAAATAATGATACAGTGAATATCTTAGCATACATATATATACAAGTGTGCATGAGGAATAAATTCTTCAAAGTAGGATTTGCTGGTTAAAAGGATACCTGCATTTGAAATTTGGATATAAAGTGTCAAATTGCCTTTTTAAAAATCATACCAATTTACCTTCCCATCGAATATATGAGTGTCATATACTTTGCCAATCTGAAGGTGAAAATTTGTATCTCTTTGAAGTTTGAATTTGCATTTATTTGAAATGAGTGAGGCTGAGCATATTTTCACATATTTAAAATATATTTTTATTTCTTTTCTGTGAAGTCTATCTTTATGATCTCTGCCTCTTTTCTTTTGGGTTTATTTTTTTCTATTGATTTGTTCTTTCTATAGGACTAAAAAGTTTCCTTTTTCATATGTCACAAATATTTTATCTTTGGCATATTATTTGCTTTTTACTTTGTTTATAATGCTTCATCATGCAGAAACATTTTATGTTTATTCAAATTTGCATGTTTTGTTTCCTGTGGTTCCATGTTTTCAAAGTCCTTCCCTCTACCAAAACTATTTTTAAAACTATACCATACTTTCTTCTACTACTTTTATGGCTTCATTTTTAATGTTTAATTTTTTAAATGTATCAGTTTGAAATGTCACCTTTATTGTGTACTAAATTTATACAGGTCTATTTCTGGCTTCTTTATTCCATTACTCTGTCTCTTGATTTATATGTATCTCATTCTTTAATTACCATAGCTACATAATATGTGGTGGTATCTGGTAATGCTGTGCTCCCCAATTCATCCTCTTTTCTAGAAATTTTTAACTCTTCTTACACCTTTATTTTTCCATATATAGCTTTGAGTTACCACATTTAGTCTTCAAAAATTCTCTTCTAATTATATTGGGATTGCTTTTAATTTATAGCTTTATATTTTTAAAGCATTGGAATCTTTAAAATGTTGACTCTTCTTAGACAAGAATGTAGTCTCCTTCCATTATTCAATTCTTCTGTTAAGTCTGTCAGTATTGAAGTGATCAACAATAAAACCTCATTGAGGTACAGATGCAGGGCTGTTGAGTAGGCTCATTCACTAGGTAAATGACTGATTCTAACACCCAAACCAGCCCAGGATTATGTGCATTTCATATGGGCATTGGCAATATTTTAAGTGAATGTGGGCTATGAACATGTTAAATTTGTGAATGATCAAGGGTCTATTGTAAAATAAATTATACATTTTCTTTTAATCCAGGAAAGCTACGGAATCATAAAAATATACAGTTAAATATTCACATTGCTTGTGACATGAACATTATTTAAAATTTAATTGTAAAATACCATCAATAAAAGCCCCCCAAATTACCTTTATAGGTGTCTCTTTCAGTTAATTGGTAAATTTTAATGAATCATGTCACAGTTAATGAATTATATTCACAGTAAGTGAATGAATGATCTGTTGGCTGGCTTTCTCTTGGGTCTTAATGCTGAAATTGACATTGTGGTCAATGCAACACATGACTTCCATTTATGGTTATTGTCTTACAGGTGACAGCAGATAAAACATTTTTCA
This sequence comes from Homo sapiens, assembly GCF_000001405.40. NCBI lineage: Eukaryota > Metazoa > Chordata > Mammalia > Primates > Hominidae > Homo > Homo sapiens. The sequence goes on along the minus strand of NC_000023.11, from coordinate 98,229,049 downwards.
TAATCTATTTTACCTTCCTTTCCATCTGTGGAACACACACTATTACAATATGCCATGGGATTAATCTGTCCCAGATGTACTCTTGTCATATTGAGAATGCTTTTTCTGTGTTTTCCAAATTACTTGATGTCCTTCAACTTGTTTCTGAGGAAGTTCACATGGTATTGGTCCAGAATGTTCTCCGTACTACTGTCACATTTTGCATTTAAATATGCAAACAGAATGAAGACTTTTCTCCTTTAAAACTCTTCATTGCTTCCCCTTCATCCTCTTGGCAAATTCCAAGTTCCTTGTTTACATGGTCCTTCAAGATCTGGCTCCTACTTACTTTTCCAGCCTCATTTCTACCATTCCACTAAACTGAGATAACTTTTAGTTCCTTCATTGACTGTGCTCTCATTCACTTCCAATGGAGTACAGGTAAATTAGCTGCAGATGGGAGTGGGGCATAGGCGAATATAGGGGAAAAATCCCCATAGTTTGTAGTTAGAATGGACCCGTGTTACAAAAGATGAACAAAAGAAAACAAACAAGTTTATTAATATGTAGATTCCATATATACATCAGAGACACCTAGAAAATGAGTAATCCTCAAAGAGGTGGCTTTGAATCCCAGCTTATACAGCATCTTCAACAAAGAACAGTAAATATCTAGAGAAGTGGAAAGACAAAGGAAAGGAACTTTGAGTCTCTATTAGGTGGCAACTTGGAGAAAGGTCAATAAATGACAGATAAAAGCTAGTTAGTAAAGCTTGCTACTATAAATTCCTGTGGTATTATTTCTAGGCTGATGAGAGCCTAAAGCTGTCTTCAGTGGTTAAACTTCATTCTCCTTGGTAGAGAGGAGGGTAGGATACCTTTGCAAATAGAGAAAGAGCAGAGAGCTCTCCTGTATCTATTTCTTTTTAACTGCCTTCAGCTTAACAATCCTTCTTATTTTGGGGAGGCATATTCTGGTCTTCCAGAAGGGGAAGGCCTTGATTTGGATCATTCACAGATTTCTGCGGCATAATTACTCCCAGTGTGGCCTATTTCAAGGTGCAAATGGTTTAATAACTTGCCTGAAAAATTCTGCTAGCACACTACTGTTTCTCTGCCTAGAACATTCCTCCCAGCCCCAATATCTTATAATCATTCCTCAGGTCACAGTTTTGATATCATTTTAGATTCCTAAATGAACTCATCTCTGATCATCCTATGGGTGGGTGAGAAACCCATTCTACCTATTCTTATCATACTTTTACGTCTCCTCATTGCCTTTTATTACCTTATGTTACAACTCTCTATTTACCCTTCTGTATCCCCCAGTGCCTTAAAGCTTAATGACAGCCTTAAAGCTTAATGACAGCATGGATCATTATATTCGTAGCACCTTACTAACAGAATTTCTGACACATAGTAGGTTAATAAATACTTATTCAATTAATAAGTGAATTTATTCATAAAAAGTTTCAGTATCTTAAACCCATATCATTTCATTACACTATGACAGAAATCAGTAACAGTAATAAAATGGAATTTGGCCAGGCATGGTGGCTTATGCCTGTAATCCCAGCACTTTGGGAGGCCAAGGTGGGCGGAGCACTTGAGGCCAGGAGTTCAAGACCAGCCTGGCCAATGTGGTGAGACCTTGTCTCTATCTAAAAAAAAAAAAAAAAAAAAATTAGCTGGGCATGGTAGCGCGTGCCTGTAAGTCCCACTACTCCGGAGGCAGAGGTGGGAGAGTTGCTTGAACCTGGGAAGCAGAGGTTGCAGTTTGTTGAGATGGCGCCACTGCACTCCAGCCTGAGCAAGAGAGTGAGACTCCATCTCAGAAAAAAAAAAAAAAAAAAAAAAAAAATTAATAGAATAAATAAAATGGAACTTAATATTCCAATTGCTCAAAAATGCAATAACATAAATCCAAACATGTTATTAAAGAATAAGTGTTTTTCCTTTTACCAGTAAAAAAAGATAGTCATAGGTGTCCTATTTAAAACTTGTTTTAAGAATCTACTAGAATAAATGTATCCCAGTTATTGAATAGCTAATATTAACTTAAACAGGTTACTCTAAGACTTCTAGTCAATATAAGTATTAAGTACATAGTTGGCACTTGAGCAATCTGTGGTGAATTGAATTACTAAAACTGCAGAGCTGATTACTGATGCTTCCTTAAAGTAAACAGGGTACCTGACTGGTGAAGCGAACTGGGTACCTAACTGGTGGTATCTTTCCTCCATGGATAACCGAATGAACAAATTTTGATTTATTGTATAAAATCCAAATGTAAGTAATTAAAAAGAGAGGAGTCATCCAGGCACTATGGCTCATGCCTGTAATCCTAGCACTTTGGGATTCTGAGTTGGAGGATGGCTTCAGCCTCAGAGTTTGAGGCTATAGTGAGCTGTGATCATGTCACTGCACTATGGCCTAGGCAGCAGAGTGAGACCCCGTCTCTAAACAGAGAGAGAAAGAGAGAGAGAGGAAGAATAATAAGAACTAAGAAGTTAAGAAGTTACAGCTGCTCGCAGGCCAATTGGAGAGTCAGTTTATCTGAGGAGTGAGCAGTAATCAAGGGCCTGGCACATAAAGAGGCCAGTGAGCATAGAGATCCCAGTGATCTTTCTCTTATGCAATTAAAGCAATGGACATGGAAGAAATGTGACTTAGCTAAACTAAAAGAAAGTTCTGCTTTATTGGAAAGATTAGAAAGTTCTGCCACTGAGGTCTACTTAAGCTAGGATGAATTAGAGTGAGGGCCTCTGGATGATGGCCATGACTGATGCAAAGTTGTTAGATTTTGAAAGACTCTTAGAAAATGTTGGTTGGATCGTGGTTGTGGGTAATACTTTTGCTAATACTCTATTGTGAATAGAAAATGAAGCCACTCTGATTTCACTCTTTATATTTTCAACTTTTCCTTCTGTGAATTTAGAATAAATAGAGTATCATTGATCTGTGGCCCTTTGTGCTAGAACATGACATGTAGGTTCACATGGAATGCAGATTCACTCAGTAAACTGCGGGATATGTCAGTAGGCTTTCAGCTTTTTAGCATTATTTTTGTAAGTATCCATCAAGCACAGAGGGCTTTGAATGTGAAACCATGACATTTGCACCTTTGACTTCATCACACAAGTGGTAAACTTCTTCAGTCCCTGGGTCCATAACATTTGCAGAAATAATGTTGAGATACATGTTGGAGAGGGGCAGCCTTTGGAGAGTGCAACCCACATGGCTCATTGCTTCTTTGTTTTTCTTGCTGCCATCCTCACTTTCAAATACTATGCACTGCTCACTTTTTGGTCTTTCATGAGCCTAGCTGCAAAAAACCAGAGTAGCAAAGAAGTCTGGTGGATTGGGTGAAGAGTACAAGATTATGGAAGGTCAGATCCCTGCTACCCCCAGAAGGCCCCCTCCAGGACCAGCATGACTGCCAATATAGGGGACATACTGGGGGAGAAGATGATACTGAACCCTCTTTATGGCCAGGGAGCGTTAGAGAGAATTGGGTACCTTGGAGGTAAAGAGGTAGAGATCCTAAGCAAGTTTCCTCTCTTGTGTTTATTTTAAAAACTCCTGGACCAGCTGTGGGTAGCAGTGAGTCTAATACTTTACCTGGAGCACAGATACTTTCCCAAGTCCCTGAGGCAGCCACAGCCAGAATAAGATGTAAATGGATGTGTAAGTGACCTCAAAGTAACTTACTTATATTACCTGTTGTGTGGCCTACTGAGGAAGTTTAATGTTACTTTCCCTAAGACAGTGCAGTTCACAGCAATTCAGCTAAACCTAATTTTCTACCCATTTTTGCTGTCTCAGGGAATCTAATAGCAGAATACCAGAAAAAGTAACGCAAGGTTCTGAGCCCCTCCTTTTACTTACCATAAACCTGTTGTGCATTTAATCAATAATTGGGCTTTCTTATGCTGAATTCTCTTAGTATGTCCAGGTTCCATCTAAAGGCTATGTCGAGTCCCACATCTTCTGCTTTGGTTGTATCTTCATGTACCCAGTTAAAAGGTAAACTATTTGAAGAAGATTAATGGATACTGAATCTATCTCTCTGTCCTTTCCCATTTATATCTATATTTTGTTCATGCATTAACTATACAATCAAGCCCCAAATATCCATCTATTTGCAAGCCATTTGTTTCTTTGTGACGCAGAAAAATGTGTTTTCATAAACTTGCTGCTGAATTGGCCAGATGGTATGGTGAAAAGGAGAGGAGGAAAAAAAATACCTGAAGTAGCAAGGACAAGAAACAACGTGGAGGATAGATGCAAGGGGAATAGGAAAGAACTAGTTCTGCAGAGTTAAACAGTAGGATCATGAAAATAATCGTCATTTGCATAAATAATCTTTATTTTCTTGGAAAAGTAAAGCCTTTTATGGAAATAATTTTAGTAACTTCAGTGAAGGGGGAGAAACGACATTAACTGTTCAGTGTTTTCAAGGCATGAGTACCTGGTACAATTATATATATGTATAATATATGAAAATATATAATATATATAAATATATTTATATACATATATATTTCTGCGGGAGAGAGGCAGAGAAAGGACAATTTAGGTGAGGATGGAGGGGAAAACAAAAACAATAAAAGATGTGCTTTTTTGGGAGGATTTAAAAGGCCAAATTCTGTGTCCAATTCTCCTGGAGCCTCAGCTTGAAAATGAGTTATATATGATGTAAAATAGACATTCTAGTACATGCTTATTTTATTTGTTCTCAATCAGCAGCATCACAGAAAACCCAAATAATTAGAAATTAATTTGGATTAAAAAGCGAGTATTTTTAAATGTAGATTTATGTTTTTCTTTAAGTAAATTATTCTAAAACTTGAGAATACCATTGTGTCAAAATAAGCAGCCTGCAGAATAGATGAAAACATTCTAATTATTTTAGACAAAAAAAATAATTCAAATGATTTTGGCAAGAAAGTGCTTTTTTTTCAGGTTATCTTTCTTTAAGCTTAATTTTTTTTTTTTTAATCTAGCAGATGGAAGAATTTTGAAGGTTAAGCTTTAAAGTACCACCATCTTCAAACCTTAAAATTTGCTGTTAGGAACTGCTATAACTTTCACATCTTGATTTTACACAAATCTTCCCCTTCTAATCTCAAGCAGAACTTGCTTGCATTTTTTTCTTTTGAAATAGTTTATGGTCACTGACACTTAGCTACCACGCTATTAGAAGGAAGTCATATTTCCCAAATTACCTTGGAAAATTTTATGGCTAGAATTTTAAAAATGGAATATCTGATACAGAGTCTGAGCTAATGTTTGACTTTAGTGTTGAAATAAATATATCATCCCATTCTGTGTTGGGGTAATCACCTGGAAGAAACTGGCAGTGATTTCTAGATCAGAGGAAATACAGTAAATTCCTGCTGGAGAGGGAGGTTCTCCCCTCTTCTTGGGGAACGAATAGCCTAACCACTGAGTGAAGGAATGGAATGGAAGAAACAATTTTATATCATCAGGACACAAACATTTGTAAATGTAAGGTGCAGGGGAGGGTGGGGTAGCGTCTTAGTCCATTTGAGCTGCTGTAACAAAATACCATAGACTGGATGGCTTAAAGAACAGGAATTTATTTCTCACAGTTCTGAAGGCTAAAAAGTCCAAGATCAATGTATTGGCAGATTCTGTGTTTGGTGAGGGCCCATTTCTTGGTTCATACACAGTGCCTTCTGGCTCTGTCCTCACATGTTGAAAGGGGTGTGAGGTCTCTCTCAGGCCTCTTTTATAAGGACACTGATCTTATTCATGAGGGCTCTGCCTCTATTACCAAATTGTTTCCTAAAGGCCCCACCTCCTAATACCATCACCTTGGGCGTTAATGTTTTAACATACAAATTTTAGGGAGATACAAACATAAAGACCATAGCAGGTGGGGAATGAGAGTTCTTAGTAATACCCAGTGGCCCTGTAGGATAGTGCATCCGGGGTGGGTGATGTAACACTTGCTGGACAGGTAACTTATATTCAGTTCCTCAACCTGCATTTTAAAATAAGACCAGGCAGGCACATGCACTGGCACTGAAAGTGACCAGAAAAATGTACTTCTCCCAGTCTGTCTTCAAATAAATTTGTCCTCAGTTTCCATGCAGTTTACCAAACTCAATAATTTCTGTTATTCAAATTCCAGAAAAATAGTCACTTTGTTTAGTTATATTACAAGATGAAGAAATTAGCAATACATTTTAAAAGGGGAATAGATCACTTTGGTGAATTTATAATGAGATTTTGCCATTAGTTTATTCGAATAAACATGGTCTGTTTGTCATCACTGGATAGCTATTCAATGATGATTTAGAATGAATCCCTGGTCTCAGGTCTAGAACCTAATGGACAGGTGTTCATTTCAGCATAATAGAAGTGTGTTAGAGTTTCAATTCAAATTCTAACAGATGGTATTGTCACAGATACTAAATTACACTATCAATGGTAAATATAATTTTCATATTAAACCAGAGATTTGCATTAGGGTGCAATGTACTAGGGCATGGTAAGCGCGTGCACTAAGGAAGAGAAGGTCTAATTTTGAAATAAAATTGGGAGAATAAAGAAAGGGCCATGAGTATTTTTCATAATAACTTAAAGAAAATTACTTTGCAAATCACTATGAGCCAGGGCAAGATAATTACCCTAATTTCTACAAAATTCCATTTGGTACACTTATATATTGTATAATGAAAATTAATACCTTGTTTATTATAAGAAAATAAATATTAAAATTTGAAATTATACAAATATTCAATAAGCAGAAAATTACTTATACATTAAATTTATATGCTAGAGTTTACCACTTAATAAATTGCCAAACTATTTTGTTCTTTATTATCACAATAGTATTTTTTCAAAAGTTCTACATTATCAGCAGAGTTATGATGTCTATTTTAGAGATGACATTAAGTAATTTATCTTTTTTAGTAAATAGTTCATCATTTTCAGCACGAATCAATTTGTGAAACCTTTTAAATTTCTATTTTCAGCAGTTAAACAAAGAACTGTGATTTGGGTACTAATGTAAAATATATAAAACATTTTCATTCATAGAAAGTTTTAGGCTATGTCCAAATTCAAGATATTTTGAAAGTGACTTAAATGTAATGTTTAGTTCCTTCAAATTACCTTCTGATTAACTCAAAGCAAAGGAGCTTTGCATTAAGTAACAGCAAGATTTATTCTACACCAATAAGCAATACAATGCTAGCATAATGTGAGGAAGTCACATGGCTTCAACATTTCCCTCAGGTAACTGTGTTCACAACACAGAGATAGAATGTCCTGTGACCACTAAGTGTATGGTGGAGACTGTCCCTTGTCAAGATACAGTAATGGGCTCTGTTCTCAAAACTACCGTAAGGGATTTGCAGATCAGATACGGGGAAACCCATCAACCCTGTTTAGCCTATCAGACTCTGAAAAATTGTTACTCAAACTTCATTGCCTCTAATGTTGAACTGCTGCAAGGATCTAGAAGCACATTTTTGTGTTTGGGTCAACAAACTCGAATCCTGTTCTCTCAATGAAGAAATTTATCTCATCTGCATAGTGTGAGAGTTTAGGAACTAATTCATAGATTTTAATGGTCTTTTCATTTACTGCACTGCATGAGGTGACAATCACAGTTTGTTTTGTTCTGCCTAAATTTGATTTTATATCATCTTCACATATGGCACTTCAGCATTATCACCACTGGGCTTTCCCCATAGGAGCTGTGTACTCATGTTCTGCAGCTCCTGATGTGACTGAGTACACAGAGAATGGCACTGGATAACTGAGCCTGTCAAGTAAGGATGGATAGAGAGTAAAAAGGATGTACCATTTCTGTGTCATTCAGCTGCACCATGAAACTACTCTAACAAATGTGACTAGTCATTAGGTGAAGATGAGAGTTTCAGGCTAAATGGCTAAATCTCTATGAATGAATGAAACAGAAGCATCTCGATCTTATATAAATATGAGCATTCACTCAATTCTTAGTAATATGCCACTGTCTCATCTGTTGATATCTAGCAGAGTCCCAGGCTCCTGGCAATCATGTGATGGAACTAGAAGCTCAAAGCTGAGCTTGGAGAAGCAAAATATGTGAAAAATAATAATCGTCCCAATTATAGCATGTATATTCATTGTTGACAATTTTTATTGAGAGCTTTCTATGTTCCGGGCACTGAACTAAGCCCTGTTACAAATATAATCTCATTTAATCTTTGCAGAAGCTTCCTGTGATATATTCTATTCTTATCCTTACTTTCCTGGCGAGGAAAGAGAGTATGAGAAATTAAGTAACATTCCCTTGATATATGATTAAATGACAGTCAGAATTAGAACCAGCCTTCAGACCCTGGGCTCTGCAGTGCTGCTACCCATGGATTTGTATTTTATTTGTCAGGTATCTTTTCATTTTATTCTAAAGACAGAAATAAATGATTTTATAATATTATCTACATGCCCTTTATCCATTCTTTCCATAAGCATAACTATTTCAGGATTGACTTTGTCTTGGAGACAGTATGTCAAATTTTATACTCAGATAAAGGTCGTTGAAGTAGTGAGCCTGTGCCTATGGGATGAAATTTGTCTACTGTGAATTGTATATCATCCCAACACTGTGGTTAGAATGACTATATTTATTATGTGGACTGGGATGGCAAGGAAGAGTGGGTAATTTCACTCTAGCACTAAAAATCTATTAACAAACTTGCCTGAGAATTCATGTGTAAGTTTTCAAAATATTACATTCACTTTCCTGAATAGTGCTATATTCTTCATTTAATTAATTATCTTATTTTAAAGCCATATAAAGCGCATTATGCTCTATGTATATTTTGACATATGGCCAATTGTGTATAACACTCTCAAATCTGCCAGCTGTGTTTAAGTAACAAAAATATTTTGTTTTCAGACAGCTTGATAGAAATCCTGAAGTTTGTGAGAAAACAGAACTTCTTAAAAATGTTGTTTTTTTGAACCACCAGAAATTCTGAGATGATACTCAAAGGGAAGAGCTCTTGTTTTTACCATAATAGAAGTCTTCTTGTTTTTCAATAACAACATATTTCCAAATTGTATTGAGTTTATTTTTCACAAGGATTTTTAGTTAGTCCCTTTAGTTTTTGTTTCAAGATCTGACAGAATAAAGAATGCTTCCCCAGTTGAACCAAACTGTGCTTTGCTTGTGTTAATCACAAAAAGAAAATTTTAGGACCCACAGAGACTGGTTAAAGGGTTTCAGACCCAAAGAAACACAATGTCTAAGACATAATTAAATGCTATTTTCAGTGTTTTATACCTTGTCTTAAGGACAGAATCTTTACTTGCCCAAATTGCTTATAGCTGGCAACTAGGAGTAGATGGTGGGCAGAAAAGAGGAGGTATTGTATCAGGCCTGGCTCTTCAGCCTCCACCTGTAGATGGAGGAGGTGTTCTGACCTCTTTCATTACGTCTCTCACGGGAGAGGCTGAGAACCTATGATGACATGCATTTCCAACCTCTGCCAAGGGTATAATCCTATTAGACAAGTGTTTTGCAAACTGTAGGTTGTAATCCATTGGTGGGTTGGGAAATCAATTTAATGGGTTTGACAAACATTTAAAAAAATGGAATGGAATATATTACACATTTTTCTAATATCTGTTTCAATTGTGTGTGTGTGCACGTGTGTGTGTGTGTGTGCTGGGTCATAATATAAAATGTATTTTTTATTGTTGGTTATAAAGTTACAAGTGTAAAAGCTACCAGATTGGCCTTCTACCGTTGTCATAACAATTATTATTTTGCTTTAGTTCATAAGTAAAGAGGCCTGTTTTTCCATGAGTAAATTAGGGAGTTCTATAAATAAGTAGGATTTCTAAACAAAGAACTTCAAGCAACCAGTTTGCATATATTGCTCATTCTTAATCAGTGCAGAAATGCAGCTATTTTAGCATGCATTCATCCTTGCATCTTAGTAAAAAGGCATATCTTGCATAAGAACAGCGGACATAATTAATTAATATCTCTGCTCTCACAGAGAAAAAAAGAATTATGCCGGGCATGGTGGCTCACGCCTGTAATCCTAGCACTTTGGGAGGCCAAGGCGGGTGGATCATGAGGTCAGGAGATTGAGACCATCCAGGCCAACATGGTGAAACCCTGTCTCTACTAAAGTACAAAAAATCAGCTGGGCATGGTGGCTCACACCTGTAGTCCCAGCTACTCGGGAGGCTGAGGCAGGCGAATCGCTTGAACCTGGGAGGCAGAGGTTGCAGTGAGCTGAGATCATGCCACTGCACTCCAGCCTGGTAACAGAGCGAGACTCCGCCTCAAAATAAATAAATAAATAAATAAATAAATAAATAAATAAATAAATAAATAAATAAAATTATATCCTAGGAGTCAAGTGATTCAGACCTATGTGAAAAATTTTCAGCAATACTCACAACTAAATACCTATAATGTGCAAAGCACAGTATTGACAGGAGAATGGGGGTTAGGAATACAAAACAATGATGCCTAGGTTCTATTGCCAAAGAAATTTGCAGTTTGGTTAGAAACAGAGACTAGTAAAGCAATAATACAAGGCAACAACAGTGTGGGATGGTACAAGTCCTTGGTCTATTGGCTCTCAAATCCATTCCTTGCACTTCCCCTGCTCTGCTCTGTATTGTGAGAGGGGCTGACACCTACAGGTGGCATTTCCAGGGCCCCTTTGTCAGATGGCTCCTACAGGGTTTGAGCAATGGAAGCCACTAGCAAGATATTGGAGAACAAGAGGGAGAAGTCAGTATTTCTCTTTCTCCTTCTTGGTCTCTGGAACTCTAGTTCCCTTTATAGAAAGTGGCCATGGCTACAGGTTCTTCTAGGTGGCCCTGACCCCTGGGTTCCTGTTCTGGTTATACTTACTGCTCTCTTTGGCCTTAAATTCCAGGACTATAATAAATCTCTCTTTCTGCTGATTTCTTGATTACTTCACCATTCCCTGTTGGCCTCTAAGATTTTTCATAACCTGGGTAACAAATTTCTGTATGAAGTTCCTTTTGTTTTAGGTACTCAGGTTTGTTTCTATTTTCCTGGTTATACTATAATAAATATAGAAGTTTAGAATGAAATGAAATATTTTGCATCATTAAAATAATTGGTATTTATTTAATTTTACATGTGCCAGGTATTATTCTAAGTGCCTTTCATGTATCAACAGCTCTGTTTTACAGATGAGGAAAAAGAAGCACAGAGAGGTTACTTGACTTGCCCAAGGTTATTTAACTAATGAAGTACTGCCTTGCATTGATTTTCAATTTGGATTTTCTTTAAGCACCCAATGCTTTGCCTATAGAATTGTTGTCAGGTATATGATTCCTCAAATTTATCAGGCATTTAAAAACTTCCAGTATCTTTTGATACTGATTGATTGCTTGGTTGATGTCAATGAATATTTATTAAGCATCTAGTATATACCAAACATGATTATAGGTGCTATAGCATCATACCTTTTTCGTATGATGACTATCTTCTATAAATAGTCACTCTTTCAACCTGCTTTTATGAGTGTGCTGTCATTGCTAAAGGACTTCTCACGTTGGATAGGCTTTCAAATCTTCCTGTTAAGTGAGATCTAGATAGCAGCCCAGAAATGATCAGTTTACCTGTGAAACAAACTTGCATTTGAAAATATTCCTCTCTGATTCTCAAAGAAATCATTTGCAGCCTTACCCTGAAACTAGTGCTCTTCAATTTGTCCATCTGAAGTAAACATATATTTTAGTACCATGGTAAATCAGGTCTAGGAAGTAATCTTTCCTTTGTAGCTAAATAATCATCAATGTACAACATTATGGTTGTTTTTCATTACTGTAGTTTGGGGAGCTACTCATCTCAAACTTTCTCAATCAATACAATATAAATATATCAGCAACCATCCAATTAACCCTCTGGGTATGGATTATTCAGTATGCATACAAGGCTACTCATATTATGGGCTGAAATGTACAATCAAGCAGAATGATGTGCACACAGCTGTTCTATATTTCGTCAGCTTTCTAATGTGAGCTAATTTGTTGTAGGGACTGAAGGCATTACTAAGATTTATTTCAAGTTTAGGATGAGATAAAATTATTGTCTGAAGGTGAAACTTTAGTCTTTACTCAACTTTAACAGACATTGCTTTTCTATTTTCTTAACATCAGATGGAGGAAAGTGTTTGACATATTCGCATATATGAAGATAATAGGCTTCACAATACCTCCTTCCACTCTGAAACCAACATCTTAAAACCTCTACTTTCTGTTTATAATGAAAAAATGTGAATAAAAACAAAGATAAAATGAATATTACTTGGACTTGGAAACAGTCTGTGAAAATTAGATGGCAACTGCATAACAAAATACAGTATTCACCTTGTTCTTAGATTTATATCTTAACTAAATGCTCTGACAGAAGGTATGACTGTTCAATAGATATCTAATTCATGGTGGAAGTTGTTGCTTTTATCCATGTTTTCCCCTTGGGCAAAAGTAAAGCACAGAAGAGAGGAAATAAAAGACCTTGAGGGGAGTGAATGCCATGCTATGGTTTTGTAATAAACTGGTGTTATCTCCTGAAACTACATCATGGCAGAAAACCTTGTAGGAAGAGAATCAACACTAAACCATTACGCAGGAGAACACCATACCATAACTACTAAAAGGGATGAAGTTAGCGATCCTGAATAGAACAATATTGTATTGGTTGTGAAAATGAAATCTACTTTGTCAGGAGGTTAACAGGATACAGAATGTAAATTGTAACGGCCATGAAAAAGACCAGAAACATGTAATTTTATCAATGAATATTGTTAGCTTATTGAGAAGTCAAAACTCCAGAAGAATGCTAGTTGTTCTTGTGGGCTTATTATGAAGACCTGGTTGTTCTATTTAATTCAAAATGCTAGCCAGCAGAATACATGTCTACTTCTGCTTCTAAACAAGCAGGAAAAATACATTATCCATGTTGTCGAATAAGATTTTTATTTATGCACCCTGCTGTATTAGTGACCCGTTAACTATGTAAATATAAAAATGTCATAATTTAACAACTTTAAAGGCAATGTTGCTTAATAATAGGAAACCATCTGCACAGTTCAAATATTAGTACAGGACCTGAAAGAAATCAGAATGTAAATAAGCTAAGGTTATAACTAAAAATTAAAATTTTAATTTCCATCATTGCTACTTGATTTATTTACCCACTTATGTTCACTGCCATCTTCACAAGGATTCTAATGGCTCCTGTCTCCTAAATATCTTTCCAATTTGTGCATCTTCCTCCATTCTCACAGCCACTATACTCGGTCAAGTCACCTTGCTTGGGTCATTATAATAAGATTCCAAACAGTACTACTGCCTTCATTCTTCATTCCAAACAGTACTACTAGTCTTCTCTAATCCATTCTAATTCATTCTCTACTTCAGTCAATGTGATATTTCTAGCACATACATTTAACCATCTCAATTCCCTGCTCAAGTCATTCCAACATTTCCCCTTTCTCTCAGGGTAAAATTCAAATATCTTAACATAGCTTATTCCTGTCTTATCTGGCTTTGGCTTATTATTCCTGAAGTTTAGACATGATGGGGCAGGTATCTGTGGTAGATTGAAGCGGCCAGGTTTTTAGTTCCTTCCATTAACAGGTGAAGTCCATTGCCTTACCCTTTAAATATGGGCTGGTCTTGTGACTTTCTTTGATCAGTAGACTATCTCATAAGTAATAGGGCATGAGTTCTGACCCTACTCTTCAAGAGGGCTTGCAGCTTCTACTCTTGCTCTGAACCCTACCACTGCTATGTGAAGAAGCCTGGGCTAGCCATCTTGAGGATGAATGACCACAAGAAAGAGTCCCAGTACTGATGAGCCAGCTCTTCTAAGTACACCCCAAATTTCTGACCCACAGGAGTGTGAGCCAACAAATAATTCTATCTTTTCATTTTTCATTGTTTTTCTTTTTCATTTTGATGAAAAAAATTTGAGTTTTATCCCATCATAAAACAAATAGAATTGTGACTCATGCCTCACAAATTATATATATCTGTAATAGTCTGTATATTTCTGAGAGTTCTATCACATTTGTTTTAGCTCATGAACTCCCCTTTCTCTAGGAAATTGGTGGGGATTATAGTGAGGTAAGGATGGTAGGTGTGTGGAGGAATTCTCTGAGACAGTAAATCTAGGTGTAGTTGTTTGCATGAAAATTCTTCATTGAGCTGGCTCTTCTAGTAGGGAAAAAGCAGTGCTGGTTTCCCCAGCTATAATGTAACCATGAGTGGACCCAGTCTCATGGGATCACATTGCATAAATCCAAAAGTAATTGAGAGCACAGACAGGAAGTGATATCTGTTTTCATGGGAAAGTATTCTGAGCAGCTTGTCAGGCCTTAAAGAACCCCATATTCACTAGAGATATGCTGTCTCCCCTCTTTTCTGAGTGAAGAATGAATCTTGGCATGCCATCCTTGGTCTGAATTCTACTTGGGACTCTTGAGAATTTCTTTGGGTAGGGGTCTCAACTGTCAGGCTCTCCAAAGGATTTGGTCAAGGAAGAACAAGGAGAAGTACAGCTCCTACTCAAGGATTCCTCAGGTATCGCCTCCCCTCTGGACTCTTCAGATTACTTTAAGATGCATCATTACATTATTATTATTATTATTATTATTATTATTATTATTATTTTTGAGATGGAATCTCCCTCTGTTGCCCAGGCTGGAGTGCAGTGGCACGATCTCAGCTCACTGAAACCTCTGCCTCTTGGGTTCAAGCAATTCCCTGCCTCAGCCTCCCAAGTAGCTGGGATTACAGGTGCCCGCCACCATGCCTGGCTAATTTTTTTGTACTTTTTTTTTAGTAGAGATGGGCTTTCACTATCTTGGCCAGGTTGGTCTTGAACTCCTGACCTCGTGATCCACCCGCCTTGGCCTCCCGAAGTGCTGGGATTACAGGCACGAGCCACCACACTTGGCCATCATTACATTATTTATTGTAGTTTTTCTTAGTTTTGTTGTAGGCACTTACACCTATAAATTTTCCTCTTAGTACTGCTTTCACTATGTCCCATAGGTTTGGGTATGTTGTGTTTCCATTGACATTTGTTTCAACAAATTTTTTAAATTTCCTTTTAATTTCTTCATTGACCCGTGAGTAATTCAGGACCATATTGTTTAATTTCCTTGTATTCTTATTGTTTCCAAAATTCCTCCTGTTATTTCTAGTTTTATTCCATTGTCCTCAGAGAATATGTTTGATAGTATTTCAATTTTTCTTAATGTTTCAAGACTTGTTTTGTGACCTAACATATGGTCTATCCTTGAGAAAGATCCATGTGCTGAGGAAAAGAATGTGTATTCTGCAGCTATTGGATGAAATGCTCTGTAAATATTTATTAGATCAATGTTCTTCTATAGTGCAGATTAGGTCCGATGTTTCTTTGTTGAGTTTCTGTTTGGGAGATCTTTCCAGTGCTGAAAGTAGGGTTTTGAAGTCTCCAGCTATTGTATTGAGGTCTATCTCTCTCATTAGCTGTAGAAACATTTGCTTTATATATCTGTGTGCTCCAGTGTTAGGTGCATATATATTTACAATCATTATATCTTCTTGCTGGATTAACATTTCTTATTATATAATGATCTTCTTTGTCTCTTCTTACAGTTTTTGTCTTGAAATTTATTTAGTCAGATATAAGTATAGCTATTCCTGCTCTTTTTTAGTTCCATTTGCATGTAGTATATTTTTCCATCCCTTTATTTTCTTTCAGTCTATGTGTGTCTTTATAGGCGAAATGTGTTTCTTGTAGGCAACAGATCATTGGGTCGTTTTGAAATGTATTCAGCCACTCTTTTTATTAGAGAGTTTAGTCTATTTATATTCAATGTTATTGTTGATAAGTAAGGACTTACTCCTGCCATTTTGTTATTTGTTTTCTGGTTGTTTTGTGGTCTTCCCTTCCTCCTTGTTTTCCTTTAGTGAAAGTGATTTTCTCTGCTGGTATGATTTAATTTTTTGCTTTTTACTTTTTGTGTATCTGTTGTATGTTTTTCAATTTGAGGTTATTGTGAAGCTTGCAGATAGTATTTTATAAGCCATTATTTTAAACTGATGGCAACTTAATACTGATTCCATAAACAAACAAAAACACATACAAAAAGAAAACTAATAAAAACACTATAATGTCATCCCCCTGATGTTTAGCTTTTTGCTGTCTTTCTATATGTCTTATTGTACTGTCTGTGTCTTCAAAAGTTGTTGTACTTATTATTTTTCATTGGTTCATCATTTAATCTTTCTCCTTAAGATAAGAGTAGTTTACATACCACAATTACTGTGTTATAATATTCTGTGTTTTTCTGTGCTTACTGTTACCAGTGAGTTTTTTACCTTCAGATGGTTCCTTATTTGTCATTAACATGCTTTTCTTTCAGATTGAATAACTCCTTTTACATTTCTTGAAGGACAGGTCTGGAGTTGATGAAATCCCTCTGTTTTTGTTTGTTTGGGAAGGTCTTTATTTCTCCTTCATGCTTGAAGGATATTTTTGCCAGATATACTATTCCAGGGTATAAGTTTTCTTCCTTCAGCACTTTAAATATGTTGTGCCACTCTCTCCTGGCCTATAAGGTTTCCATTGAAAAGTCTGCTGCAAGACATGTTGGAGCTCCAATGTATGTTATTTGTTTGTTTTCTCTTGCTGCTTTTAGGATCCCTTCTTTATCCTTGACTTTTGGGAGTTTGGTTATTACATGCCTTAAGATCTGCTTGGTGTTCCATAACCTTCGTGTGCTTGAATCTTGATATCCTTCTCTAAGTTTGGGAAGTTCTCTGTTTTTATCACTTTGAATAAACTTCCCTATTCCTATTTCAGGAATCCTAGGAATAGGATTCCTATTCCTATCCCTATTCCTATTAAAAAGGAGGTATTTCAGTACCTCCTTTTTAAGGCCAATAACTTTCAGATTTGCCCTTTTGAGACTATTTTCTTGATCTTGGAGGCAATCTTTATTGTTTTGTACTGTTTTTTTATTTTGTCTCCTCTGACTGTGTGTTTTCAATTAGCCTGTCTTCAAGCTAATTCTTTCTTATGCTTGAACAATTCTACTATTAAGAGACTGATACATTCTGCAGAATGCCAATTGCATTTTTCAACTCTAGAATTTGTGCTTGATTCTTTTTAGTTATTTCAATTTCTTGGTTAACTTTATCGGATAAAATTCTGAATTCCTTCTTCTGTGTGATCTTAAATTTCTTTGAGTTTCTTCAAAACAGCTATTTTGAATTATCTGTCTGAAAGGTCACATATATGTTTTTCCAGGATTGGTCTCTGGTGCCTTATTTAGTTTATTTGGTGAGGACATGTTTTCCTAGATGATCTTGATATTTGTAGATGTTCTTCAGTGTTCGGGCATTAAAGAGTTAGTTATTTATTGTAATGTTTGCAGTCTGGGCTTGTTTATGCTTATCCTTGTTCAGAGGGTTTTCCAGGTATTCAGAAGGACTTGGGCCCCAAGTGAAATAGCACTGTGTTTTTTTATAGACTCATAGAAGTAGCACCTTAGTGTTGTGGGATAAGATCTGGAAGAATTCTCTAGAATACCAGGGAGAGATTCTTGTTCTTTTCCCTTACTTTCTCCCAGACAGATGGAGTCTCCCTCTCTCTGTCTCTCTCTCTCTCTGTCTGTGCTGAGCCACCTGGAACTGGGGGTGTGGTGATACAAGCACCCCTGTGGCCACCACCACTGGGACTACATTAGGTCAAACCTGAAGCCAGCACAACACTAGGTCTCGCCCAAGACCTGGTGTAACCACTTCTTGGCTACCACCTATGTTCACTGAAGGCCCTAGAGCTCTACAATTAGCAGTTGGTGAAGCCAGCCAGGTTTGCGTCCTTCCCTTCAGAGTGGCACATTCCCCCGGTCCCAGGCAGGTTGAGAGATGCTGTCTGGGAACCAGGCATTGGAGTCAACAATCTTAGAAATTTGCCTCATGTTCTATTCGACTGCAGCTAAGATGGCACTCAAAGCACGATACAAAGTCCTTCCTGCTCTTCCCTCCCCTTTCTGCAGGCAGAGGAGCCTCTCCCTGTGGCTACCACCACCCCTGGCCCGCAGGGTTTCTGCCAGGCCACCCATGTTCACTTAAAGCCTAAGGGCTGTTCGGTTAGATTTTGGTGAATGCTGCCAGACCTGAGACTCATTCTTCCAGGCAATGGGTTTCCATGTGGCCCAGGGCAAGTCCAGAAATGCTGTCAAATACCCTAGGCCTGGACCTGGGGACCCCAAGAGCCTGCTTGTTGCTCTACCTCACTGTGGCCAAGCTGGTACCTGAGGTGCAAGACCAAGTCCCCTTTGCTTTTCCGTCTGCTTTTCTCAACAGGAGCCTTTTGCTGTGTTCATCACAGGTGGGAATGTGCTGGGTCACACCTGAAGTGAGCTCATCTCAGAGCCCGAGGCCCACAGTATACTACCTGGGCATCACTGCTGGTTATTCAGGGGCCAAGGGCTCTTTAGTCAACAGATGATCAATCCTGCCAGGGCTGGATCCTTCTATTCAAGGCAGTGGGTTCCCTATTGGCCCAGGGTATGTCTAGAAATGTTGTCCAAGAGCTAGGGGGAATGGGGGCCTCATGACTCTGTCTGGTGCTTAGCTGGTATCCAAGATGCAAGACAAAGTCCTCTTTACTTTTCCCTCCCCTTTCCTCAAGCAGAAGGAAGGAGACTGTCCTTGCTGTAAGCTGCACTGCCTGGGTTGGGAGAGAGGTGGTACAAATACTCCCTTAGCTGCACCAGCTGGTGATTCCCCAGGTCACATGCCATCCTATACCATGGGCTGTAAGCCAAGCTAAGCACTAGGAGTTGCCTAGGAATTGCAGACCTTGTGTCTTAGACTGTCTTTCAAGTTTATCTAGGACCCCAGAGCCCTTTGGCCCACATCGCTAAATCTTGCTGAGAAACTCAAATTCCAACCACTGGGATGGGAGATTCTCCTCTGGCTAGGTCTTGTCCAAATGCTTCCTCCATGCGTGAGTGTTGACTGAGCCAGCACGGCTTTGTTCTCCAGTATGACAGGGCAGCACTGAGTTCCATGTGAAGTACCCCAGTCTCTGTGCTCTATTTCCCCCGGTGCACAGACTCTCCATGCTGAACAGCTGCTGCCAGAGGATGGGGGAGTGGTACTGTGATTGCTCACCAGGTACTGTGATTGCTCACCTGATTTTTGGTTCTTGTGAAAGTGCTTTTCTGTGTGCGGATATTTGTTAAAATTTGGTGTTCCTGAGGAGACACTAATGGTATAGGCTTTTATTCCATCATGTTGCTCCACCTCATCTGCAGGTTTCTAACCAGTGGCCAGTGAACCTAAAGTACTTTGACTTACAGTCACTGCCTTGAACATCGTTCAGAATCTCTTTTTGTATGCTGATAGCTATTCCCCTTTCAGGGGGACTTATTTCTAATTAGGTACCAGACCACATCACCTCCTCTGAAATTTCCTTATAAACTGTATCTCAATTAGCTGTCTTCTAGAACCATCTGTCATGCAACAATATGACTTGGAGTTTTACTGACATTCATGAAAGTGAAAGTTCTGCTCTGGCATTATTAGCATTGTGACCTTGGGCAAGTCATTTAACCTCTTTGATTACTCTATAAAAGGAGTAATCAAAACCCACTTTGCAGGTTTGTTGTGCTCCAATGATTTCATGCTTCCTCAGAAGCTCCCCACCCCAGGTGGATCACATGGATTTACTATCTCCATCAGAAGCATCTATTTTTCGTTCAGTCATTGGACAATATTTGTGCCTAAATTATGACAGATACTGGCTAGGATAATCAAAGCAGACAAAGATTGCTGCCCTTGAGGTGCTTACATTCTAGCAGGAGGGAAAAGATAAGAAAAAATATGATAAAATAAATGAATAAATTTTCTAGTATACTCGAAAATGATAAGCACTGTCAAGAAAAAAAAAGTAGAACAGAATATGGAGAGTCATACGAGCCAAGATGGGCTGTAAGTACAGAGTAATCAAGGCAGCCTTCTTTCATCTAGAAAAAGGTGTTTCAGCAAAGACTTGAACGAGGTGAGTAAATTAGACAAATGGATACCTGGGAAAAGAAAACTCTAAGCAGAAGGAACAGTCCCCTAAAAGGATAGCATGCTCATGTGTGAAGGATTGAAAAGAAGCCAGTGTGACTGGAGCTGAGGGAATGAGTGGGAGAATAGGATAAAAAGAGGTCAAAGAAATCACAGGGACTAAATCATATAAGGAGCTAATTGGCTATTGTAAGCATGTTGGCTTTAACATTGGTCGAAATGAACATGTTTCACAGGGATTTGAGCAAAAGACTGATGTGGTCTGATTTTCATTTTTAAAAGATCACTCTGGAGTCTTAGTTGAAAATAGACTATAGGGAAAAAAGGAGGAAAGCAGAAATACCAGTTGAGAGGCTATTACAGATGGTGGTGGCAAGGACCAGGGTGGTCGCTATGGATGCGGTGAAAAGTGGCCAGATTATGGATGTATTTTGAAGGTAGACCAACAATATTTCCTGATGAGTTAGACATAGAGTGTGAGAGAAATAGAGAAATCAAAAACATCTCTAAAGTCTCCAGACCTTTTATGTGACATATCCCTCTTACATTCCCACCATTAAATCTTACTGTGTGTTTTGTGTTCTATTCCACTGAAGTCTCAACCCCCTCAACTAACAAATTGGTTAATGAATCAATGTTATTTTTGTATAGTTTTGGTGTTCAGTTATTGTTTTAAACCGCCCTTGGTTTAGCAGTCAAAGAGTGACGAGATGCTTGATTTACTGGGCTGAGGTTCAATCAAGGATTAGTACCTATTAAGTCACTTCCCAGGAAATCTTTATTCTGTAAGCCTTTGTGACAAGCCGGGTTTCATGCCCCACCAAAGCAGTTT
This sequence comes from Homo sapiens, assembly GCF_000001405.40. Lineage (NCBI taxonomy): Eukaryota > Metazoa > Chordata > Mammalia > Primates > Hominidae > Homo > Homo sapiens. Next base: position 98,208,132 of record NC_000023.11, on the reverse strand, counting down.
GCTTTTGTTTAAACTCAGAATTACTTTGGCTCTAAACTCCCTTAAGTATATAATTAGGAATTAAATCTAGGTCCTTAAAGAGCTCAACATGCATACCTAACTGTTACAAGCAATAAGAACAGTTTATCCTCATTCACCTTAGCCCATATTATTGGTCTTTCAAATTACACACTTAAAACCTGATTCCTAAAACAGAAGATTCCTAATTCCCCTCTCACTCCTCAGTCTAAGGGACATACCTTTGAAGGTCTAAAGGTTTCTAGGTCTTCCAATGAAGAAAAAAAAAATTTTTATGCCTCAAATGTGAAGGTAAATTATTCTTGATGGATTAATCCCAAAAGCATGGCCATTGATTTTGTCCCCAAAGTCATGACAGTGACCCTTAAACATGTTAACAGGTGTTAGGGACTCCAACAGCCCCCACCCCTGCACAAAGATCTAATTTTTAAATCTCCCAAAACTTAACTACTAATAGCCTACTGTTGACCAGAAGCTTTACAGATAACCTAAACACTTGACTAACACATATTTTTTAGGTTATATGTATTATATACTGTGTTCTTACAATAAAGTAAGCCAGAGAAAAGAAAGTGTTATGAAAAAAAACATGAGGAAGAGAAAATACATTTACCCTTAATTAAATTCAGTGGAAGTGGATCATCATAAAGGTCTTCATCCTCTTGGTCTTCATGTTGAATAGGCTGAAGAGGAGGAAGGGAAGTGGTTGGTCTTGCTGTCTCAGGGGTGGTGGAGGAGATGGAAGGGGAGGCAGGCACACTCATGTAATTGTTATTGAAAAAGATTCACGTCTAAGTAAACCAATGGATTTCAAACCCTTGTTGTTTAAGGATATTGTACTTGAGAAAATGCATGGAAGAATGGGGTTGAGAAGCACTTATCACAATACACTCACTGCTTGAGTTAAGACAGAATTTGTTATTGAGATTTTACATCTTGACTTCAGAAAAGAAGGTTCTAACATTTGGTTGGCTCCTTGCTCAGGAGCATGCTAAGACTAAGAAGGATTCAGCCATTGACCATTTCTATTATTTTTTTAGTAGATATTATAGGGAAAACAATTCAACAGTATTCAACAGTGTTTTGTGATTTCTTGTTTTAGAATTTTCAGCCTAATTTCTATAATCAGCCTAAACAGATTATAGAAATATTTGAAAGCTGTTTCCAAAATTGCTTTATGGAAGGTGTTGAGTAATGTAGATATGCCTTTTCGCCTTTTCGTGAATCAAGATAAGCCATATTGTTTATTTTACTGTCTGACTACTCTCTACCTTCAGAACTCATTCTTGGTTTGTTCAGGAAACGCTCTCTGGCCTTCATGTTTGGTCAGCATAAGATCTTTGGAACACTTTCATCCTTTCTATAAAAAACTATCTTAAAGCACAAGGAAATCTAACAAATAGGTGTTACTTTATTATGTAATATTATAGGACAATTAGTGTAAATATAAAACTTTTTTCTGTTATTGACATGATTGAGCTTAGTACCTAAGAGCTACAACTTCACCCTCAACTAATTTGACACAAATTAGAAAATAAAAACAAAATATTTTCAGTTAGACTGTGCATATAAAATCAGGAAAGTTTGAATTTTTCTTTTATTATATATTATCTTTTTTCCTTTCATATTTATTATCTACTCACCTCATATACTAGCATATCATTATCATACAACTTGATAATGAAGCTTTTTCCGTGTGTATAATTCCGTTACAAATACTCTGGAGATCCAAAATAGACCCACCTAATTCCTTAAATCATAATATACTACAGTGAGTTTGCAAATATGACTCCATGGGAGTAAATAATTTAATACAGCTGTCTTTGTTAAGAGGGAATCAATTGATCATTTCTTGTAGAAATATTAACTTTTTCATACCTTTGGAACCCCTGTTAAGAAACTATAGGCCTCAAAAACAAAAAAACAGCAGCAAAAGAGTCTTGCTCCAGGAAATCTTCCTTGATACCCATGTTGAATGTGTCTTTATTCCAATCCCTTCAGCATTTGTGAATGTAATTTATCCTTTTCAGTACTTGTGAATATAATTTATATTGCTACCTTGTAATCATATATTGTCTTCTGTTATCGTTTCATTCATCTCTGTGGTCACTGAAAATTAAGTAGATAATTCACACATTAAATTGTTTGTATTTTAAGATTTTGTATATATTGTTCACTTTTCATATAACCATACTCCATCTTGTGTGTCATACAGTATTGTGGGCTGAATTATGTCCTCCCAAAATTCATATGTTGAAGCCCTAATCTCCCGTGCCTCCAAATGTGATTGTATTTGAAGGTAGTGTCTATAAAGGGGTAATTAAGTTAAAATGAGATTATTAGGGGGGTCCCTAATCCGATATGACTGGTGCCTTTGTAAGAAGAGATTAGGACAAAAATACACACAGAAGAAAGATTCTGCAAAGACACAGCAAAGAGATGGCCATCTACAGGCCAAAAAGAGAAGCTTTAGTAGAAACCAACCCTGCCTACATCTTGATCTTGGACTCCTAGCCTCCAGAACTGTGAGGAAATAAATTTCTGTCATTTAAGACATCTAGTCTGTGGTACTTTGTTATGGCAGCCCTAGCAAACTAATACATACAGCTAACTATATTTATAGTGGTTTATGTATACAGCATAAGTATCCTATAAATACAGGTGTGGAAATATAGTTCTTTGTAAAGTGTTTGTAAACCATGATGCTTTTTTTTCAGTTCCATTTCAGTATCATTCAAAGTATTTCCATTCACATTGATTTGTTTCAGAAGTAGGTAATAAGGTGCCATTGTTCATTTAATTTGGTTGTCAACTCTATGTATATGTCTTCATTCAACACGTATTGGTTGTGTGCTCATTATGTGCCAGGCACTCTTCCAGATGTTTGAGATCCAGTGGTGAGTGCCGCAAAGTCTCTCTACTTATGGAGATTTCATTTGAGTGGGAGTGATAGTCAGTGGATAGCAGCAGTTCATTTCTCACTTTTACAAGAGTAGGTTTTCTACCTAAATGGCTTCAAAATAATAGTCAACTATTTTGTAACAGGTATGTATTGTTACCTTAATGTATTTTTAAAGTTGGGGGTTTTGGAAAGGCCCAAATATTTTGAACTGCCATATTTTAATGACATTTAATGATGCATAGCATATTGTATATAGCAGTTCAGCAAATGCTTGATAAATTGTTATAATTTCTCCTTAAATTTTCTGTGGTAGAAAGTGTTAGGTAACAACACATACTCAGTTTTCCAGAATGTTAGCTATAATAATTGCCACTGTTTTCCTTTCTCATGCTGAGTTGCTACTTCATTTGCATATTAATTGCTATCCACATAATTTCTGCCTTATATTTTTGTATTTATTTTATAATATTGTAGAATGTAGAGCTGGTTTTGAAGGATTTTTTAAAAACTACTTCAGACTCCGTTGTTAGCCTGCCTTTCATACATTACAACCACCACTAGCTAAATATAGTCTGATAGCATATTGTTGAAATGGATATTTACTGATAAAATGGCAAATGTTTAGAAACTATGTTCTGAACTGTTGCCAAAACGTGATAAATCTTGTAGATTAATGAAGCATCTGGGTCATTCCTATGGGGGAAAAAAGTGACTTCCTAAGTAACTGACATTACTTTTATATCTGTTAGTTTCAATATTTCTCTTTTATTTTCTGATACTCTGTAAAATTTTTGCAGTTTCTTGTTTGTTCAAACTTTTGTATTTGTTTGTTTTGGAGGGGAGTAGGAAAGGAGTTTTGTTTTTGCTAAATTGATTTCCAACCGATGAACAAACATAGCACTAAATTCCATTTCTTTGTTCGATGCATTAATTTTTGCCACACTGAATGTGAATTCACATGAATGTTCTGATGTGAATTTGAATATGATACAGCTTATACATTTCTAAAGAGAGGTAATGAGGAGTAAATATTACTTGCTTTGCAACGGTGTTTTAGTGCTTGGGATTTTTAAAGATGACACAGACACACACTAAAAATTCAACAGATGACCTTAAAGTGCACTAACATTTCAACTGACATTTTCTTACATGATTTATACTTTGCCCAGTGGTCAGACAGTGAATCAGTCAAAATGACTTATCCTGATTCACGAAAAGGTGAAATGGTGTGTTCTTCTGTGACTCAACACTTTCCCTGGGGTGATTTTGGGAACAATTTTCAAAGACTTATTCTAACTTTTTAGGCTGACTCTAAACTTCAAAGCCCTGAAAACAAAGAAATCAAAACAACAAAATGATAAATATTTGGTTATTATATTTGTAAAACATGACTCCTTCAAGACTTGATGGCATTTTTAAAATTCATTACCTCTTTCTCTTCAACAAATATGTGCATGTTTTATTTATTGTGAGAACTTGTCCAATGACATTTTTCCTTCATATTTTGGATATGGGCTGGGAAATTATGCACATATTTGAGAATCAGAAGATATTTAGAATTCCAGCAAGAGTGCTTAAAAAATGGATTCAGAAAAGTTTGACATTAGAAAGCAAAACAATTTATTCCCATGAAAAGGTAGAGAGCACTGGGAAGATGACAACTCAAATAGATTTAACTATAAAGAAAAATTTTTATGTTTTACTTTTAATAAAATAATCAAAACCAGAGAGCAACTATAAATAAAAAGGTCATTTGCTTAGGTGAGAGAAGCCAGTTTATTTTCTCTGAATAAGCACATACATGCAGCTGCTCTTGCCAAGTGCCAAAGCTTTGGGCGGTATCTGCAGAGAAATGACAAAGGCTGTCCTTGTCCATGAGAACCCTCAGAGTTAGAAGTTTCAGATTTCAGGAGTAGTTGAAAATGTTTTTGTTGTCTTGAAGCGAATATAGTTTCAGCCATAGGAGTTCCTTATACAGGAGCATGTAAATTCCTCTAAAGTTGATGGAAAGAAGACTACATACAATGATTGTCAAACACCAATGTCAAACACCAAACACAAGGAAAGAACTGAGCATTCCATTAACCTCTTCCTCTTCATCAGTTGTGAAAGGAAAAAGGTAAATTTGAAAAAGAAAAAAAAAAGCTCTAATCCTATGAACGACACATCTAGCAGAACTGCTAAAAGCATTTAAAAAAATCAGTCCTTTTTCCCACATCATCTGTATAAGCCCAGGACTAGAAAGCAAAGCAATACATAGCATTTGCTTACTAGAATGTGTTATGGTACAGTTCATTGCCATAAAAAAAAAAAGCAGCAATCTAACTACTTTTTGAAATTAAACAGAGATCAGCAAGCAGCCATCTTCATATCAAGGGACTTTAATAAACAAGTATATTGTGGTGTCTACAGAGTATCAGTTTTTCAGAGTTTAACTGATTATACCCACTTAGTTGAGCAGCCTGTTTGGGTTTAAAACATAGGGCAGATTCAACCCCCATTCTTCTTCTTCTTCTTTTTTTTTTTTTTTTTTTTTTTTGAGACAGAGTCTTGCTCTGTTGCCAGGCTGGAGTGCAGTGGCGTGATCTCGGCTCACTGCAACCTCCACCTCCTGGGTTCAAGCAATTCTCCTGCTTCAGCCTCCCGAGTAGCTGGGACTACAGGCACACGCCACCATGCCCAGCTAATTTTTTGTATTTTTAGTAGAGACGGGGTTTCACCATGTTGGCCAGGATGGTCTCGATCTTTTGACCTCATGATCCGCCCGCCTCGGCCTCCCAAAGTGCTGGGATTACAGGCATGAGCCACCGTGCCCAGCCCATTCTTCATATTTTTAAGGACCCTCAGTTTCATTCAATATATTTAAGGTTGTTTTAGAGAAAAATATAAATAGTGTTTCAAATGACAGTAAAATTGTATTGTAATCAGTCATTTATCATTATGTAAGGCCTGTAACTTTGTTCTGGTTATAAAATTCAGTCATGTGTTTATAACAGAAATGGAGGCCACAGTAATGCCCTATAAAAGAAAAATCAATGGTCTTTCTACTCTGCAGCAGGTTCATACTTTTCAAGTGTAGAGTACAGTTCTAGATGCTGATACAAGTTTTGCTGGTCAGTTGCTTTGAGCTACAGGCAACTCTGGTTAAAGAAGGAATTGGGGCAAGAGATAGCCATTGAATTCCCAAATACTGAAACATTTACAAGTAACTGTAGAAACTTCTAAGAGACATTGTCATTGACCATAAACTTGATACTTATAACTATTTCTCAGAAATAACAATTCTGGGTTCAAAAAGTATATATGTAAAACTTTGCTTAGTATTTGGCATGGGGAAAATACTGCTGTTAAAAGATGACTTGTTTTAGAAAATACAAATTATTTTAGGACATCAGGTACCTACACAATTTGTTAATGTTGCTATTCTTTACTTCATTTTCATCTTCAGGTTTGCTGTGGACCAAACTGTGTGCTTTCCAAAATTCATATGTTGAAGCCCTAATCCCCAATGTAATCATATTAGGAGATGGTGTCTTTGGGAGGTAATTAGGTTTAGATGAGGTCATGAAGGTGGAGCCCTCATAATGAGATTAATGCCCCTTATAGAAGAAGAAATGAGAGAGAGAGAGATCTGAGCCTGCACAGAGAAGAGGCCATGCAAGCCTACGGCCAAATGGCAGCTGCCTACAAGCTAAGAGAAGAGGCCTCAGAATGAAACCTACCTTGCTGGCATCTTGATCTTGGACTTTCCAGCCTCAGGACTGTAAAAAATAAATTTCTATTGTTTAAGCCAATCAGTCTAATTAACCTGGTTTATATATAAAATAATGGATGTGATGAAGAACATAGAGAAGATCAGAAGTAGCCAACGAATAAAACATTAGCTTGAGAGGCTGGGCGCCACAGCTCATACCTGTAATCCCAGCACGTTGGGAGGCTGAGGCAAGCGGATCACATGAGACCAGGAGTTGGAGACCTGCCTGGCCAACATGGTGAAACCCCATCTGTATTGAAAATACAAAAAAATAGCCAGGCGTTGTAGCGCACACCTGTAATTTCAGCTTTTTGGGAGGCTGAGGCACTAGAATTGCTTGAACCCCGGTGGGGCAGAGGTTGCAGTGAGCCAAGTTCACGCCACTGCACTCCAGCCTAAGAAACAGAGCAAGACTCTGTCTCAAAAAAACAAAAACAAAAAACAACCTGAGAAAGAAATATCAAGAACTGAATAATAACAATGATAACAATGTAGGTCAGCAAAATCAAGGTTAATTTTTATACTAAAGTTTTATGCTCTATATATGTCACATGAAGTCTAAATTGTTAGAGTATCTTTATCAAAAATTTAGGGCTTGGTGATGCATTTTGAATCATCCATAAAATATGCTCTTCTTTTTCTCTCCTTATGGCCTGTTATGGACTGCACAAACAGACTTCCTGGGTTTTAATCCCAACTTCACCACTTATTGACTATGTGATTCTGAAGGAGTCACACAATCTCTCTCTGTGCCTTAATTTCTAAAAAGTGGGGATACGGCCGGGCACGGTGGCTCACGCCTGTAATCCCAGCACTCTGAGAGGCTGAGGCGGGCGGATCATGAGATCAGGAGATTGAGACCATCCTGGCTAACATGGTGAAACCCCGTCTCTACTAAAAATATAAAAAATTAGCCGGGCGTGCTGGCGGGCGCCTGTAGTCCCAGCTACTCGGGAGGCTGAGGCAGGAGAATGGTGTGAACCCGGGAGGCGGAGGTGAGCAGTGGGCCGAGATCGCGCCACTGCACTCCAGCCTGGGCGACAGAGTGAGACTCCATCTCAAAAAAAAAAAAAAAAAGTAGGGATACAAGGTTTGTTATGAGGATTAAATGCATTGCCATATATGCAACACTTATAATAGTGCCTGGCCTGAAACAAGTAATTATATATAGATATACATCTATATTTACAGACACATGTATTCTATATTTGTGTTATTATTACTAGTAACACATTAATAGGTAGATAGTAGAAGAAAAATGAAAAGATGTAAAATCATAGGTTTATATTCATTCATTTGACATTTATTGAGGTCCTAGTATGCACTAGACATGGAATTAAGTACTGAGGATACAGAGATGACATAGTGTCTCTAATTATGGGAAATCATGAAACATTGTGATGAGTGCTGCATAATAATGGCGGCTTATCCAGGCTATTGAATCAATGAATGCTACCTAAGTGCAAATACTCATTTCAGGAATTCTAAGCAGTTCAATATGGCTGGATTATAGAGTGCAAAGTGGAAGTGTTGAGATACGAGGCTAAAAAAGTAAGCAGGGACCTTGAATGTCACACTAAGTAGATTTCATCCTGAAAGCAATTATAAAGATACTGAAGGACTGTAAATTAAAGTAATGTCATGACCAGATTTAATTTTAAAGATTGAACTTGCAGGGAAGTGGAGGATGGATTGAAGGTAGAGCGTAGGGGAGTAAAGTTAAAACCTGAAGTTGAAGATGAGGCCATTGCCATAATATAGGTAAGATATGACAAGTGTTTGAATTAAGCCCTGGTCATAGGGATAGAAAGGAAAAGACAGACTTAAGAGATCTTTAGAAGATATAGTTCACAGGATTTGGAGATCAGATTGAGCTGATGGGTAGGGTGAGGGAAAAGCACTAGTGAAAGATGACATGAAGAATTCTACCTCAGGGAAATGGGATAGAAAATGTGGAAGCAAGCAAATTCAGGACAGGGAATTATGGGTTTGATTTAGGTCGTGTGAATTTAAGTTACTTATTAGACATCCCATAGTAGAGTTTTAGATATTGACTCCCTCCCACCTGGCTGTCTCATATGAGTCTGGATATCAGAAAAGAAACCTGAGCTGGAGTTAAGCATCTGAAAGCCCACAGCACATGGGTTTAGCCAGGAAGAGAGAATGAATGCTTGGGAAGCAACAACACTTAATGGATACATTTTAAAAGAGATCTGAAAGAAGATTTAGGAGGAGTAAAGAGAAGTAAAATGAAACTCTGCTGGTTTCCATTAACTTTGTTAAGAGAGTCAAGGAAATAAAAAAATTGTATGAAGGGTAGAGGTGGCAAAAGATGCTCTGATGTCAAATAAGATTAATTCACTTCACGCTCATTTACTGAGTACAGACTACTTGCCAGATCCTGTTATAGGTAAATAGAGGGCAGAATCCACTGGATTTAGCAATAATGTGGTTACAGATGACTTGCTAGAGCAATTTCAGGATTTTATGAGGGTAGTATACAGATGGTAAAGACAGCAGTGAGTTGAGAAGACAATAGTGAGACAGTGGATTTAGAACAACAGAGCAGATCTGGCACCTTGATAGACTGAGCTAACATGGAAGCTTTCCTACTACAAACACCTGAAAACACCAGATAAATGGTAACAAAACAAAGGTTTTTTGTTTGTTCGTTTTGTTTTTTATCGTGCGGACTTGTGACACTTCCTAGGATGCTCTCTGGGTCATTATTAAACTCTTTTTGTCTTAATTATAAGCTAGGTTACACAAGTGCTAAGACCAACCTATGTTTTAAAATTTTATTTTTCGGCTGAGTGTGGTGGCTCATGCCTGTAATCCCAGCACTTTGGGAGGCCAAGGCGGGTAGATCACTTGAGTCCAGGAGTTCAAGGCCAGCCTGCAGAACATGGCGAAACCCCATCTCTACCAAAAATACAAAAATTAGCTGGGTGTGGTGGTGCACACCTGTAGTCCCAGGGATTTGGGAGGCTGAGGAAGGGGAATCGCTCAAACCCAGGAGGCAGAGGTTGCAGTAAGCCGAGATCCCACCACTGTGTGTCCGGAGTTGGTTCCTTCCAGTGGGTTCTTGGTCTCGCTGACTTCAAGAATGAAGCTGCGGACCTTTGCAGTGTTACAGCTTTTAAAGGTGGCATGGACCCAAAGAGTGAGCAGCAGCAAGATTTATCGTGAAGAGTGAAAGAACAAAGCTTCCACAGCGTGGAAGGGGACCCAAGCAGGTTCCCGCTGCTGGCTGGGGCGGCCAGCTTTTATTCCCTTATTTGTCCCCACCCACATCCTGCTGATTGGTCCATTTTAGAGTGCTGATTGGTGTGTTTACAATCCTTTAGCTAGACCCAGAGCACTGATTGGTGCATTTTTACAGAGTGCTGATTGGTTCATTTAAAGTCCTTTAGCTAGTCACAGAGCACTGATTGGTGCATTTTTACAGAGTGCTGATTGGTGCATTTACACAGAGTACTGATTGGTGCATTTACAATCCTTTAGCTAGACAGAAAAGTTCTCCAAGTCCTCACTCGACCCAGGAAGTCCAGCTGGCTTCACCTCTCAGCTGCACTCCACCCAGGGTGAGAGAACAAGACTCCATCTCAAAAATAAATAAATAAAATTTTATTTTTATATCCCTCACAGTGCAGTCACATAGTAGGTGTTCAGTAAATGTGCACTGATATTTGCATGAATTGACTTACTTTCTGTAACTTAAAATGAGGAAAGACATAAATTACAACAATGTAAGAGCAGATATGTGGATACTACAATACATGGAATAAAATTAAGTCCTATTCGAAACCACTAAAATGTCTCTACGTTACCTGTTATAAATAACAGGTAAATAAATGATACTGCATCCATACACTGTTTTATTATGAGGCCATGACATCGATATAGAGAGAGCTTTATGATATATTAAATGTGTGTGGAGGGGGAGCATGGTACAAATAGTGTATTTTAGTATTTTATAGTATAATTTGTATACAAAATGGTGTGGCGGGGAAGAAAGGATGACATTACTTATTTATATATGTATAGACCATCTCTTTAAGAAAACTCAATAACTGGTAATAGAGGTTGTCCCAGGGGAGGGAAACTATATGGCTGAGGGATACTGGTGGGAGGGAGATTTTTACTGTATGCCTTTAAAACAAAGTTTTAAATAACATTTTAATCTGTGCTCCTAAGAAACAAAGGAAAATTCCTATGTGCCAGAGAAAACTGAACGATAGATTGGGAAAGCACACAAACAGAGAGCATGAGTTATGTATCCTGCCCAAGATCACTCAGCCACTAAGTAGTGAAGCCAGGATTCAAACTTAGGAAATCTGGCTTTAGTACTTAGAATAAAAGATATGCTTCAAGTGTGTTTTTCCTGTGTATTCAAGAATAAAAAATTAAGAACAAAATAAACAGAAGGAAAGACCTGAACATAAAGGAATGTACTATGATTGAATAATCTTAAACTAAAAGGTTAAGGCTAAAATATGACAGTATTAAATAAGTCTATGGAAGATGATACAGAGTTAGCAGAAGTACTAGAAATCATCATAAAAGAAGAGGATGCTAAGAGAAAATAATAAACAGATTGGGAGGAAAACCAAGAATTTCTAGAAATAAATAAAGTCATTGAAATTAAAACTTAATGACTAGATTAAATCACACATTTAAAGAATGAAATCATGTCTTTTGCAGCAATGCAGATGGAGCTGGAGGCCATTATCTTAACTGAAACATCTCACAAAATCAAAAACCACAGGTTCTCACTTACAAGTGGGAGCTAAACAATGAGTACACATGGACATACAGAGTGGAATAATAGACACAGGAGACTCCAATAGGTGGGACTGTGAGAAGTGGGTGAGGGATGAAAAACTACTTATTGGGTACAATGTACATTATTCCAGTGATGGGTAAACTAAAAGCCCAGACTTCACCACTATGCAGTATATCCATGTAACAAAACTGCACTTGTATCCCTTAAATCTATAAAAATGAAATAAAAAATGGAAGATTAGACTCAGATGAAAAGAAAATTAGTGAACTTAAAGATAGATTTTAAAAAATTACCTAGAATACAAAGAATAGAGAAAAAAATGAAAATATAAAAGAAATTAAAATGATTTTGAAGATGGAATGAGAAGGGTAAACATATGTCTAAAAGGAATGGTATGAGTAGAAAATTAGAGGGAGTGTGAAAATTGTATGAGGGGTTCATTGCTATCCTTACACCTAGGCCAGAGGTACTCCTTTCCTGGGCACTGTACTTTAGAGTTCTTCACATATTACAGACACACACATATGCATTTTATTTTAAAAATATATAGATGCCTCTGTGCTGGTGCTTGGCACTAGCAAAGTTTAAAAAGTAACCCTAATCATCCATTCTCATTAAAAACAAAGGAAATAAAAAAACATTACTTAATCCCCAGGAGAATGTTTCTTCACATATCTTGCCCTATGTCCTCAAAGCAAACATCAACTACATCTGAACACAGTGAAGGTTTGTGGGTTGTACCACTATGAAAAGTTGGATACTGCTTCAGAGAGTGGAAAGGGTATGAGCAGTGAAATTACTTAGATAATATAAAGCCAAATTGATTAACTTGTCAAATCCTTCCTCTCAGCTTGATTACAATCGATTCTTGAATAACAAAGTGTCAGTTTACATTTGCAAAGAGCTTCCTTTTCTTGCTTCTCTCTCTGTTCCAATTCATGTGCCAAAAGCACTCACAATTTAGTGTGATATTCCCAACAGATACACATTGCAATATTTTGAAATATTAAAAAATTTATGTTAATCTTAAAATTACATATATATAGTCAAATATGTATATGTGTGTGTGTACTATCAGCCAAATGCAAATTGCAAGACATTCTACAAAATAGCCAACATTCTATAAAACAGCAGGACTACTCCTAATTTAGAAGTAGGTCAGTATCACAAAAGACAAAGAAAGGCTGAAAAACTATTCAGATGAAAGGACACTAAAGAGGCATGATAACAAAATACAGTATGTTATGCTGGATTGGATTTTGGTTAATTTAAAAATGGCTATAAAATACATAATTACAAAAATAAGGGAAATTTGAATATAGACAATATTAGATAATTGTATCAATTTTCTGAGTTTGATAATTTTATTGATTAAGAGAATGTCCTTGTTCTTAGGATATACATGCTGAAATATTTAGCTGCATAGGGTCATGATGTCCATAATTTATACTCAAATGACTCAGAAGAAATTATAATTTATATATAATGTAGTTAATTATATATAAATTAACTATATATGCATATATATTTATATATAGTTATGGGTTGAATTGTGTCCCTCTAAAATTCATATGTCAGTGTTCTAACCCACAGAACCTCAAAATGTGACCTTATCTGGAGATAGAGTCTTTACAGAGGCAATCAAGGTAAATGAGGTCATTAGGGTGAGGCCTAATCCAATATGACTGATGTCCTTATAAAAAGAGGAAAATTGGACACAGAGACACACATAGAAGACAAGGTAAAAAGATACAGGGAGAAGACAGCCATTTACAAGCCAAGGAGAGAGGGCTAGAAGAAATTCTTCCATCACTGCCCTCTGAAAGAATCAACCCTACTAACACCTTAATTTTGGACTTCTAGCCTCTAGAATTATGATACAATACACTTCTGTTGCTTAAGCCAGTTAGTCTATGGTACTTCATTATAGCAACTCTAACAGGCTACTATAGATTTTGATACTGGGAAATGGAGTACTGCTGTCACAAATGCCTAAAATATGGAAGTGGCTTTGGAATTGGGTAATTTGTAGAGGTTGGAAGAGTTTCGAGGTGAATGACGGGAGAAAACCTAGAGTGCCTTGAAAGGACTTGGTAGAAACATGGATATTAAAGGAGATTTTGGTGAGGGCTCAAAAAAAAAAAAGTGAGCAAAGTTTTCTTGAAAAAAATGGAATTACTGATAATTAGATAGGTAATTACTGATAAGTGGTTCAGTTTACTAGTTAATTTTAAATATTTTAGAGAAAAATATGTCTTTGAAAACACATGAAAAATACATCTATTGGTTTTTGTATTTATGTTGATGTGCATCTTTATAAAGACATAGACTTTTGTGGATAATGACTCCAATTATATTTGCTTCATCTTTTAGAACAGAAGTTCAGCAAACCATGGCCCCCGGGCCACTTCCTCTTTTTGTATAGTCAATGAACTCAGAACAGTTTTGACATTTTTTAAAGGTTGTAAAAAAAAGACAAATTTACATGACAGAGACTGCGTACTGCAAAGTCTTTTAAATACTTATCCCTTTGCAGAAAAAATTGTCAATCCCTGATTTAGATGAACAGAGTCAATAGAAAAGTAGTTGTGTGACTATTTTGAGTGTAACAACATTGCTAGTGATTTTTGTTAGTGTATTAGTTATCTATAACTATAAAATATATTACCACAGTTTTAGGGCTAAAAATAAAATATATTATCAGATTCTGTGGATCAGGAGTGCAGGCATGGCTTAACTGGGCCCTCTGCTCAGGGTCTCACAGCGAGGCTACAGTCAAGGTGACAGGAACAGAGTCTCATTGAAAGTCTCCACTGGGGAAAGATCCACTTTCATTCAGGTTGTTGACAGAGTTCATTTTTTTGTGGCTATATGACTGAAGGCTCCAGCTTTTTGCTAGCTATCAACTGGAGGCTGACCTTACACCCTAGAGGCCACCAAGAGTTCACTGCCATGTGACACACTCACAGGGTTCCTTACAACATGGCAGTTTATGTTTTCGATGCCAGCAGAAGAGTCTCTTTCTCCAGTATGTAAAGATGGGGTCTTATATAAGTTAACCTAATAATGAGAGTGACATCCCACTACTTTTGTTAGAAGCAAGTCGCAAGTTCCACCTGTCCTCAAAGAGAATTATATAAGATGTACACAAGGCAAGCAAAATAAACTATATGGAAGAAATAGATATTAATGTATGCATTATGCACATCTTTAGTTTTTACAAATTTCAATATTGCTGGCCCATCAATGGAACACCCATATACATACAAAGTCATCCAATTTAATTATCTTTGCTATTTTGTCAACTTTCAGTCAGATAAAAACTGTAGCTTTGTACACCTGATTTTTTTTTCTTTATAAAGATATACATGTCAAGGTATTTGATAGAACCTGTTTTATTGAAAAGTGAGTCTAATTTATAACTTTCTAAAAAATGTAGACTTATGGCATTAGAGCCTTAATTTGTACTTTTAGCCCAGACATTACAAATGTAGGGATGGGCTTTGAGGCAATATTTGAAGACATAATAGTTGAGATTTATTTTCCAGAAATGACAAAAGACATGAATCCTTAGATTTAAAAAGTACAATAAGTTTGAGCAGGATAAGTAAAAATGAATGTAAACGTCATACTGAAACTTCAGAAGACTGATGTTAAATGAAAACCTTAAACCAGAGGAAAAAAAAATAGTGATTATATATAAAGGATTTCTTAATAGCAACAATAGAAGCCAACAGTCAATGCAATAATATCTTCAAAGTAATGTGGGACCACGACTGCTAACCTTGAGCTTTCTACCTTGCCAATTATTGAAGAGTAAAAGTGAATTGAAACATTTTTTGGACAAACACTATGAGAATATACCTTATAGAGAAAGTTACTAAAAGAAATAGGAAATGATATTTTGAAAAAAAGTGTATCCAAAAGTAATTGGATGGGATGCAGGAAGCAACAATGAGCTCAGAAAGTGGTAAGTATATGTATAAGCATAGACCGAAAAAAAAAGAATAAGAGAAATAATAATTGCAATTAACTTAGGGGTTAAAAACAAACTGAAACTAAATATTTCATAACAAAAACACTGTAGATGAGGGAATTTGAGATAAAGTACTTTAAGATCCATTTTCCAGTTTGGAAGAGGACTGGAATTGTTGATTAAGTGATTAAGTTTGGATTGTCTCAGATCAGTGTGCATTTTTAAAGCATAAAGACAATTATTCAGCAGTAAAAATGAAGGACCCATCAATACATACAACTTCGATGAATTCTCTGGGAATTACACTGAATGAAAAAAGTTGATCCCAAAGTGTTACATACTATATGATTCATTTATATAACATACTTGAAATGACAAAATTATGGAAATGGAAGACTAGTAGTTGCCAGGGATCAGGAAGGGAAAAGAGATGGAAGGGAGGTGAATGTAGCTATAAAAGGACAATGTAAGGGATCCTCATGGCGATAGAACTGTTCTGTATTTTGACTGTGCCAATGTCAATATCTGGTTATGATACTGTACTATAACTTTGCAAGGTGGTACCATTGGAGAAAACTGGTATGGGGTTCATCTGGTTTCTCTGTGTTATTTCATACACGTGTATGTGAATCTGCAATTATCTCAAAATAAAAAATGTGATTAAAATTAGTTTGTGAAATAAACTGAAAAATGCATAGAGATACCTATCAAAGAAAAGATTATATTATCTTCCAAACTGAATGAGAAAAAAGGAATAAAGAAAAATCAATCAATACAGTAAGATGAGGAAAAGGAGAAGAAAAAAGCAAAGCAAAGCCACAAAATAATATGGTAGAAATTAAACTCAAATATTTTGGGAAACATCAAAATAAGTTGTAATATTTGTATGTTAAAAGTTAAAGACTGGGCCGGATGTGGTGGCTCACACCTGTAATCCCAGCACTTTGGGAGGCCGAGGCGGGCGGATCACGAGGTCAGCAGATCGAGACCATCCTGGTTAACACAGTGAAACCCCCGTCTCTACTAAAAATACAAAAACTTAGTCGGGTGTGGTGGCGGGCCGGAAGCTGAGGCAGGAGAATGGCGTGAACCCAGGAGGCAGAGCTTGCAGTGAGCTGAGATCACGCCACTGCACTCCAGCCTGGGAGACAAAGCGAGACTCCGTCTCAAAAAAAAAAAAAGAGAAAAAAAGTTAAAGACCCTGAGAGTAATTTCAAATGACAAAATATAGCTATAAGCTATTTTAATAAGACACTCTCAAACCTAAGAACAAAAAAAGGAAGTGTATAGAGGGATAAGGAAACACATCTCAGGAAAGTATTAATGAAAAAATACCTAGTGCCGCTGTATCTTTATCAGACAAAATATACTTTATCCCAAAGCATTATTATGGATTAAGGGAGGTATTACATAATACTAAAATGAAGAAATTTGGCAGAATGGTAAAATAACTCTCAATCTCTGAGAACTTAACAACATAGCTTCAAATTTTATGATGTCATCATTGAAATAATTACAACAAAATATCTAGTATAGTGAAATGGGAAGTTTTAAAAGAACTCTTTCAGTAAGGACATAGAAGATTGAAGATCACAATTACCAAGCTTAGTCAAATGGATAGAAATAGAACCATGTATCACACATTCAGTGCATATACATTTTAAGCACATATGAGATATTTACAAAAATTGACCAATAAAGAGGCTGCAAACACGGTCTTAACAAATAACCAACTATCAATCACATAGTGATCTCTAGCCAAAATACGATGAAATTAGAAAATAACCGAAACAATAAACTATGTAAAGAAAATTTAAAATAAAATTCTAAAAAGTTCCTGGGTCAAAGAAGATATATGAAAATTAGAAAATACTTTCAATGAATGACAGTGAAAATACTACAAAACAAAATTTGTCACATGAAGCCAATCCATCATCTACAGGAAAATATGTGGTTTAAAATGCACATGTTATAAACATTGAAGAAGTTAAAAACAACAGAATAAGCCCTAAGAAGTTAGGAGGGAAATAATAATTATAGGGGCTGAAATTACTGAAATGGAAATAAACTTGTATTAAAGGCAATCAAAAAAGCCAAAAACTGGCTCTTTGAAAAGACCAGCAAAATATATCAAACTATAGTAAGATTGGTCAAGAAAAAAAGCATTAAAATGGGTGATCATAGAAACTATAATAAAGAACTTTATGAACAATTAATACATTTAAAAAATTGAATGAAATAGAAAAATCTCTTGACATTATTGGAATAAGAAGCTGATTGCAGAAAAAAAAAAAACAGAAAATCAGAATAGACCATTAAAGAAATGGTCTATTTGTTTATTTAGTCTCCCAGATATGAACACAATAATCATAAAAATAGCAACATGATTTTAACTTTTTCCCAAACATCAAAGATCGTTATAGTGTACAAACCCTTCCACGAGTTTCAAAATGAGTGCAATTTCTCCAACTTAGATTTTAGAACTATTGTAAGCAAAGGCTGTACAAGAAATGCAAATTACAGGGAATCTCACTCATAAACATAGGTACAAAAATCCAAATAAATTTGCAGCAAACGGAATTAAGCAACAAATAGTAAAAATAAGTAAATGAATAAATAAAATAAAAATTATGAACAATTAGATGTTAAACCTAGTTTGTTTAACATTTCATTATTTTATTGTTAATATGCCTTCCTCTCCCCACAAGATACATGTTTTTCCTCATTATTTCTAACTGCAAGGATTGTTCTTTCAAATCCCAAACATAGTGACAGTGACATTTTCTGCCCAGATTCAAGAATAATTATGAATTAGAAACTACTTAGAATTATCCTATTCAGCTCAATAGCTTAATGGGAAGTATCTTTCTAGAAGAAGTCCATGTTCCTTTAATAAATTAACCAATAGCCTGCCAGTATTTGTTTTAGTAGGGGAAAAGAAACTGCATTTTAGAATCAGTAAAATGTTTTCTTCAACAAAAGACCTTTCTCCACCTAGGCATCAAATGACTTTTTGCATTTACAAATGCCTAAATTGAAAACAGTCTCAGAGAAGTATTGAGTGTATGAATATAAATTCCTATTATGTAGAAACACATGTGGTTATATTATAGAAAAGCTACAACATTGCCTTAATTTTCAACTCAAATGGAAACCGCAGCAACTGTGCATGTTGCAGATAGAAATTCCTATTTAATGCCACTATTTAAACCTCATATCATCATTCTATCCACTGTGTTTGATTTCCGTCCTGAAGGATAAAAATATTTTTTCTCTTGTGCGAGAAAATCTACTTGACCACTTCTAAAATATTTGGAATTGTGTCTCACATTTTGAGAAATGTCTACATGTTACAAATCTAGAGGCTCCAGATGTTGTTGACACATTGTAGGTCTTCATATTATGTTGAAATGTCCTAGTTGAGAGAAAGAGACTGTCTTGCAGTCTTCATTTGTCTTTCGAAAATAAGATTTTCAGAAGTGCTAATAAGAGAGGATGAATTGCTTATTAGTATTACATTGGCCAGTCAACATATATTTAGTTAGCATCTACTTTGTAACATACGGTCTTAGTCTGTTTGGACTTCTTTAAGGAACTACTTCACAATGGATAATTTATAAACAATAGAAACTTATTGCTCACAGTTCTGAAGGCTGGGAAGTCCATGATCAAGTGCTGGCAGATTGGGTGTCTGGTGAGGCCTGGCTCTCTGCTCCGTAGATGGTGCCTTGTAGTTTCATCCTCACATGGTGGAAGGTGGAAGGTGCAAGGCAGTTCCCTTCAAGCTTGTTAGTAAGTGCACTAATCCAATTAATGAGGTCTCTACCCTCATGATTTAATCACCTCCTATGGCCTCTCCTCTTAATACCATTACATTGGGGATAAAGTTTCAACATATGAATTTGGAGAGAGGCACCAACATTCAGACCACAGCTGATGTGATGCTAGGTTTTGGGAATATAGCAATTAATAAATCAGACTTCACCCTTGCTCTCATGGACTTTATGGACTGGAAACAGCCTTTGTTTCCAAACTATCTAGACCTGCCTAGCCATCCAAAGCAGCCAACCATGTTTTTCTTTTGCCTCACTCCTAGGAACCTGCTTCTGTCTGCTTGGTTTGATGAACCATACAGAAGTCACTTTTACCAAACATGGTTCCAGGTGTTCCTTTCATCTTGTCTTGGCAAAAAAGTCACTAACACTATGTTTGTCATAATGGCCTCTGACCACTGACAGAAAACATTGCATCTGAGGTAAGAATTACTTATAATTTATCTGGAAACTTTATTAGTTATCCATCCCCAATTTCTTTCCATGTCTGAACTTATTTAAAAGGAAAAAGAAGAGAGCTTGAGCTAAAGGAAACATATTTCTTAAGACTATCAGGAAAGGAATCCAAAAGTGTGTCAATAAGGAGTGAACGATTAAAACATTAGACTTTAAACTTGAGGCCTTGAGACCAAATAGAGCATAGCACAAGTATTAAATGAATGAACACATTAAAACCGCATTATTACTTTTAATGGACAGTTTTGAAAATTTAAGGATTGGATTCTGAGAATAATCCAGATAAGGTTTATTTGAATTTATTAAACTACTAGGAATTAAGCTGAATTCAGAACGTGGGGCCAGGCGCAGTGGCTTACACCTGTAATCCCAACACTTTGGGAGGACGATGCGGGTGGATCATTTGAGGCCAGGAGTTCGAGACCAGCCTGGCCAACATGGCGAAACCTCATCTCTACTAAAAATACAAAAAAAACTTAGTCGGGTATAGTGCGGGCAACTGTAGTCCCAGCTACGTGGGAGGCTGAGGCAGGAGAATCACTTGAACCTGAGAGGCTGAGGTGGGAGAATCACTTGAAACCCGGAGGCGGAGGTCACAGTGAGCCGAGATCACTGCCTCTGCACTCCAGCCTGCACAACAGAGTGAGACTCCCTCTCAAATAAAAATAAAAAAAAAAATTCAGAATGTGGGAATACCAGAAGTCATCCATCCCTACTTAATTTGTTTTATTTGGTGGATATGTTGTGAACACAAAAGCATGCAAAATAAAGAATTCATAATTTTTTTAAAAAAACATTGCAGCCTATGTAACATAAGTTCACAGGCTGCACCATCTGAACCATAAAGGAAGACCACAGAATCAATGTAACCTGTTTTAATATCTTTCTGTTTTCAATTGCCACTGACTCTAGGCACATGTTTATCTGTAAAATTTATTCCTACTATATTTATTTGGATGCTATGCCAGAGATTTGTTCAGAATGTTAATTTCACGAGCTATAAATACTGCAGCAATGAAGGGAGTTCATCTTAGTATAAACTATGAATTTTTCCTCTGGTTAGAAACAGTCTCAAGTAATCCCCACATATAAAAATGGCATGTGGAAATTGCCTACAGTTTTATGAGAAAATTTGTATTTAAAAGCACAGCAATAAATTAAAGTATTCCTAAGACTGTTTAATGAAGAGGATATTGAGGTGTATCTGGGGTAGCATTAGCTCTACTCAAAAGAACTTGTTTCTGAGGTAATAACTATTTGCAATAATACATTAGGTAAGAGTCTGGAATGGTAGTGTTTCACATCTTGCAGCACTTGTACAGTAGTTCTTGTCTCCAATACCTTGTGATTGGGTCCCTATACTTCAGTTTGTTGAATCAGGTTTTATACTTTGTGACCCGGCAGGTGACACTGGTAAACTAAAATAGGCATATACTCTTCATCAGGGCTAAAATAATCCAACATTTGGTAATTCCTATTCAACTGAAAGTGGTCTATGTAGCATCTTGCAGGAATGCTGAGGCTTAGCCAAGTAGATTTTCAAATAACTTGCGTATGACTCTGTAAGAACCAGTGCTTTTGTTTAAACTGCCTTTTTTCCCAAATGAAAACATTTCTAAAATACTCTGCATATAGGAAATAATTTAATCCCTTTTTAATTCCTTAGAGTTATTATCAAATATGTAATTATAAATATATATTCAAAGGCTAAATAAAATTATGTAAGTATTGAAGCCAGGAACTCATTCTCTTGAAAAATTGCTAGTATTGAACTGAGTCTTGGTTGTTTGCCTCTTTCTCATAAAACTACAAGAAAACAGTGTGCAGCAGTTTGATCTCTTGTGGGGTGTGCATGACTACCTTTCTGTGAAATTAATTGGTGAATCAAAATCCAAAGAAGCCTTCTCCTAGGTCATGGCTTTACCTTCCAGAAATCTTTACTTCTAGTATATGCTGGGTTTTTTGACTTGTCAGTGACATTCTGAACATCATCTGCTATTTCTTAGACCTATAATAATATACCATTGTTTGTCCTTTCATTGAAACTGTAACTCTTCAGGTTGACAACAAATGTCCTGTAGCTGATATCCTTAAAATGTGGTACAGGGATGTACCTAAGGACTACTGAGAGGTAGATGGCTGTCCACACCCCACAGACACACACCAGCAAATACACACACAGACATTTCTACTCCTACCAAAAAGTCTGCTGTTTTGCTGTTAGTGTTTATAAGTCTCTCGAAAACTACTGAAAATGAAATGACTGTTAGATTCAGAAGACTACAGAGCATGTGACAAGGAAATCAATTATCTTATTGCTTCTGACCTTTGGTGTCAGAGTCCGCTGCTCAGTCCCTACCATTTGTTTCTCTTTGTTTTCTTGTTCTCTGTCCTTTCCACATGACGTCTGTATTTTTCAGATTTTGTACTTTAGAAGATTGACTATTAACAACCCATGAAATTTACTCTCTTGATGAACAAAGCAATCAGTATGAGGGTGGGATCAGCTGTGTGCTCTTTACTCTTTCCATTCTTTCTTGTTTCACCAAAGCTATTTCTTTACTATAAGAGGCATTTCCTTTCAGCACTATTTCAGATATTTGAGATTTCTGGGTGTCTGTGAGGCATTCCTCCAGTTTCAAACTCATTCCCTCTTGATATTGTGTATTCATTAAAAATATTTATCAAGTGTCTGCCATGTGCCATGCACTACACTAGGCATCGGGGATAAAATTGAGAGCAAATTAGCTATCATGCCTGCCTTCATGAAGCTACTAGTCCCATTCAAAAGATAGAGAAACAAATATTGGCATTAAATCGTAACACTACATATAGCTCTCTTCCTTTCTAATGCTAACAGTAAAATCAGTAGTACCTAGAGAAGTGACAAGGAGTTGCCACATCTTTGAAACAGCAACTCAGAATTGCTACATTAATTTACAGGATATTTTTGTTTTGTTTTATGTCTATTTTAGCAGAAATGCTAAACGTGGACACTTTTGTGACATCTCTCCTCTGTCTATAACACTTCAAAAGCCACAATTTCCACTGGATTCTCCACAACTAACAAACATACTATTTTGAAACTTTTTGGCTTTTATTTCATTTAATAGCCATAAATCCAGTAGCTGTAAATCCAAACATGGCATGACATAAGAACTTCTAGGTCCCATTTTGAGATTGGCTTCCTTCAAAATGAGTGTTTGATGTTTCCAATTAAATGTTTTGAATTTGGCTATTACCACATTTCCAGAAAAATGACTACATTTATACATGCCCCTATTTAGAAACAAAAAGAGAATGAATAGTCCTGAATTTGAGTTTAGTGTACCTTTATGCATTTATTAGAGAAAAATGAATACGCATGTACATAAACTCTTGCTTTTAACCTATGTATTTTTTTCCCCCACATTTATTACAATTGTCACAGAAATATTTATTTCCAAACATAATTTTAATAAGTTTGTATTTTGTGGTCAAAAAGCAGCTAATAGGTTTTGAAATAATATTTGGAGCATTTTGTAATTATATTTTTGAATGCATGAGAAGCTTGCTGAATTTAAAAGAAGAAAAAAGTCTATAGTACATCTCTGCAAAAAAGCATGTCAATAAAATTGATATATCTGATAGGCAGTTTTAACACCATGTGTTCCTTAATTCTAGAGTTTCTTCAACAATTCAAAAGGTTGATGGAAACACTAGCAGCTTATTAGATTGATTATTAATTTTAAGCCTTTTGAGCAGTAATTGAACCAAATAAGTATTTATTGGACACCTATTGTATACCTAGGACACACTATTGCTAGGAGTTGTGAATGATGCAGGAAAAGATGTCTGGTATATGACGCACTAAGAAATACAGTGACCGGCCAGGCGCGGTGGCTCACGCCTATAATCCCAGCATTTTGGGACGTTGAGGCAGGTGGATCATGAGGTCAGGAGATAGAGATCATCCTGGCTAACACGAAGAAACCCCATGTCTACAAAAAATACAAAAATTAGCCAGGCATGGTGGCATGTGCCCCTAGTCCCAGCTACTCAGGAGGCTGAGGCAGGAAAATCGCTTGAACCCAGGAAGACGAGGTTGCAGTAAGCCAAGATCGTGCCACTGCACTCCAGCCTGGTGATAGAGTAATACTCCATCTCAGTTAAAAAAAAAAAAGAAAGAGAAATACAGTGACCTCAGGTGGGGTGGGGGGTGGGGGTGGGATTTGGGGTATCTTCTGGATTCTCTTCTAAATCTTTAGCTAGGATTTTTAGATGACCATACTCAGTCTGACTTAATTGTGATTCCCATAGTTTTAGTAGCAGTGTAGTTGATGGAAAAAGTATTGGACTTGGATTTGGGAGACCTGAGTTTCAGTTGCATTTTTTTATACTTTAATCCTGAGCAAGTCACTTCAACTCTCTGAGCTTCAGTTTCTTCATCTTTAGAAGAGAGAAAATATAACTTGTACTGCAAACCTCACAGATTGACTGTGATAATCACATAAAACAATGTGCCTTGTGATCTAAAGTTATGTCTATGAATGTAACGTTATCTAGTTACTTATTTGTATATTAAAAAATCCGTTGTATGAGTTCACCTATGTAACAAACCTTCACATGGATCCCCAAACCGAAAATATAAGTTTTTTAAAAAGTGTCTTGTAATTGCTTTGGATTATTTACTTAGAATGAAAGAAATGTGAAAATCTCCTGTACTTTTACATAGCCTATTCATTCCTTTTGCAAATTTGAGCAAGCGCTACATATTCTAGAGTCCACGATGGGCTGTACGCTGCTTTGTACCATGTACTTTAAAGAAAATATCTAGAGGACTGTTTTCACATTTGAATAATAGTTTCAAGCTTTCATTTTCTTCTAATGCACAGAGACACTTGTGTTTCACTGTACCAAATACATACATATTGTTTAAACACATGAATGGTAAATGACTGGACTAAGGAATACCTAGAAAACTGATAAAGCATTACTTCTGAATGTGTCTGTGAGAGTGTTTGCAGAGGAGACTGGCCTATGAATAGGCCAATTAACTGACCCTCTGCATGAGTGGGCACCATCAAATTGCATGGAGGCCTCAACAGAACAAAAAGGCATAGAAAAGGTGAGTTCTTCTTTCTCTTCTGGAGCTGGGACGCTCTTTGTCTTCTGCCTTGGGACATCAGAACTCCATACTTTCCAGCCTTTAGCCTCCTGGACTTAACCAGTACCTTTCCTGGATTCTTAAAGGGCCTTCAGCCTCAGACTAAGACACCTCTTTCTCTGGTTCTAAGGCTTTCAGACTTGGACTGAGCCATCCTACCAGCATCCCAGGGTCTCTAGCTTGCAGATGGCCTCTTGTGGCACTTCTCAACTTCCATAATAATGTGAACCAATTTCCCTAATAAATATCTTCTCATATATCTATCTGTCTACCTATCTATTCATCTATCTCCTATTGGGTCTGTCTCTCTGGAGAACTCTTACTAATAAAACACACAAAGTGAATGTGTTATATTTTTCCAAAAATAGACAAAATGCTACATTTTAAAAGGTTAGGCCTAGTGGTATTCTCTGCCCACAAGGTTATATATTGCTACTTAATTGCTAACAAATTGTCAACTTTGGTCTCTCTTCATTTTTTTATTTTGAAAACTTATGTGCATAATTTATTTTCTATGTTTAGTGAATGTGATAATACTAAGCACTGAGGGTTTTGATGCAAGAGTATAATTTATCCCTCTTCAAGTAACAGAAATAAATATCCTTTGACATCTGTGGTCTTCCTTACATTTCCTCTGTCTCTTTTCCTGGTTCTCTCTTTTTTCCTCCTCTTATTGAAGTTTCTCTTTTCTGTATCCATCCACTCCCCTCTCCTCCCAGCCACCCCATGATATGTTCAGATTCATGTTTTCTTGTCTTTGCAAGATTTTCTTCCCCTTTTAGAGATTTCTACAGTAAACTTTTCTTTTTGAAATAGGAGCTTAATTAAATGAGATTATCGTCTTGGCAGTGGGGGTTTGCTTTGTTCTACTTGGTTTTGTTTTATGGCCTTAATGGTGAGTCAAGAACATTTAAGTTGGGAAAATGAAAATGAATAATTTCCCCTATCACCATTATCTACAATTTAGTGTTTCCCTACCCAAACATTTCCAGTTTCTTTTTTTGGCTGGGGAGAAGAAGAGGAGAGGAAAAGAAAAAGGAAGTAAGATTGGGAAGCTGTGGGGCCAAGGAATGGAACAGAATGTTTCAATGGAATGCTGATTACTCTTCAGCACCATTCTGGGAAGGAAATGCCAAGACCACCCCCATCTCTCAGAATTACTCATCTGAGGTTTGTCCATTTAATTTCCAGTATAGTTTTCATGGTTCTAAGAAGAAGAGGTGAAATATTTCCCCAGGACTCTAACGTGATATTGACAGTAGTTATTTTGTACTGTTAGGTTGTACCCACAGTGGTATTCTCACTCAAGTAAGGCTGCAGTAGAGAGCTCAGCCTCCTCCACAGGATGACTTTACAGAGGCCTTCATTGAAAGGCTGCCATGAATCTGACTCTAGCAGAAGATGGCAGAGTCTCAAATCTAGAGTTGCTTTCTAAATAGTTGTTTGCTATTTATTTCATAAACCAAGTGTGATCCTTCATCATGAAAAAAAATTTAAATACTATTTTGAAAAATGATGCATAATTAATTAGCAGAACTTGTATTCTCAAGAATATCTTCTCAGAAGATATCTCATTAATATTTCTCCTAATATTAACTGAAGGCTTTGTCATTTGAGTCCTCAAAGCAAGGACTATTGTATCATTTTGCTAAAATGGATTCTGGTTCAATCTGTCTCACTAGCGTTTTACTTTTTCTTTGAAAAGCACACACACACACACATACACACACTCCTCTTAAAGATATGCTTTATTCCTCCCATATGCCAGAGTAAATCTCTACTTTGAAGGAATATTTAAGTACTAAATTTAAGTCTCACCATCCTCATCAGTCCTGCTGCTCTGACCAGTGCCAGATAACACAACAATGACATGAACTGAAAGTTCCAAAACTCATAAAAACTTCTCCTGGCTGTGACTCACTGTCTCTGACATTTTGATGCTGATATACTGTAGATGAAATCCATAAATGCAATCCTAAATTTCAGGCAGTTGGATTTGTCAGTTTAATTCAAGCATCACCTTAGTTAAAGCTTAACTTACTGTATTTATGCAAAAAGAAAGGAGGAGGATGGAGGCAAAAGACATTTTCATTCTGAAATAAATATTATCAGAGCTTTGCGGTGTTGTAATCAGTGCATGCAGACTAGTGCTACTCCAAACAGTAAGTTGGAGTTGCAATCTGGCAAAATAAGCCCTTCAAAGCTCATGAGCTTACTGCCATTCACCTGGTGGATTCTCCCCATCACGGAGCTGAGTGAGTCCATTAAGCTTATGTAACACAAGCTTAAAGGTGAAATGGAAAGCTCTTAAAAAATAAACTATTTAAGTTTCTAAATCAGGAGTGTGCATTATGTGCTGAAACTTAAATATGCCAGTAATGCCACATACATTTGTATAATGATAATCACATTCACATTTTAAAGGAGAACATTTAAAAGTAAATTTCCTTCACAGAACAGAAGAAATTCTCAATCAGTATTCTAGCTCTGCTCTGAAAGAACTGAAGGGAAAGGAGCAGTCAGGGAGTGCTGCATGCTTTGCAAGCGCTGTCATCAATTCTTATAAATCCTTAATCTGACTCTTGATGGGCAGGTGAAGAAGAAATTGATTTTTTCAGATGTTTTTGTATAATGAAATACAGAATATAAGAAATGTAAGCATGTACACATATTTTCATAGATATAAGACCTGATTTATTTTAGTATCCAATTTAGTGCACGGAAAACTGTTACAGTACTTTCGTTGAAAAGAGAAAAGGGGTGTTAAAACCGTATGTGCAAACTGAGGACATCATCAAACTTACCAAATGGTACTGGAGTTCATTACATGCCCAAACACTTTGAAAAGCAATTTGGGCATAGGTCCATCCCTAGAAGAGCATGGTGAGGTAAAGGATTGTTCCTTTTACTTTCAGAGAGCATGGTTTTTAGTGGACAGTCAGACTCAATCTGATTCCACCAATCTCTGAAACACCTGGTGCCATTACCCTGTTATAATTAAAATGCTAGTTGAAAAACCAAGAGGAAGACACTGTTGTTGTACAGGTTTATTGTAGCTTTCATAAGTAACTTTGTCACTAATAAAAATTAACCTTTTACTTAATAGATCATGAGTTGCTTTGCTTTTTCTTGGTGAAGGAGATGTCTTCTGAGCTTTCATCTGTTAAAAATCATTTCCCCTTTGGGACTAGACCACTAACTAGTCCTATGGTTGTGAGTGTTTAAGAAAAATGAATAATTTGCTTCAGGGGAAAATTCTTTTTCTTATCCTGTTAAAAAATGGGTTTGAGTTTTGTTCCCCATGACCCAGATTCCCATGACAACAGCAACAGTGACCTTGCCTTAAGGTCTAGGAGCAGAGGAAGCCATCAAACAGAATGAACTCAGATTTCCACTGTTGATTTTTTCAGGTGCATTTTAATGTTTCTGTCTCAAATTTCTCTCTTACGAAACAGATGATTACAACTTTGACAAAGGATGTCTATAGATAGCATTCTTTGTATCAGATCTGTGCAAATAAAAGTACTGATTTTCCCATTGGGATCAGCAGCCAAAAGAGTGATAAAAAAATCAGTTTGTGGCAACTTTGGCACCAAACATACAACAGGAAATTACTCCAAACCTCACTTTTGTAATGGACTCTAAATTTTCAGCAACTGAAAACCACACTGCACCAGCCAATTGGTAATAAATTTAAAATGCCAGAGGATGATTTCAGAGAAAGAAATTGCAGCCATGGAACAACATATTTCTAAGATCAATGGGACATATCTGTCTTACCGGAATAGGATACACTTCTGGAAAATAAAGTAATGATCTTAGAAGGCAGAACAGAGACTCTTTTTAATATCTTCCTCCTCCTCCATCTTAAAGGAATAGGATAAGAGTTAAATGTTGTAGGTTTCTTGGAGGTTTTAAGATGGAAGACAAAAAATTGCATTTATAATTTAAATCTTCCTGACTCTCAAATCTTTTGAATTTATGAAAAATGCATTGTATTTATATCTGCTTAATGTACTATATTTATAGCTCATGTATTTGAGAAATTCCCATTAAAATAGTTTGTACTTCTTTATATGATACAGACACATTAGACAACCATTTAACAAATGAAAATACTTCCTGTTTACCCAGTGTAAGTAAAATTAACATTGATAGACCTTGTAACAGGTCAATAAACCAAAGTTTTAGCAGTAAGTGGAGCAAGGAGATTTCAAAGTCAAGAATCCTTTTGGGAAAATACCATGCTTTTTCTTTAAAATTTTAATCACAGGAAGACAAGAGTGTTTTCATTTGCCCCATCGTTTTCACAAAAGAATTTTGAAAGAGAGGAGACATTTGGAAAAACTAAAGGGATATCTTTGTTTGTATAGACTAAAATCAACATGTAAGTTTTTCCCAAAAGTTTATAAGTGATCATTTGTGTAGATTACCCTGCATAAGCTAATTCCATACAGCAGTAAACAGGCAGGTGAGCTCTTACATGCTAGCCATATTCCTTAGTACTTTATGCCATTCATTCATTCCTTCCTTCATTCATTCATTCTACAAATATTTATTCAACCTTTATGATATTGGGCACTATGCTAGAGAGGAGGGATATGAAGGAAAAATAGGCCATATCCATGTCCCAGAAAAGCTCACAGTCTGATAGATGAGAGACACTAGAGGCAAAATTTACATTGTTCATTCCAAACTGATGAAATTAAGGCTTTCGAGGTTAAAATTTGCCCCTGGAGAATACAAAGTAGAATCATGGATCAAAGACCACCTTGAGAAATTCATTAATAAGTAAAATGTTCTCAACACTCAATTTTGAAATTTGAGGGAAAACAGAATGAGCCCCATACAACCTGAGCAAATTCTCTGAGCAAAGAGCAACCACAGCCAGTACTGATCCATCTAATTCCAGGATTATAGGAGATCCCAAGAGAAAGGGGAGGTTTGTTTTAAGTGGGATTTTGCTACATGAGAATTGCCTGAAGCCTTGTGGGCTCCCTCACAGAGCTCTTTTCTCCTTACAGAAGTATTTGCTATGCCTTTGCTCAAATAGGTTTATTACCTATTTGAACCCTCCAGGTGGTGATATCAGTTACAACGAATATAGAAATTCTGTGGCAGATTTTTTTAATGCAATTTCAATTTTTCCAACCTGTCGTGCCCTGCATGTAGCTACACATTTGTGGAAATACTGCCACTGAATGAAGTGTTGTAGAGCCTTTACAGACTGCTTATCTGATGCTATTCAAAAAATGGAAACTCTGCTGAGCTCCATAAGATAAGGGCAATCTAACCTTGCCTGTGGTGGCACATATCTTATTTAGAAAATGTACAATGCTTGTAGGGAATTATTTCTAAAATGTGGATTTTTGCTAAAAGGCCCTTACCATTCAAATTTCCATTTGTCAAAGCAGTTTTGGTGCATAGAGAGTTGTATTATGGTGTGTAAACCAGATACATAGCATTTAAAAATGTAAAATGAAAGCTTATCTCTCTTTAAAGATAGCGAGAGGGTTAAAAACATTAAAAAGGTTAAACATAGTGACATGTTTTCTGCCCCTGGGGGAGAGGGTGGAATTACCAGTTAACTAGAAAGCTATTAAATTCATTTTGACTAGAGAATAGTATATAATTCATTTTAGGTATTTAAGCATAAATTATAATATAGGGATTAATATCTTTTTTGAAAAAAAATTTTACTGTGTTACTGAAATGATGGTTGTTTTCCATTGCTATTTCTCTTTCTGGTCCATTGTTTAGTCCCAGGAGCAGGGCTAAACAAGGGATCAGAGGTAAGTATCTGTGTTTTCCCAGTTGTGAATTATTTTTTAGCCTCTATTTTTCTTAGCTCTCCAGAATTCAAAGAGGTTGATCAGAGATGGCCCCAAGAAATATTTATTTTCAGTGGTCCCTACCTGATCTTTCAGTAACTTCCCTTGCTTCTCAGGCTTCTCTGTCCTACCTCCACCATTCCACTGAGCAAAACATATCTCTCCTGTGCTCAAATATCTGACTCATTTACTTGGACTGCAGTAATAATGGTTGATAATGATCAAACGTGTTGCTCTCAAGACTATTTGAATTTTAACAGATAACTTATGAAGAAAACAGTAACTTAACAGAAAGAAATAGCAATAACCATCTTCCATTTTGCACCTACTGAAGGTTAACAATATAGTGGCTGCTTTAGATGTATTAACTCTAATCCTTATAATCCACAGTTTATAGATGAGTAAATTGAGTTTCAAAGAGCCTAAGTAAGTTGTCTGAAATAGCAAAGATAGGAAGAACCAAAGCCAAGATTCAGAATTGGGTCTTTCTATCTCCAAAACTCCATCCTCATATATCACTGTGAGACCTACTACTATTTGAGGCTAAGTGGCAAGATGGAAGGAAAAGTATTTTTAATGATAGGGGTCGGGGTTAAGGCAGTAATTCTACCCCTTGAATTAGATCATGATGGAAGTCTCTTCTTTGTCTCCATGTAGGAACACATCTGAGATTAAAATGAAATATGAAAATTCAAAGAAAAAACCATATGCTAATTATTTACAAAATCATCCAGTTTTAGAGTTGGAAGATATTTTAGATATAATCTAACCTCTGTGACAAATTGACCAAAACAGATATCCTACAACATCTTCTTGGCTGTTTTCGGTATGTTGTACAATGGCACACAGTAAATTGAAATCTCTTAATTAAAAAAATATACTGTACATATATATGTATTATGTATTAATACATAGACACACACACACACACACATACAACTTCCCAAGTCTCTTCTTTTCCAAGATTAAATATCACAAACATTTTCAAACACTTTTTACATGCAGTGATTTTTAGAATATTATAATCAATGTCTCTGCAGTTGTTTTTCATGATGTCCAATAGTGGTTTTGAGGGAAAAAGGCTACGTTATCAAATAAATGTGAGAGATGTTGGACTAAATATCTTTCCTGCAGGATATCTATGATTCTTTGAAAAATTCATATACATTACATATCTGCAGTTTTGGAGGTAGATTCCAATTCCCCTGATTCTCAGTACAGGCTCTTTCTATTAGCATAAAGTTTATGTTCCTCCCAAAGTATTAAAAATGAGGGAGAGAGAAAAAGAGCATAGACACAGACAGGGAGACAGAGAAAGAAGAGAAAGAAGAACTGATGGAGAATCTCTGGGGTTAGTTTTGATAAGCCACTTTCTAGGTGAGGTGTGTGAGATTAACAAGATTGACAAGCATTTGAGGAGTAAATTCAGAAGATTCACACTTTGGGGAGTGTATTCAAGCAAAACAGATATATTGAAACATCTGGAATCATTGATGATGGTATGTGCACCATCCTGAACCTAAAAAGTTTATTCAAGATCTATTTCTGTTTCATCCCATATCAAATCACAGCCACTAGTAACATTGTGCAAAAAGTGATTATCTGAATTTGGGATGTGAACTGCTGGCCTTTTGGTATAAAGGGGAATTGCAACTAGGTATTTAAACTCAATTCCCATTAAACTTGGTCTTGCTTTGCTAGCATGCCTGTGATTGTATTATTTTAATACTGTTTAAAAACAAGGTCCAAGTCCAAGTTACCACCTTCTCTTTCTTTATCTCTCATTTTAATCTTATACCTTCTAGAAAGTTTTGCTTATTCAAGTTGAATTAGGAAAGAATCTCACCATCAAAAACTCTACAAAGAAATGCATTGTGCATTACTAAACCTCTCTCTCTCTCTCTGATCTGACATTATACTAACAAACCTCATCTTCTAACAAACCAAACATGAGGCCACCACAAAGATTTAGCTATTCATGGTAGAGTAGCATAAATGTGCCTGTGCAGTCTTGTACTTGTCTTCCTCATCCCTCTGTCATTTAAAGAAAACTAGGGATTTACACCTATGTGTTCTGATAAAAAAAAGACTTTTTGTTTTCATCCAGAGTGTCATTGAAATATATATATTGAATCAGTAGTATTGTATTATTCTAAGAAGTATCTGATGTCATACTGTAGATCCTGTAGTCTGCATACTACTAAATAGCCTAATATTTCAGTTAACTATCTAATTTTAAGGCTGGCTGGACTTATTTAGGGTGAAATTATAGTTGCTAATGTAATAAAATTTGAGAAGTATCATGAAAGGCTTTCCATCCTCTCATTTCTGTCTTAACCGATCTGAAACTCCATGTTTGGGATTCATTCCTTTAGAAATAAGTCACTGTCATCTTAAAAACTATTTATGAAATGTGACTATTTCATCTATACATTTTAATATACCATATCACTAGTATGGCTTGATTCATTATTCATTTTTTTTCAACAGGTAATTGTTGTGCACCCATTATAGGCCAGGAAGTATGCCAGATGCTGCAGAATACATTTATAGATAAAGAAGTAGGCTCTACTTTTAAGGTATAAAAACCATAGAAATAAGACATGTATACAGATATCTATAACGAAAAGTTGAAATCAATAAAAACTATAAGAGGATTACAAGTGTGACACTAAAACTGCGGTGAAAAGAGTTCAGCTAGGAGGATGAGTCAATCTTTTATTTATTAATTTTTTTTTTTAACATTTGCAGAACACTTGCTGTATTCCAGGTATCATGCTGGGCTCTGAGGAGATACAGGGAAAAATTTTAGGTCTCTGCCCTTAAGAGGCTCAGTTTAAAAGGAGAGGGTAAAACAACAGAAAAATTTAAAAATAAAATAAATAACAAATGTAAGAATAAAGTGGTAGAGAAGGAGCTTTAGGAACACAAAGGCAGGTTATCCAAACTAGTCCAAGATTAGGCAAAGGTGGACGTTGTGGTGGGGGGAAGCTTCATGGAGGAAGAAACTTTAGGGCTGAGAACTGAGGAACAGAGGAAGATAAAAGTCACTGCAGGAAGAGCTGACAGTTG
This sequence comes from Homo sapiens, assembly GCF_000001405.40. NCBI lineage: Eukaryota > Metazoa > Chordata > Mammalia > Primates > Hominidae > Homo > Homo sapiens. Next base: position 98,174,358 of record NC_000023.11, on the reverse strand, counting down.
TTATTTCAAAAGGGCAAGGATATAAGGGAGTTTGGTGCATCCAAGAACTGTAAGAGTTCTGCCTGCCCAGATCGAAAAGACAAGTGTGGCTAAGGCAGGATATGTGACAACAGAAGCAATCAGGCTTAAGATCATGAAAGACCTTGGAAATTTTTCCTGAAAGTAAAAGATGGTCAAAGTAGAGTTTTATGACAAGGGAGAAACCCAGTCCTGAAGACATCAGCATAATTGGAGACTGGGAAGAAAGAGAAGGGGAGGGGACAGGGAGATGGCAAGAAGAGGAGGGAAAGCAAGAGATTGAAAAAAAAAAAAAAGGCCCAAAATATGAGACTTTAGAAAAGGAAGTATTGATGGCATGTGCTGGCGGAGAATCCCCATCCTAAGAAAGAGTAGAGAGCAATCAGAACCTGAAATTCCATTCGTTCATCCACTAAATAAAATAAAATTGTATTAAGTTACTGGAAAGTGCTAAATACTATTCTAAGAATTGAGGATATAATTTTGCTCTCCAGGAGCTCACAGCCCAGTGATGGTGACCAACATTAACCAAATAATCAGCCAAAATATACACTTACAAAATGAAATAAGTGTAACAGGGATGTATGATTAGGTTATTTGGATTAACATAAGTAAAAATTCAAAGTATGTAAGGCTGTAAAGAAGGAATAGCTGATAAACCAGGAGTCTGAGAAACAAGTAGTAGAGCAGCTTCAGGCATCCAGGGAGCACGGATTAATGGACAGGGTTGTCAGATGAATTGGCTCGATTTTCCATCTTTGCAATGCTGCACAAGGTACAAATTCCTGTGAGGGAGAGTCAGAGTGGCCTAGTGCAGGTCAAATTTCCATTACTTGGTTAGGAAAGAAGAGTGGCCTTGATTGATAGCCCTCTCAACACTACATGCGTGGGGGAAAAGTTCTTTCAAAGAAAACCAAGCCATATTTCTCTGAAGCAGAATCATTGTTGTGTTGGTAAAAACAACGGATTTCTACTTAAGAGGAGAACTAGCATAAACCTTAGGAAAGGTTTTCTGGAGGAGAGTCATTATTGAACTGAGACAGGAAGGATGAAGGGAATTAACTAGGGAAAGATTGGGTGCAAATGTCATCAGGGGAGTGGTTTTCTAGGCATAGAGAATGCACAGTATGTGTTCAGAGGAAAAGCTAATTAAAGATAAAATTTAAAAAGTTTGCCTTGTGGTTGCCAATTCAACAGCATGCATGGATTATTCATTAGCAATCATCTCCATTATTAGCAACATCATCGCTAATCCTAAGTGTAGGAATAAAGTACACAGTCCACGAAAATCAACAAAATTATCTACAAGTTCCCCCTTTTCAGATACTTGAATATGGCTCTTAGGAAAATGTTGGCAAGAACCAATGCTTGGTAGCATAATTGGAGTAATCTGTCACCCTTGTCATCACTTAGTAGACTTCCAAAGATAGAGATTTTTGTGAATTTTGGGGCAGTAGGAAATTTCTCCTCTTTACCTGTTATTATACCATGGAAGTAGACTTCACTATGCATCCTAGCATGTAAAAATATATTCATTTCTTTCTTTCCTCTTTTGAACTATGTAGATAATTACCCCTTGCTAGGCAAAAGTTACATCATTCTGGAGATGGAAGCAGCCTCTCTCTATTGCTTTCTATGTGATGTTAAGCAAAGCAGGTTACTTTTATCTGCTTAGGTTCCCTTATTTATGAAAATGATGATAAAGCATGCTCTGTGGAGACTTTGCAAAAATTAATTATGTCTCTCACTTTATGAGTAAAGAAAAGAAGGCACAGAGAAGGAATGTAACTTGTGCAATATTACACAGCTTCTTGGTGAGACAGCCTTTTCCACTCATCACGTTTCTTCCTGGAGCACTTGTGTGTGTAATGTAAAGAAAACATTGTATGTGAAATAGAAAACAAGGTTTTGAGCTCTGGATGTAACCTTTACTAGCTGTGTATGTGACCTTGGACATTTATTTAACCTTTCTGAAACTCAGTTTCCTCATTGTTAAGCTAGTATAATAATGCCTGCCCAACTCCTTTCAGGGTCATCGTAAAGAACAAAAGAAGAGCACAAGTATGGCTACACTGCACACAAATATGCAGTATTTTGATTATAAACTACATTTTGAAAAGTTAGGAAATTAAAGCTCTAAATGCTGACTAACTTACCCAATTTCATTGGGTCATTTTCTATTTAAGGAACTCTTGCAACTTCAAGCTCGATTCCCTTTCCTCTAAACCTTGAACCTTCTCTTTTGTCTGGAAAGACAAAGTGTCATATATTAATTTAAAAAAATTTAAGCGCTACCTAGAGTGTTACAATATGGTGATAAATGTGTATTTCTTTGTAATTAACTCTATTCCCAAATCCCCACCTTGTTAAAACTGAGCAAGAAAAAAAATTAGTCATAATATGTAAACTAATAGATTGGAAAAAAAAATTAAGAATTTTTTAAAAGTTCAATTTTGACCTTCAATTGAAAGAGGGTAAAACGTGTCCCATAGTCATTATGCAGGTCAAGAGCATAAGCATTTCCTCTTCCTGTTATATCTAGCATTGATTACATGGATTTTGGATATCTCTCCTAATAGAAATACTATAACTGCCCCACAGGAAAGGGAAATCAAATGGCAAGTCAGTTGATTCCTTGCTTCAGGCCAGAGTCCCTAGGCTCTCAAGAAAGATGCTCTGTTCTCATCCCATCTTTTCATTGTTATTCCTCCCTTACATCATGCCAACATCATGATCTTCACAATCAGTCATCATTGACATCATCCTCATCCTTATTGTTAAGATTTATTGAGCATTTACTATGTCCCTGGTATGGTACATAGTAGATGGAGTTTACTTTCTCATTCAAACCTTACAACAGCCCCAAAAGGTAATTATTGTAACTATCTCATGTTTTTAAGGGCAAACAATATGCATCTCACAAATTTCTGCATTCCCCACAACGTTTGCTGCAAATGCAGACCACTTCTATATTGTCTTCTGTAAGATAAAGATAACAGGTCTCTCCAACTGTTACTAAAAGGATTATATGAAATACCACAAAGCATCTAGCACCATGTCTGACACATAATGTATCCTCAATAAGTAACATATTTCAATCAGAACACATGTTTGTTTGAGAAAGCTTATGATGGAGCTTCCAAATTTAGCAGGTGGGGAAGCCTGCTCATTCCTATTCAAGTTTGAGGGTATAATAATGATAATAATAGTCACTTGCCATGTTTTGGTGGTTTACAGCATAACAGGCACTACCACTTTCTGTATGTACATTTATTTAATCCTCATGTAACCCAAGTTCGGTAGTTAGGCTCTCTTCATTCAAGAAATCTTAAGCATCTGCCCTGTTAACAGGCACAGTGCATTTGAGAAACAGCAAATAAGACAAGATTCCCTGTGAGCTGTGTTGTAATGGTAGAAGACAAATAATGACTCTAATTTACAAATATACAAACTGAAGCAAAGAGAGTTTAGGCAACTTACTCAAAGCCACAGCTAGCATGTGTAGGGATAATGATTTGAAGCCAACAGCCCATCTTTAATATTTGTTCTCTTAACCACTACACTGCAACTGTTTTTTATTTTAAGTCCTGTTGGGAGTAATTACAGTAATCTGTAATTACTGAGACAAACCCTAACCTGAGTATAAATTCATGTTCTGACCTTGTATGTTATGCATAAATGAATCACTTCAAATCCCTTCTGTTGAAAATGTTGGCTTTGAGATCAAATGCCATTTGGTTTAAGAGAGACTGAGTGATCTCCAAATTCTAAATATTTCTAATATATGTATATTACATATATGCTAGAAATCCTAGGTAGGAGATGTGATAGGTCTGAAAGTGTATCCTGCTTGATTTTCTGTTCAAGTGGATTGGAGAACAGATTTATATAAAAGCAAATCTGATCAAGGCTTACAGAAGCAAGGAAAGAAAGGCAGGGAAATCCCTCTGCGCTCCCCTACCTTGGAAATGAACATGGTTACTCCTCTTTATAACACCTAATAGCCAGACTGGCACTGTCTACAATACCGAAACAAAGAGATGATATACTGCTTCCAGGATGACTTGTGTCTCTAGAAATGTGTAAGGAAGTATAGACACAAATCACATATATAGACCACTGATCACAGCTCAGCTATTCAACAAAAATTGAGTCTGGGCTGGCCTCCAGGGAAGACTCTGGGGCTGTACCCGAAGAAAGTTCCTCTAGTTCTGTGTACACAAAAGAGATAATGCTCAATGTTTGAAAAGGTTAGACTGAGCCAGATGGTTCCAGAGCACATTTCTTTTAGGCTCTTGCGAATTAGTCTGTATGCTTATGTTTAATTGAAAAGAAAAAATATCCTGAAATGATGCAGGAAAAATTAAGAGAACAAAATAAGACATTTAAACTCTAGCAGGGGTCTATTGTTTGGATTTACCATGAGCTTTTGAATGCCCTCCTGCCCCAATCTCATAGTCTTTTTCTACTTTCTTTTTTAATGATTTAGATTTCAATTGTAAGCTAATTTCCATGATTCAAAAAAGCAGTGGATCCGACTGGCATCCCTGCGTAAGTGGGCTTTGAAGTAGAGCTGAAAAGTCTGAACAGTATCACAGGCCTTCCTCAGGCCTGGGCTTGCCTGTATGAAGTATTTCAAATAAAGTGCCTGCAAGGAAAGGCCATGTTACCAAACACATCCCCCGTCCCACCCCAAGATTTTAAACAGTGAGTTTCCCAAAAGCAGAGACCTCTATCTTATACATGATTAGATCCATTGTATGTAGTGAGGTTTCTGGCATATAGTAGACACTCAATAAGTGTAAGGTGAATGGTTCAATACATATTTTTGATTTCTTAAGCATGAACGAAGAGGACATTTTATGTTATTTCAACAATACTCCTGAAAAAAAGGAAGATTATTTATTAACTCTGTCAAATACATCAATAGATAAAGTAACTTTTGCTCCAAAAAGTTTGAGTTTAAAGTGTAGATGCAGAATAACAACAAAGCAAAGCCTCTAGAAGAAACATATCACTGGCCACGGGAACAGAAAAGTTAAGAAGAAAGCCATGGTAACATTTTATGTGCAGTTATACTTCAGTCATCTTGAAATAGTTCCCTCCTGAGGTACAAGCAACTTCTATTCTCTTCTCCTCTGGAAAATGGTTACAAAAGCTTTAGGAGATGGTTCATGAGAAGCAGGGGGCACCTGTTCTTTATTTCTCCTTTACACCCAGCGTCCTGTCTTTCTGACCCTGAGCTTGCTTTTTGTACTTTGCTAAGCCGAACATCCAACAGAATAATGAGTTAGTCTTCGGGTGTTTCAATAGTGTTCTTTCTTACTATTTTCATTAAAATAATGAATGTCAGTCTTCGATCCACTGTGACTGAAGGTTAATTGGTAAGCATTTTTTTCTGGGAGGAGTTGTCAGTATGGAAGTTGTCAGGCCCTGCTGTGTGCTGCTGAGATTTGCAGTCAAGGAGTGAGACCAGCAGAACCAGCCTGATTAGCACTGTGATTATTTCATATATGGTATAATCAGGCTGAGGTACTACAACAATGAGGTGCCTGTTTCCTTTCTAAATGAAGTGAGAATAGGCCCCAGAAAAGGAGGACTGAGGAGGAGATGGAATGCTTCACATACAATCAAACTCTAGTGATCCTAGAAGAGTCTGGTGGGATCTTAGTTCTACAGAGGTAGCAATGCTAATATAAATCAGACACATTAAATAGCAAATTAAGCAAAACTACCTTAAACCCTTTTTGGAATAAGCTAGGGTATAAGCAAGCAAACAGATAGAAAAGGGGCATAGAATGTTTGGTCAAACAAACAAGCAAACAAACATTGTAAGCCAAATTTTTTAAAAAAGGCCAGCTGCTGTGGCTCACACCTGTAATCCCAGCACTTTGGGAGGCCGAGGCAGGTGGATCACCTGAGGTCAGGAGTTCAAGACCAGCCTGACCAACATGGTGAAACCCCGTCTTTACTAAAAATACAAAAATTAGCTAGGCATGGTGGCAGGCGCCTGTAATCCCAGCTACTTGGGAGGCTGAGGCAGGAGAATCACTTGAACCCAGGAGGCGGAGGTTGCAGTGAGCAGAGATCATGCCACTGTACTCCAGCCTGGGTGACAGAGCGAGACTCAGCCTCAAAAAAAAAAAAAAGACTGTCCTCTCTTATAAGCCTAGTTGGACAGACATTAGCCTCCTCCCCTAAATGTTCTGAATAGGCTGAACTACAAAAAAAAATCAATCCTATTAGAGAGCCGTGTTTTGCAAATTTTCTCTGTGGGCAAGGTTCTTCTGAAGAATATACCAAAAGGTTCAGGGGTACATTAACTCTGTCATGGCCATTAGGATTTCATTTGGCAAAGCATTGCTGCAGTTCACTAAATACGCACTGGTGTGTCACTTAGCAAGTTACTGATGCAACACAAGAATCAATATATACTAATGGCCTCCAAGAGTCAGTGCATTTTAGAAACTTTTTTGTCCTACAAGGGTTCCTTTGCCACCAGAAGACATGACGGCTGCAGAGGCAATAATAATTTTGCCAAAGTGACAGGAGGCCTTTTAGACATTGTATTTTTTGAACCCTTTCACCATCCTCTCCCACTGCACTCTGCTTAGTCCGCTGTGCTATTGCCAAGCATAACTATCCCCTTTCTGCAGTGTGCAGAATATGCTATTCTCCTACCATTATAACCTCTTCAGCCTCTACTTCTCTGCCAAATCAAACTTTTCCCTTGCTTCAAAATTCTACTGGAGATTTATTTACCTCCTGCAGCAAGCTTCCCAAGGTAGCACCACCAGGGTATGGTAATTTCTACCATTCAAACTTCTATTTTCACCTGTATGGATTGTAGGGCACTGATAAGTGTTTATCTGGAAACTGACACATATCTCACACACACTCATGTACGCTCGTGCTCATGTGTTTTTGGATTCATTGCTTTTGATGGATTACATTCTATCTATCTCAGAAGTTACGCTTTGGCTAATAGTGGCTACTGATTGGTAAGAACTGGCTAAGAATTTGGAAAATGATAAATTTTTCAAAACAGAAGCTTAAAATAATCAAGAAATTTTGTCTTTCTATTCTCATCCTTTATTTCTACTTTTCTTTTGTTTCTCATAAAACAACATTCCCTGAGTTGACATCACTTTCCACACATTGAAAGACCATTTTACATAAAGGGCTGATTCATTCCCTTTCTCGCTTTCATGATCCTTAGCAGTAATGCCAGAAATTTTCATGTTCAGGGCAGACCAAACATGGGAAGAAAGCTGCTCTCCTGTGCTCAGATCTAACTCAGCAATTTCACGCACATACACACACACACACACACACATTGACGCACACACGTACCCTTTTATAACTAAATGCACACTAGTGTGTCAATTAGCAAATTATTAATGCAACACGAGAATCAATATATCCTAAGGCCTACAAGGGTCATTTATAACTTTATGGTTGACTAGAAAAAATGTGCTTAGACACTAACTTTTTATTACAATATTCTGAGACCTGGAAACATACTTAGGTTTGAATATTGAAGCTCCACATTTTTCTAGTAACACTTTTTTTGTAGAAATAAATATATATTTTTGAATGTAAATAGTCAACTATAGATTCAATGCAAGTAAAAACTAACTCTGTGGACACATTTTCTATTCTTCATTCAAGCCCTTGTATTACCAAGGATTTGGTGCTGTGTTAGAACTCTGAAGGGCAATAGCTGCAGAGACAATAATAATTCTGCCTAAGTGACAGGAGACCCTTTAGCCATTGTTTCTCTTTGAACCCATTCACTTTTTATTATGGACCCCTGTGGCAGAAGTTGAGGAAAGCAACAATAGCAACATCATTTCCAAAACAAAGGACAACACAAAAACTTGAAAATCTTGGTGGGTGGAATTGAATATTCACATTTAGTAAGCATTTGTGCTTAGTCTTAATGTGATCAAATGTGCCAAATTAGCTAATTAGAACTTTACTATATATGCTGTTTCCTATGAAACAGATTCTTCCTTGCAAATATGAGTTATATGTTTTTCTCTTAATCTCCTTTTCTATTTTAGAAGAGATTGCTGTTGAATTCCATTATATAGCTTTCTATTAAATTCAAACAAAAGTGGATACAAATACGTTATTCCCTCAGCTGATGATATTTGTTGCCGAGTATTTCTCTGGTTATCATCAACCAGAATAATTTTTTGATCTTTAGAATTTTTCAAAAGAATGCATAAAATTCATTTTCTACTATTGGCCCAACCACATTATGGAAATTTGAACATAAAAGGTAGCAATATCACATGCTAAATCAATCTTCTTGGATTATTCAATATTCATGTTTTGGGTCTATTTGATATTGAGTCAGATTTTAATATAGTGTACATACTTTTTTTCTCAGCATAAAGCAGTGAATTTTAGGTCCACTCTTTTGAAATGCCTCACACCCCCTCCCCAATACACACACAACCAATAATCATTATAGACTGTATCCTGTCAAACTTCTAAGGACAGATCCACAGATTTTTTGGTATTGGGAACATCATTAAGTTCAGCCATTTAGGGATAAAGAAATGACAGAAAATACGTGTGGTTGCCCTTAGCAACTACTGCATCATATGCTATTTGTGTTATCTGTGAGCTGCAGGGCATCACCTTCTTTTAAGAAACACAAACATGTACACACAGTACACCCCATGATAGTCTCCAGCTAATCACAGATTCTACAGTTATAATAATGTAAGAAGGGGAGCACATATTCCTTTGGTTTCACTTTTCTGTTTATCATGCAGATACTTTCAAAATGTAATACTTTATTTTGCCTTGTTTTTCAGAAAAAAAAACTTCACAAAATATTATTTTTATGGGGAGAATAAGAAGTAGAGCATTAGATTTGATGGCAACAGCAGCCTGTTTAAAATAACAATAACTACTTCAGCCAATAATTTGAAAGACTTCCTAATATAGAAATCTGGCTTTCAGATTATTTTTTTCTCCAGTTTCTCAGTGTGCCTATATTATTTTTTGTTCTTCACAAGATCACAGCATAGTGTTTGTTATATGAGGACATTGAACTAGAAATATCAATTTTAATCCCAGGTATTCTGAACTCAATCAAATAATGTTTGAAAATTTTGTAGGCCAAAAGGAAGTTGTTTGGTGCCAAATTAGCTAATTAGAACTTTGCTTTTAATAGTCTTGCCTCTGAAAATTGTTTAAGTATTTCCACTGTGGGTTGGCTGACCTACCTATTCTTTCAAAAAGGCAATTATAATAATGAACTTGATAATTTTTTTCCAGATATTTCTCAATATGTTAGGCATTTCTCACTATAAAAATAAATACTATTCCTCAAAGTTGCTTATAAACAAAATAATTCAACTGAAGTGCTGTTTGCTTCTTTCTTAGGTGGGGATATACTGATGGTCTCTTTAAGAACTACTCCCCAGTGCAAAACTCTACAGTCTTTAGGATCGTTCACAAATACTGTTTCTCTTCCTTCTGCTACATGGTAGGACTTGATTGTACATCCTTACCCCTTTGTGTTTTGTTGAGGCTACGTGACTTACTTTGACCAACAAAATATGAGCAGAAAGGACATGTGTTACTTCATAGATAAAAACTTAATAACTGGTGTTCACTTTGCCTTTTTCGTATTTCCTGCATCTTCAGCAGCAGTTTAAGCAGGGCTTGAGACACAGCTCCCATTAGCGCAGATCCCTAGGTTACTACTCTGGGCATGACCCTACCTGCAGCTAAGATTTTGAGGTTTTGCAGTTACTGCAGCATAATCTAGCACAATTTGATGAGAAAAAAAAAATGAAAAAGGAACAAAATCTCTAAGCCTGTTGAAGTTTTATCACTATAGATGTTAGATTGTTTTTGTTTTACCTTTGGGCTACAAAGTTGAGGATAGAGTTGTCTCTTCTCCCCAGGAACCTTATGGTAGGTTACAAAAATAGTCTTATCTCTCCTTTTATCTATGCCCTTTTGCCATATTATTTTTCAGGGTATTATACTCTGACTCTTGGTTTCACCACATGACGTCCTTTGGGATGTTTGCAAAAGAAATGAAAAGAGTCTTGAAAATGGTTGGATGATTGGGCATGTCTTCTCTCTTTTTTTTCTCTTCCATTGCCATAAGAACATACCTGGGATAACCTGCAGAATGATGAGAGATGTGTAGAACACACATGCCACAAGTTGCCCTAGTCATGCCAGTCCAAGTCACCTTAGATGACTGAAAAGCCAGCCAAATCCCAGACATGTGAGAGAACCCAACCAAGATCAATACATCCCCTAGAAAACTGTCTTAGGTATGTGAGCAATAAACACTTGTTGTATGCTAATGAGGTTTTGAGATTGTTATAGAACATCACCGTGGAATCAGTATCACTGATATACTCTCCTACCCTCCTGACTCCTCACCTCATCCCCACTCTCCACAGGCCCTTCTGGAACATTATACCCTATCATAACTCCGTACTTGCTGTGTCTTCACAATATTCCCTTCCAACTCTCTCATACAAAATCACTTCCTCAGGATATAAATGGTACAAGTTACCTTTTGCAAAACTGGTGGTACTTAATCTTCATCTTCCTAGCATTTTTATTGTTACCAGGCTTTTCCAACCTTGCTACCTTTCTTGTCTAAACAATGGATGTAAAAGTCATCTACCCAAAGAATGTGTGCACATGCACGTGTATGTGTGTGTGTGCGTGTGTGTGTGTATAAAACACTGTGTATTTTGGGAGATATCTTACATGCAAAAAGTGTTTCCAAACCTATATATACTTTATTGATCAAGTTTTCTCCTCTCTTATAGCACAGACAAAATATACACTGGCTCGGTGGAAAATTAATCCTGTATATTTTACAGTTCAGCTAAAACCAAAGTGGGTCTTTTGTTTTCCTTGCCCTACAACTGAAGGTAGACTAAGGGAGAAAAACACTGCTGGGGGACAAGAGGGATCTAATATTTCAGTAACTTATTTAATGATTTGTTTACCGTTTGTGTTTATCCTCTTAAAAGTGCATTAGAGTTCTATTTCGTTGGTTGAGTTCATATATAAGAAAGGCAAAATGTGTTTCTGAGAATAATTATAGGCCAAAATACAGAGAAAGTCTTAGGGTAGAGTCCAAAATACATTATTTTGCAGATTTTTTCAGCCTCCCTTAATCCATTGTGGCATTTTTACTTATAAAAACAGCTGTGTCTTTGTCCAAAAGATGTTAAAATCTACTTTTGTCTATCTCTTACTTTAGACAATTCAATATTATGATGAATCAACATTACTTCCAATAGTCAGAGTCTACCACCACATTATTTCAGTTTTTGTTTGCAGTTTTGTAATGTCCTTTGAAGAGCATGAAAATATTTTTTCTTTCCTCATCCATTTTGTCTTTTCTCTTCTAGAAACTATTGATTCCTCCGTCCTTCCTCTAAGTGTGTATTATACGTTACTGACTACTGTGATTGCATTCCTAGTTTTTTGTTTTATCCACATAAAAGATACATTATTATCTCTCTAGAAGAAGTTTTAGCCATTTCGTGCAACTTTTTAGGTAGAGTTACAAAATCCAGTCTTAAAAATTAAAACCAAAACCTCTAATGAGATGGACAAGAGAGGGCAAACTTTTGTTTGCTCTCTTTTTTATTTACCTTATGAGAGAGCAAACAGAGCTTCTTTGAAGAGACCTCACTCTGCATACATCTCTGTTTCCATATGTATTTAATGAGGATATGGATAGTTTTAACTAATTTATAAAGTGTAATCGTTTGCCTGACAATAAACTGTCATTTACTCATTGTAAATCCACAAATTCGATCAAAAGCAAATCACAATTTTGGAGCACTGTTAAACACTTCGCATATTTTCATAGTAAATTAGCACTTGGTTATTTAACACAGGTGTTTCTTTAATTGCGCTACTTTAGGAAAATTCAATGCCCAATGGCCCTCAAGCACTTCCACCTGTTGAGTGTATTGGCCTATTATTAGGATACCAAATGAAATTATAAAATGTGTAAAATGTTAACTGATTAAAGACTTCATTTTGCTTATTCTGATGCGAGTTTTTTTTTTGTCACTTCATGTTAAGCACAATTTTACACCTCATACCCCCACAAAAAGCTCAAGTTGCTAATAGTATACTTAGCAAAAAAATACAGATGTTATTTTCAAATTAAAACCTTGAATTTAAATCACAAATAGTTTTCTACATCATAAATCTTGTTTTGAAGAGGAATGAAGCAAGATATTAAAGCCAGCAGACTATGTAGCAATATTGTTCCATGATACAATGTCCTAAACAATACTGGAATAATTCATTGCAAGGTATTAAATAATTTCATAAGTCATTCAAAAGCCTTTTTTGAACCCAAATAGTAGGCACAGAGATGGGAATGGGTGATGCTTAACATTGTGCTATGGAAAATGCAAAGTATATAAATAAAGCAAGATCCCTGTCCCCTCAAAAACCTTACCAACCAGTTTGGGATCCAAAATTAATATGAGAAATAATTAGCAAACAAGTGGATGCTAAGTCTTCACAAACAAAGTGAAACTGCAGGTGAACTTCAGAAAATTTGAACTAAAAAAATGATCTTTTCGGGGGTGGCAGTAATTAGCACTAGCAAAGGTGTAGAGGCAGGAATAAACATGAAGACCTTGAATATTACAGCTTAAGAGACTGGAAAAAGGCATTTTGGCTTCATTCAAAAGTTTTGCTTTATTATTATTGTTGTTTATGCCTAAGTATTTTAATTTTTTTTTTTTTTGAGGCGGAGTTTTGCCCTTGTCGCGCAGGCTGGAGTGCAATGGCGTGATCTCGGATCACTGCAACCTCTGCCTCCCAGGTTCAAGTGATTCTCCTGCCTCAGCCTCTCGAGTAGCTGGGATTACAGGCACCTGCCACCACGCTCAGCTAATTTTTGTATTTTTAGTAGAGAAGGGTTTCACCATGTTGGCCAGGCTGGTCTTGAACTCCTGACCTCAGGTGATCCACCCGCTTTGGCTTTTCAAAGTGCTGGGATTACAGGTATGAGCCACCATGCCTGGCCAGTATTTTAATTTTTTGTTATAATTTCTTATTTGTCCCATGAGTGATTTTGAAGTGCATTTTAATGTCTGAAAATATCAAGGTCCTTTCTTATTCTTTTTCTTATTGATAATCCAAATTACTTGCATTGTCCTTAGAAAATAATCTACCCAATATCAATTCTGAATTTTTAAAAATTTTTAAATTTTTAATTTCTGTGAGTACATAGTAGGTATATATATTTATGGAGCACATGAAATGTTTTGATCCAGGCATGCAATGTGAAATAATCACATGATGGAAGATGGGATATTCATCCCCTCAAGCATTTATTTTTTGTATTACAAGCAATCAAATTACACTCTTTTAGTTATTTTAAATTGTACAATTAAATTATTATTGACTATCAAATAGTATGTCTTATTTATTTTAGTCTTCACTGTTTGGCCTCATTTGTACCCATCCTTCTTAGGAAGGCTTTCCAAATATTCTAAAGGGCTTTGGTGTTGTGATCTAAGTTGTGTGTGCTTTAGGAGGCACCCCAAGCCCAGTAATGCTGTGGTTCTTAGAGACTCATAGAGATACTGCCTTGATTGTCTTGGACAAGTTCCGGGAGAATTCTCTGGATTACTAGGCAGAGATTCTTGTTCTCCTCCCTTACTTTCCCCCCAACAAATAGAGTCTTTCTCTCTGTTTTGAGCCATCTAAAGCTGAGGGTGGAGTGACACAAGCTCACCTGTGGCCATGACCACTATGGCTGCACTGGGGTCAGACCCAAAGCCATCACAGCACTTGGTCTCACCCAAGGCCTTTTGTAACCACTCCCTGGAAAGTGCCCTTGTTTGCTCAGGGCCCTGGGGGTCTACAATCAGCAAGTAGCAAAATCAGCCAAGCCTCTGTCCTTCCCTTCAGGGCAGCGAGTTCCCCCAGGCCCCAGGTGGGTCCAGAGGTGCCATCAGGATTCAGGGACTAGAGTCAAAATCCTTAGAAGTCTACATGGTGTTATATTGTGCTATGGCTGTGCTGGCACTCAAACCACAAGACACAGTTCTTTCCACTCTTCCCTTTCCTTTCCAAAGGCAGCAAAGCCTCACCTTGTAGCCACCGCCACCCCAGGCTGGTACTACCAGTTTACCAGCCAATTTTTCCTGAAGGGCCATAGAGCTCTTAAATCAGCTTTTGGTGAATGCTGCCTGGCCTGGTACTCATCCTTCAAGGCAGTGGGCTCCCCTCTGGCCCAGGATATGTCCAAAAATGCTGTCCAAGAGTCAAGTTCTAAAATCGGGGACCCCCAAGATCCCCACATGGTACTTTTAGCCCCATGTAGTCATGCTGGTACCTAAGGTAGAAAACAAAGTCCTCTTTACTTTTCCCTCTTCTTTTGTCAAGCAGAAGGCATTTTACTCCATAGCCACCACAGCTGGTAATGTGCTGAGTCTCACCTGAAGCCAACATATATAAGAGGTTCACCCAAGACCTTCAGTGAAGTGTGTGGATATCACTGCTGATTATTCAGGGCCCAAGGGCTCTTGACTTAGCAGGTGATTAATGCTGCCATTACTGGATCCTTTCCTTCAAGGCAGCAGTTTTGTTTTTTGTTTTATTCTGGCCAAGGGTATGTCTACAAATGTCATCTGGTGCTAGGGCCTGGAATGGGGACCTCACAACTCTAACCAATACTTTATCCTGCTTTATCCTTGCAAGATGCAAGACAATGTTCTCCCCACTCTTCCCTCTCCTCTCAAGCAGAAAAAAAGGGGTCTCTTGGAGTCATGAGCTTTGCAGCCTGATTTAGGGGAGGGATAATACCAGTAACCCCAGAGTCATCCTAGCTTGTGTCTCAGTAGGTCCTGTGCCCCACCACAGTCCACCGTCTCTCGGCCTAGTTCAGCACTAGGACTTGCCTAAGAGTTGCAGTCATTGTGGCCAAGCCTGCCTTTCAATTTTACTAAGAGATCCAGAGCACTGTAGCCTGTGGTGATGAGGTTTGCAGGAATTCAAGTTTCAGTTACTGGGATCAGCAAATCCCCTGTGACTACAGCTGGTTTAAATGGTCACTCCATGGGCAGTCATCAACTGAGTTTGGTCCGGTTTTCCTTTCTGCTCTAACACAGCAGCTCTAAGTTCAATGCCTCACGATTGCTGTGCTCTCCCTCCCCCAGTGACCAGAGATGCTCTCTGCGTCATGCTGCTTCTACTGGGTGGTGGGGGAGGGATGGTGCCAGCAATTCAGGACTGTTTCTTTGTTTGTTTCTTTTGTTTTGTCTCTTCAGTGCCTCTTTCAGTGATATGAAGTTAAAACCAGACACTATGAGTGCTCACCTGATTTTTGATTTTTATGAAGGTGATTTTTCTGTGTAGACAGTTGTTAAATGAGTGTCCTTGAATGGGGGGATGATCTGTGGAGACTTTTATTCTCCACATCCCTACACTCTAAAATTTTTGCCAGCTTCTTTATGATTTAATATGTATTCAATTCTTATGATTGTTCCATGTGTTCTTAAAAATAAAAGGTATGCCCTCCAAATGTTAAATGCAAGGGAATACACATATGCATATATATACACATATATGTACAAGTATACATATAGTCCATTAAATATTAATGTTCAAATCTTCTATTTTATTTTTTCTTAATGCATTTGTAAGAATTTTTAAATACTTTAATTTTTATTTTAAATAATTTTTTCTTTAATAGCCCACATTATATTTAAATGATTTCCTTCTATTAACAGTTTACTTGGGGATTTATTATTAATGACTTCTAAGCATAATCGATTGGTTTCTCATTTTTATCTTAAATATACTAATGTAATTAATGGATTATGTTGATATCTTACCTGATTTTAAAAAGCTTAAAATTCCTGGAATCAACTCTACTTGCCCATAACCAATTATTGTGTTGTTGCTGGTAATTTATTCTAAAGATCTGCCTTTATTTGTAAGTTTATTTATTTATTTGTTTTTCTTTTTATTTTCACTATTTTGCTTTCTTTCTACATTTATTTTAGATTCAGGGGCATACGTGCAGGTTTGTATATAAGTAAATTTCATGTTATGGGGGTTTGGTGAACAGATTATTTTATTGCCCATGTAATAAACATAGTGCCCAATAGGTACTTTTTTGATCCTCCATCCTCAAGGAGCCCCCAGTATCTGTTGTTCCCTTCTGTGTGTCCATGTGTACCTAATGTTTAGCTCCCTTTTACAAGTGAGAACATGTGATACTCGGTTTCTGCTCCTATGTTAGTTTGCTTAGGAGAATGACCTCCAGCTGCATCCATGTTGCTGCAATGTACATAATTGTGTTCTTTTGTATGGCTGCATAGTATTCCATGGTGTATATGTACCACATTTCCTTTATCCGGTCCACCACTCATGGGCATCTAGGTTGATTCTACACCTTTGCTATCGTGAATAGTGCTGTGATAAACATACACGTGCATATGTTGTTATGGTAGAATTATTTATATTCCTCTGGGTATGTACCCAATAATGGGATTTAATAGGATTGCTGGGATAAATGGTAGTTCTATTTTAAGTTCCTTGAAAAATCACCAAAATGCTTTCTACAATGGTTAAACTAATTTATATTACCACCAGTAGTGTATAAGTGATCATTTTTCCACAACCTTGCGAGCATCTATAATTGTTTGACTTTTTAATAATATCCATTCTGACTGGTATGAGATGGTTTCTCATTGTGGCTTTAATTTGCATTTCTCTAATGAATAGTGATGTTGAGCATTTTTTCATACGCTTGTTGGCCATCCATATGTCTTCTTTTGAAAAGTGTTTGTTAATGTCCTCTGTCCACTTTTTTAAAGTTGTTTGCTTTTTGCTTATCAATTTAAGTTCCTTAGAGTTTCTGTATATTAGGCCTTTGTCAGATGCACAGTTTGCAAATATTTCTCCCATTCTGTGGGTTGTCTGTTTACTCTGTTGATAGTTTCTTTAGCTGTGCAGAAAATCTTTAGTTTAATTAGATCTCATTTGTCAATTTTTGTTTTGGTTGCAGTGGCTTTTGGAGATATCATTATAAAACCTTCGCAAAGGCCTATGTCCAGAATGGTATTTCCCAGATTATCTTCCAGTGTTTCTTTTTATATTTTTAGGTTTTATATTTACTTTTTTAATCTAACTTGAGATGACTTTTGTAAATGGTATAAGGAAACAGTCCACTTTCAATCTTTTATATATGGCTGGCTGGTTATCCCAGCACCATTTATTTAATAGGAAGTCCTTTCCCCGTTGCTTGTTTTGGTCGACTTTGTCAAAGATCCGTCAGTTGTAGGTGCATAGCTTTATTTCTGGCTCTCTGTTCTGTTCTATTAGTCTGTGTGTCTGTTTTTGTACAGTACCATGCTTTTTTGTTTACTGTAGCCTTTTAGTATTGTTTGAAGATGGGAAATGTGATCCTTCCAGCTTCCCCCCACCTTATGATTGCTTTGGTTATTTTTGGCTATTTGGGCTCCTTTTTGGTTCCACACAAATTTTAAAATAATTTTTTCTAATTCTGTGAAGAATGCCATTGGCAGTTTGATAGGAATAGCATTCAATGTGTAAATTGCTTTGAGCAGTATAGCCATTTTAATGATGTTGATTCTTTCAGTACATGAGCATGGAATATTTTTCCATTTGTGTCATCTCTGATTTCTTTCAGCAATGTTTTGTAATTCTCATTGTAGAGATCTTTCAACCCCTGGTTAGCTGTTTTCTGAGGTATTTTAATCTTCTTGTGGCTTTTGTGAGTGTGACTGCATTTTTTATTTGGCTCTCAGCTTGGATGCTGTTTGTGTATAGAAATGCTACTGATTTTTGTACATTGATGTGTATCCCAAAACTTTGCTGAAGTTATCAGAAAGTTTTGGGCAGAGACCATGGGGTTTTCCAGGTATAGAATTATATTGTCTGCAAACAGAGATAGTTTGACTTCTTTTTTCGTATCTGGATGCCTTTTATTTCTTTCTCTTTCTTGATTGATCTGGCTAGGACTTCCAGTATTATGTTGAATAGGAGTGGTGAGAATGGGGATTCTTGTCTTCTTCTGGTTCTCAAAGGGAAGGCTTCCAGCTTTTGCTCATCTAATATGATTTTGGCTATGGGTTTGTCATAGATGGCTCTTATTAGCTTGAGGTATATTCTTTCAATGCCTTATTTGTTGAAGGTTTTTTAACATGCTAGTATTTTGTTGAGGATTTTCACATCTATGTTCATCAAAGATATTGGCCTGAAGTTTTCTTTTTTTGTTGTGACTCTGTCATGTTTTGGTATCAGGATAATGCTGGCCTCATAGAATGAGCTGGAGAAGAGTTCTGGAGAAGAACCATAAAAGAACCTCCATAGCCAAAGGAAGACTAAGCAAAGAGAACAAATCTGGAGGCATCAAATTACCTGATTTCAAACTATACTATAAGGCCATAGTCACCAAAACAGCATGGTACTGATATAAAAATAGGCACACAGACCAATGGAACAGAATAGAGAAGCCAGAAATAAACCCAAATACTTACAGCCAACTGATCTTTGACAAAGCAAACAAAAATACAAAGTGGGGAAAGGACACCCTCTTCAACAAATGCTGCTGGTATAATTGGCAAGCCACATGTAGGAGCGTGAAACTGGATCCTCATCTGTCACCTGAAATAAAAATCAACTCAAGATGGATTAAGGACTTAAATCTAAGACCTGAAACTACAAAAATTATAGACGTTAGCATTGGAAAAACTCTTCTAGACATTGGCTTAGGCAAGGATTTTATGACAAAGAGCCCAAAAGCAAATGCAATAAAAACAAAGATAAATTGCTGGGACTTAAGTAAACTAAACAGCTTTTGCATGGCAAAAGAAACAGTCAACAGAGTAAACAGACAACCCAAAGAGTGGGAAAAAAATCTTCACAATCTATACATCTGACAAAGGATTAATATCCAGAATGTACAATGAGCTCAAATCAACAAGAAAAAATAAACAATCCCATCAAAAAATGGGCTGAGGACATGAATAGACAATTCTCAAAGGAAGATATACAAATGGCCAACAAACGTGAAAAAATGCTTAACATCACTAATGATCAGGGAAATGCAAATGAAAACCACAATGTGATACCACCTTACTCCTGCAAGAGTGGCCATAATCAAAAAATTTAAAAATAGTGGATGTTGGCATGGCTTCGGTGAACAGGGAACACTTCTGCACTGCTGGTGGGAATGTAAACTAGTACAACCTCTATGGAAAACAGTGTGAAGATTCCTTAAAGAACTAAAACTAGAACTACCATTTGATCCAGCAATCCCACTACTGGGTATTTACCCAGAGGAAAAGAAGTCATTATATGAAAAAGATACTTGGACACACGTTTACAGCAGCACAATTTACAGTTGCAAAAATGTGAAACCAACCCAAATGCCTATCAATCAATGAGTGTACAAAGAAACTATGGTGTGTATGTATACATACATATATATATGACATATATATGACATATATATGACATATATATATATGACATATATATATATGACATATATATATATGACATATATATATATATATATATATGTATATGTCGGAATACTACTCAGTCATAAAAAAGAATGAATTGATGGCATTTGTAGTGACCTGGATGAGATTGGAGACTATTATTCTAAGTGAAGTAACTCAGCAATGGAAAATCAAACATCGTATGTTCTCACTCATAAGTGGGAGCTAAGCTATGAGGATGAAAAGGCATAAGAATGACACAATGGACTTTGGGGACTCGGGGAAAGGGTAAGAAGAGGGTGAGGGATAGAAGACTACAAATAGTGTGCAGTATATACTGCTCGGGTGATGGGTGCACCAAAATCTCACAAATCACCACTAAAGAACTTATGTAACCAAACGCCACGTGTTCCCCAATAACCTATGGAAATAAATAATAATAATAATTACTTTATGTGTAAATGACTTAAAATTCTCAATCCAAAGATATAGAATGGTTGAAAAGATTAACAAATAAAATCTAACTGTATGCTGTCTACACGAAACTCACTTCTGATTTAAGGACACACAACCTGAAAGTGAAGAGATAGTGAAAGATATTTTATGTAAAGATCAACCAAAAGAGAGCAGGAATGGCTATCAGACAAAATAGACTTTAAGTCAAAACTGTCACAAGAGATGAAGATGGGCATTATATAATAAAAAAGGGGTCAATTCACCAGCAAGACATAACAATATAAATTTATATACATCCAACATCAGGTCACCTAAATATATTAAGAAAACATTGACAGAACTGAGGGGAGAAATGGATAGCAATACCATAATATTACAGTAGTAGGGGACTTCAATATCCTACTTTCAGTAATGGATAGGGATTAGGGTTAGGGTTAGACAAAAAATCAGCAAAGAAACAGCAGATTTGACCAAAACTGTAGACCAAATGGACTTCATAGACACATATAGAACATTTCACCCAACACCAGCAGAATATATATCATTGTCCAGAGGATCAGATATTCTCCAGAAAAGATCACATGTTAAGTCATAAAATAAGTCTTAACAAATTTAAGAAAATTAAAGTCGTACCAAGAATCTGTATTTATCACAAGGGAATGAAATCAATAGCAGAAGAAAAACTGGAAAATTTAAAAATATGTGAAAGTTAAACAATACACATTTGAACAATCAATGGGTCAATGAAGAAATCAAAAGAAACATTAGGAAATACTTTGAGACAAATGAAAATGAAAATACAACATACCAAAACTTTTGGGTACAACAAAGTCATTACTAACCAGGAAGTTGTCTTAGTCCATTCAGGCTGCTGTAACAACAATAGCAAAAAACTGTGTTGCTTATAAACAAAAATTTCTCACAGTTCTAAAGGCTGGAAATTCCAGCATCCAGGCACTGGCATATTCAGTGTCTGGCAAGGGCCACTTCCTACATGGCTGTCTTTTTGCTGCAGACTCCCATGTTGGGTGGGAAGGGGATGAGCACTCCAGGTTGTGTTTCATATGGACACTAATTCCATTAATAAAGGTACCACCCTCATTACCTAATTACCTCTCCAATGTCCTATGTCCTAATACCATCACTTTGGGGCTTAGGATTTCAGCATGTAAATTTTGGAGGGACCCAAACATTCAGACCATAGCAGAACTTTATAGCAAAAAACATCTATGTTGAAAAAGAAGAAATATATTAAACAGTCTAATGTTATACCTGAAGGAACTACAGAAAGGAAAAAAGTTAAGCCCAACGTTATCAGAAGGAGGGAAATAAAGATAACAGCAGAGATAAATGAAATAGAAAATATAAAACAATAGAAAATAATCAACAAATTTAAGAGTTATTTTTGAAAAGTTCAGAAAAAATGCTAAACTTTTAGCTAAACTAAGAGAAAATGGAGAAGACTCAAATGAATTAAATCATAAGTGAAAATGTCAGATCACAACTGATGTCAGAAAAATAAAAATCATAGGAGATGACTATGAATAATTATATGAACATCTATGGGATATAAGGATGGTTCAATATGTGAAAATCAATTAATCTGATACATTGCATTGACAGAACAAAGTATAAAATCAAATGATCATGTGAATAAATGCAGAAAAAGCATTTGACAGAATTCAACACCCTTTCATTATAAAAACTCTCAACAAACTAGGAATAGAAAGATATTACCTCAACATAATAAAGGCCATATTTGAAAATTCCACAGCTAATTTCATACTCAATGGTGAAAAACTAAAAGCTTTTCCTTTAAGATCAAGAAGGCAAGGATGTCCACTCTCACCACTTCAATTCAACATAGTACTGGAAGTCCTAGCCAGAGCAATTAGGCAAGAAAAAGAAATGAGAGGCATATAAACCAAAAAGGAAGAAGTAAAATTGTCCCTGTTTACAGATGACACAATCTCATATGTAGAATATCCTAAATAGTTCGCAAATAAACTGTTAAAATTAATAAACAAATTCAGTAACATTACAGCATACAAAATCAACGTGCAAAAATTGGTTGTGTTTCAAGACATTAACAATAAACTATCTGAAAAGGAAATTAAGAAAGATATCCATGTACAATAGCACCAAAAATAATAAAATACTCAGGTATGAACTTGGCTAAGAATGTGAAAGACTTGTAGACTCAAAACTAGAAAACACTGATGAAAGTAATTAAAGTAGACACAGACATACAGAAAGATATTCTGTGTTCATGTACTGGAAGACTTAATATTGTTAAAATATCCATGCTACTCAAAGTGATACAAAATCAATGAAATCTCTATCAAAATTTCAATGGCATTTTTTATATAAATAGAAAACATAATACTAAAATTTATATGGAACCACAAAACATCTTAAATAACCAAGACAATCTTGAGAAAGTAGAACAAACCTGGAGGCATCACACTTCCTGGTTTTAAAATATGTTACAAAGGTGCAGTAGTTAAAACATTAGGGAACTGACATAAACACAGACATATAAACCAATGAAACAAAATAGAGTCCAGAAATCAATTCACAAATATAAGATTCAACTGATCTTTAACAGGATACCAACAATACATAAGGGGGAAAAATAGTCTCTTCAACAAATAGTGTTGGGAAAACTAGATATCTATAGTGAAAAGGATGAAATTAGATCCTTATCTTATGCTATACAAAAAATCAACTGAAAATGGATTAAATACTTAAATATAAGACCTGAAACTCTAAAAAGAAAACTTAGGGATAAAGCTTCATGAGACTGATCTTAGTAAAGATTTTTTTGGATATGACTCAAAAAGAACAGGTAATGAAAACAAAAATAAACAAGTGGCACTTCATCAAACTAAAAAGTTTCTGTAGAGCAGAGGAAACAAGAGTGAAAAGGCAACCTACAGAAGGGGAGAAGATATTTGCAAAGCATATATCAAATAAGAGTTTAATTTCCAAACTATGTAAGGAGCTCATAAAACTCAAATAGCAAAACAATAAATACCCCAGTTATAAAAGTGAGCTAGAGATTTGAGTAGAAATTTCTCCAAAGAAGACCTAGAAATGTCCAACATGTATATGAAAAGATGTTCAATGTCACTATTCATCAAAAAAATACAAATAGAAACCACAATGGGTTAAGACACCACCTCACATCTGTTAGGACCTAAGGTATTATTTTTAAAAAGACAACAAGTGTTACCAAAAATGTGTTACCAAGAATGTGAAGAAATTGGAACCCTTGTAGACTGTTGGTGAGAATGCAGAATGGCATAGCCACTATGGAAAACATATAGCAATTCCACAAAAATCAAAAATAGAACGACTATATGATCCAGAAATTCTACTTCTGGGTATTTATCCAAAAGAATGGAAATCAGGATCTCAAAGAGATAGTAGCACTCCAATGTTCATTGCAGCATTATTCACAATAACAAAGATATTGAAACAACCTAAATGTCCATCAATGAATAAATGAATAAAGAAAATATGGTATATGCATACAATGGAATATTATTAAGCCTTAAAAAAGAAGGAAATCCTGAAATATGCAACAACATGGATGAATCTTGAGGATACTATGCTAAGTGAAATAAGCCAGTCACAGAAGTACATATACACATGATTTCAATTATATGAGGTACCTAAAATATTCAAACTCATGGAATCAGAGAGTAGAATGGTGGCTTCCAGGAACCTGGGGAAGGGAGAAATGTGGAGTTGCTAGTAAATGTGCATAAAGTCTCAATTACACAAGATGAATAAATTCCAGAGATCTGCTATACAACTTTGACCCCATAGTCAACAATATTCTATTGTACACTTAAAAATTTGTTGAGGGTAGATCTCATGTTAAGTGTTCTTAACATGGTAAAATAAAGTTTTTTAAAACTATAAATTTAAAATAAAGCAAAAAAACAGATAACATTGTGAAAGACTTTATGAAAATAAAAATATACAAAATATGTCATATCAATAAATATGAATTGACTAAACTTACCAATTAAAAAAATGATTTTTGATTATACCTGAAAAATAAATCCAACTCAATTTTTATACAAGAAATACACATCAAACACAGTTATTAAGACAGATTGAAAATAATATAAACCCCTTGTTTAGCTTTGGGAGGATGTATGTGTCCAAGAATTTATCCATTTCTTCTAGATTTTCTACTTTATTTGCATAGAGGTGTTTATAGTATTCTCTGATGATTATTTGCATTTCTGTGGGGTCAGTGTCTGTTCATATCCTTTGCCCACCTTTGAATGGAGTTGTTTGTTTTCTTCTTGTAAATTTGTTTACGTTCCTTATAGATTCTGAATATTAGACCTTCTTCAGATGGATACATTGCAAACATTTTCTCCCATTCTGTAGGTTGTCTGTTCACTCTGATGATAGTTTCTTTTGCTGTGCAGCTCTTTAGTTTAATTAGCTCCCATTTGTCAATTTTTGCTTTGGTTGCAATTGCTTTTGGTGTTTCTGTTATGAAATCTTTGCCCGTGCCTATGTCCTGAAAGTTATTGCCTAGATTTCCTTTTGTTTGCTTGTTTGTTTGTTTTTTCAGACAGGGTTTTGCTCTTGTTACCCTGGAGTGCAATGGCGTGATCTCAGCTCACTGCAACCTCCACCTCCTGAGTTCAAGCAATTATCCTGCCTCAGCCTCTCCAGTAGGTGGGATTACAGGTCCCCACCACCACACCCAGATAATTTTTTTTTTTTCTATTTTTTTTTAGTAGAGACAGGGTTTCACCATGTTGGCCAGGCTGGTCTTGAACTCCTCACCTCAGGTGATCCACCTGCCTCAGCCTCCCAGAGTGCTGGGATTACAGGCATGAGCCACCGTACCTGACCTATTGCTTAGATTTTCTTCTAGAGTTTTTATATTTTAGGGTCTTACATTTAAGCCTTTAATCTATTGAGTTAATTTTTTATAAGGTAAAAGGAAGAGGTCCAGTTTTAATTTTCTGCACATGGCTAGCCAGTTTTCCCAGCAGCATTTATCTAATAGGGAATCCTTTCCCCATTGTCTGTTTTTGTCAGGTTTGTTGAAGACAGATCATTGTAGATGTGCAGTCTTATTTCTGAGATATCTTTTCTGCTCCATTGGTCTATATGTCTGTTTTTGTACCAGTACCATGCTGTTTTGGTTACTGTAGCCTTGTAGTGTAGTTTGAAGTAAGTTAACGTGATGCTTCCAGCTTTGTTCTTTTTGCTAAGGCTTGTCTTGGCTATATGAGCTCTTTTTTTGGTTTTAGATGAATTTTAAAGCTTTTTTTTTTTCTAATTCTGTGAAGAAGAATGTCAATGGTTGTTAAATGGGAATAGCACTGAATCCATAAATTACTTTGGCAGTATGACCATTTTTATGATATTTATTCTTCCTATCCATGAGCATGGAAAGTTTTTCCATTTGTGTCTTCTCTTATTTCCTTGAGCAGTGGTTTGTAGCTCTTCGTGAAGAGGTCCTTCACTTCCCTTATTAGCTGTATTCCTAGGTATTTTAATCTCTTTGTGACAATTGTGAATGGGAGTTCATTCATGATTTGGCTCTCTACTTGTCTGTTTTTGGTGTATAGGAATGCTTATGATTTCTGCACATTGATTTTTTATCCTGAGACTTTGCTGAAGTTGCTTTTCAGCTTAAGGAGCTTTTCGGCTGAGAGATGGGGTTTTCTAAATACAGGATCTTGTTATCTGTAAACAGAAACAGTTTAACTTCCTCTCTTCCAATTTGAATATCCTTTATTTCTTTCTCTTGCCTAATTGCCTTGGCCAGAAGTTTCAATACTATGTTGACTAGAAGTGGTGAGTGAGGGCATCCTTGTGTTGTGCCAGTTTTCAAGGGGAATGCTTCCAGCTTTTGTCCATTCAGTATGATGTTGGTTGTGGGTTTATCATAAGTGGCTCTCATTATTTTGACATATATTCCATCAATACCTAGTTTATTGAAAGTTTGTAACATGAAGGGATGCTGAATTTTATCGAAGGCCTTTTCTGTGTCTATTGAGATAATCACGTGGTTTTTGTCTCTACTTCTGTTTATGTGATGAATTATGTTTATTGATTTACATATGTTGAACCAGCCTTGCATCCCGGGGATGAAGCTGACTTGATCATGGTAGATAAGCTTTTTGATGTGCAGCTGGATTCAGTTTGCCAGTATTTTATTGAGGATTTTTGCATCAATGTTTCTCAGGGATATAGGCCTGAAGTTTTGCTTTTTTGTTGTATCTCTGCCAGGTTTTGGTATCAGGATGATGCTGGCCTCATAAAATGAGTTAGGGAGAAGTCCCTCTTTTTCAGTTGTTTGGGATAGTTTCAGAAGAAATGATACCAGCTCCTCTTTGTACATCTGGTAGAATTCAGCTGTAAATCTATCTGGTCCTGGGCTTTTTTTTTTTTTTTTTTTTTTTTTGGTTGGTAGGCTACTTATTACTGCCTCAATTTCAGAACCGTTATTGGTCTATTCAGGATTTCAACTTCTTCCATGTTTAGTCTTGGGAGGGTGTATGTGTCAAGGAATTTATCCATTTCTTCTAGTATATATATAGATTTTCTAGTTTATTTGCATAGAGGTGTTTATAGTATTCGCTGATGATTATTTGTATTTCTGTGGGGTCAGTGGTAATATCCCCTTTATCATTCTTTTTTGTGTCGATTTGATTCTTCTCTCTTTTCTTCTTTATTAGTCTAGCCAATGATCTGTCTATTTTATTAAGTTTTTCAAAAAACCAGCTCTTGGATTCATTGATTTTTTGAAGTGTTTTTAATGTCTCTATCTCCTTCAATTCCACTCTGATCTTGGTTGTTTCTTGTCTTCTGCTAGCTTTTGGGTTTGTTTGCTCTTGGTTCTCTAAGCTCACCGTCACTGATCATTCAAGAAATGCAAATCAAAACCACAATGAGATACCATCTCATGCAAGTCAGAATGGTGATTATTAAAAAGTCAAGAAATAACAGATGCTGGAGAGGCTGTGGAAAAATAGGAATGCTTTTTTTTTTTTTTTTTTTTGAGACAGAGTTTTGCTCTTTTTGGCCAGGCTGGAGTGCAATAGTGCAATAATAGGAAAGATTTTACACTGTTGGTGGGAGTGTAAATTAGTTAAACCATTGCAGAAGACAGTGTGGTGATTCCTCAAAGACCTAGAACCAGAAATACCATTTGACCCAGCAATCCCATTACTAGGTATATACTCAAAGGAATATAAATAATTCTGTCATAAGGATACATGCATAAGTATGTTCATTGCAACACTATTCACAATAGCAAAGACATGGAATCAACCCAAATGCTCATCAATGATAGACTGGATAAGAAAAATGTGGTACATATACACCATGGAATACTACACAGCTATAAAAAGGAATGAGATAATGTCCTTTGTAGGGACATGGATGGACCTGGAAGCCATTATCCTCAGCAAACTAACACAGGAACAGAAAACCAAACACCGCATGTTCTCACTTATAAGTGGGAGCTGAACAATGAGAACACATGGACACACGGAGAGGAGCAACAAACACTGGGGCCTGTCATGGGGCGTAGGGGGAGGGAGAGCATCAGGATAAATAGCTAACACATTCAGGGCTTAATACCAAGGTGATGGGTTGATAGGTGCAGCAAACCACCATGGCACATGTTTACCTGTGTAACAAACCTGCGCATCCTGCACGTGTATCCCAGAACTTAAAATAAAATATAATAAAATTAAAGAAAAGAAAGAAAAGAAAATAATGGATAAACTTATTTGGGGAAGAAAAAAAGAAAACATAGATTATGATCTTATTAAAATTAGACAAGATGGCATTCAGTTTTAGTTAAAATGTAAGGAAGAAATCAATATTGTAGAAAGATTACAAGGAAACTACTTGATAGATAAGTAGCAAAGATTATAAATATAAGCATATATTTGAGATATTTAGGCAAAAAGAGAATTTTGATACTATATAGAAAATATAGTTATGCCAAGTGGAGAGTAGCTCTAACAAGTAGAGGAACCTTACCAAGTTATCTTCCCTCCTTCTCTTTTCCCTCCCTTCCTCCTTCCCTCTTTTCTTACTTCCTTCATCTTCCAAGTATGTATCAAATCCAACCTTGTGTCAGGTACTGTTTTAGCCACTTGGTAGTCAGCGGTGAATAAAACTGATTGAAATCATGGCTGTCACTAGTGTGCATTCTAGTGGGGACATACTTCCATAAAAGATGTAAACAGAATATATTCCAAGAATAGATATAAAATGCCAAGGAGGAAAATATAGCAGTCAATTGGGACAAGAGAATGGAGAGAACATTGCAGTTTTAGAAAGGGTGGCCAGGGAAGGCATCATCAAGAAAGAAACATTGGAGCAAAGACCCAAAGGAGGAATAAAACATAAAGTCAGCTACACAAATGTCTGAAGGAAGAGTGTCGACAGACAGAGGGAACAGTAGATTCAAGGTCTCTGATACGAGAGTATGTTTGGCAATTATGAAGAGCTGTGAGAAGGGTACTATAGCTGATGTTGAAGGAATGAGTGCAGATGTGGAAAAAGATGAGGTCAGAGAAATAATGAGGAGGGGAAAGTGGGCAGCAGATCCTGCATGGACTTGTAGGCCATTATGAGGAGAGTAGCTTTTACTTCGAGTGAGATAGGCAACCATTAAAGGACTTCAATGGGAAAATTAACATAATCTCCTGTTTAGAGGTAGATAGAAGAGGGAAGGAAAAATAATCAAACTGGTAAAGAAAAAGGGCATAATTCAGTTCTTATATTATGATACATTTAAAGTTGAAGTTTCACCTCATTACGCTATTGTAATGTCCTTATAATACATACACAATACAACATTTGTAAAAAGTTCATTCCATGATGAGTTAAGTTTACAACTGCTGAAAATTAAATGTAACATTCTGTGATGATTATCAAACTTTAGTGTGCATCAGAATCACCTGAAGGGTTTGTTAAAACAGATTTCTGGACTACTCATGATAGTAAAGGCATCAAATCAAACTAGGTGCCCATCAACAGTGGATTGGATAAAGAAAATGTGGTACATATACACCATGGAATACTATGCAGCCATAATAAAGAACAAAAGTGTGCCCTTTGCAGCAACACTGTTTCAACTGGAGGCCATTATGCTAAGCAAATTAATGTAGAAACAGAAAACCAAATATCACATGTTCTCACTTACAAGCAGGAGCTAAACATTGGGTACACATGGACATAAAGATGGGAATAATTGACAATGAGGACTCCCAAAGGAGGAGGGAGAGGGGCAAGCGCTGAAAAACTACCTACTGGGTACTGTGCTTTCTACTCAGATGATGGAATCATTCACACCCCAAATCTCAATCTCACACAATAGTTGCATGGAACAAACTTGCACTTGTATCCCTGAATCTAAAATAAAAGTTGGAATTATTACAAGAGAGAAAGAGAGAGATGGCTGAGTGCCACCCACAGAGTTTCCAACTCAGCCCATCTGATGAGAGACTTCATAATTTGCATTTCTAGCAATTTCCCAAGTGATGTTGATGCTGCTGGTCGAGACCTGAATATTGAGATCCACTGGTCTAGAACATATAATGCATATAAGTATTGCAGAGATAGTCTGAGAATTATTGACATTTTTAGAAAATCTGCTCAATGACCTTGTGTTTTGGCCTCCAGTATTCGGAACCGTCAAATTCTTACTCCCTCATGACTGACATTGGACTCTTGCTGTGTTTATTCACTTTCCACAGATTAATTTAAAAATAGATTAGAGAAGTGTATTGTGAATTCCTACTTAATTTTTAAAAAATGTCTGAGAGTAATAATACTGAATTTTTGAAGAGGCCAAAAAATGTTGCTACTAAGACAAATCCATTCATACTAAAAAATTTCTAAACCAGCTAATTCCTCTTATTGTAAACCTTTGTTTTTCATTGTTACTCTGACTCTTTAGAAATTATTTACAGAATTCCATTTTTATTGTTATTACACTATTTCTAGTCTGAAGAGGAGACATACAATAAGTGCTTATATGAAACACCATCCTGGACAGCGATTTTGTTTGTTTTTGCTAGTTATCATATTTTTAAAAATAAAAAGTATAAGAAACCAAATATTTTTCCAAGGGGCTTTTGCTGCGATTTTAGAAACTGTGTCTGGAAATAGTTGACTATTATGGAATGCTAACTATATTGAATGGAACTGACGTGCTAAAGGTCTCACAGTCTAAGAAATCTTTCATAAATATTCTTTGCTATCAGCAAGGTGAATGGGAAAAGCAATTGGTATTGCTGAATTTTTGAGGATTTATTATTGTCAAGGGACATTTTTTAAGTTTTGTGGCTTTACAGATTTTACAGTCAACCAGTGAGGTCTCACGTGGCAATTTGGTATTTAGAAAATCTATGAGCAAGTGAGAAGTAAGAATAAAATTAACAAAATAAATGTGAAAAAGATGGGGTGAATTTTATTTTAAAGATAGCCTTACAAAGTTTGTGAGTTTATCAGTTTCTTCCTGTAAGAAATGTTGGCAATTGACCTGTTATGTCCTGAAACTGAAAGGTAAGTATATATAGTTACATTACATTTGTTTTCTAAATCCCAAAGAAAACATAAGACAAAATAGGTCACTTAAACTCAGAATATGTGATCCATTAAATCTGTCAGTTTGGTGAAAGATGATTTCAGGATGTAGGCGTCTTGTGACTGTGTTTGATGTGAAAGAGGGGACAGATCAATGGCGCTAAGATTATTCTAAACTGCTTTATTTTAAAATTGTGCTTTGGGGAAGTTTTTGTCTTTTGTATTTTAAGTCTGTGGAGCATTCACAAAGAAGTCATACCATTGATGACATGCTTGTATTTTTATTTTTGGTCTCTCTAGGTATAACTTTACCGTTGTACTTCTGAAAGTATATTGATTGTTAAATATTTAATTTTCTCAACATAGAGATCATTTTAAACATAGGAGGAGATTATTTTTAATTGTCTATATTCTACAGCTAAAGTAATTATAGCGTATAGACATTTTAGGTGTTACTCATTGCTGATGAGAAACTTTTTTGTTTTATACATTAAGATAATTTTATTAATTGCTAATAAAGCAAGATATATATGTTTATTGAGAAAATTTGTGATCTTCATGAATACAAGCCTTATTACTAAAGTGTGAAATTTTTCCAATTATCTGGGAAGAAGCTATTATAGCTAAATATTGTCTGTCTTTGTTATTTGTGTTTTCCCTATGCCTTACATATTGCAAGAACCAATAAAAGTTTTTTGAATGAATGAATATTAGACATTTCAAGTAGTTAATGGATAAAAAAAGATCTTATTAACTAGAAATCTAAATATCTTAAAGTGAATGACATTACATTCATCCATTTTTTTTCTTCAGATAAAATTTTGTTAAAATGGGAAAAGTTATCACTTCTAAATGAAGGAATGTTGGTTAACAGGTAATTTTGCCCTTGTGCCACCTCTAAAGATTCAAATATAAGAAATATTATTTGTAGTGACTCTTTACGAATAGATCAACCACAAAAACAATGATTCTTGTAGCTGGCATATATGTGAACTTATCATCTGGATCAGAGAAAATATTTTAAGAACAACAAGATTCATTTAATTAAATACATATTTTCTTAAAACAAAAATTCATCAAATCATAAGGAATTTCACCATTTCTGTAATAACTTATGATGGAAAATTCTGTGTCATGCAAATGTTAAGAATGGTCTTACCAACTTCTCCCCCTCTATCTATTTGATTCTATTTTTATTGTTGTTTCTCTTGAATGACACAATTGATCCAATAAGCAGTGCTACCATTATATTATCCATTTGATGGCCCTAAGGACTTTATTAATAATTTTCAATCTGGCCTTTTTTAAAAAGTAGGCACAGTCACGGACAGTAAAATTAAAATATCAACTATTTCAGTAATGGTAGGGAAGTATTTACAAAGTGCCTTTTGTAAATATGAAATGTCTCAGATCCACTGCATTATATGTGGAGTAAGGGTAGATAAAATTTAATTTAGAAAAAATGTACCCCTGTCTTCATTTAACCACTCACAAACATGGGCTACTGATCAAAAGAAGAGGAGAATTTCTGCTGGTTGAGCTGAACAAACCCATTTCTAAGCAAGGGGTGGGGGGACTGCATGTCTGCTAACAGTGGATCAGTAAAGATGAGCAGTCTTGAATGAGATAGAGAAATTGTGAGAATGTTTTGTGTTCTTTGTTTTGTTTTACATAGCAAGAACACCAGAATAGAAAATCTTCAAGTCTGCAAGCCATGGGAGCAGTAATTAACACAGTGGTGCTGTTGGTTTTCTTTTCTTTCTTCTTTTTATTCTTTTTAATTTGAGGATGGTAGATCAGACAGAAAGAGATGGAGGATTTTATAAACATTCATGCAGCACCTAATACATGTGTTTTCTAATTATTAACTTGCTTAGTCCTCATAACAATCCTGTGAAGTGACTACAATTATTTTCCGCATTTTATAGATAAGGAAACTGAGAAACAGGGAGATTAAGAAAATTGCTGATGACAAAGCCAGGATAAAAATCAATTGGGCTCCAGAGAACATGCTGTTAATTACTAAGCTGTACTTATTCTTTTCACATTCTGACCTTCCTTTCCTCTATTATGCAGGCCAGAGTCAGGACAATAAGAATGCAAAGAGGTGGGGCATAGTTGATCCTTGTGGTGGATAGCAGGAAAGTAAGATGTAGGTAGTAAAATCATTGACTGTGTAACTAAAGGTAAGGTCAGGGACTTTTAGGCTAGGTGGCCTAAAGCTTTTATTTAGGCAGAGAAGATAGCTGAGAGAACTCATACAGAGGACAGCATAGTAAGGAGAGTGTTTTCAGCACAGTAAAAGTAGCAGATAAAGGCCCTTCATCCTTCCATTATTATTATCATTGTTTGATTTGGAAAAGGAGGTATGCCAGAAGAACTCTGAGCCTCTTAAAAATCTTTCACAAAAGTCTCACCCAGCAACTTCTGCTTCCATTTCACTGTTCTAAAGTATGTCAAATGACCACTTCTAGATCAAAGGAGTCTAGAAATGAAATAAAGAAAATCTAGATGGAGTTTAGCTCAATCAACACACTACAAAAAAAAAAAGTAATTCACAATGAAAACAAAAATTTATGTGCAGACATTCCATTGCAGGAATTTTTAAAATACAAAAATCTGGAAAAAAAACAAAATATCCAATGATAATAAAACAATTAAATGAATTATGGCATATACATACAAAGGAAAACAAGCAACCTCATTATATTTATGAAGCGAAATGCTGTAGAAAAATCTTATGACATAATGTTAAGTGAAATAAAGCAGTAGGCATTGTAATACAAAATGGTAGATCTCCCTAGATAGCGGAAATATGGGTGATTTCCAATATTTTAGCTATACAAATCTATATTTTCCAATATTTTTACAATGAATGTTATGTTTTGCAAACTTTTTCAAAAATAAATTTTGAAAGCATTAAAATATAACTCTGACTAGATTAAATCATAAAAAAGAAATTTATGGGATGGATATAGTGTCTGTCACTACAGCAAAGGACGATTAGAGAAATCAGGCCTCACAAAGAAAAAGAACCAGAGCAATTTTAAATATCTTAGTTAGTTATTCCAGCACCATCTCTACAGGGTGCTTCCATTTAAACTCATAGGTCTCATCACCTTAGTTTCTATGTACAACCACTCAACAATAAAATTAGCAGGAAAAAAACATCGGATAAGCCTAGCTTAGGTCACATACCCACCCTATGGTCTTGTATGGAGCAGAGTCTTGTAAGTAACAGCCCATCAGAATTATGTGGAGTAAGAAATGGGCTGTTTACCAAAGGAAAGTATTCTGATCAGACAAAGCAACATATATAATACCTGCAGAAAAATAATATTTCTTTTTAAAAATCACAGTGAAGCCCCAGGTTGTGAAAACACAGAAAAAAATTGACCACATTTTGGGAATTCTAGGGATGGCTACTGACAAAGGGGAAAAGACCAGGATTTGAGTAACTATCTTGTATAGAGGGTGGACTATAGATTTAAGATCATGATGTTCAAAGAATAGTGTTAAATTAAAACTTTAAGTGGATTGAAATTAGTATCCAAGGAGGTTTAGTCTGTTGGAAGGGTCCAGTAGTGTGAGTTTTTTTAGCAGTGCAAAATTTAGAGTCAAAATGGTAGCTATATTATGGATTTAAATGGCACATGAAAGATTCATTCCCACACACACTGGGCTAAGAACTTCACATATATGATCTCATTTTCTCCTTACAACTCTGTAAAGTAAGACCTATCCATATTTTAGAGTTGAAAAACCAGTAAGTACAGAGAAATTAAATCACTTATTTAAATCATATGCCAATTAGTGGTAGAGCTGGGATTCAAACTCAGATTTAGAGTGTTGGGACCCAGCTAAACAAGTTGGGTTCAAGCCAGAGTTATAGCTCTATTCCAGTCCAAGAACTATCATCCATGTAAACATGACAAGAGTTAGGGAGAGGAGGCTGAAGGTTTCATCCATGCCATAAAAGGCACCAAAATAGAATAGTTAGAGCCTACTCACTGGTAAAAGGAAACAGTCTATTCTACCTCCCTGTCTTGGTCTAGATTGACTCAGTTTGGAAGGAGCAGAAATTATTGGTGCCAGGACTTGGTGACTACAGCTGAGCAGAAATCAACTAAAATCCAAGATAATAAGAATCTTAAATAACTGAATGGGACAGTCTATTGACTGGAATCTTAGGAGAATAGGGGAACTCTAAGAATAGACAGAAACTAAGTGAAAACTGAACAAAGGCTATAGATCAAAATCCTGTACTCTACAGCTTCATAACAAATTACACCAAAATTTTACACCAAACGTACACCAAAACTTAACAGTTTAAAACAATTAAATGTACACAATTTCTGTGGGTCAGGAATCTGGGAATGCCTTAACTGGGTCATTTTAGCTCAGTTTCTCATGATGTTGTAGTCAAGAATGTCACTGTGTCTGCAGGCGTCTAAAGGTTTGACTGGGCCTGGAGAACTCATTTCCAAGGCAGTTCATTCACATGACTGACAAGTTAGTTCTGATTGTCATCAGGAGACCTCAGTTTCTTACCACCTCTCCATAGAGCTGCTTTGGTGTCTTCATGACATGACAGCTGGTTTCTCCATGGTGAGTGATTCAAGAGAAAGTACCTAATAGAAATAACAATCTCTTTTTTTTT
Source organism: Homo sapiens (assembly GCF_000001405.40). Classification (NCBI taxonomy): domain Eukaryota; kingdom Metazoa; phylum Chordata; class Mammalia; order Primates; family Hominidae; genus Homo; species Homo sapiens. The sequence continues at coordinate 98,139,108 of NC_000023.11, read as the reverse complement.
TTTTTCAATAGTTTGGGGGTACAATTGGCTTCTGGTTAGATAAGTTCCTTAGTGGTCATTTCTGGGATTTTGGTGCACCCATCACCTGAGCAGTATATACTGTACCCAATATGTAGTCTTCTATCCCTCACTCCACTCCTACTCTTCCCCCCAAGTCCTCAAGGTCCATGCTATCATTCTTATGCCTTTGCATCCTCATAGCTTAGCTCTTGCTTATAAGTGAAAACATATGATATTTAGTTTTCCATTCCTGAGTCATTTCACATAGAATAATGCCTCCAGCTCCATCCAAGTTGCTGGAAAGGCCATTATTTCATTCAATTTTATGTTTAAGTAGTATTCCATGTGGTGTGTATATACCACATTTCCTTTATTCACTGGTTGGTTGATGGGCATTTAGGTTGGTTCCATATTTTTGCAATTGCAAATTGGACTGCTATAAACATGTGTATGCTGTGTCTTTTTCATATAATGACCTCTTTTCCTTTGAGTAGATACCCAGTAGTGGGATTGCTGGATTGAATGGTCGTTCTACTTTTAGTTCTTTAAAGAATCTCCATACTGTTTTCCATAGTGGTTGAACTAGATTACAGTTCCACCAGCAATTTAAAAGTGTTCCCTTTTCACCACGTCCATGCCAACATCTATTCTTTTTTGATTTTTTAAATTATAGTCATACTTGCAGGAGTAAGGTGATATCTCATTGTGGTTTTAATTTATATTTCCCTGATAATTAGTGATGTTGAACATTTTTTCATGTTTGTTGGTTCGTTGTATATCTTCTTTGAGAATTGTCTATTCATGTCCTTTGCCCACTTTTAGATGGGATTTTTTTTAATCTTGCTGATTTGTTTAATTCCTTGTAGATTCCGGGTATTAGTCTTTGCAGATGCATAGTTTGTGAATATTTTCTCCCACTATATGAGTTGTCTGTTTAATCTGCTGATTATTTCTTTAGCTGTGCAGAAGCTTTTTAGTTTAATTAAGTCCCATCTATCTATCTTTGTTTTTGTTGCATTTGCTTTTGGGGTTTTGGTCACGAAATTTGTGTCTAAGCCATTGTCTAGAAGAATTTTTCTGATGTCTTCTAGAATTTTTATGGTTTTAAGTCTTAGGTTTAACTCTTTGATCTATCTCGAGTTGATTTTTGTATAAGGTAAGATGAGGATCCAGTTTCATTCTTCTACATGTAGCTTGCTGATTATCTCAGCACCATTTGTTGAATAGAGTGTCCTTTCCCTACTTCTTGTTTTTGTATGCTTTGTCAAAGATCAGTTGTCTGTAAGTATTTGGCTTTATTTCTGGGTTCTCTTTTCTGTTCCATTGGTCTACATGCCTATTTTTATACCAGTACCATGTGTTTTGTTAACTATAGCCTTGCAGTATTAATTTGAAGTTGGATAAAGTGATGCCTCCTGATTTCTTCTTTTTGCTTAGTCTTGCTCTGGCTATGCAGGTTCTTTTTCATTCCATACGAATTTTAGGGTTGTTTTTTCTAGTTCTGTGAAGAATGATGTTGGTATTTTGATGGAAATTGCATTGAATATGTAGATTGCTTTGGGCAGTATGGTCATTTTCACAATATTTATTTTACCCATTCATGAACATGGGATGTATTTCCATTTGTTTGTGTTGTCTATGATTTCTTTCAGCAGTGTTTTGTAGCTTTCCTTGTAGAGATCACTCACCTCCTTTGTTAAATATATTTCTAACTCCTTTTTAATTTTTTTGGCAGCTGTTGTAAAAGGGATTGAGTTCTTGATTTGATTCTCATCTTGGTCATTTTTGGTGTAGAACAGTGCTACTAATTTGTGTACGTTGATTTTGTAGCCTGAGACTTTACTGGATTCACTTATCAGATCTAGGAGCTTTTTGGATGAGTCTTTAGGGTTTTCTAGGTATATAATCATATTATCAGTGAGCAGTAACAGTTTGACTCCCAGTTTTCTAATTTGGATGGCCTTTATTTCTTTCTCTTGTCTGATTACTACAGCATTTTCCAGGAGACAAGAGAAAAACTAAGTTGCTGCAGTACGAGAAAGGGAGCACCTGCCTCTGAAAATACATCCCCGCAGGGGAATCTCAAAATCCAGATTATGGGAGAAGGCTTTAACCCTGCCTAGAGCTGGGATGTTATAAAAATGATTATATAACCATAAAAACCCCAGAAGAAAACCTAGGCAATACCATTTAGGACATAGGCATGGACAACGACTTCAGGACAAAAACACCAAAAGCAATTGCAACAAAAGCCAAAATTGACAAATGGGATCTAATTAAACTAAAGAGCCTCTGCACAGCAAAAGAAACTATCATCAGAGTGAACAGACAACCTACAGAATAGGAGAAAATTTTTGCAATCTATCCATCTGACAATGGGCTAATATCCAGAATCTACAAGGAATTTAAACAAATTTACAAGAAAAAAACAACCCCATCAAAAAGTGGGCAAAGAATATGAACAGACACTTCTCAAAAGAAGACACGTGGACAAAAAAATATGAAAAAAAAGCTCATCATCACTGGTCATTAGAGAAATGCAAATCAAAACCACAATGAGATACCATCTCACACCAGTTAGAATGGTAATCATTAAAAAGTCAGGAAACAACAGATGCTGGAGAGGATGTGGAGAAATAGGAACGCTTTTACACTGTTGGTGGGAGTGTAAATTAGTTCAACCATTGTGGAAGACAGTGTGGTGATTCCTCAAGGATCTAGAACCAGAAATACCATTTGACTCAGCAATCCCATTACCGGATATATACCCAAAGGATTATAAATCATTCTACTATAAAGACACATGCACACGTATGTTTATTGCTGCAGTATTCACCACAGCAAAGACTTGGAACCAACCCAAATGCCCATCAATGATAGACTGGATAAAGAAAATATGGCACATATACACCATGAAATACTATGCAGCCATAAAAAAGATGAGTTCATGTCCTTTGAAGAGACATGGATGAAGCTGGAAACCATCATTCTCAGCAAACTAACACAGGAACAGAAAACCAAACACCACATCTTCTCATTCATAAGTGGGAGTTGAACAATGAGAACACATGGACATAGGGAGGGGAACATCACATACGAGGGCCTGTCAGGGGGTTGAGGGGTAAGGGGAAAAAGAGCATTAGGACAAAAACCTAGTTGACGGGTTGATAGGTGTAGCAAACCACCATGGCACATGTATACTTATGTAACCTGTATGTTCTGCACATGTATCCCAGAACTTAAAGTATAATGAAAAAATTAAAATATCAAATTTTCATTTTCATATATGCCTGAAAAAAAGATGTAGTTTCTAATTTTTCTTAAAAATTATCTTTGTGAGTTTTTCTGCTAGATATTGGCTCATCCTTTGTTTTTTCTGAAATTTGTCATACATAAAATAGAGCATATATTAATGCATGTGTACAGTTTAAGAATAACAAAATGAACACCCATGCATATGACCATCCATTTACGTGATTAAATATCAGTGTCTTTAAGCTGCCTATGTGCCTTCCCCATCACAACACCTACTTTTCCTTCTAAGGGAGCACTATCCAAAATTTTGTTTATTACTCCCTTGCTTTCATCTATAATTTAAAACCATATATATGATCTGTAAGGGATATTACTTTCTTTTAAAAAGTTATTTCTCTACCAGTTGACTCAGTAATGTCATGATTGAAAATACACAAGATTAGCCGCATAGTGTTCCTGCCCAAAATATTTTATCTGCATCTAAAGTGGTAAATCCTAGATTTGTCCATTTTAAAGGTACATTTTTTACCTTTGTAATTTAGTATTTAATCTACAGAGTAATACTTTGAAACTATGTGAATATCCTATTCCCCAATAACGTTGCATTCATGCCTTAATCAATTATTATATTTGTAGTTCTAAAATGATGATTTTGTTTACATCATTCCTTCTATTTTATTAGCTGTCATTCATCTGTAAAGAAAAGCTTTTCTTCCCACCCTCTTTTTGAGTGTCATTATGGACGCGTTAATTATTTTCTAATATGTTACAAGATATTACCATTTTTTTCTGATGCTCAAATTGCTCCAGATATGGACAATGAGGGCCCTTTTTTGATGTGTAACTTTTTGACATGCCCCATCATTCTCTGAATACTTGCTTTCTAGCACAACTCAATGTTCTTATACAGGATTATCTGTACCTTGCCTGCTCCAGACCGGGAATTGTTTATTTTTTCAAGGAGCTCCATTTTCTTTTATGGAAAATGGTATTTAGAAACCAAGATCTGGTGCTAAGAGTACTCATTACTACCAATGGTTTTGCTTCTACACTCTGCTAATGGGCACTATGAGGACACTATACACTTTTAAGAAATCATGAGTTCGTATCGATATTCTAATTCAAATGTAACATCAAGAGTTCATCCTCATTTTTTCCCATTTTATATTGGTATTTCCCAACAGGAAAAGATATAATTATTGATTTTTGTCACTAAAAGTGACTGAAGAACATTGTTCTAAAAATGTTATGGGATTTTCCAAGTTTTTATCCATAATAAAAAAAGATCTTTCTCCCTCTGAATAAATGTTAATGGGGCAGAGTGATTAATTTGTTTCTGATTTCACTCAATACATCATGCATGTTTCATGTACTTTTTACACATTTACTATATGGTTACTCACTATTTCTATATTATTTTCTATACATATGCCTGGGAACCTTTATTAGTATAGTTTTATCACCTCATAGAAAGAGGGAAAATTATAATGTAGTGTCAATAGTTGTGAAGCTCATTTGTAAAAACAACTCTTTAGTTTGCACACAACAGGATGTGCTCTTGAAATTTTAACAAATTAGGTCAATTAATCTATATGTTTATTTCCCTCAATATAATTATGATCTTTTTGGCAGGTGAGCAAGGAAGCGAGCCTAATAAGGTATTCTGACAGATTTTTCTGTTGGATTTTAAAAGGAAACTATTTTTAGTTTTAGAATAGAGTCCAAAGATTTATAATGACTATCAGGAAATTAAAGCAGCTGGAAAGAGCATTTAGGTGTTTCATACTACAATGCAGGAAAAGACAAATGGAACTTCACAACAAAATGATGGTCTTTATTTGATCAAAAAGAGCAAAAGAGCTCAGCAGGACATTTAGCTACCAAGCATGGAAGAGGTGACAGCTGTATGAAGCATATTTGCATGACATAAAAAGCATTGGAAACAACAGTCTTAAATATATGATGGTCATTAAATGAAAGCATATATTGTTTGCTCATGTTTTGCAATTACATAGCAAATGAGAGTAGAGTTTTTTTTCAGTGGAGACATACACTGACAGAAGAGCATTACTGACAGTATTTGGGGGGCAATCTTTATTATTTTATTATACATAACAACTTGTTTGATTATGATATGGGGCAATCAAGAAAAAGAAATTGAGCACAGTTCAGATTTTTGGTCACCTTAAGAACTAAATTGAATTATTAGATTGATCACTTAGTAACAACTCCACAGGTAATTAGTTTGTAAGATAGACAGGAGTTAAATATATAAGGTAGTGTAATCATCACCTTCCTTCAAGGTTTAGTAAAACATTATGTTGAGAAAAGCTCCAAGTAATGGCTGCTTTACTCTTCACCTTATCCAGAAATCTTTTCCTGTGTTAAATTTTCCAAATTTCAATTCAAAGTGGGAAGGAGAAGTAGAATAGATAAAAGAAAAGAAAGAACAAAAATGAAACTGGGTAAAATGATTTGTAGGCTGTAAAGTTAGAACAGTTGATCATAATATCCATAAGTATTTTTACATCACATATTCACACAGGCAATCTTAGACAATCTACCTTAACTGATTCTTACATGTTCAATATTAATATGTTGCTCTTTTTTACTTTAACCTAAGTTGTATATGAAGTAACAAGTAAAATATCTCAGGAGGTACATTAACATCTTGCTAACAGATACATTAAGGAAAATATTTCTTTTTAACAGCTTAATTACACATACAGAGAAAAATATACATACTAAATTTACAGAGCCTTCCTTTAGATTACCTATCACCTTATACACACATACAAATCCATTTGCTCATTGAAATGGGAATCCATCCCTTTTTGAAATTAACACACAACTCAGTATGAATGATAGGCAGGATGCTGTGCATTTATGTCTATTAGGATAGAGAATTGACTGCATATTTAACATGTGCACTTGTGAAAAAGGTCTGAAGCCTCACCTGTAAACAGAAGAAAATCACTAACATAGGCACATCTTCTTTTAAATATTCAAGATTCCTGCAGTTGGTGTGGGAGAATCTTTTTGTTGACCAGGGAGATTATATTGGATGACAAATAATGATGGAATATTTCCCAGTGTAGAAGATGCTTACAGGGTCCTGGTTCATGATAGTAGTAGAAATGTCTTGCACTTCCTCTTATTTACCTCTTGATTATTGGAGTTTATAAGTATCTTCATGAAGCCAGAGCTAAAACTTGAATAAGCTAGCCTTTGGCAGTAAGCAACACCTCTAAGAGGCTTTCTGTTTGATCAGAGTATACAAATCCTCCCCATTATAGAATGTTCAGGGATACTTAAACAGGGATTATATTATGTTTCCTTATATGAATTTTGTCCAGGGCTCTCATGGAGGAGAAAATAACTCTGTATATAGCTGGGGTTCAGATTTGACTGATAAGATGGGGGTGACATGACAGAAGGCAGATATCAAAGGGGAGCAACAGGGAAACTATAAGCAATTCATCACACATGAAGATATCTGTCAGGGTGGGCCACATTCAAAACATAACCCCATTGCTTCTTTTCTTCAGAATTTTGTTTGGTATTGTTGTTGTATATTTTTGTATTTTTCCATATGACTTAAAAATTAGCTTCTCTCTAATCCCAGATTAAAGATATAACCTGTTAGCGTTATTATAGGAGCCACATTACAAATTTTCTTGGGAATAATTTACGTTATGGAACACTGAATCTTTATACATTGGAACATGGCAGGCCTATCCATGTGTTATTGAACTCTTTTGATTTTTTTAAAGTTTTCTTCAACAGTACTGAACTTAAATAGAGAACCCAGAAATAAAGCTGCACACGTTCAGCCATCTGATCTTCAACAAAGCTGACAAAAATAAGTAATGGGGAAATGACTCCATATTCAATAAATGATGCTGGAATAGCTGGCTATCCATATTCAGAAGAATGAAACTAATCCCCTAACTTTCACCATACACAAAAATTTACTCAAGATGAGTTAAAGATTTAGATGTGATACCTCAAACTATAAGAATCCTAGGGGAAAACCTAGGAAATACTATTCTAGACATCAGCCTTGGGAAAGAATTTATGACTAAGTCCTCAAAAGCAATTGCAACAAAAACAAAAATTGACAAGTGGGACCTAATTAAACTAAAGAGCTGCTTCAGAGCAAAAGAAACTACCAACAGAGTAAACAGACAAACTGCAGAATGAGAGAAAATATTAACAAACTATGGTCTAATATCCAGAATCTATAAGGTACTTAAACAATTCATCAAGCAAAAAACAAATAACCCCATTAAAGAGTGAGCAAAAAACATGAACAAACACTTCTCAAAAGAAGACATACAAGTGGCTGACAACCATTTGAAAATATGCTCAACATGGTTAATCAGAGAAATGCAAATCAAAACCACAATGAGATACCATCTCACAACAGTCAGAATGGCTATTATTAAAAAGTTCAAAAACAACCAATGCAGGCAAGGCTGCAGAGAAAAGGGAACATTTATAAATTGTTGGTGGGAATGTAAATTAGTTCAGCCACTGTGGAAAGCAGTTTAGAGATTCCTCAACTTAAAACAAAACTACCATTTAACACAGCAATCCCATTACTGGGTATATACTCAAAAGAAATCATTCTACCAAAAAGACACATGCACTTATATGTTCATTACAGCACTACTCACAATAACAAAGATATAGAATCAACCTAGGTGCCCATCAATGGTGAACTGGATAAAGAAAATGTGGTACATATATGCCATGGAATACTATGCAGCCATAATAAAGAACAAAATCATTCTTTGCAGCAACAGGGATACAGCTGGAGGCCATTATCCTAAGCAAATTAACACAGGAACAAAAAACCAAATAGCCCATGTCCTCACTTGTAAGTGGGAGCTAAGCACTGTGTACATATAGACATAAAGATGGGAACAATGACACTGGGGACTACTAGAGGGGGTAGAGAGGGAGGGAAGCAAAAGCTGAAAAACTACCTATTGTGTATGATACCCACTACCTGGGTGATGAGATTATTTGTACCCCAAACCTCAGTGTCATATAATATACCTATGTAACAAATCTGCACACGTAGCCCCTGAATCTAAAATAAAAGTTGAAATTATAAATAAGTAGAAAAAAAAAGAAAAAAACCTACTGAATATTGTACTTAAAAATGAATAAGAGGGCAAATTTTATGGTATGTATATTTTACCACAATCAAAAGTATAGCAAATGAAAAATGAAGATCGGTTATTGGTAACAAAATGAAATTCAGAAAGTAAACAATCCTGCTGTGTCCAGGAAATAAACTAGATGATTTACAAAAAAGAAAAAATAAATATGTAGGTATTATACATAAAAATAATGAACTTATTAAGAACTTATTTATAAGTTCACTCCTAGGTATTTTATGATATTAGTCTATTGTAAATGGGTTATAGATACTTTTGATCCCATATATTAATATATATTCCACTACATTACTGAACTATTGTTTGCTTGCCATAGTTTTCTCAGTTGATTCTCTTGTATTTTCCATTTACACAATTATATGATCTTCAATGAAAAATAGTACTTTTTTCTTCTTTCTAATTTTTATACTTTGATTCCCCTTATCTTACATAATGGTATTAGCTATTGCATGCAGTATAATGCTAAATACTAGCGAAGACTGTGGACATTCCTAACTTCTAGCTGATTTTAATGGTAACACTTGCTGTATTTCCCTATGATGCTGAATTTGGGGCTGAGATAAATGCAGTTAATCATGTTAAATAAGCATTGGTTTATTCATACTAACTTTTAAAAGTTGAGATTTGTCATTGAATTTTGTCAAATGCCTTTGCAGCATCTATGGAGATGACATATAATTTTCTCATTGGATCAGTTAATATGATCAATTTTAAAAATAGATTTCCAAATAGTAAACAATTCTTGATTCCTACAATGAATTCCATTGCTCTTGTTTCTTATAATGTATGGCTGGATTCTGTTGACTTTGGTCAGAATTTTTTCTGTAATTTTTTGTTAAAATATGACTCACATACCATAAGATTCATTCTTTTTTTTTCCATCAACTTTTATTAAGTTCAGGGGTACATGTATTCTTTTGAAGTGTATAATTCAGTTATTTTTATTAAAATCACAAGGTTACTCAAGCATGACTACCAATTTCAGTATACTTTTATCACGCTGAAAAGAAACTTGAAAAGAAACTCCTTACCTCAATCCTCCTTCTCAATCCCCCATCCCTAACCTCTGGCAAACACTAATCTCCATTCTCCTCCTATGCATTTGCCTATTCTGGACATTTTATGTAAGTGGAATCATATAATATGTGGCCTTTGTGGCTGGCTTCTTTTACTTAATATGATGTTTTCAGGGTTCATCCATGTTGTAGTGTGTATTAGTACTTCATGCCTTTCATTGCTAAATAATGTCCCATTGTGTGGATATATCACATTTGTTTATGCATGTATACATTGATGGACAATTGGATTGTTTCTACTTTGGGGCTACTATGAATAATGTGGCTATGATTTTCCTGTAAAAGTATTTTTTGGACATAAGTTTTCTATTAACTTGAGAATATACTTAGGAGTAGAATTACTGGATTTAATGGTAGCTTTATGTGGAAAACTATTTTCTAAAATGGCTTCATCATTTTATAGTCCTATCTGCAATTTATGAAGTTTGCAATTTCTCCATATCCTTGACAACGTTTGTAATTGCCTGTCTTTTTTTAATATAACCATCCAAGTGAGTATTAAGTGGTACCTAATTGTGATTTTGATTTGCATTTTCATAATAACTCTTGGGATTGAGCATGTTTTCATGTTCTTATTGGTCATTTCTATTTTGTTAAAGAAATGTCAATTGAAATTCTTTGCCAACTTTTAATTAAAAGGTTGGTTGTCTGCTCCTGAATGACTACTGGGTAAATAATGAAATTAAGGCAGAAATAAATAAGTTCTTTGAAACAAATGAGAACGAAGACAGAACATATCAGAATCTGTGGGACACAGCTAAAGCAGTGTTGAGAGGGAAATTTATAGCACTAAATGCCCACAGGAGAAAGCAGGAAAGCTCTAAAATCAACACCCTAATATCACAATCAAAAGAACTAGAAAAGCAAGAGCAAACAAATTCAAAAGCTAGCAGAAGACAAGAAATAACTAAGATCAGGGCAGAACTGAAGGAGATAGAGACATGAAAAACCCTTCAATAAACCAATGAATCCAGGAGCTGGTTTTTTGAAAAGATTAACAAAATAGATGGACCGCTAGCCAGAATAATCAAGAAGAAAAGAGAGAGGAATCAAGTAGACACAATAAAAAATGATAAAGGGGATATCACCACTGATCCCACAGAAATACAAACTGCCATCAGAGAATACTATAAACACCTCTCTGCAATTAAACTAGAAAATCTAGAAGAAAGAGATAAATTCCTGAACCACATACACCCTCCCAAGACCCAACCAGGAAGAAATCGAACCCTGAATAGACCAATAGCCAGGTATGAAATTAAGGCAGTAATTAATAGCCTACCAACAAAAAAAAGCCCAGGACCCAACAGATTCACAGCCATATTCTACCAGAGGTACAAAGAGGAGCTGGTACCATTCCTTCGGAAACAATTTCAAACAATAGAAAAAGAGCGATTCCTTCCTCACGCATTTTATGAGGCCAGCATCATCCTGATACCAAAACCTGGCAGAGACACAACAAAAATAGAAAATTTCAGGCCAATATCCCTGATGAACATTGAGGCGAAAATCCTCAATAAAATACTGGCAAACCGAACCCAGCACCACATCAAAAAGCTTATCCACCATGATCAAGTCGCCTTCATCCCTGGGATGCATGGCTGGTTCAACATACACTAATCAGTAAACATAAACCATCACATAAACAGAACAAATGACAAAAATGACATGATTATCTCAAAAGATGCAGAAAAGGCTTTTGATAAAATTCAACACCGCTTCATGCTAAAAATTATCAATAAACTAGGTATTGATGGAACGTATCTCAAAATAATAAGAGCTATTTATGACAAACCCACAGCCGATATCATACCGAATGGGCAAAAGCTGGAAGCATTCCCTTTGAAAACTGGCACAAGACAAGGATGCCCTCTCTCACCACTCCTATTCAACATAGTATTGGAAGTTCTGGCCAGGGCAATGAGGCAAGAGAAAGAAATAAAGGCTATTAAAATAGGAAGAGAGGAAGTCAAATTGTCTCTGTTTGCAGATGACATGATTGTATATTTAGAAAACCCCATCGTCTCAGCCAAAAATCTCCTTAAGCTGATAAGCAACTTCAGCAAAGTGTCAGGATACAAAATCAATGTGCAAAAATCACAAGCATTCCTATACACCAATAATAGACAAACAGCTAAATCATGAGTGAATTCCCATTCACAGTTGCTACAAAGAGAATAAAATACCTAGGAATAAAACTTATAAGGGAAGTGAAGGATCTCTTCAAGGAGAACTACAAACCACTGCTCAAGGAAATAAGAGAGGACACAAACAAATGGAAAAACATTCCATGCTCATGGAGAGGAAGAATCAATATTGTGAAAATGGCCATACTGCCCAAAGTAATTTATGGATCCAATGCCATCCCCATCAAGCTACCATTGACTTTCTTGACAGAATTTAAAAAAAACTATTTTAAATTTCATATGGAACCACAAAAGAGCCCATATAGCCAAGACAATCCTAAGCAAAAGGAACAAAGCTGGAGGCATAGTGCTACCTGACTTCAAACTATACTACAAGGCTACAATAAGCAAAACAGAATGGTACTGGTACCAAAACAGTTATATAGACCAATGGAACAGAACAGAGGCCTCAGAAATAATGCCATACATCTACAACCATCTGATCTTTGACAAGCCTGACAAAAACAAGCAATGGGGAAAGGATTTCCTATTTAATAAATGGTTTTGGGAAAACTGGCTAGCCATATGCAGAAAACTGAAACTGGACTCCTTCCTTACACCTTATACAAAAATTAACTCAAGATGGTTAAAGACTTAAATGTAAGACTTAAAACCATAAAAACCCTAGAAGAAAACCTAGGCAATACCATTTAGGACATAGGCATGGGCAAAGACTTCATAACAAAAACACCAAAAGCAATGGCAACAAAAGCCAAAATTGACATATGGGATCTAATTAAACTAAAGAGCTTCCGCACAGCAAAAGAAACTATCATCAGAGTGAACAGGCAACCTACAGAATGGGAGAAAAATCTTTGCAATCTATCCATCTGACAAAGGGCTAATATCCAGAATCTACAAGGAATTTAAACAAATGTACAAGAAAAAAAACAACTACATCAAAAAGTGGGCAAAGAATATGAACAGACACTTCTCAAAAGAAGACATTTATGTGGCCATCAAACATATGAAAAAAAGCTCATCATCACTGGTCATTAGAGAAATGCAAATCAAAACCACAATGAGATAACATTTCATGCCTGTTGGAATGGCAATCATTAAAATGTCAGGAAACAACAGATGCTGGAGAGGATGTGGAGAAATAGGGACACATTTACACTGTTGGTGGGAGTGTAAATTAGTTCAACCATTGTGGAAGACAGTGTGGCAATTCCTCAAGGATCTCGAACCAGACATACCATTTGACCCAGCAATCCCATTACTGGGTATATACCCAAAGGATTTATAAATCATTCTACTATAAAGACACATGTACACGTATGTTTATTGCAGCACTGTTCACAATGGCAAAGACTTGGAACCAACTGAAATGCCCATCAATGATAGACTGGATAAAGAAAATGTGGCACATATGTACCGTGGAATACTGTACAGCCATAAAAAAGATGAGTTTATGTCCTTTGCAGAGACATGGATGAAGCTGGAAGCCATCATTCTCAGCAAACTAACACAGGAACAGAAAACCAAACACCACATGTTCTCACTCATAAATGGGAGTTAAATAATGAGAACACATGAACACAGGGAGGGGAACATCACACGCTTGGGCCTGTTGGGGGTTGGGGGTCTAGGGGAGGGATAGCATTATGAGAAATACCTAAGGTAGATGACGGGTTGATGGGTGCAGCAAACCACAATGGCACGTGTATACCTATGTAACAAACCTGCACGTTATGCACATGTATCCCAGAGTTTAAAGTATAATAATAAAAAAAGAAAAAACAAAAAATGTTTGGTTGTCTTTTTATAGTCTAATGTTAAATTCTTTATATATTCTGGGTCCTATATGCTTTTCAGATATATGAGTTAAAAATATTTTCTCTCGTTCTGTGAGTTGTCCTTTAACTTTCATGATAGTATTCTTTGGAGCACAAACAATTTTAATTTGATATATTCCCATTTATCTATTTTTACCCCTTTTGAGGCTTGTGTTATACATATATATTTAAGATCCCATTGCCTAATCCAAGGTCACAAAGATTTTACTGCTGTGTTTTCTTCTAAGAGTCTTATTGTTTCACTTCTTTTATTTAGGTTTTTAATCTATTTTGAATTAAGTTTTGTATATGGTGTGAAATAGGAATCCAGTTTCATATTTTAAAAGTGAATATCCAGATGTCCCAGTACCATTTGTTGAAAAGGCTATTCTTTACCCCATTAAATTTTTTGGCAACCTTGTTGAAAATAGGCAAGAAAACTAAATGAAAGGCACTCAGGTTGGTAAGAAAAAAGTACCTATTTGTAGATGAAATGATCTCGTATATAGAAAATCTTAAGGAATCCACAAAAAAATCTATTAGAGTTAATACCAAATTCAGCAAGTTCATAGGATATAAGATCAATATTATATCTTCATACATTAGTAAAACACCAATTATATCTTCGTACATTAGCAGTGAGCTATCCAAAAATGCAATCGAGTAAATAATTTCATTTACCAATAACATAAAAGAGATATTTATATATAAATGTAACAAAAGAAGTGAAGATTTGCATACGCAAAAGTACAAAACATTTGTTGAAATTAAAGATAGCAACAATAAGTGAGAGGACATCTCCTGTTTATGGATTGCAGAACATAATATTGTTAAGATGGAAATAATCCCAATATTGACCTATGGGTTCGATGCAATCCACATCAACATTCCAGCTGACTTTTTTTTTTTTTTTTTGCAGAAATTAAGCTGATCCAAAAATTCATAGGGAAATGCAAAGAACCCAGAATAGTCAAAACAATCTTGTGAAAAATCAAAGCAGACTCACCGTTTGTGATTTCAAAAGTTAATATAATGAAACAGTAATCAAGATTGTATGGTTTGGGCATAAGAGTAGACATAAAGATCAATAGAATAAAATTGAGCATTCTAAAATAAACCGATATATTTATGTTTAATTTAATTGCCCTGGCTAAAACTTTAGTACAACATTGAATAAAAGTGGTGAGAGCAGATGTTCTTCTCTTGTTCCTGATTTTAGGTGTACAAATTATAGTTGTTCACCTTTTAAGTATAATGTTAGTTGTGGGATATTAATTCATGTACTTTATTGGGTTGAGGAAGTTAACTTCCATTCTTAGTTTGTTGAGCATTTCTATCAGGAAAGGGTGTTGGATTTTTTTCACATGATTTTTCTGTGTTTATTTAGGTGATCATATGTGTTTTTTTCCATTATATTAGTATGGTATGTTATATTAATTTTCATATGTTGAACCAACCTGCTTTTCTGAGATAACTACTTGCACATGGGATGGATGGATAGATGATAGATAGATAGATAGATAGATAGATAGATAGATAGATAGATAGATGGATAGATAATGTTTTATATAAAACACATTACTAAATTCAGTTTGCTAGTTATTTGTTGTGCATTTTTGTGTCTTTATTTATAAGGGACATTAGGCTATAGATTTCTTAACTATAATGTTTTCATCTGGTTTTTGGTATGAGGATAATTCTGAATTCATAGAATGAGCTCGAAAATGTCTTCTTCTCTTTAAGAGTTTATGAAAGATTGGTATTAATTCATTTTATCACGTTGGCTACAATTCATGAGATCAGTGAAGCCCTGTGGTCCTGGGATTCTTTTATGGAACTATTTTTCAAGCTTTTTATTTGTTATATTTCTATCCAGATTTTCTATTTCTTTCTGAGTCAGTTTTGGTAGTTTGTGTACTTCTAAGAATTTGTTCATTGCATTCTACGTTATCTAATTTTTGGCACAATTTTTCATAATTTTGTATTATCCTTTTTATTTCTGTAAGGTTGTTATTAGGTTGGGGCAAAAGTAATTGCCATTAAAAACTGCAATTACTTTTGCACCAACCTAATAGTAATGTCCCATCATTCACTGTTGATTTTAGTAATGTGAGTCTCCATTCACTTTTGTTTGGCCAGTCTACCTAGTTTTTTCAATGTGGTTATTTTCAAAAACCAACATTTGGCTTCATTAAATTTCTCTATTGTTATTCTGTTTTCTATTTCATTTATTCCTTCTGTGATCCTAATTAGTTCCTTTATTTGGCTTGATTTGGGTTCGGTTTGCTCTTCTATTTATAAGTGATTAAGGTGGTAGGTTATATTATCGATTCAAGATTTTTCTTCTTTTCTGATATAGATATATAAAGCTCTAAATCACCCTATAAGGACTGCTTTCACTGCATCACATAAATTTTAAGATGTTATATTTTCATTTTCATTTACTTATTTTCATTTATCATTTCCCATGTGATGTTTTTCTTCAACACACTTATTATTTAGGGTATGTTGTTTAATTTCTACACATTTGAAATTTTTCCAGATTTCCCTCTGTTATTTATTCTAATTTAATTCCAATTTATTCTAATTTAAATTCTAATTTAATTTAATTAGAATTTAATTCTAATTAAATTCCATATTTTACAAGATTACATTGCTTTAATTTTTTATTTTTTAGTTTTTAAATTTTATGGGTACATAATAGGTGTGTATACTTAAGGGGCACATAAGATATTTTGATACATGCATGCAATGTGTAATCACATCAGGGCAAATTTGGTATTCAAGCATTTATCCTTTGTGTTACAAACAATCTAATTATACTCCTTTAGTTATTTTAAATGTGCAATTAAATTATAAATTATTTTTGACTATAGTTACCCTGCTGTGCTAGCAAATACTAGGTCTTATTCTTTCTGTGTAACTATTTTTTACACCGATTAACCATCTTCACTTCCCTTCCCACTCTCCCTCCCACTATCCTTCCCAGCCTCTGGTAACCATCTTTCTATTCTTTATGTCTATGAGTTCAATTATTTTAATTGTCAGCTCTGACAGATAAGTGAGAACACACAATGTTTGTTTTTCTTTGCTGGCTTATTTCACTTAACATAGTGACCTCCAGTTCCATTCATGTTGTTGCAAATGACTGGAGACTCCATTGTGTATACGTACCACATTTTCTTTATCCATTCATCAACTGAGGGACACTTAACTTGCTTCCAAATCTTGGCTATTCTGAATAGAGTTGTTATAAACATGGGAGTGCAGATATATACTGCACTTATATTCCTTCTGTCCCCAGTTTTTCAGGGTTTTTATCATGAAGGGATGTTGAATTTTATATATCCAATAGATATCCAATATACTGATTTTCTTTGTTTGGGGTATATACCCAGCAGTGGAATTCCTGGATTGAATGGCAGCTCTATGCTTGGTTTTCTGAGGAGCCTCCAAACTCTTTTCCGTAGTAGTTGTACTAATTTACATTCCCACCAACAGTGTACAAGGATTCCCTTTTCTCCACATCCTCATCAGCATTTGTTATTGCCTGTCTTTTGGATATAAGCCATTTTAACTCTGGTGAGTTAATATCTCATGGTAGTTTTGTTTTCCATTTCTCTGATGATCAATACATGATGAGCACCTTTTCATATGTCTGTTTGCCATCTGAATGTCTTCTTTGGAGAGAAGTCTATTCAAATATTTTGCCAATTTTTTGATCAGCTTATTAGAATTTTTTTCTATAGAGTTGTTTAAGCTCCTTATATATTCTGATTGGAATCCCTAGTTAGAGGGATAGTTTGTAAATATTTTCTTCCATTCTGTGGGTTGTCTCTTCACTTTGTCGATTGTATCATTTTCTGTGCAGAAGCTTTTTAACTTGATGCAATCCCATTTGTCCATTTTTGCATTGGTTGTCTGTGCTGCTGGGTATTGCTCAAAAAATCTTTGCTCAGACCAATGTTCTAGAAATTTTCCCCACTGTCTTACTGTAGTAGTTTCACAGTTTGAGGTCTTAGTTTAAGTCTTTAAACCATTTTGATTTGATTTTTGTATATAGCAAGAGATAGGGTTCTGTAGTATAATTTGAAGTCAGATAATGTGATTCCTCTAGTTTCGTTCTTTTTGCTTAGGATAGCTTTGCCTATCCTGGGTCTTTTTTTAGGATTGTGTTTTCTATTTCTGTGAAGAATGTCATTGGTATTTTGATAGGGATTGCATTGGATATGTAGATTGCTTTGGGTAGTATGGACATTTTAACAATGTTGATTCTTCCAATTTGTGAACGTGAAAGATTTTTCCATTTTTTGATGTGGAGATGGTTAACAGGTGTGAAAAAATAGTTACACAGAAAGAATAGGACCTAGAATTTGCTAGCACAGCAGGGTAACTATAGTCAAAAATAATTTATAATTCCTAGGTATATAATTTTATGTGTGGCTGTTGTAAATAGGATTACGTTTAATTTCTTTTTTCAGATTGTTCATAGATGGTATATAGAAATGCTACTGATTTGTGAGTGTTGATTTTGTATCCTGAAACTTTAATGTATTTATCAGTTCTAATAGTTTTTTTGTGGAGTATTCAGGTTTTTTTCAAATATAAGATCACATCATCTGCAACGATAATTTAACTTCTTCCTTTCCAATTTGGATGCCTTTTATATCTTTCTCTTGTCTGATTGCTCTAGCTAGGACTTCCAGGACTATGTTGAATACAGTGGTGACAGTGGACATCCTTGTCATGTTCCATATCTTAGAGAAAAGGCTTTCGGTTTTTCCCCATTCAGTATGATACTAGCTGTGGGTCTGTTGTGTATGGCTTTCATTATATTGAGGTATATTCCTTCTGTCCCCAGTTTTTCAGGGTTTTTATCATGAAAGGATGTTGAATTTTATCAAATGCTTTTTCAGTTTTTATTCTTTACTCTGTTGATATAATGTATCACATTGATTGGTTTGCATATGTTGAACCATCCTTGCATCTCGGGGACAAATTCCATTTGGTCATGATGAATGATCTTTCTAATGTATTGTTGAATTCTGTTTTCTAGTATTTTATTGAAGATTTTTGCATCCATACCCATCAAATATATTGGCCTGTAGTTTTCTTTTTTGTTGTTGTGTCTTTGTTTTTGTTTGTTTGTTTGTTTGTTTTTTTGTTTTGTTTTTTATCAGGGTAATACTGGCCTTATAAAATGAGTTTCAAAGTATTCCCTCCTCCTCTATTTCTCGGAATAGTTTGAGTTGGATTGGTATTAGTTCTTTAAAAGTTTGGTAGAATTCAGAGGTGAAGCCCTCAGGTCCCAGGCTTTTCTTTACTGAAAGACTTTATTATTATTATTATTATTATTATTATTATTATTAGGGCTTTAATCTTGTTACTTGTTATTGGTAGTTAATGTTTTGCATTTCTTCATGGTTCAATCTTGGTAGGTTGTATGTATCTAGAAATTTGTTCATTTCTTCTAGATTTTCCAATTTATCGGCATATAGTTGTTCATAGTCTCCACTTGTGACCCTTTGAATTTCTGCAGTATCAGTTTGTAATGTCTCGTTTTTCATTTCTAATTTTATTTATTTAGACCATCCCTCTTTTTTTCATAGTTAGTATGGCTAAAGGTTTGTCAATTTTGTTTAACTTTCAAAAAGCCAACTTTTTGTTTCATTCATCTTTTGTATTTTTTAATTTCAATTTCATTTATTTCTGCTCCGATCTCTATTATTTCTTTTCTTCTAGCTATTTTACATTTGCTTTGCTCTTGCTTTTGTAATTATTTAAGATTCATTGTTAGATTTTTTTTATTTGAAGTTTTTCCTCTCTTTGATGTAGGCACTTACACCTATAAACTTCTCTCTTCGTAGTGCTTTTGCTTTAACCCATAGGTTTTGGTATGTTGTGTTTCCATTATCACTTGTTACAAAAAATTTTTCAATTTTCTTCTCAATTTTTTCATTGACCCACTGGTCATTCAGGAGCACATTATTTAATTTTCATGTATTAAAGCTAGCACAGTGCTGGATCTCTCCCAAGGCCTGCTGTAACTACCCCCTGACCACTGCTTATGTTTGCTCAAGACCCTGGGCCTCTACAATCAGCAGGTGGCAAAGTTACCCAAGTCTCTGTCCTTCCTTCTTCCTTTCAGGGCAGCAAGGTCTTCCAGGTGGGTTCCGAGGTGCTATCCAGGAGTCAGGGACTAGAGTCAAAAACCTTAGAAGTATACCTGTTATTCTATTGTATTGCAGCTGAGCTGGCTTTCAAACAACAAAACACAGTCCTTCCCACTCTTCCTTCCCCCTTCCAAAGGCTGAGGAGCCTCATCCCATAGCCACTGCCACCCAAGGCCACGAGGAGTACTACCAGACTACTAGCCAATGTTCCCTTAAGGCCCAAGGACTCTTAAGTCAGCTTGTGGTGAATACTTCTTGGCCTGGGGCTCACTTTTCAGGGCAGTGGGCTCCCATTTGACCCAGAGTAGGTCTAGAAATGCAGAACAAAAGTCAAGTCCTGGAATTGGGGACCAGAAGAGTTCACTTGATGCTCTATCGCCTGTGGCTGTGCTGGTACCTAAGGTGCAAGACAAAGTCCCCTTTACTTTTCCCTTTGCCTTTCTCAAAAAGAAGCAGTTTGCCCCATAGCCAGCACAGCTGGTAATGTGCTGTCTCACCTGAAGCCAGCAAGACTCAGAGGCTCACCCAATGCCCTCAGTGTAGTACCTAGGTATAGCTGCTTGTTATTCAGGGCCCAGGGGCTTTTCAGTTAGCAGGTGACGAATACTGCCAGGACTGGATCCTTTCCTTCAAGGCACTGGGTTCCCTTCTGACCCAGGATATGTTTAGAAATGTCACCTGGGTGCTATGGCCTAGAACGGGGGCCTCATGAGTCTGCCCATTGCCCTATTCTACTGTGGCTGAACTGGTATCCAAAGCGCAAGACCAAGTCCTCTTCAGTCTTCCCTCTCTTCTCCTCTCCTCTCCTCTCTCCTCTCCTCAAGCAAAAGGAAACGGTCTCTTTTGGAGCCATGAGCTGTGGTCCCTAGGGTTGGCAGACAGGTAGTGTAAGCACTCCCTTATCTGTCCCAGCTGCTGTCTCAGTAGGTT
This sequence comes from Homo sapiens, assembly GCF_000001405.40. Taxonomy (NCBI): domain Eukaryota; kingdom Metazoa; phylum Chordata; class Mammalia; order Primates; family Hominidae; genus Homo; species Homo sapiens. Next base: position 98,118,521 of record NC_000023.11, on the reverse strand, counting down.
GCACACCCCCCAAGTCAACTGGTTCCAGGCTTAGCTCAGCACTAAGAGTTGCCTAGACATTGCAGTCCTTGTGGCCTAGACTGCTTTTCAAGTTCATTTAGGGCCCCATAGCGCTTTAGCCCGTGACGACAAGGCTTGCCGAAAGTGAAGTTCTGATCACTGGAATGGTCAATTCCCCTCTGGCTAGGCCTGGTCTAAATGCTCCCTCCATGGGCAGGCATCATCTGAGTTCAGTCCAGTTTTCTTTCTGCTATGACAGGGCAGCACTGAGTTCAATGCAAAGTCTCACAATTGCTGCACCTTCCTTTTCCCAAGTGCACAGATTCTCTCTCCACACCACATGGCCACTGCCAGAGAATGGCAGAGAGAGGTGGTGTTGGTGATTCAAGACTATCTTTTCTACCATCTTCAGTCCCTCTTTCAGTGATATAAAGTTAAAACCTGGTACTGTAAGTGCTCACCTGATTTTTGGTACTTATGAAAGTGCTTTTTTCTGTAGGTAGTTGTTACATTTGGTGTCCCTGTGGAAGTGGGGGACCATTGGTGGAACCATTAATTTGGCCATCTTGCTCTGCCCCAGTCCCTCATTGCTTTTAAATTTAGTGACTTTTATTTTATGCCTAAGATATGGTTTTTCTCAGAAATTGTTTTATGTGCACTTGGGAAAAATACATATTCTGCTTTTGTTGAGTGGAGTGTCATATGGATGTTTGTTAAATATAGTTGGTTTGTAGTGCTGTTCAAGTGTTCTTTTTCCTTTGTGATTATGTATCTGTGATATTTATCTCTATTACTGTTAAATTATTTGTCCCATCAATTCTTGTAGTTTTTAAGTTTCTGTTTTTAGGTGCATATGTGTTTATGATTGTTATATCTTCTTAATGGATTGACTCTTTTATCACTAAGAAATGTTCTTCTTTGTCTCTAGTAAGATTTTTGTTTTTAAAGTCTATTTTGTCCAATATTAATATCACAATGGTTCTCTTTTGGGTAATGTTTGCATATTTTTTTCATTATTTTATTTTTCAATCTATTTGCATCTTTGAATCTAACGTTTCCCTCCTGTAGACATCATATAATTCGATAATTTTTGAAATTCTGTGCTGCCAATTTCTGTCTGTTAATCAGAACGTAATCCATTTTGTTTCATGTAATTACTAACAGGTAGGATTTATGTCTGCTATTTGTTTTTTGTATGTCTTATGTCTTTTTTTCTGTATGCCTCCACTATTCTAGTCTTCTGTATTAAATGGATATTTAGTGTTCTATACTATTTTAATTATCTTGTTGCTTCTTTTGCTGTATGTTTTTAGATTATCTCAGAGGTTTCTGTGGAATTTGCAATTGGCATCTCAACTTCTAATGATTTTTTGGGATCATTACCAACTTAATTTCAAAAAAATAATAACTTTGCTCCTTAGCTGGGCCCAGTGGTTCATGCTCATAATCTCAGTGCTTTGGGAAGCTGACACAGGAGGATCACTTGATGCTAGGAGTTCGAGACCAGCCTGAGCAACACAGAGAGACTTCACCTCTACAAAAAAATTTAAAAATTAGCTAGGTGTGGTGGCACGTACCTGTAGTCCCAGCTAATTGGGAGGCTGAGGCCAGAGGATTTCTTGAGCTCAGGAGTTTTAAATTGCATTAAGCCATGATTATGTCACTGTACTCCAGTCCGGGTGACAGAGAGAGATCCTGTCTCAAAAAAAAAAAAAAGACAACAACAAAAAAAACTTTGTTCCTACATAGCTCCATTTCATATTATTTGTGCTGTTGTCATCAAAATTACATCTTTATGTATTGTGTGTCTATGAATTTAGTCTGCTTTCATTTTAATCATATAGAAAAAAATTTCAAAAATATATTTATTTTATATTTACTTATGTAATTGCTTTTTAGTTCTCCACCTGTTTATTTACTTACTTTTTTAAGAGACAGAAGGTGATCTTACCTCACTGCAGCCTCAAACTCCTGGCTCACCCAATCCTCCCACCTCAGCCTCCCAAGTAGCTGAGACTACAAGTGCATGCCACCACACTGGGTAATTTTTAAATTTTTTGTAGATGGAATCTCACTTTGTTACCCAGACTAGTCTTGAACTCCAGGCTTCAAGGAATCCTCCCAACTTGGCCTCCCAAGTAGCTGAGACTACAAGTACATGCCACCACACTGGGTAATTTTTAAATTTTTTGTAGGTGGAATCTCACTTTGTTACCCAGACTAGTCTTGAACTCCAGGCTTCAAGGAATCCTCCCACCTTGGCCTCCCGAAGTGCTGCAATTACAGGCATGAGTACTACTCCCGGCTTCTATTTATTTCATGTGGATTGGAAATTCTGTCTAGTGTCCTTTCTTTTTCTTTTATTTCCTTTAAGTACTCCATGATGTTTTACTTCTTGTGGCTACTTGACTGGGATATGGAGTGCCCAGGTTAAAACATATTTCTGAGTGTGTTTGTGAGAGTGTTTCTGGATGAGATTAGCATTTGAATCAGCAAAGCCATGGGGGCAGGGCGGTCTGAGTCTCGAGGGCTCACCTCTTGCACCAGTGTGCTCAGGATGAAGGACATGGGGTCAAGGATTATTTTGGAATTATAAGGTTTATTGTCTGCCCTGCTGTATTTCAAACTACTTGCATGGGGCCTATTACTCCTTTCTTTTGGCTAATTTCTCCCTTTTGGAATGGGAATGTTTTCTCAATGCCTATACCACCATTGTATCTTAGAAATAACTTGTTTTTAATTTTACAGGCTCAGAGCTGTAAGAAATTTGCAAGTCTCAGTTGAGACTTTAGACTTAGGACTTTAAAGTTACTGGTGAACTGAGTTAGGACTTTAGGGAATATTGTGGATTGGAAATTCTGTCTAGTGCCCTTTCTTTTCATTTCCTTTAAGTACTCCATGATGGTTTACTTCATGTGGCTACTTGACTGGGACATGGAATGCCCAGGTTAAAACCTATTTCTGAGTGTGTTTGTGAGAGTGTCCCAAAAGTCCATACTGGGAAAATGATTGTATTTTGCAATGTGAGAAAAACATGAGATTTTGGTGGCTTTTGGTGGAACGATATAGTTTGGATACTTTTCCAACCCCCCCAAATCTCATATTCTCTATCTTTGTTAATTTATTAATTCAAACTTTAATATTTTGCTGCTGTATCTCTAATTTTAAGTCAGATTACTAATTCACTTGCTTACATTCTGCTTTTTTACTGATATACGTATTTAAGGTCCTGAATTTTCCCCCAGCATTGCTTTAGCTGTGTCTCTCAGGTAGTGATGTATAATGCTTTTATTATATTATTTTAGAGACAATATACTTCAATTTTGTATTTCCTATTTGATGCTCTAAAATTATAGGAATCTGTTTTTAATTTGCACAGAGAAAACATTGTTTTCATAATTTAAAAAAAGAATTACAAATCTCTAGACTCATTTCATTGTAATGAATCATCATCCTACCTGTGTATTCTTTTATAAATTTCTCCTTTTTTTCCTATGATTTCTGATCTGTGAATGCTGTTACTATGTTACTTAATGTTAAATATATGACTATTTTATCTTACATATAAATTGCATCCTTTATCACTTTGGAGTGTCCTTCTCCATCCGTTTCAGTGCTTTTGGCCTTAATTCTACCTTGTTTATATTAAAAACCTGACCTTTGCCATTTTTTGTTTGCATTTACCTGGGATATATTTTTACTTGCCACCCTTTTGAGTAACTGTGTTTTATGTGTATCTCTTATATATACAATGTAGTGTTTAGTTTTGCTTTGTGATACAATCTTAAATTCCTCTTTTCCTTAGATTGGTAATGCAAGTCTATTTATCTTTGCAGATGGTAAAGGTATATGTGTTCTTTTTTTATAATAAAATAATGAATGCACTAATATACCCTTTCTCAGAATTTTCTTTTGTATAGTCAAATATATAGCTATTACTTGCCTCAACTATTCCTATGCCTTATTATATTTAAGGCATATAAGATGATTCCCCTCTATTACAATTAGCTAATCAGTACACTTACTCTACCTACACATTCTTTTCTCTACTTCTCCCAATTGGTATTAATTACATGACTTTGACATTCTTAAGGCATATAACATTTACCTTCTGCTCTTTCACTCTATTCCCACATTTGTTTTGGCTTTATTTATACAGTTAAAAGTATTCAAAATTCATTGCCAATCTTTTAGCTTAATTTTCTTTGTCATCACTTGTTTTGGCTCAAAATGGTTCTCTTGCAGTATCCTCATAAAAGCTCACAGAACAATAGCCTCTGAAATCTGGCCAATTCAAATGCATGTGTCTACAGTCTTTACACATGAAGGACAGTTTGACTGGATGTAAATCATTGGCTCGCATTTTCTATCCCTGAACTCTTTGTAGATGTTTCACTATCTTTTAGTATAGAATTGTTCTATGGAAAAAATTGAGGCTAGTTTAATTCTTTTCTCTCTATACGTGACTTGATCTTTTTGTCTGACTGTTCAAAGAATTATTTAACTATCTTTAACAACCCACAACTTTACTAGGACATTTCCCAGCATTGACCATTCTGGTTCCATTTTCTCTTACACACAGTGTCCCTTACACAGTTCTTTCTATATATATATATAGCTTTGCCTTCTCTTTTTTAGTAGAGTTTTATTGAATAATGTATTGAAATATTTGTTCTATTTCATTGTTTTAATTTTCTTCGTTAGGTACTCCAGTTACACATAAGTTCACTCTCCTTTGCCAGGCTTCTAAGTCTATCATTGCCTCACCCATTCCTTTTAAACTCTTTATTCACTTTATTATTATCATCATCATTTACTTCCCAATTTCTATCTTCCAAGTTTCTAACCACATCTTAAAAAAATTTTTTTTTCTCTCTACTCTTATGCTACTCAACACAGTATACTTCTGTGCCCAAAATGTGCAGAGATTTCTCACAATGGACAACAACTGGGTGTCTATAATTTTAAGTCAATTCCTATACTATCTATCTGGGATAGCATCACATCCCACAGGTTGAGGGCTCAGTCCCACAAGACTGCCCCTGACTTCAGATTCCAATGACAAGCAGGAGGTTGTAACCTACACTTCTCATTAATCAGCTATAAATTGGGGGTTCACATAACACTCTCCTCATTAATTAATTGGCTAGAGTGCCTCACAGAACTCAAGGAATTTCTTTACTTACATCCATTCATTTATTATGAAAGATATTTCTAAGCATACAGATGAATAGCGAAATGAAAAAGATGCACAGAGTAAGGTATGTGGGAAGGGGCATGGAGCTTTTGTGCCTTTCCCAAACATAATACCCTCCAGGAACTTCCATGTTTTCAGCAATCCAGAAGCTCTTCTCACCCTGTCCTTTTGGGGTTTTATGAAGGCTACATTACACAGGTATAGTTGATTACATCATTGGCCATTGGTCATAAAATCAATTTTAGCCCCTCTCTCCTTCCTGGAGGTCAGGATTGGACTGACAGTTCCACCCATCTAATGACATGGGTCATTTTCCTGGCAACTAGCCCCCATCCTGATGCTATCCAGGAGCCCACCAAAAGTTACCTCATTAGAACAAACGATGAGTCTGTCACCTGATTTTGGAGGCCTTTGCCCTATCCTCCTATCACTCAGTAAATTATAAAGGTCTTAGGACCGCTCTCTCTCTCTCCTCTCTCTCTTTCTCTCTCTCTATATATATACACACACACACACACATACAGTCTTTACTTATATATATAATCTTCTATATATATATGATTATACATTATTTCACAGTATCACACCCAATTTTCCATACTGTTTTCTTCTGTCATCCCACCACTTTTGTTTTTGTTTCAGGTTTTTGTTAAAATTAATGCTCTTATTTCCTTAGTGATTCCAGCTCATACTTCATTGCTTCTGTTGTCACATCATTTCTTTCCTGACTGTACATTTCTGATCTGTGATTTTTGTTTTTAAATGTGATTGATCCATTGTCTTTAAATCGTGTATTGAAACACATTCTGGTGAATGTTCTTTTGTTTCTAAATTTTGCAGCCCTTTTCTGTATTTTTCTTATGACATTTTTTGTGTCAATATCATGCCAGTTTTTCCCTATATTATTCATTACTGAATTAATTGGATTTTTCTAGACCAGCTATTTATAGGTTGGTTGGAAAGGGAGCAACTGTAGCCCTCTAAGCTTTATACCCAAAGAATTACTTCTACTTTACTGCCACAGAGGCAGATGACTTCCTGCAAATGTGGCTTGTGCATGTGATTCTTCATCTAGCTCTATATCTTATTATTTGAAAGAAATGGGGTCTCACCCTGCTAATCCATTTCTCACACTTAGTTTTCAGCAAAAACTAAGGACAACTTCCCTTCAGGAAGTTGTTTGTGCTGGTATTATTGTGAATCTGCTACCTCTGGACTAATGAGTCACTCTCCATATTTCTTGTTTTCATTGCCATCCTTGTGACTTTTAACTGATCTGTGAATTAAATCTGTCTCATAGTCTTTTGGAAACTGTGGTTTGAGGGTCATGTACTTACTGGAATCGCTTCTTCTTCCTCTATTATAATAGGAGGGAAAAACCAAATATGGGAGCAGGCACTCCTATGTTCTGTTTTTGTTTTTGTTTTTTCTGATTTAATGATGATGAAGCAATTTCTGTCTAATAAGTTCTACTTTCTCTATAAAATCCGAGACATAGGGCAGTGATGGTTTGTTTAAATATTTAGGAAGAATAAACAAGGTAAGAAAACGGAATTGCAGAGAGTTTGAAAGCAAAGTTAAAGAGACATTTGTTAATATTGCTGGGATTTTCTGAGTACTAATTTTGTTTGCATGATCACACATGTAGGGTGTTAGATACTAATCTACATGGTTGTTTGATTCTTATCTGCTGGGCAAGAGACTGATCATTTAGATTCAAATTTTTCCAGGTTAATGCTATTGAAAAAGAGGCAAGCTATAATGACTATGTGATCCTAATAGAAACAGGGGTTTTAGCAAGAGGGAGGAGAAGCAAATGTCTATAAGTAATATTGAGGAACAAGGAAGATACCAATTTCAACTTCTGAGTTACCTGGATTATGAAAGGAAAACAAAACAATGTCCACTTGAGATGCTAGCAAGAAAAAGAAAGAATTTTTTAGGAACTACCAAATTTCAGGTTAGATAAGTAAATGAAGGACACATTCAGAGAAGCTGTGCATACAGAGCAGTTTTCTGATAATGAAGCAAGTTTCTGAAAACAGACTGAAAAGATCATGGGGAACAACTCTGAGTAGCTAAGGAGGTTCCTCTAACCATCTCCAGTTTTCAGTGTTCATTAATTTTCCTAATTGTGGCTAGGGAAGTATGCCTGAGTTGATTCTATTGGAGTCCTAAGTTCAGTGGTACGTACATAGTAAGTGGCAGAATTGGATGAAACACAGAACCACTCTAAACCAGTACTTTCTTGTTTTCATAGTGCTGTTATGAAGATTAGGGAGAGATCACACATATATAAAGTAGCAAGCATGAGGCCTGGCATATGGTAGGGACATCAAATATTTGTACGTTCTTTCTTTCTCATTCTGTAAGGTATTCTGTGAAGGTTTCATTGACATACAGTAAAGATCTTTTTGATACATTCTAGTGAGATCTGTCTTTAGCACTTTCCTTTCATAGGCAGCTATTTGGGCCGCCTCCTCCCTCATTCCCTTTCATAGATGCAGTCTCCTTCCCTACCTTCATTCTTTTTGCGTTGGAAGTTATCAGAAGACTTAAGGCGGGTGTGAACACTGTCTTCTAACATTGCTGTGGTCTTATTGCTGGCTATGACAATACCTTTTCCCAGGATTACGCCTCTTCTTCCAATATTTCTCTGCTATAGAAAATATAGGCATGTATATAAATTTGCCATGGAATGAAAATTCCCAGGGGCAATGGTTTTAGGTATATATGTCAACATCATTCTGCCTTCGAGATCCTAATTCCTCGGAGTTTTACAGTATAATCACGTAAGACTTAATATTAAGAATTAAGTTGGGTGGCAATTTTAAAAATAGTTGGGTATCAAGCAAAGAGCTCTTTCACTATTTGACAACTTATCAGAAAGGCATTTCAGTCTTTTAGTGTTTCTTCTACATCCACTTTTCCTTTGACTGTTATCATAAGCAGGGTATGGATGACCAAAGCTACTCTATATTGAATTGACAGGGTGCAGGCAATTAGGCATTGTTGTCTTGCTGATACATTCACTGTCAAACTGTGACAACAGCTGGCAGGGGTGAAAGATACCCTGGGAATATTTCTAGGAGATCAAATGAGAAGTCTTTCTTTGAGTGTGATAGGTGTTGTTTATGGATCCCTTGAGGAGAAAGTGTCTCTCTCAATATGAGTTAAATGTTTAATCTCTGTACTGTGCTGAGAACACTGTCCAGGCTAAACAAATCATGTCCTTTTATTCCATTTATATGCAATTGAACAAAGAGTTATCATTCTAACAGCATTTAAACATGTAAACCTGACCTATCTCTATGCAACAATGTCTCTTTCTATTAGCTGTAGATAATATAGCATATAATTACGTAATACAGTCATGTACTGTATTTGCAGTCTCCTCAGATAGAAGGGTGTTGAGTTATGCCAAATGAATCATGTAAAACACATACCGGTTCTTTGCTAATTGGCCAATTGTCAGGTACTAAAATTCAGAGGAATAAAGGGGCATAATAATTTGACATTTGCAAAATTCCTATTTTCTACTGGTTCACAACCTTCTGAAATAAATATATACATTGACCAGATTCAGAGCACAGCTGTACCAGCTGTAACATCGAATGCATTCTGAATTCTCATCTCTACTCTATTTTCACAGATTGCTGTGGAGTTGTGAGGAGTGGCCCACTTGGTTTCATAGCAGAATGATAGTTTATTATCCATGAGTGACTGGGTGCATAAGGGGTGGTGGCGGGGGGCGGGGGTGTTAGTAAGAGAGAGGAGGAAGAAATGAAGAAAGGAGGGAGAAAAGTCAGGGCAAGTCACACAATAATAATGTTTGTTGGGAGTGACTGCTGCATTACAGCAAACTATTCTCTATATTAGAAAAGGCAATAAAGGACATTATGTCAGGCAAAAGACTGATAAGGAATGTACTACATGATTTCTAAGGCACATAGACTTCTGATGTTTTCTTTTTCTTTTTTAAAAGGTGGATCCAAATCCAATAAGCTAACCTCTGAATGGATTTCCTTTTAGTTATTCTGAATTACGAATTCTGAGTACCAGATACTGAATCAGAGAGAACTGCCCCAGTGATGATTACCAGTTGAACCACAAAGCTCTTCAAAGTGGGTTGTATCTTTTCTGTGCAAATTCTTCATTCTATTTAACAACATCACTGTATTACTAAGTCATAAAGTGGTATTCTTATTATAGAAATGCTAGAAGTTCTATACAACTAACTGCTGGCTGGAATTATCTCACAAAATGTTACCCAGTTTTCATACCTCAAGGAAAGAGCATTACCTTAGAGTTGAAGCTTGAAAAGTAAAAAGAAAACTATAGAAATCAAACCTTTTACCATATTTGGGTCATATTTTAACTTTCTCTATGTTACCATAATAGAGATTTCTATTGTTCCTTAAAGTCTATGCAAGTAAATGTCCCTTGAAAATGACCAATAAAAGAGAGAGGCCACACAAACAGAAGGTTTTCATGTTATGCAATTGATAAGAGTTAAGCGTTAGTAATTTGAGTACTGAATTCTCATTCCAGTTGTGTTTTCTCCTTTGTCATCTGTAAAATGTAAATAATCAAATGGCCCTAATTTTAAGTCTGCAACAGAAATTATCATTAGTACTGTTTTCTGGAGTTTGCAAATGAGAGGTGAAGAGTTTTATTGTTAAGTATTGCTTGCCAAAGGCAGCAGCTCTCATGTCGTATTTTGCTGGAACAATGAAGTGCCAAAGCAGGAATGTGCCAGAGCACTCATCATAATAAAGAATTAACTCAAGGTTACGAGGGAGGTTGACTCCAGCTTGTTCCTGCTATAAGAGTTCCATAGTCTCTGATCTTCCTATTTCCTGAAATTGTCTTCCAGTTTCTGTTGCTAGAGTAATACTTAAGGAGAAACAAGAAGCCACAATTTATTTGATATCCCTTTTCCTTAGACTTACACATAAGTAAGTAGAACTCAGTGCAGAAGTAGAGAGAAGGTAAATATGAGAAGGGTTTAATCTCCATGGAGTACTTATAATGCTCCTCTCTGGCTTGGCTTAATGAGATATTTTTAGCTTTGTGTTTTTTAACTGGTGTGGGCTCTCCAGGAATGAAGGGTGGAGATGTGCTCAATTTATACCCAACATATCCTAGATCAGTAAATCACAAACTGAGGTCCAAGGTTTATCTGTATATTAATCACTGGGATGCTGATTAAAACTAAAAATTCCAGAGCCACGCCCAAAAACTACTGAAAAAAAATCTCTTAGAATAGGGTTTGGGATACTTTCTAAAGGTGCTTGGAGAAGAAAGGAGTTGACCTAAGCAACTTTGTAAAACAGTGTTTTGAACAGACAGTGTTAGGCTAAATACAAAAAAAATGAAAACAAAAAACTACAAAATGGGCTTTTGCTGATAAATTGGTTTCTCACAGTAAAAGGAATTAGCAATTCTGAAATTACTCGTATAATAGGTTTGAACAAATGAGTAAATATATTGTAGATAATTGAATCAGGTTTCACACTGTCTGAGGAAATAAACAAGGAGGAATGCTAGAATGAACCCTGTGGTACTAGATTAGACTTGGAGATATCAGTATGAAGTCACGTTTGTGTGTGTGTGTATATATATATACACACACACACACACACACACACACACATACATACACACACACATACATACACACAATATAAGCAACCAAGGATATTTGGAGAAATGGCTGATTCTAGGGCTAGGTCAGAGAAAATAGAAACTGTACCTGTAGTATCTTGTGGTTCATGAAAGTAAGGAAGAACTCAAGAAGAAAAACAAAAGAAAGAAAAGGACATTGGAGTCAGTCTAAAAGACATCCCAATTGCCAAAGATGGAACAATTTGAGTAACGAAATAAATAATAATATTGGATTATAGCCCAAAGAATAAAATAAACATCTGAGAGTCCATACTAACATAAGTAAATAATAGGGATGAAGGGATAAATCTTCCTTGCAGAAAAATTCCAATTAATAAATGTAAAATAAATAAAGAAACTAGAAAATCACCATTAGTATCACAGTGATAGGAAGAGGGATAGAGCAAGATGGTGGAATAGAAGGCTATACAGATCTTTCTTCTCGCAAGGACATCAATTTAACAACTACACACACATACAAACAAACACCTTTGTAAGAACCAAAAGTCAGGTAAGCATTCACAGTACCTGGTTTTAACTTCATATCACTGAAAGAGGCACTGAAGAGGTAGACTAAACAGTCCTGAATCACTGATGCCATCCCTCCTGGGCCCCCTGGCAGCAGCAGTGTGGGGGGCAGAGCATTTCTGTGTCCTGGCGAGAAGGAGAGCCAGTACTTGTGAGGCATTGAACTCAGTGCAGTTCTATCACAGCAGAAAGCAAAACCAGACCAACCTCAGCTGATGCCTGCCCACAGAAGGAGCATTTAAACCAGTCCGAGCAAGAGGGAAATCACTGATCCCAGTGGTTGGAATTTTAGTTCCCACAAGCCTTACCACCATGGGCTAACATGCTCTCAACCCCAAATAAACTTGAAAGGCAATCTAGACCACAAGTACTATAACACCTATGTGAGTTCTAGGGCTCAACTGGGCTCAGAGACAGTGGACTGGGGAGCACATGACCTACTGAGACACCAGCCATGGTGGCAAACGGCGTGCTGGCATCACCCCTACCCTAAACCTAGGCTACACTGCTCACAGCACCAAAAGAGACCTCTTCCTTCCACTTGAGGGGAGAAGATGGAATGGTGGGGAGGACTTTGTCTTGCATCTTGGTACCAGCTCAGCCACAGCAGCATAGGGTAGTGGCCAGAGTCAAGAGGCCTTCATTCCAGGTCTTAGTTCCTGGACATTTCTGGACAAACCCTGTGCCAGAAGGGAACCCACTCCTTGAAAAGAAGGACCCAGTCCTGGCAGTTCTCACCACCTGCAAACTGAAGAGCCCTTGAGCCCTGAATAACCAGCAGCAATACCCAGATGCTTCATGAAGGGCTTTGGGTGAGACTCTGACACTTGCTGACTTCAGATACCAGCTTAGCCACAGGACCTAGAACACCAAATGGGCACTTGGGGTTTCCGAATCCAGGACGTAGTTCCGGGATGGCATTTCTGGACCTGCCCAGGGCCAGAGGTGAGCCAGTTCCCCAGAAGGATGAGTCCCTTGCCAGGCAGCATTTACCACAAGCTGACTGAAGATCCATGGGGCCTTAAGGGAATACCAGTGGCAGTCTGGCAGTACTCCCCATGAGCCTGTGGTAGCCAAAGGGAGGGAAGAGTGGGAAGGACTACGTTTTGTGGTTTGAGTGCCAGCTCAGCTGCAGTACAGTAGAACACCAGGTAGAGTTCTAAGATTTTTTACTCTAGTCCCTGGCTCACAGAAGGCACCTCTGGACCCACCTGGGGCATGGGGGAAGTTGCTGCACTGAAGAGAGTGACAGGCCTGGCTGGTGTTGCCACCTGGTGATTGTAGACTCCCAGGGCTTTGAGCAATCATAGGTGGTTGCAGCCAAGGAGTGGTTACAGCAGACTTGGGGAGAGACCCAGTGCTGTGCTGGGTTCAGGTCTAACTCAGCATAATCCTAGGGGTGGTGGCCACAGGGATGCTTGTGTCACTGCATGCCCAGCTCCAGGTAGCTCAGATCAGAGAGACTCCATTTGTTTGGAAGAAAGTAAGGGTAGAAAACAAGAGTCTTTGCCTAGTAATCTAAAGAATTCTTCCAGATCTTGGACAAGACCATCAAGGCAGTACCTTGACAAGTCTGCAAGAACCACAGCATTAATGAGGTTGGGGTCCCCCCCTCAAAGAAGATACAGCATAAATTGCAACATGCAAGTCTTTTCAAATATCTGGAAAGCCTTCCCAAGGAGGAAAAATTTCTTGAGCAATATCCCACAAGCACATGCAACCAAAGCAAAAAGGGGCAAATGGGATCACATAGAGTTAAAAAGCTTCTCCACAGCAAAGGAAACAATCAACATAGTGAAGAGACAGTCCACCGAATAGGAGAAAATGTTTGCAAACTACCCATCTGACAAAGGATTAATAACCAGAAAATATAAGGAGCTCAAATAACCCTATAGAAAAAAATCTAATAAACTGATTTTTAAATGGGCAAAATATTTGAATTGACATTTCAGAATTCTACCAGATAAGTTTAACAAACAGATTGAAATAATAAAAAAGAATCAAGCAGAAGTTCTGAAGTTGAAAAATAAAATTGGCATAGTGAAGAATGCATCAGAATCTTTTAATAGCAGAATTGATCAAGCAGGAAAAAGAATTAGTGAGCCTGAAGACAGGCTAATTGAAAATACACAGTCAGAGGAGACAAAAGAAAAAAGAATAAAAAATAATGAAGCATGCCTACAAGATCTAGAAAATAGCCTCTAAAGGGCAAATCTAAGAGTTATTAGCCTTAAAGAGGAGGTAGAGAAAGAGATAGGGGTAGAAAGCTTATTCAAAGGGATAATAACAGAGAACTTCCCAAACCTAGAGAACGATATCAATATCCAAGTACAAGAAGTTGATAGAATACCAACCAGATTTAACCCAAAGGAGACTACCTCAAGGCATTTAGTAGTCAAACTCCCATAGGTCAAAGATAAACAAAGGATTCTAAAAGCAGCAAGAAAAAAGAAACAAATATACAATAGAGTTCCAACACGTCTAGCAGCGCAGACTTTTCAATGGAAACCTTACAGGCCAGGAGAGAGTGGCATGACATAATTAGTGTTGAAGGAAAAAACTTTTACCCTAGACTAGTATATCCAGTGAAAATATCCTTCAAACTTGAAAAAATAAAGACTTTCCCAGACAAACAAAAGCTGAGAGATTTCATTAACAACATACCTGTCCTCAAGAAATGCTAAAACAATCACTCCAATCAGAAAGAAAAAAATGTTAATGAGCAATAAGAAATTATCTAAAGTTACAAAACTCACTGGTAATAGTAAGCACACAGAGAAACACACTGTAATCATAAAACTGTAACTGTGGCATGTAAATTACTCTTATCGTAAGTAGAAAGACTAAATAAGAGTCAAAAATAACTATAATAACTTTTGAAGACACAGTGCAAAAAGGTATAAATAGCAACAACAAACATTTAAAAAATGGGGACAAAGTTAAGACTTAGAGTCTTTATTAGTTTTTTTCTTGCTTATTTGTTTGTTTATGCAAATATTGTTGTTTTCAGTCAAACTAATGTGTTATAGTATTTGCAAGCCTCGTGGTAACCTTAAACCAGAAACCATATAAATGATACACAAAAAGTAGAAAGCAAGAAGCTAAATCATATCACAAGAGGAAAAATCACCTTCACTAAAATGAAGACAGGAATGAAAGAATTAAGGAAGAGAAGACCACAAAACAACCAAAAAACAACAAAATGGCAGGAATAACTCTCTACTTATTAATAATAACATTGAATATAAATGGACTAAACTCTCCAATCAAAATACACAGAGTGGCTGAATGGATGAAAAAGCAAAACCCATTAATCTGTTACCTGCAAGAAACACACTTCACATATAAAGACACATAAACTGAAAATAAAAGGATGGAAAATATATTCCATGCCAATGGAAACCCAAAAAGAGCAGGAGTAGTTTTACATATGTCAGACAAAATACATTTCAAGACAAAAACTATAAAAAGAGACAAGGTTAGTATATAATAATAAAGGGGTCAATTCAGCAAGAGATTATAACAATTGTAAATATATATGCACTCAACACTGGAATACCCAGATATATAAAGCAAATATTATTAGAGAGAGAGATAGGCCCCAATACAATAATAGCTGGAGACTTCAACACCCCACTTTTAGCATTGGACAGATCTTCCAGACAGAAAATCAACAAATATACATTTGACTTAATCTCTACTATAGACAAAGTAGATCTTATAGATATTTACGGAACAATTCATCTGAGAACTGCAGAATACACATTCTTTTCCTTAGCACATGGATTATTCTCAAGGATCATATGTTAGGTCACAAAACAAGTCTTAAAACATTTTTTAATTGAAATAATGTCAAGCATCTTCTGTAACCACAATGGAATAAAATTGGAAGTCAACAACAAGAGGAATTTTGAAAACTATAAAAATACATGGAATTTAAACAATATGCTGCTGAATGGCCAGTGGATCAATGAAGTAACTAAGAAAGAAATTGAAAATTTTCTTGAAACAAATGATAATAGAAACACAACATATCAAAGCCTACGAGATGCAGGAAAGCAGTGCTAAGAGGGAATTTTATAGCTATAAACACCTACATCAAAAAAGAATGAAAATTTCAAGTAAACAACCTAACTATGCAACTTATAGAACTAGAAAAGCAAGAGCAAACCAAACCCAAAATTGGTAGAAGAGAAGAAATAATAATGATCAGAACAGAAATTAATGAATTTGAAATGAAAAAAAGTATAAAAGATGAATGAAACAAAAACTTGTTTATTAAAAGTTAAACAAAATCAACAAACTTTTAGCTTGACCATGTGATAAAAAAAGAGAGAGGATCCAAATATAATCAGAGATGGAAAAAGAGACATTAAAACTGATACTGCAGAAATTCAAGGGAACATTAGTGGCTACTTTAAGCAACTATATGCCAATAAGTTGAAAAATCTAGAAGAAATGGATGAATTCCTAGACACAGAAAACATACCAAGATTGAACCATGAAGAAATCCAAAACCTGAACAGACCAATAACAAGTAACAAGTAAAGTATTATAATAAAAGTTAAAAAATATAATAAACAGTCTCCCACTGAAGAAAAGCCTGTGACTCAATGGCTACACTGCTAAATTCTATCAAACATTTAAAGAACTAACACAAATCCTACTCAAACTATATCAAAAAGTAGAGGAGGATTGAATGCTTCCAAACTCATTCTACAAAGCTAAAATTACCCTGATACCAAAACCAAAGACACATCAAAAAAAGGAATATACAGGCCAATATCACCAATTTAATATTTATGCAAATATCCTCAACAAATTACAAGCAAACAAAATTTAATAATATATTAAAAATACCATTCATCACGACCAAGTGAGATTTTATCCCAGGGATGCAAGGATGGTTCAACTTATGCAAATCAATGTGGCACATCACATCAACACAATGAAGGACAAAAACCATGTGATTGTTTTAATTTATGCTGAAAAAACATTTGATAAAATTCAACATCTCTTCATGAAAAAAACCCTCAAAAAACTCGGTATAGAAGAAACATATGTCAACATAACAAAAGACATAAATGACAGACCTACATCTAGTATCATATTGAATAAGGAAAAACTGAAAGCCTTTCCTCTAAGATCTGGAACATGACAGGGATACCCACTTTCACCACTGTTATTCAAGATAGTACCAGAAGTCCTAGCTAGAAGAGAAAGATATAAAAGGCATCCAAATTGGAAAGGAAGAAATCAAATTATTCTTGTTTGCAGAAGATATGATCTTATGTTTGGAACAATCTAAAAGCTCCACAAAAAAAACTATTACAACTGATAAATTTAGTTACAATCACCATACATAAAATAAAATATATGGGAATTAACTTAACCAAAGAAGTGAAAGCTCTCTTTAATGAAAACTATAAAACGCTGGTGAAAAGATTTGAAGAAGACACCAAAAAATGGAAAGATATTCCATGTTCATGGATTGAAAAATCAATATTGTTAAAATGTGCATACTACCCAAAGCAATCTACAGATTCAATGCAATCCTTATCAAAATACCAATGACATTCTTCACAGAAACAGAAAAAAACTATCCTAAAATATCTATGGAACCACAAAAGACCCAGAATAGCCAAAGCTATCCTAAGCAAAAAGAATAAAACTAAAAGAATCACATTGCCTGACTTCCAATTATACTACAGGGCTATAGTAAACAAAACAGCATGGTACTGGCATAAGAACAGACACATAGGCCGATGGAACAGAATAGAGTACCCAAAAACAAATCCACACACCTATAGTGAACTCATTTTCAACAAAGGTGCCACGAACATATGCTGGGGAAAAGACAGTCTCTTTAACAAATGGTGCTGGGAAAACTGGATATTCATATGCAGAAGATTAAAACTAGATACCTATCTCCTCTCACCATATACAAAAATCAATCTGAATGGAATAAAGACTTAAATATAAGACCTCAAACTATGAAACCACTACAGGAAAACATTGGGGGCAACTATCCAAGGTTTTGCTCTGGGCAAAGATTTCTTAAGTAATTCCCCACCAGCACAGGCAACCAAAGCAAAAATGGACAAATGGGATCACATAAATTTAAAAAGATTTTGCACAGCAAAGGAAACAATAATTAACAAAGTGAAGAGGCAACCCACAAAATAGGAGAAAATATTTGCAAACTACCCATCTGACAAGGGATTCATCACCAGAATATATAAGAAGCTCAAACAACTCTATGGGAAAAAAATCTAATTATCCAATCAAAAAAATGGGCAAAGGATTTTAATGGACATTTCTCAAAAGAAGACATACAAGTGGCAAATGGGCATATGAAAAGGTGCTCAACATTATTGATTATCAGAGAAATGCAACTTAAAACTACAATGAGATATCATCTCACCCCAATTAAAATGGCTTATATCCAAAAGACAGGCATTAACAAAGGGTGGCAAGGATGTGGAGAAAAGGGAACTCTCATATACTGTTGGTGGGAATGTAAATTAATACAACCACTATGGAGAACACTTTGGAGGTTCCTCAGAAAACTAAACATAGAGCTACCACACAATTCAACAATTCCGCTGCTGGGTAAATATCCAAATTAAAGAAAATCAGTATATCAAAGAGATGTCTGCAATTCCATGTTTGTTGCAGTTTTGTTCACGATAACCGAGATTTGGAAGCAACCTAAGTGTCCATCAACAAATAAATGGATAAAGAAAATGTGGTACTTGTATACCATGGAGTACTCTTCAGCCATAAAAAAGAATGAGATTCAGTCATTTGCAGCAACATGGATGGAACTGGAAGTCATTATGTTAAGTCAAATAAGCCAGCCACAGAAAGACAAACATTATATTTTCTCACTTATTTGTTGGATCTAAAAGTCCAAATAATTGAACCTATGGAGAGTAGGATGGTCACCAGAGGCTGGGAGTGTTGCGGGGGTGGGAGTGGGATGGAGGTGAGGATAGTTAGCATGAATGAATAAGGCCTAGTATTTTATAGCTCAACAGAGTAACTATAGTCAATAATAATTTAACTGTACATTTAAAAGTAACTAAAAATGTGTGATTGGTTTGTTTGTAACACAAAGGCTAAATGTTTGAGGTGATGGATATCCCATTTTCCATGATGTGATTATTATGCCTGTATCAAAACATCTCATGTGCCCCACGAATATATACACATAGTATGTACCCACAAAATAAATAGAAAAAGAATATCACAATGGTAATTCATGCAGGCAATATCAATGGATGAATGGTAAAATTAGTGGTAAAACTTTAAGGAGAAAGAGGATATGTATTTAATCTCAGTTTCTTCCCCAAAATATGAATTACTGTGATTGTTTTCTAATGCACATTCAAAAATGCTTTGATACTCTTCTCCATAGCAGGTAGAACTTAATTCCCCTACCCTTGAATATGGCTGGATTTAGAGACTATTTATGAAAATAGTGCAGAAAAATAAAAATAGTAACTTTGCAGTGTAGAAACCTAGCAACACCACTTTGACGGTCACTAAATCCAGCCACACTGAATCAAGGTTAACATCATCAGTAATAAGCTTTATTGAAGGTATTGACCCCCTGATATGATGCAATGAGAAAGTGATGTCATCTCTTTTAATATATATCATTAATTCTATAACCTCAGACCAATCATGAGAAAACATTAAACAAAATTGTCAAGGTCATGAAATGAGGAAAAACTGAGAAGCTGTCACATATTGACAGAGATCTAGAAGACACAACACCTAAATGCAATGTAGTATCCGGGATTGGATCCTGGAATGGCAAAAGGACTTTAGTGCAAACATTGAGTAAATTTGAGTAAATTTTACAGTCTAGTTAGCAGTATGTACCAATGTTAATTTATTAATTTTGATAAGTGTAATATGGTTATATATGATGTTATTATAAGAATCTGGGTGGAAGGTATATGGGAACTCTCTTAAGTCAGCTCTTGTTGCCACAACATGCCATAGACTTGGTGGCTTAAACAACAGAAGTTTATTTTCTCAGTTTTGCAGACCAGAAGTCTGAGATCAAGGTGTCAAAATGGATAGTTTCTGGTGAGGGCTCTCCTCCTAGATTGTAGACGGCTGCCTTATTGCTATGTCCTCACATGACCTTTCCTTTGCACATGGGCAAGAGGAGAAAGAGACATCATGTGAGTTTTGTGTGTCTCTTCTTATAAGGACACTAGTCCTATCAGATCAGGTCCCCACCCTTATGACCTTATTTAACCTTAATTACTTCTTTAGAGGCTCCATCTTTAAATAAAGCCACACTGAAGGTTAGGGCTTTAATGTATTAATTTTGGGAGAACATAAACATTCGGTCCATAAAATCTCTGTACTACCTTTGCAATTGCTCTGTAAATCTAAAATTATTTCAAAACAAAAAGTTAAAATGGGAAATGGAACAAAAATGTAATGTGATAACTTAGTGGAGTCATCATAATGTTTTCTTTTCTCACTAATATATGATAATATAGTTTGTTAAAACCTAGTTGTTATCACTTGTGTTTTCATAAACACTAAACTGTCCATAAGTGTTTTTTATGCATGGTACTATAGCAGAAACATGACTTTAGTTGTGAAACACATAAGTTGCTAACAGAGAACTAAGAACTGACATTTTTATTAATGTATTATAAAATGTTATATGTATACCAATAAATAGACATCAATGAGGCAATGGGTTGCAAAATCTCATTTTGACAGCAGTCCAGCTCTCCAAGGTCAGTGAGCAATAAGAAAAAAGTGTCAACCATTTAAGATAGAAAATAATTTCTGAAGTTTATTCCTGTTGCTTTCTCATCTCCTATAAAACACACACACACACAAGTAAAAATGCAAACTAACTAATTTCAGTGGTTTGTTAATAATCGGTCTGCAGTGAATTAAACCTGTATTCATTCTGTTATATGTTTTTGGCAGCTTGGAACTCTATATATTTTAGTTTTTCTCTATTCCCAAAATGCAGATTGCTTGATGGTGTGTGAGAGAGCTAATTAGATATAAATATCAACCAGCACCCAAATAACAAGGATCATAATGATCATACAGTGAACAGCTGTGCCATTCTATAAATTGGTTTCTTTTCTAATACTGCAGCAATTCAAACATTTTCTAGCTCCAAAAATGTTTTTCCCCTTCATAGGCCATATTCAATTAAAAAAAAGTCCTGCTAATGCAGAACTTGAGAGGCCAGAAAAATCTGAGGCTTTGTGAACTTTTGTTACAAAAGCTAGACAGAATTTTTATTGATTCTGGCCTTCTCTGATTCCTTAACTGATAACACAACAACATATAGGACTAATGCTTATGGGATCAGTGCAAGAAGGGAAAACTAGATTATAATTGAGGATTGAGAAATAAATAGCTGTCTTCTATAAAACTGAGCCTTATTCATTTCTGTTTTGTTTTGTTTCGCCGTTTTCTGTTTTGATCTATCACTGAAAAGGTTTGGGGCAGCATTTCAATGTCACTTTAGAGAAAGCTCTATATTTTATTTAATTCAATGCATATTTATTTAGTGCCTACTCTGTGCCTGGTGCTATTTTAAGTGCTGGTAAGCCAGAGACATATTGTTCTTCCTTCCCTCAAGGAACTAACAGTCTAGCTTGGAAAAAAGACCAAATCCCCTTAATATTATATGGAAAAATAAACCTAAATTGTTATTTCTGTGGGTCGGGAGAAGGTGAGGCACTGCCCTAGAAAATAATGGAGGACTGAGGAGTTACCTGAAATGAACAGATCCAGAAGACTTCACTGAGGAAGTGATATTTATGCTGAGGCCTAATTTAAACTGATGAAAAGAAGCTACTCCATGCTTCCGCAGAGAATAATGCAGCAGAAATTCATGCTTCTTACTTCATGATCATATATCTCCATCCTGTTTTGAAGTTACAAAAAAGAGCTACCAACTTGTAGTTAAAAATGGTGCTTGAATGCCTTGTTACCCTCGTAAGACTCCACTAAAATGATAGCAAAAAGATTAAAGCAAGAAAGAGGCATACTATTAATAGGACCAAAAGAATAGAAAAGAAGATAACAGGAAACAAAATATTGCAATATGGAAAGCAGATGGATGAGTGGAAACTGACTTGGCACACCCAGAAAGGCTGAATCCCAAGCTTACAGTAGAGGAAGCCAAGAAACAGCCGGATTTTTACCACTGTACCTCCAAAATTCTCAGGAAGGGATAGTACCAGGAACACCTGGAAGATGAATGAAGGGCTAAAAGCAGGAACAACTAGCTTTAAAAGTTTGCTTGAATTTACGTGAGAAGTTAGAACTCAAGCCCCTTCCCTACTTCATGTAATGGACATGCTGCCTTTTCTCTACCTAGGGAAAAATAATGAAAATTAATTATCTAGAGAAGGTAACATAAACAGTCTCTGGAATGAGAGATACTAGGTTTAACTAAAGTTTGGGCTATTATATTTAAAAAGGGATCATGTGAAAGTTCACATGTTGACTATTAAGAACCCCATAATTATTTCCCCACTAAGATTCCAAAATTCTGGCAGCCAAGCCTAAACCCCTATGGTAAGGAGATCAGAAAATTCAAGTGTCCTCCAAGAAATGATTTACCAGATTACACTACTATGAAGCCACAGTGAACAAAACTCATCCTCTACACGGAGCTTCCAATCTGCTTTTTAGAACATTAATTATAAAGTGGCAGCTGAGAATGACTAGGCAATTTGAAAAAAGTCTCCAATATAAAAGAGAAATATCAAAACAAATAGACATACCCAAACAATTTGGAGGAAGCAGAGATTATGAATGAAAACATGATTTAAAAAGTACTAGTATCTTCAAAGGGATAAGAGCCCCTAAAATTAAAATAATTTATCAGATAAGAAAAGCTCATAAGATAAATCTAGAAATATCCAAGAAAGTAGAGCAAAAAGTCAAAGAAGTAGAAAAAGGAGAAAAAGATAGTAAAAATAGATTGATCCATGAGATTTAAATTCAAAAATAGGAGTTGCAGAAGGAGAGAATGTAGAAATCAGAGGGAAGAAAATAAAGAGATAATCTAATGCAATTTCCCAGGCCTGAAGAACATGAGTTTCCAGATTGAAAAGGCCCATAAGTGCCTAGCACAGTGGATAAAAATTGCCCTCACCAAAACGTTATCATAAAATTTTAGAACATTGAAGCAGAGAAAAAGCTCCTAAAAGGTTTAGGGAGAAAGAACGTGTTTCACACAAAGGCTCAGATCTCAGAATGGTATCAGATTTCTCAGCAATATTGGAAACTAGAAGACAATGAAACTATGATTTCAAAATCCTGACAGACAATTATTTTCATCCTAGAGTTCTATACTTATAAACTATGAATCAGTCAAGCCAAGGGTAGAATAAAAATATTTCAGATATGCAGAGTCTCAAAAACTGTGCCACCATGTACCATTTCCTAGGAAGCTGCTACAGAATATGCACCTCTAAAATAAGGGAAAATACTAAGAAGGGGGAAGAAAACAGACACACACACACACAAATTTGTTCTGGGAAGGACATTAAGAAAAGGAAACTGCGCTTCAATGTATGAAAGAAGATTTACACATCTGGGAAGAGCTTGGGGCCAAATTATTGATAAATACACAGAAAACTAAGCAATCAAAACCAGATTCATTAGTAACTGTGAGGAGAATTAAATGTGGGTAGGAAAGGTCAAGCAAACATAGCTTACGACATAGCTCAACTCAGTTAGGTATTTGCTTTTTCATAATCATGTAAAAACTGAAAAATTTAACTTCCTCTATAAGATGGGGCATATGAAGTATAGTGGAGATTGTGAAAGAGAACTAACTTCTCATTTTCTATGGTAAGAAGAAAATAATGCCAAAAAAGAACCAAAATTAAGTAGCAATATAAATACATTATTTATCAATGTGATGGTAAGTACTACAATGATGTTGCAAAAATAAGATTGGTTGTCTCAAAGTGGCAAACAATATGGAAGAGAGGGAGTCAGAGAAGTTATCTTAACAAGTTTTGTAGAACTACATTAGTTAACTATTTAGGTTATGTACTTGTATAACTTTGATAGAATAAAAACTAAATTCAAAAAAGAAAGTGAGTAATTGCCTAGAAAGAGGCTTGCTTGCGTATTCAGGATAAGTGTCAATTTATACTAAAATAATAGCTCTAATTTCTCTGAAACAGAATGATGACAAACATCATAAGAAATTATTTATCTCTTGTTCATTCTTAATTGAATCCAAATTTTGTAGCAGTACTTGATGCTCCTCTTTACTTACTGGCCCATTAACAGAGTCTGGTACAGAATTGATGCTCAATAAATGTTACTTTCCTCTTAAGAACTATTCGCCCTATATGATTTTACATTGGTTATCCTGATCTGTTGTTGTGTTAGGCTACCTGTGTGGTCATCCTAGTTTCTCAACTGTATCTTAAATATTCAGAACCCAATTTCACCCCCAACATTCCTTGCCCTGCACGCAGAACAATTTTGGAGGAAATACTGCTACACTATATATTTCTAAAGGATTTGTTGACTTTTGCTCACTTGAAGTCTCAGGATCTTAAAACTGATCTTTATACAATCCTGAGTTTGTTCTTTTCTTTTTAAAATTTGAACTCATTGACTAAAAAGCTAAATGGCTTATGTTCAGAAAAAGAGATAGTTAATTAATGACAAAATATTCCACGGGATGTGTGGGGATTTAGTGGCACTGCTGTTTGTTCTATTAACAAGAAAGTTGTTGAAATCTGTGTTAAGATACACTCTAAAGGTCTGACGTTCTACCATTTGTATACAGATCTTCTATCTAAGGAATGCAAATTGTTGTTACTCAAGAATATTCACCTGTTTCATGAGCGAAGGGGTTCATGGTGTGGGCAATAATAAAACCAAATGATTCATATCATCAGTTCCCTCAATGTCACCAAATGAGTTTCTCCAAAAAGATTTTTAATAATGCAGTTTGTTTAAAAAAGGGTAAAGGTCACATTTTAAAAATTCAGCTTATAAACTTTGTGCTAATAGATTTAGTGGGACAACAAGTCTGTACATCCATTTAAACCTGAGTTATATTACATCTCAGTTGACAAATGGTACATTTTAATTTCTTATAATTTTATTTCATAAAATAACACTTTTTTATTATTATGTAAGTAAAACAGAGAAAACATAATGTAAAAAAGCATAAACAATAGAAAGTATAATATAGGAAAGCACAGACACAGCACAAAATAAAATAAATATCACATGTAATACAACCATCCAGAGACAACCCTGTTAACATTTTGTTAACACATTGTTATTCTCTTTTTTCTAAGTATATATGTGTGTGTGTTATTCTCTTTTTTCTAAGTATATATGTGTGTGTGTGTGTGTATGTGGGTGTGTATGTAAATACATTTATATATTTTTGCCAAATATAAATACATTTATATTTTTTGCCAAATTTAGATTATGTACTATACATTGTATTTTAACCTGATTTTTAAAATATTAACAATATGTTATGAGCATTTGTTATGTTAACAGAGTTCTAACATTTTTTTTTTAATTTAAGTTCTGGGGTGCATGTGCAGAACGTGCAAGTTTGTTACATAGGTATACACATGCCATGGTGGTTTGCTGCACACATCAACCTGTCATCTACATTAGGTATTTCTCCTAATGCTATCCCTCCCCTAGCCCCCTACCCCCCAACAGGCCCCAGTGTGTGATGTTCCTCTCCCTGTGTCCATGTGTTCTCATTGTTCAACTCCCACTTATGAATGAGAACATGAGGTGTTTGGTTTTCTGTTCTTGTGTTTCTTTGCTGAGAATGATGGTTTCCAGCTTCATCCATGTCCCTGCAAAGGACATGAACTCATCCTTTTTTATGGCTGCATAGTATTCTATGGTGTATATGTGCCACATTTTCTTTATCCAGTCTATAAGTGATGGGCATTTGGGTTGGTTCCAAGTCTTTGCTATTGTGCCAAAGGATTATAAATCATTGTACTATAAAGACACATGCACACATATGTTTATTATGACCTATGATTTTTAATGTGGTATATTTTTCAATCATATGAATATGCCATGATTCACATAATAAGTATCCTTCTATAAGGCATTCTTTCTAATATTTTCTGATTATAAATTAAGCTGATATAAACATCATTGTGTATGGATCTTGGTTTATATCTATTATGACTACTTAAAAATAAATTTCTAAAGTTGGGGTTTCTACATCAAACCCTTCTTACACTTCGATTCAACAATTCTACCTATAGAAACTTACTCTAAGGAAATAATTAATGCTTATTTTAAATCTACTTTTAGAGACTGAATAGTCAAGGCAATCCTAAGCAAAAAGAACAAAACTGGAGGCATCCCATTACCAGACTTCAAACCATACTAGAGGGCTACAGTAACCGAAACAGCATGGTACTGGTACAAAAATAAACACCTAGACCAATGAAACAGAATAGGAAGCCCAGAAATATAGCCACACACCTGCAACCATTGATCTTTGACAGTCAAAAATAACAGGCAATGGAGAAAGGACTCCCTGTACAATAAATGGTGCTGGCATAACTGGCTAGTCATATGCAGAAGATTGAAACTGGACACCTTCCTTTCACTATATACAAAAATCAACTCAAGATGGATTAAAGACTTAAATTTAAAACATGAAACTATAAAAACTCTGGAAGATAACCTAGGAAACCATTCTGCACACAGGACCTGGCAAAGATTTTATTATGAAGATGCCAAAAGCAATAGCAACAAAATTAAAAATTGACAAATGGGATGTAATTAAGCTAAAGATCCGCACAGCAAAAGAAACTATCAATAGAGTAAACAGACAACCTGCAGAATGGGAGAAAAGATTTTCAAACTATGCATCCAGCAACGGTTTAATATCCAGAATCTGTAAGGAACTTAAATTAACAAACAAAAAATAACCCCATTACAAAATGGGCAAAGTACATAAACAGACACTTTTTAAAAGAAGACATGCATGTGGCCAACAAGCATATGAAAAAATGCTCATCATCACTAATGATTAGAGAAATGTAAATCAAAACCACAATGAGATACCATCTCATACCAGTCAGATGGCTATTACCAAAAAGTTAAAAAAAAATAACAGATGCTGGCAAGATTGTAGAGGAAAGGGAACACTTATACACTGCTGGTGGGAATATAAATTAGTTCAGCCATTGTGGAAAGCAGTCTAGTGATTTCTCAAAGAACTTAAAACAAAACTACCCTTCAACCCAGCAATCCCATTACCAGGTATATATCTGAAGGAAAATAAATCGTTATACCAAAAAGACACATGCGCTTGTATATTCACTGCAGCACTATTCACAGTAACAAAGACATGGAATCAACCTAAATGCCCATCAATGATAAACTTGATAAAAAAATTTGGTATATATAAACCATGGAATACTACACAGTCATAAAAGAGAACAAGATCATGTCCTTTACAGCAACATGGATAGAAATGGAGGCCATTATCTTAAGGGAACTAATGCAGGAACAGAAAACCAGATACTGCATGTTCTTGTTTATAAGTAGGAGTTAAACATTGAGTACACATGGACACATGTGCACTTAAGAGTGGAAGGTGGGAGGAGAGAGAGGATTAAAAAAAAACTCCCTATTGAGTAATATGCTTATTACCTGAGTGAGGAAATAATCTGTACGCCAACTCCAGATGACACACAATTTACCTATTTATCAAACCTGCACATATACTCCTGAAACTAAAATAATGTTAAAAAACATCTACTTTTAAATTCATTTAAATCTACTGCTCACATAGTAAATAGAATTAATAAACTTTGTCATTTAATTTTAATCAAATCACAAAATTTACATTTCTGCTCAAACTTCATTCTCATCACAGCTCATTGATATAAGGGAGAGTTTCAAGAAGTTCCCAGAATTACCTGTGAAAATAGTGTCTATGCATCTATAATAAAACCCCATGCTGAGACCTGGTGTTGAATCTAATTGGAAAATTCTGTTCATGTAGGAGAGTTGGATGAGATACATCTCAAAGACTGAATTGAGAGATATAAGTTTTGTCACAGAAAAGAAAATGGTTTGATCTTTCCAAAAAAAGACAATGCTTTGATCATTCCATTATAACGGCTATACTCAACCAAGAACAATATAGATTATCTGCCTATAAGTTGAATAAGGAGACCTACCCTTCTCCATCTTTGCTTTCACTGCTTTCATAAATCATTTAACTAACATAATGATATCTTTAAAGTTTCGCTTTAAAGCAACTAGGCAGACAGGCTTCATTACAAGCAATGAAAAAAACCATATTCAAGAGTCCATAGAGAGGAAGAAAGCATGTGTCTTCCTTGCTAAATCCATTTTATGTTAATGAAAAAGCTGGCCAACACATTCCTTAATTCAGTAAATTTCTCAAAAACTGTGGCCAGAACAACCTGGGGTCCTTATTTAAAATTCAAGCTTCTGGCTCTACACTAGACCTACTGAATAAGGCTCTCTTGGGATAGAACCTGGAATCTACATTTAAAAAATAAATTTCCTGGGTGACTGTTATTCATACAAACACCTGAGAATCAGTACTTTAAATGATTATAGAGCATATGAAAAATCCTTTTCATCTCTAAAGAGAGAATCAGGAATGAGAGTATTCTGATTCTTGCAGATAAGAGCAGAAGGGAGAATAAATCACAAATGTTCACTCTCATAATCATTATATCTAAAACACACATACATTATACATATGACACATATATCCATATATGGAGAATATTGGTTTATTTATAATTATTTTCATAAATGCTATTAAATATAAAAAGCAGAATATTGAACAAGGCATAGAGTAAATTGTCATATAAATTCAAAATATATACATACACTAAATATTACAACATACTTTTCTTACAGGGTTTTATCCTTCAATAAGTATTGTTTCCTTGTTTCCTCAATAATTGGAGGTCAGAATTTTATTTGGGCAAGTAAAACACCATAAATAAATGGCAATTCCAAGCCTCTTAGTTGTTCAGTGTGTCCAAATAGTAGGATTAGGCCAAAGGCTTGTAAGTGAAAGTGGTACATCAAAATTGGGGAAGTCTTCTTAAAAGGAGTGAAAATGCTAGTCTATTTCCTGCTGACCAGAATATTGATGTGCTGGCTGGAATGCTGACATAGTGATAGGGCTCAAGTAGCCAAATTGGTCAACTTTTGAGAATGGCTAAGCAATCAGATAATAGAAAATGGAGTTATAGTAATGGAGTATCACACTAGCCTGAAACTGCCTACATTAAGTAAGCAAAAAGCTTAGATTTTCAGTATTATGTTAGTTGTTCATTCTACTCCTAAATTAACCTAATCTGTCTTTATGTTTAGAGAGAGGGGGATGAGAAGCGTTAAAATTCTAGGAAGTGAAAGATTAGAGAAGTTAGGCTTAAACATGTATGTAAATATCAAATGTTGGTTCTTTGAGAAGATTTTAAAATATTGACAAACCTTTGGCTAGACTTAGAGAGGGAGAGAGAGAAGACATAAATTACTAAAATCAGGAATGAAAGAGAAGACATCACTACCAACATTTATGGGGGAGAGAAGGGATTATAGAGAAACTATGAAAAACTCTGTGTCAACAAATTAGATAAACTATATGAAACGGATATATTCCTAAAAAAGATACAATCTACCAAGATTGGCTCAAGGATAAATAGAAAATCTGAATATAACTATAACAAGTAAAGAAATTTAATTAGTAATAAAACAAAAAGACCTTCCCACAAAAGCCCAGGACCCAGCTTCACTGGTTAATTATACCAAGTGTTTAAAGAAGAATGAACCCTATATCTTCAAAAACACTTCTAAAAAAATAGAGGTGGAGGGAATACTTCTCAGTTCATTATATGAGAACAGTATTATCCTGATACCAAAACCAGACAAAGACATCACTTATAAAGAATGCTACAGACAGGATATTTTATAAAGATAGAAAAATCCTAAAGAAAATACTAGCAAACCAAATCCAGCAACATATAAAAAGATTTATACACCATGACCAAGTATGATTTATCCCAGGAATGCAAGGTCAATTTAATATCCAAAAATCAATTCATTTAATACACCATATTAATAATGGCAAAAGTGTATAATCATCTCAAAATCCAATTTTTTTCATGATAAAAACACTCAACAAACTAGGAATAAAAGGCAATTTTCTCAACCTGATAGAGAATAGCTAGGAAAAAACCCACAGCTAATATCATACTTAAAGGTGAAAGACTGAATGCTTTCCCCCTAAGATCAGGAACAAGGCAAGAATATCTGTTCTCACTACCTCTATTGAACATTATACTGGAGTTCTAGCCAGGACAATTAGGCAAGAAAAATAAATCAAACATCCATATTGGAAAGGAAAAGGTAAAATTGTCTTTCTTTGCAGATGACATGATCTTGTATACAGAAAATCCTAAGGCATCCACAAAAAATTTTATGGCTAATAATGAGTTCAGTATAGTTGCAGAATACAAGTTTAATTTGCAAACATTAACCGTATTTTTATTTTTATTTTGTTGTTCTTATTAAGCTTTTTTACAAATTTTATTTTTTAAAAATTTCTGTGGGTACATAGGTCATATATTTTTATATCCTATCAGGAAACAATCTGAAAATTAAGTAAACAATTTCATTTACAATAGCATCAAGAAAAAAACACTTAGAAATAAATTTAACAAAATAAGTATAGGAATTGTATTCTGAAACCTACAGAATATTGTTGAAATAAATTAAAGAAGACCTAAATAAAATTTAAAAACATTCAATGTTCATGAATTACGGGGCATAATATTGTTTAGATGGACTTCTCCCCAAATTTATCTATACATTTTATACAAATCATATCAAAATTCCAGCTGTTTTTTTTTTTGCCAAAAGTGATAAATTTATCCTAAAATTCATGTGGAAATGCAAGAGATGCAGAATAGTCAAAGCAGTCTTGACCAAAAAAAAAAAATTCAGGTTGGAGGATTCATACTTCTTGATTTCAAAACTACTACAAAGCTACTGTAACGGAGACAATATGGGACTGACTTAAAGATAGACCAATAGATTAAAGGAACAGAATTGAGGGTCCAGAAATCAATCCACATGTTTATGGTCAGTTGATTTTTAACAAAGGTGCTAGAGCAATTTCAGGGGAAAGGAATAGTATTTTTGGTAAAATGATGTTGGGACAATTGTATATCCACATGCACAAGAATGAAGTTGTACTCCATGCTTACTCTATGCGCAAAAATCAACTCTAAGTGGATCATAGACCCACCTTCTTAGATAAGACACCAGAAAGAATGAGTGAGAAGTGAAAAATAAACATCTTCTCTGGAGAAATGTCTATTCAAATTCTTTGCCCATTTTAAATTCGGTTACTTGTCTTTTTATTATTGAGTTGAAAGAGTTTCTTATATATTCTGGATACAGGTTTCTTATCACATGTGTCCCCAAACCCCGGGTGCAGACTGGTACCGGTCCATGGCCTGTTAGGAACTTGACCACACAGCAGGA